>NC_000007.14:108756779-109381779 GCF_000001405.40 Homo sapiens | reverse complement strand
TAGCCACTCGTCTAATTTTTTTTCAGGGTTTTTAATTTCTTTGCCATGGGTTCAAACTTCCTCCTTAAGCTCGGAGTAGTTTGATCATCTGAAGCCTTCTTCTCTCAACTCGTCAAAGTCATTCTCCATCCAGCTTTGTTCCATTGCTGGTGAGGAGCTGCGTTCCTTTGGAAGACGAGAGGCGCTCTGATTTTTAGAGTTTCCAGTTTTTCTGCTCTGTTTTTTCCCCATCTTTGTGGTTTTATCTACCTTTGGTCTTTGATGATGGTGATGTACAGATGGGGTTTTGGTGTGGATGTCCTTTCTGTTTGTTAGTTTTCCTTCTAACAGTCAGGACCCTCAGCAACAATTAAAATAAGAGCTATTATATATCTTTATATCAGGGAAATATGAAATATATATTTTAATAAAAATTAGAGATACCATTTAATGTACTTGATATAAATCATGCAGTATACTAAAGGCAATGTTTGCAATTCATGTAACAATGCTTTAATCATTCCCACTTTATATATGAGAAAGCTGATCACACCAGACATTTAAGATTTCTAAAAGCATGGGCTCTACCACCATAATATAGGCATTTCTCAGAAATATTGCAGATTCAGTTCCAGACTTCTCCATTAAAGCAAATATTGCAATAGAGAAAATCATACAATTGTTGGTTTTCCAGAACATATAGAAGTTATGTTAATAATGTATTGCAGTCTATTGAGTGTGCCAGAGCATCATGTCTACAAAACAATATGGAAACCTTAATTTCAAAATACTTAATTGCTAAAAAATGCTAACAATCATCTGAGCCTGCAGGGAGTAATAATCTTTTTGCTGGTTGAGGGTTTTGCTTCCATGTTGATGGCTGCTGACAGGTCAGTGTAGTGTTTGCTAAAGGTTGGAGTCGTTTTCGCAATTTGTTAATTTAAGAAAATAATCAAGTTTGCTGCATCAATTGACTTTTCCTTTCATAAAATATTTCTTGTAGTATGTGATGCTATTGGATAGCATTTTACCCAAAGTATAACTTTCAAAATTTGGGTCAGTCTTTTCAAATTCTGCTGCTGCTTTATCAATGAAGTTTATGGAATATTATAAGTCCTTTGCTGTGAACATTGTTGTGAATATTGCTTCAACAATGTTCTTAGCATCTTCACCAGGCATACATGCCATTTTTAAAAACCACTTTTTTTGCTCATCCATAAGAAGCAACTCATCTGTTCATGTTTTATCACGAGGTTGCTGCAATCCAGTCATGTCTTCATGCTTTACTTCTAATTCGAGTTTTCTTGCTATTTCTACCATATCTGCAGTTACTTTCTCCACTGAAGTCTTGAGCCCCTGAAAGTCCATGAGAGATGGAATCAACTTCTCCCAAACTTCTGTTAATGTTGATATTTTGACCTCCTCTTATGAATCCCAAATATTTTCACTGGAATCTTGAATGGTGAATCCTTTCAAGAAGGTTTTCAGTTTACTTTAGTTTACTTTGCCCAGATTTTTCAAATGAATGACTATCTATGGCAGCTATAGTTTTACAAAATGTATTTTTAAAATAAGACTTGAAAGTCAAAATTACTCCTTGATCCATGGGCTGCAGAATGGATCTTGTGTTAGCAGGTATAAATATAACATTAATCTCCCTGTACATTTCCATCAGAGCTCTTGGGTGACCAAGAATATTATCAACGAGAAGTAATATTTTGAAATATTTTTTTCTGAGAAGTAGGTGCTGACAATGACCTTAAAGTATTCAGTAAATCATGCTGTAAACGAATGTGCTGTCATCTAAGCCTTGTTGTTCCATTTATAGAACATAGCCAGAGAAAAATTTAGCATAATATTTGAGATACCTAAGATTTCTGAAATGGTAAATGAGCATTGACTTTAACTTAAGCCATGAGCTGCATTAGCCCCTAGCAAGCGTCAGCCTGTCCTTTGAAGCTTTGAAGCCAGACATTGACTTCTCTCTAACTATAAAAGTCCTAGGGAAGATCTTCTTCCAATATGAGGCTGTTTTGTATACATTGAAAATCTGTTGTCAGTGTAGCTACCTTCATTAGTGATCTTAGCTAGATCTTCTTGGATAACCTGCTGCAGCTACTGCATTAGCAATTGCTGCTTTACCATGTACTTTTATGTTACAGAGATGGCTTCTTTCCTTAAACCTCATGAACCAATTTCTGCTAGCTTCAAACTTTTCATCTGCAGCTTCCTCACCTTTCTCAATCTTCATAGATTGAAGAGGTAAGTCCTTGTTCTGGATTTGGCTTTGGCTGAAAGGAATGTTGTGGCTGATTTGATCTAGCCAGACCACTAAAACTTTCTCCATATCGACAGTGAAGCTGTTTCACTTTCTTATCATTTATGTGTTTACTGGAGTAGCACATTTACTTTTCTTCAAGAACTTTTCCTTTGCATTCACAATGTTGCTAACTGGCACAAGAGGCCTGGCTTTCAACCTATTTGCCTTTTGACCTGCCTTCCTCACTAAACTTAATGATTTATAGTTTTTGATTTAAAGTGAGAGTTGTGCAACTCTTTCTTCCACTTGGACACTTAGAGGCCACTGAAGGGTTATTAATTTGCCTAATTTCAACATTAGTAGGTCTGAGGGAAAAATGAGGCCTGAGGAGAGGGAGACAGGATAATGTCTGGTTGGGGGCAGCAAAACATGTATGACATTTATCAATTAAATTTGCCATCTTATGTGGATGTGGTTTCTGACACCCCAAAACAATTACCTTAGTAACATCAAAGGTCATTGATAACAGATAACCAAAACCAATATAAAAATGATGAAAATTTTAAAATAGTTTAAGAATTACCAAAATGTGACACAGATACACAAAGTGAGCACATGCTGCTAGAAACATTTTACCAATACAGTTACTTGATTCAGGATTGCCAAGAACCCTCCATTTATGAAACATAAAATAGCTGTGAAGTGCAATAAAGTGAAGCATAATAAAAGAAAATATGCCCGTATTTGTGTCTAGGCTCCACAAGTTACTAGCTGTGATTTTAGAACAATTATTTTTAATCTTTATAGACTTAAATTTCCTTATCTGTAAAATAGACATTTTGTCACCCAGCTCAGAGTTGTTTAGAATATTAAATTATTTACCTAGTAATTGCTTATAATAGCATCTGCCTCAGAGAGAACATTAATAAATGTAAACTCTTGGTGGTAAAATTTGAGATTCAATCCCAGTTCCATACAATGCCAAATTCTTGTACTTAACCACTTGCTATTACATTTCTTCTTTTATAAGCTCTGATGCTGGTTAGTTTTAAATTTTATTGACATTGTATCTGAATTTTAACAATTCAACTTTTAAACTAGTTATTTCTCATATTTAGAAAATACATGTATTTTTCAATTAGCAAACTTCTTGGATTCTATTACTATAATAGTTTTATTATAGAATTTCTGAAGTTTCTTTCACAAGACAAAAACAATTAATCTTCTTTCTTCCAATTCTTACAAGTCTTATTTCTTTCTCCTAGATATTTAAATAACTAAATTTTCAGAATACTCTGAGATATGGTACTTAATAGAAATTTTTTTGTTCCTGATTTTAATTAAGATGACTCTAATTTTTTCTTGAGTATGATGCTTATTCTTATTCTCAAATAGGTATTTTAATCACATCTTTATGCCTTATTTAAAAAGTGTATATTTAACTTTTTTCATACAAATAATCAAAAATGATGTTGAAATTTATGTTACTTCTTACACATTTTGAGCATTAAGGTAATCACCCGGATTTTTTTTGACTTAAATAAAAAGTCAAATTTTAAAGATTTTAAATGTTATTGTATTGAATCAAACTTGTGTGCTATTTGTCTTACTATCACCATCCAGCAAACACAGAACACACATATTAAAATAATAATTGGTAATAGTAATTAATTATGATCACTAATAAATATTGAATCGTTTACCTTGCCCAGGCATTCTCCTAAGTTTTTTATACTCATTTTGTTAATATTTAAAATAATTCTATCAATTTAGGACTATTTTAATTCTTATTTTACACCTGAGTAAACAAAAGCTCTGGCAGTTAACAATCTTGCACAACCTCAGCCACCTAGCAAATAGCACAGATGGAATTTGAGCCTAGTCACATAACACTAGAGTTTAAAAATTTTAAATTTTAATGCATCATTCTACTTAACTTTCATTGTTCAAGAAACACTGAACTAAGCTGTCACCCTCAAAATGGCAAGTTCCAAATCTCCTTGCAAAGTGTTTCCCAGTATGTCTGTATGTCCAAGAAGCTATCAGATGTGTGCTCTCCAATGTCTCTGGCTGGGTCAGTTACAGTGCAGTCTCTTCTCTATCTCATTTCTATGCCTTGCTAACAAAATGATTAGAGAAAAACTAGAGATTTCAGTTAAACTCAGCAGATTGAACACACATGTGTATCAGTAACTCTTTCTGGATAGGAGATGTCAACACATTTTTGGAAACTGAAACAGAAAAAGCAGTAACTGGTTCGGCAAACCAGAAAAATGCAGAAATTTAAGTACTATGGTAAGCAGCAGTCAGGTATGGTGTGTGTGGGGTGTGTGCGTTGGGAAAGGGTGTAAAACTAAAGCTAGAAGACTGGATTGACACAGATTACCCAAGGCTTTACCAAAGAAATTATACAGATGGCAGAGAAGAACATTAAGACTCAATAACTTTAGTCATTAGTGAAATGCAAGCTTTAAGCACAAAAGATGACACTTTACGCTTACTGTGATGGCTAAACAAACAGCTGACAATATCAAGAGCTGGTGAAGAAGGGAAGAACTGGAATTGTCCTACATTGCTGGTGAGAATGCAAAATGGTACAGCCACTTTGGAAAACAGTTTGACAGTTTCTTATGGAGTTAAATATACACTTGCCATGTAATCCAGCAATCCCACTCTAGATATTGCCCAGGAGAAATGCAAAGTTATGTCCTTAGAAGCTTTATTCATCATCACCAAATCTGGAAGCAATCCAAGTATTCTCTAACTGCTGACTAATATATCCAAACTAATGGAATTCTAGTAGCAACATAAAACATGCAATAACATGGGTGAATCAGAATCATATGTAGCTACTGAATGAGTCCATTTATATGACATTCTGGGAAAGGCAAAATTTTTGGAACAAAAAACAAATCAATTGTTGCCAGGGTTTGGTGGTATAAAAGGGTAAGTATGAAGGAATTTTGGGGGTAATAATTACATTCCGTTTCTTGACTAGCATGGCACTTACACAATTGTATTCACTTGTCTGAAATTGTGAAACTATATATGTGAAAAGAAGTGAGTTTTGCTTAATGCAAACACGAACGTTAACAAATTTCATAAAAGCCCTAATGATTAAAATGCATTTTAAGAAAAAACAGAAAATACAATTTCTTGCTTTTCCAAACTAGATCAAGTTCCAAACTAAGTTAGTGATAAGGGAAATACAAGGTCAAGTTCACTAGCATTCCTGCAGCTATTAATACTTCACTGGCACATATATCATTGAGACGAATTTGTATTAATGACACTTGAACAAATAAACATTCTGTTTCTCTCCCATGGGCTTGCAGAGCTGTCAAACTTTCTGGACAGACATGTAAAGGATTTCACACCTACTATAGAAATAATTTGCAAATATCACAGTACCTGCAAACAAACTGCACAGTACAAACCAGTGACTTCAAGCAAGGAGGAAAAAAAAAAAAAAAAAGACCTTGGAATTCCAGACACCATGGTTTGTCTCTGACACTAATAGCTAATATTTAATGAGATTATCTAATCTAACAGGCACTTTCTTAAAACAATTCCCAGGAGGTAGGTGTATTATTATGTTCCCTGTGTTACAGGTGAGAAAATTGAGTCTCAGAAAATGTAATAAATTGTTGAAGGTCACAAGAGGATTGTGGGAGTTTTTTCCTGACTCCCAGTATCTCCACTCTTAACCACATGGCTATACTTATATTTCAGAGAAAGTGTGGGGATGGAAAAAAAGAGTCCTTAAAACATATACTAGATTCTGGATATTAGTCCTTTGTCAGATGCATAGTTTGTGAAAATTTTCTCCCACTCTGTGAGTTGTCTGTTTACTCTGCTGACTGTTCCTTTTGCTGTGCAAAACTCTTTAATTAAGTCCCAACTACTTATCTTTGATTTATTGCATTCACTTTTGGGTTTTTGGTCATGAAATCCTTGACTAAGCCAATGTCTAGAAGGGATTTTCTGATGTTACCTTATAGAATTTTTATAGTTTCAGGTATTAGATTGAAGTTCTTGATCCATCTTGAGTAGATTTTTATATAAGGTGAGAGATGAGGATCCAGTTTCATTCTCCTACATGTGGCTTGCCAGTTATCCCAGCACTATTTGTTGAATAGGGTGTCTTTTCCCCATTTTATGTTTTTGTTGGCTTTGTCAAAGATCAATTAGCTATAAGTATTTGGGTTTGTTTCTGAGTTATCTATTCCGTTCCATTGGTCCATGTGCCTATTTTTATAACAGTAACATGTTGTTTTGGTGACTGTGGCCTTATAGTATAGTTTGAATCAGGTGATGCCTCCAGATTTGTTCTTTTTGCTTAATCTTGTTTTGGCTCTGTGGGCTCTTTTTTGTTTCCATATACATTTTCAGATTTTTTTTCTAGTTCTGTGAAGAATTATGGTGATATTTTGATGGAAATTGCATTGAATTTGTAGATTGTTTTTGGCAGTATGGTCATTGTATTAGTCTGTTTTCATGCTACTGATGAAGACATACACAAGACTGGGCAATTTACAAAAGAAATAGGTTTAATTGGACTTACAGTTCTAAGTGGCTGGGGAAGCCTCAGAATCATGGTGGAAAGCAAGGAGGAGCAAATCACATCTTAAATGAATGTAAGCAGGCAAAGAGAGAAAGCTTGTGCAGGGGAACTCCTCTTTTTAAAACTATCAGATCTCCTGAGACTTATTCACTATCACGAGAACAGCATGGAAAACACTTTCCCCATGATACAATTACCTCCAACTAAGTCCCTCCCACAACATGTGAGAATTATAGGAGCTACAAGATGAGATTTGGGTGAGGACACAGAGCCAAAGACTATCAGTCATTTTCATTTTCACAATATTGATTCTACCATTCCATGAGCATGGAGTGCGTTTCCATTTGTTTGTGTCATCTATGATTTCTTTTTGCAGTGTTTTGTAGTTTTCCTTGTAGAGGTCTCTCACCTCCTTGGTTAGATATATTCCTAAGTATTTTAATTTTTTGTAGCTATAATTAAAGGGGTTGAGTTCTTGATTTGGTTCTCAGTTTGGCTGCTGTTAATGTATAGGAGATCTACTGATTTGTGTACCCATGAAAAAGTGGGCTAAGGACATGAATAGACAATCCTCAAAAGAAGATATACAAATGGCCGACAAACATATGAAAAAATGCTCAACATCACTAATGATCAGGAAAATGCAAATCAAAACCACAATGTCATACCCCACCTTACTCCTGCAAGAATGGCCATAATCAAAAAAATAAAAAAATAACAGATATTGGCATGGATGCAATGAACAGGGAACAGTTCTACACTGCTGGTGGGAATATAAACTAGCACAACCACTATGAAAAACAGTGTGGAGTTTCCTTAAAGAACTAAAAATAGAACTACCATTTGATCCAACAATCCCACTACTGGGTATCTACCCAGAGGAAGAGAAGTCATTATAAAAAAAAGATACTTGCACACGCATGTTTATAGTAGCACAATTCACAATTGCAAAAATGTGGAACCAACTCAAATGCCTCTCAATCAACGAGTAGATAAAGAAACTGTGGTATACATATATAATGGAACACTACTCAGCCATAAAAAGGAATAAATTAATGGCATTTTTAGAAATCTGAATGAGATTGTAGACTATTATTCTAAGTGAAGTAACTCAGAAATGGAAAACCAAACATCGTATGTTCTCACCCGTAACTGGGAGCTAAGCTATGAGGATCCAAAGGCATAAGAATGACATTAAGGAATTTGGGTACTCGGGGGAAAGGGTGGGAAGGGAGTGAGGGATAAAAGGCAACAAATTGGGTGCAGTGTATACTACTCAGGTGATGGATGTGCCAAAATCTCACAAATCACCACTAAAAAACTTACTAATGTAACCAAACACCACCTGTTCCACTATAACCTATGGGGGAAAAAAAGCATACTAGGCTGTCGATAATTTTCCCCTTGTCCATTTTTTCCATGTAAATAAAGGGCACCATCATGCCCCCATCCACCCTGTTGTTTGAGCCAAAGACTTAGGGAATCACACATGATTCTTTTCTTTACATTCATATCCTCCAGTAAATGAACCAGTTTCTCATACAGGTTTTATCTCCAAAATACATATTGAATGTTTACTTCTCTCTGACTTATCTTTGCTAGAGTATCTGGGCCAAGATACTATTATCAGTCCCCCAAAAAGCTGCAAGTTCTTAGTTGGTCTTCCTGAGTCCACTGCTACCTCCTACAATCCACTGACCAAAAAATGTGAATAAAATCACATTACTTATTTGGTCAAAACACTCCAGTGGCTTCCCACTGCATTTATTCTAAAATCAAAGATTCTGGACCTACAAGGTCCTTCCATGAGGTTGCCTTGTCTCCCTATCCAACTTCTCAACACATGATTCCCTGTGTACTGCTCTAATTATACTGCAGGTAAATTGCTTTTATTTCTATAACCTGAACATTTCTTGCCTTCGAACTTTTTCTTTTGTTGTTCTTGCTTTGTTTTTTGTTTGTTTGTCTTAACTACTTTTTCTCTGTTATTTTAATGGCTATATTTCTTCTCATATTTCATTTGAAATGCAACGTCTCTCTTCTAAGACGCCTTCTGTGCCCTCTGTAGCAGCAAATGTACCACTCCCATTAGTTACTACCTCGGTTCCTGTCTGCTTCCTTTATAAAAATAAACAGAGTTTATATTTGTTTCCACTTATATGTCTGTCCATTTTTCATACTGCAATGTCAGCATTAGAAATGAAAGAATCAGGTCTGTCATATACTGCAGTGATAACCCTGGGCCCAGCAGTTCTTAGCTCAGATGGATACCAATAAAAACTAGTTAAGTAGATAAATAAAGCTTTAATTTTCCATTTTGTCTCCTAGAATGCTTCAATCATATTATTTCAGGACTTCCCCACCCAGAATTAATGGTTTCAGAACCTATATCAGGGATAAACCAAGTAAATAATCTATATTCCCACATTGTTCTGTGACAGTAGAAGAATACATGATCTTTTTATCTCGACCCACTGTCATATCTGTTAAGTTCAGCTGCTTTCTTAGATCTATGTGGAGCTGTGGAGAGCTCAAAGATCAGGCTAACAGGATAAATAGTAAGTGTATCCTCTTTTAGTATGGAATAAAGCTCTCAGATTGCTCTTGTAAGGAGCCAGTTTAAACTTGAACATTATTGAATTAAATCCTTTAAAATATAATTTAAATATAAAATCACACTTAGTATTTTAACTATGACTTCCTTCTGATTTAAATAAAATATTCCCATTCAAGACAAGAGGAAGGTGGTTGTGGCAGGGAGGGTGATACATACAAATGTCTAAATATACAGCAATGTAGATTTTTAATGTGATTTTCTGCTTTGCAATGTTGCTAATGTTTTACTGTTTTAGATTTTATTTTAAATGATCCTTGAAGTGTATAAGTGCCACATTAAGAACTTTATGCCTTGAGTGGTTGTTACAACAGAAGTAGAAATAAATTTCTCAAGATATTTCAGAAGCCCCTCCAGCTTTTACTCTATTACTGTTACTAATATACTACTTAGAATAGTTTTACTACTCAGCTGGGAGTATAAAGAAATTGAAAACAATATGCATGCCTTATGTGCTAAGTGAACTGCAATAAACCATGCTACAAATCCTGACCACTCTAGTAAATCAGATGGTAATGGGTTTTCCTATTTATTAACATTGTAAAATTGCCTCTAAAAGGTCATCTCAATCTGAGGAATTGGAGATAACTTTTGCTCCCTTTTTCCATCATAGAAAAATATTATAGAAAAACCTATTTATTTCTCAAGTACAAAAACTGAACATTGCCAGGACCACTAAGTGGGTTCCTCTTATTATATTGTCTCTGAATCCATGCATCAAATACAATTTTATTAATTATTTTGAAATTATGAATATGTATACCTCAGAGCTATTTGTAGCGCTGTATTGGACAATTGTTCACACTGATACTAAAGTTCAAGACATTTATTTGTTTTGTTCTGGTTTTTCACATTGTTGGTTGTTGCAGCTTTTCAGAAAACCTATTTAGATTCACACAGAGAAAAGCAAATATCAACAGCCTAGATTTTAGCCATAGTTCCGGCTAGCTAGTTAATAAAATAATTCTACTGATTAGAAGGGGATACAGTAAATAGAAATTTTTCAAAGAATCAGTTATGGAAAAAATAATTCAAAACTATTGTCCTCTACCGATCAGTCTGCAAGTAGACACAGAGCTCTAATTAAAAATTCTGATTACTGCAATATTAAAATATAAAATTTAAGTTGCAAAATGTCTGAGATTACATAAACATATGCATATTTTGTTCAGTTGAGAAGACATTTAATTTTAAAATAGCTATTAATGTGTTCCTACAGAGATAGGGTTTTAATAAAATTAGATCTTATTGATGCAAACATTGATGGGAAACTAAGACATTTTTACGAGTTTTGGACACATATTCCTTTTTACCGTAATCATAGATAACAATTTACAAAGATTTAAATTCTAACATTCCACAATGTTACTACACCTTTCCATTGTTCCACTTATTGATATCCCCTATCCCACTCAAACTTCTTTTTGAAATCTTCCCATGCTTTCATCTCCAGCCTTTCTTTCTCAATTCAACAACCTCCAAGATTTACTTATTCCCTATTTACCTGCTATCCTAAGGCTTGTAATTCCAACCACTGTCTTCCCTTTAGTTAAGATTCCTGAATCAGTTTTCTTTTCTGGCTATTCCAATTCTAATCCATTCTCACAATCTTCTTCCCTTTTGGCGACTAATATCTGTTGGAGGAAATCACATGAACTTCAGTATTGGTGAAGCTGAAGACCCATAATATTTAATATCAGCTACACACTCCAACCAAGAGTATGTTTATTCATTCATTTATTTATTAACTCATCATTCGGTTCTTTGGTCAATACCTTTTTATTGAATCACACAATAGACTAGACACTGCTTATATTATGGTGGAGAAAATAAAGTCCCTGCTTCCAGATATATCTATTCTTCAGGCAAATATATAATAATTTCAGGAACTGGTAAGTTCTAAAAAGAAAAATTAAGTAGAATAAGCAGACAGCCAACGGGTTGAGTTTTAGAGAAGGAATCTCTAATAATGTGATATCATACTGAGATCTTAAGGAAGTAAGAGAGGCATGTGTAGATATTGGGGAAGAGTTTTCCAGGCAACAGTAAATTTCTCTACTTCCTCAGTGTAATTGCATTCAAAAAGTCTTCAGTGAGCATAATGATTAGGAGCAGAGGCTCTTGAGTCCCGCTTCCTGAATTTGAATGCCACTACATCACTTTCAAATTGTATACCCTTTACTAAAATACTTTTAATTGGGAGGCCATTCTGGGATGGCTCCAGTATTTTAGCTTCCTATGTAAGCAAGCAGAAGCCCAATCAAAACAATAAAATGAAATTAGAGATTTCACAAATCAGAAATCTCCAGATTTTAACTAAGATCTTTCCACTCTTATTAATCAAATATCTTTTGTTTATTTCACTTCTGCTTTTAGCCTATAAAATCTCTGTCCACACAGTCTCAGTGAAGCTCTCTGAACCTCTTCTGGTTTTCAAAGCTGCCCAATTCATGAATCATTTAAATGCTCAAATAAACTCTGTTAAATTTACTTTGTCTAAAGTTTTTGTTTTAATACCTTGAAGAAGTTAATTAACTTCTGTTTTCTCTGTAAAATTTCAGTAATACTTATCCCTATCTCTGGGAGAGGATAGAAGTTGTGAAGATTAAATGAATAAACATGTGTAAAGGATTTAGACAGGTCTCAGAAATAAAGCAAGCACTCAATATATTTTAGTTTTAAATCCATTGGAGATGATTCATTTGATCAAATTTTACTTTTCTATAGGTCTTATCTCCTTCCTTTACTTCTTTAATAACAGTGTTTTGTGGCTTTCTTCCAGTCTCTTTTTATCTTACTATGCAATTTTTCCCCCACAATTTGTGAACAAATAATTCTCAGGCCAAATGTTCTTACTTTATTACTTTAGTTTACATATACGTTTATTACTTTAATTTACACATACATCCAAAAAACTTCATTACCTCAGTGTTCTTCTCTATCTGTCCTCACAGGATAAGTAGTTTTATTCAGTGCTGATCCCATGGTTATATGCATATTGTTCACATGCTAATGACCCTCAGATTTGCATCTATCACTCAGACCACTCACCCTGAACCACAGACTGCAATATTCAACTGCTAATTAAACATCTCCACTTGAACCTTCATTTAAGAGGCATCACAACCCTAATATGGCTGAAACTTTTACTAATCTCCAACCTCATCCTTCAATCTGCTCTGAAGTTGAAGACTTCCCTATCCCAGTTTATTAAACCATCATTTTTACTTAAGACAAAACTCCTGGCATCACCCTTGAGTCTTCCCTTTTTTCACACTTCACACCCAAACATTAGCAAAGCTCCTTCACTTTATGTCCAAAAATAGAAAAAAATTTCACCCAACTCTCTGTTGATGTAATCAATGACCTGGACCCTCCTAGGGACTACTTTGCCTCCATCATTAATTCCCAACAGAACACAAGTTTTTCACGTGACAATAAAAATAATTTCTTTAAATCAGAAATGATATTGTAACTATTTTCTGCTTAAGAGAACTTTCAAAGGACTCTCCACTACCACCAAAATAAAATCTAAATTTTTACTATGGCCCAGAAGGGCTATTGCATTTGACCCCTAACTAATATCCATGCTTGTTGTTCCCCCATCCGCTGGGTCCAGGCACACTGTTTTTTTTTTTTGTTTTGTTTTGTTTGTTTTGAGACGGAGTCTCACTCTGTCACCCAGGCTGGAGTGCAGTGGCACTATCTCAGCTCACTGCAACCTCCTCCTTCCGGGTTCACACCATTCTCCTGCTTCAGCCCAAGGAGTAGCTGGGACTACAGGCGCCCGCCACCACGCCCAGCTAATTTTTTGTATTTTTAGTAGAGACAGGGTTTCACCGACACACTATTTTTTATTTTGCCCTTTGAAAACATGAAACCTATTTTTATCTTAAGGCCTTTTTACTTGTCATTTATTCTACTAGGAATGTTCTTTTCCTGCAGTTTACATGACTGCATCCTTCTATTATGTAAGTCCCTAATCAAGTGAAGACAGTCGTCTCCATGGCAAGCATGCACACAGGAGAATGCCACGTTATGGCAGTAATTAACAGCATGAGTTCTGCCCACATCTCCTGAACGTAAATTTTAATTATGTCATTTACTTATATAAAAACAAATACAAATTAAAAATAAGAGACTGAATTTTCCTGATGGCATATAAGGGATGAAACCTTTTCATTTTCTTTGAGAATTTTATTTAGAAAACTTGTAATTGTATGTTCTCTTTTTGCCTCTTTAAAATATATGTAAATATTTTCAAAGTC
The DNA here is from genome assembly GCF_000001405.40 of Homo sapiens. Classification (NCBI taxonomy): domain Eukaryota; kingdom Metazoa; phylum Chordata; class Mammalia; order Primates; family Hominidae; genus Homo; species Homo sapiens. The sequence goes on along the minus strand of NC_000007.14, from coordinate 109,368,094 downwards.
AAAGAAACCTCTTGCCAGCCTTACAACCCAGAAATGTCATTTTCTAGAACCTGGAAACCATCTCTTTGATATGCAATCATATCAAAGGAAGATAGCATCTGTATCTCCCAGTTTTGGTGGGAGAGTGGGAGACTAACTCTGGTGACTGCCTCACTCCCAGTTGGAAAACTACCTCCTGTCATAAAGATATGGGAATCTTATTGCTCCTTTGGATAAAGACAATTAGCTCACATAGATGGCCACCACAATTACCAGGTTAATTGAAAATGAACTGTGTGTGACAAATGGTATTGACAAGTTTTCTTACATGAAGATTAGTTTATTCTGAGAACATGTATATAATAGGTTCAATCTGTTTGACTATACGTAAAGGTTGGATTTCTTTCTGTCTTTGTAATCTCTTAGAAGATTACTTGTGAGGGGCATGATATTCTGATTTAATGCTTATTCAATAATAAAACTCTTCCCTTTCTCTTTTAACTTTGTGCACAGGTTTTCTAGGCTGGCAGAAGATTTTATTTTTAATTATATTTCCAACACTTACTAGCTGTGCACTAGCAAGTTATGTAACATTTCATTTTCCTCATATGAACAATTGGTACTAATAAAACTCTTAAGTTTTTTTAGAGAGACAAATGAATTAAACCATTAAAAAATAGTACTTGGTACACTGAAACTGTTTGATAGTTATTAAGTGTTATTATTATAACAGTTGTATTAGTCTGTTCTCATGCTGCTAATAAAGGCATACCTGAGACTGGGTCATTTATAAACGAAAGAGGTTTAATTGACTCAAAGTTTGCATGGCTGGGGAGGCCTCAGGAAACTTACAATCATGGTGGGAGGGGAAGCAAACATGTCCTTCTTCACATGGTGGCAGGAGAGAGAATAATGAGAGCCAAGCAAAGGGAGAAGCCCCTTATAGAAACATCAGATCTCATAAGAACTTACTATCACTAGAATAGCACGGGAAAACTGCCCCATGATTCAATTACCTCTCAATAGGTCCCTCCCATAACACATGGGGATTATGGGAGCTACAATTTAAGATGAGATTTGGGTGGGGACAAAGCTGAATCATATCAACAGCATAATACAATCCCTAGTAATTCTGGAAATCATCTTTATTCACTTTAATCTTCATCAGTTTATTATATTTCCTTCCTTAACAAATCTCTGCCTATTTCTTTATCTCTATAATTCAAGTGCCTATTCATAAACATTAATAAATATTTGCTTACTGACTAAGTAAACTTGGAGAAACAAAGTAGAAGATGACAACCACCATGGAAAAGCAACCATTTCCTCTTCTTTCCTCTTCACAATATGTTAGAGCCCATAAAATTATCTATATAAAAATATGCATTAGTGGTCTTTTATTTTTAGAAATCCTTACAGTTTTAAGAGCTTCTAAAACGCATTTCTTTGGTTCATCAATATTAAAAAGTATATTTATTGTATTTGGTTTCAAAAGAAAAAAGTTGTAATATAGTTTAAACAATATTTCTGAAAGTGTTTCAGCTCTTAAGAGAACGCTTCATTTATCTAGAAAATTCACCTATATGGAAAAATTTCTTACTTCAAATAAAAGCAGATAAATCGGATGTTAGGTGTTTTATTTTCATGCATTTTGTCCTTACTTATGGGCATACACATGTATATGCAGGTTAAATGTGCATGTTTGCATTCATTTATAGAAGCTTACTAGTAATCACTGACTTTTAAACACAAGTAATTGGCTATGCATTATAAGGCAGAATAATGTTAAAATTCTACTCACATTACAGTGATATAGTCTATACAGTTTAATGAAAATGCAAATAAGCTAGCAACTTAGATGAATAATACATGCCTTTATACACGGCATGTACTAAAAAAAAATCCCTCAAATTAATGAGTTATAAATTTTAGCTCAATTCCAGTATTTTATGGTACAGTATATACTTTATGGGATAATTTTGTATATAATAAAAATTGGTTATTGTCTCAAACCAGTTAAAAGGCCCGATTTATAAACAAAATATTAACATAAAATAATTATTGTTAGTAGCTGTTTCAGAACACTTTATATATTTGTTGCATTATTTACATAAGATAATTTTGACACAGTCTCACTACTAGCATAGAAACCCAACTACAACAAATTCATATTTCTCTTCAAATGTGTCTTTTCTCCTCAGTCAAATTCATAGTTCATAGGTTTCAATTTTCAAACATGTATTTTTATTATGGGTGAAAATAGAGAAAGAGAGGTAGTTAGTCAAAATAAATTTCTAAAAACATAACTGAAAAATTCCTTGACTTAAATATTACAATTAGCTTTTGCTTTCATATAAGCCCTTGACAATTTATAATATTATAACATTTCCTTTACAGTAGCTTCCTTAGTTAAGGTAAGTCAATGTCTACCCTCTTTTAGATAAGAGATACATATTAAATAACCTCAAACATTACCTATTTAGTGTTGCTCTAAACTTCCTATAAGATGATTTTCCTTTAAGAAGTATGTAAATGTCTCTTACAATAGTGCCTATGTCTAACAATAGCAGTTGTTGTCATAATCTTATGCCAAGATTATGGTGTGCTAAATATGTTTTATGTTACCTGCCTGTCATAGCTACTTCAAGAGGAAGTATGCAACCCACATTCCTTGCTAAAAGGTATGGCCTTCATTGTCATATTTTTTAATATATGGACATAACTGCATCCTCTACCACTGCTATTTGGGGCAGGGTTTGGTCCTGTCCGAAAAGGCTCAGTGTGAAAAGATGAGGGAACATTATCGGATTTAGTCTCATTAATCTGGACTGAGAGAAAACAAATGAGATGATTGGCAATGGGAGTCAGTGTTAAGTGTGTCTAGATGGTAGATTGACAGTCATGGTGAGCCAAAGTCATAGAGTCATGGAGTCAAAGTCATTGAAGGCATAGAGAACAGAAAGTATACGTAAGCAGAGGAAAAAACGTTAACTATGAAGAGCTCGTGTGGTATATACCTGAGACATGTCCAGGGTAGGGTACCAATGCTGAGATTGCTATGGCTGAGTTCCTAGCACAGCTGAGAGTTTAGCATTAATATCCTATCTAAGCATCATTCGATTTGGCCCTATTAAGTCCCCCCTTCTTGGATTTCCATTATTTTTTACTTTTCTCCTTACAATAAATAAAACCTTTATAAACCTGGTATCATTATTCCTCTATCCTCAAGAACAAAGAAAACCTAAGATATGTGGTTAATGTAACATTTTAGCTCAAAGTAAAATGCTGCCTTTCAAGCAAATGTACTTTCAGGAATCTTCATTTGAAACTTATCATTGCCCATGTTACATAACCCCAGGTGGTATTTAATTATGTCCTTGAATGACAGAACTTTAAGTCTAAAAGTAAGATCATACATTATCGATTTTTATGTTGTTATTTTAAAAGACAGAAATTTAGAATCGCAAGTACATATTGTGACTTGTCAAAGTTATAGTGTTGTAACTCAATTTAGCAGAGACTAGAACTCAAAAGTTCTACTGCCCAATTGAAAGGTAAAACAGGAAAAGAGAAATAGAGGAAGAAGATGAGGAGAGTGAGAAACAGAAAGGATGAAATAAAGAGCAAATGTGAGAGAGATCGTATAGAGGAGATGTTTTAATTGCTTAAGAAATTAATTTTAGTGTCTATCAAATTTTAATTTTGGTATTTTTGTTAGCAATAAGGACCTATTTAGAGAGAATAACCTTCCATTCTGATGTATGAAACAGCTAGAACTTTGACACAGAATGTCAATATTGTTGTGGAAAAAGAAAAAGCAGTGTCTTACTAAAGAATATCGATTTTTTTCAAAAAACTAGGAAAAAGAAGATAAGGAAAACTAGACACTGACAGGATTGTATGAGTCTTTATAAACCTCATAAGAAGCACAGGTACGTACCAAATATTTTTACAATAAACTATTCATATTATTGTGTGTGTGTGTATAGTTATAGTAGGTGCCTGTGAAGATTAAATCAATTTAAAGCACTTATCATTGTCCCAAACTCATAGGAAAAGCTTAATACATATTATAGTCTGTTTTGTGCTGCTATAACAGAACACACACGCTGGGTAATTTGTAATGAACAAAAATCCATTTCTTATGGTTATGGAGGCAACGAAGTCTAAGATCAAGGGGATGGCATTTGATGAGGGCCTTCATGCTGTCAGATGTGTCATGTCAGAAGGCAGAAGGGCAAGACAGTGTGCACAAGAGAGAAAAGGAGGAGGAGCAAACATCATTTTAGCAGGAACCAACTCCTTTGATAATAGCATTAATCCGTTTATGAAAGCAGAGCCCTCATGACCTAATTAACTCTTAAAGGTGCCACTTCTTAACTCTGTTGCACTTGGGATTAAGTTTATAACACATGCATTTGGGGAGATACATTCAAGCCATGGCATCATGTCAATTTCAGAAACAGATTGTTAAATTTCGTTTTTCATAAGGATGCATGTGAGGCTAAATACATAGCTCTTTGTTTTTTCTTATCATTAATGCTAAGGATGGTTTTTGAAGAATGTACTTTAGGAGGGTTGGAAAGGTACATATGAGAGAAGATTTTTAGCAGAAGAAATGTAGTAAATATTGCCTTTATATTTATTATATTATTGTCAGAGGAGAATTATATGTCAGAGGAAATTCAAGGTACTTTAATGCAGAGGCTGGGGAGCAATAAGAAAGGATGGAAAGGCTCAAACTGAAGATGGCATTCATAAATTAAGGCTTGGGATGGGGAAATTTTTGGTGATCCAACATGTAAATCTAATTGTGAAGTCAAATTATCTAGCTTTTTGGTCCATTTCTATTTGTTATTTATGCTTTTAATTTTGGCTTAGACAGCAGCCATAAGTTTACTAAAAGAAATAAATATAAGATTCTCCCTGGATTTGCCTTAGGGAATCAAACTGATTTCATACATCTTTTCCTTTTCCTTGAACTGGATTAGACCTTTTGAAGATATAAATATAACTGTGGAATGGAAAGTAGATTGTTGAAGACCTAATGTGATTAGTTTTATCTTCAAAATAGTTATCTTTCCTTCACAGTTAAAAATGATGCATTTTTTGGAGTTCAATAGAAAAAAGAAAATATTTTTGATAAGTACAAAAAGCTAAATAGTAACAGTTTGTAAGGATTATGTGGAAATCCTGGAGAGCAATAATCAGAAGAAACTACATAGAGCAATAGCTACTTGAATTTGAGCTTAAGAAAGAAACTGTAGAGTTTACTTTTCCCACTCTTAAAGATAAACACATTTCCTAAGACCACCATAAGAAAAAAAATTACAGTGGCTGACCGATTAGGCTAAAAAAAAGTCTTGTTAATAATTTTCATGGAAATAATATAAAATATAATTATATCTTACTTTTATCAAAAGCAAAACATAAGGTACTAAAACTTTTTTTGAAAGCTATATTTGGTGTCCCATTAACTTAGAATTGATATTTAAAATTTACTTCTAGATGCTAAATATATTTATATAATGTTAACAAAACCCTTGTGAAAAACTAGGAAACTTTTGGAAGCTATTAAGTGTAATAGTTATAAGAGTAGAAATGTGCACTAGAGCATACTATTAAAGCTATGAATATGAAATTAAGTGTATTTGATATTTGACTGGTATTGCTTAAATTTGTGTTATTTAGGTACAAATCACATGACCCAAGTCATCCCTTAGTGTTATGTTAATACATCACCTGACTAATAAACAGAATTTCAAAAAATGTAGAAATAGTTTTTAAATGTTCTTTCGGCCACCTTTATTTTTTATATTATTTAACAGTTTTGCTTGAAAGTAAAAGGCAGGTTCAAGGTTTTATTTAGGGAATTTTATATTTAATGTTATCTACTTTTACATTACTCTTTTCATAAGTATCATAATTCTCTTTGTATATTAGAAATAGCAGTATGTAGAAATAAAACACCATGCCAAGATCATAAAACTAGAAAATAGCAAACCTTGATTTTTCCCACCCCAAATCCATGCAATTTATAAAAAGAGCCTTTCTGAATAATTTTCCCTTCCCATTTAAGGGGAAAATTGAGGATTTCAGTGATATGTTGTAGAGTGGGGGAAATTCCAGAGTATCTTCAGAAATTGGCTAATTCTGATATGTCTTTTCTTGCAAGTGTAGGAAATTATCTCCAATGTTTCTGTAATGTAGTCCTCAACTTTACTCTCATACAAATGTTGGAGAGTTTTCTGAATAAAGGCCAAGTCAAGAACAAAACTACAGCTTAGCTTTCCTTGAAGAATCATGCTTGCTTCTTTGATTCCGCCTTACACACACATGCATGAACGCACACACACACACACACACACACTACACACATCTCCTCAAATAATTTATCAGCAGCTCTTCATCCTGTTTTAAAAAAGAAGAAAAATATTTCTACCAGAATAGGCTTAGTAAACTTCATGAAGCTTTATAATTGGCTAAAGGTTACAATTCTCCAAGGCATGAGAGGATTTTCAATATTAGTATGCACAAAAATGAGTTTATGTTTAAACAATCAAATTCAATTTTACTAAGATCATTCTTTAAAGAAGAAATATTTTCAAAAGTCCTTTAAAAGAAATAAAACAATAGAAAAGAAGAAGAAAATAAAAAGAGGAAAGAAATTTACATTTCAATATCTTATGAACTGAGACACAAAAATCCTTAATATTATAGTACCAAAATGAATCCAGCAATATAAAACTGAGACAATGTTTATACTAGGAACGCAAGGCTAACTTAACTTGATAAAATCAATCAGTGAAATTTACCATATTAATAGAAGGAGGAAAAAATGAATGCAGAAATGGAATTCAATAAAATTGAACTCCAATTCATGATATAAAATTGCAACAAATGAGGAATGAAAGAAAAGTCCCTTCAGCTGATAAAGGACTTCAGCAAAACAAAACAAACAAACCCAAAACACACAAGACTATAGTTATCATCATGCATAATGATCTAAAATTAAAACTTTTCTGCCTCTTATTAAGAACAAGGAAAGGATGTCTACCATTATATCCATCCAAAATTATAACACAATACTAGCCAGTTAATTAAGGTAACAAAAGGTAACAAAAAGCAAAATAATTAAAAATAAGCCTGCCATTTTCTTCACACATAATAATCATGCACATGGAAACCCTATGGAATCTTCTAAAACATTCTGTAACAAATAAGTGAATCTAGCCAGGTTATGTGAAAAAGATGTTATGTTATAAAAATTAATTGCATTTCTCCATATCAGCAATGAACAATTAGAAAATTGAATTTAAAATATACCATTGAAAAGAGTACCAAAATATGTCACATACTTAGTGTCAAGTCTGATAAAGAATATACCAGACGTCTATACTAAAAATATGATATATATTTGAGGCAAATTTTCAAAGACATAAACAAATAATAAGTGAAAAGATACACCATGTTCTTGAATTGAAAGATGCAAGATTATTAATTGGTCTACTCTCCTCAAATCAGTCTATACATTTAATGAGATCCCTTTCAACATCCCCGGAGGGTTTTATGAAGAAAACAGCCTTTTTAGGTGTGGTTTGGACCAGGAAAATTTTTCCAATGCAATACAAAAAAGCACAAGTAAAAAATAATAATAAATTATGTGTTACTACATTTAAAATATTTTCTTATTAAAAATAGCATTAAGAAAGTCCACAGATTACAAAATATATATATTTGTAGCATATACACTGACAAATGACTGACAGATTATATACAAACACAAATAAGTACATAATAATAAGCCAAATAATCTAATTAAAAATGAGGAGAAAGACTATAACAAACTCTTTACCAAAAAATGCCAATAATTGTATGATAAAGTGCCCCAAATCATTAATTATCAGAGAAATGAAAAATAAAACTATAACCAATTACAATTTTGCACCCACTAGAACTGCTAAAATTAAAAAGACCCATAGAACCAAATTTTGCTGATGACGTGGAGCACCTGAAACTATACATTTTTGCTAGGAATGCAAAATAGTAAATCACTTGAATAAGTGCATAGTAGTTTTTTGTAAAATTTAATATACACCTAATTTCGAAGCCATCAATTTCACTTGTGTTTACTCAAGAGAAATGGAAACATAGATCTATCAAAAGACTTGAACAGCAACACTCAGAGCAATCTTATTTATAATAGCCATAAACTGGAAATAGCTAAAATATTAACAAAATAATGGATAAACTGTGATGTATTGTTACACCAAATAAAACTCAGTAATTAAAAGGAATATACTACTGATACATACAACAACAAATATTAATCTAAAACATATGATGTGGAAAGACAGAAACTGTGCACATACAATACCTAGTGCATGATTCCATTAACAATAAGAAATAAGTGTCCAAACTGATCTATGGAATTAGTCTATGGAAAAGGCAAAACTAATCTATGGAAGACATGTGGAAGCATTTAATTCAGGTTGGGTGAAGGGACTGAGTGGAAAGGGACATAAGGGAATTTTCAGTGGTGACGTGACTCTAATGGGTTACATAGGTGTATACCATTGTCAAAACTCTGCTGAAATGTCAAAATGGTACATTTAAGATTTTTGATGTAATTATACTTAAAATATAGAATGTTGCAAAGAAAAAATACTTTTCTTTCATTTTTACTTAGAAAATGCCACACAGAAAAAGCAAACATACAACATGTCTTCATTTTTCTTCATCCATTCCTTCATTCAACAGACACTGTATCAGCCATATTCTAGGCAATGTTCTAGATGCTATGAATTTGGTAGTGGACAAAGTCTTGCTTTGATATAGAACTCTGGCATGTACAGTCTAATGGACAAGACATAGCAAACATATATACAAATAAACTCTTATAGAGTGGTGATATGTGTTATGAAGAAAAATAAAGCAAAAAAGTGGAACAGAATGTGCTAAATGAGATAATCAGGAAAACGCTTTCCGGTAAATTTAGCATTTTAGCAGAAATCTAAAGACATTGAGGGAAGGAGCCATGAAGATATCCAGGGAAATCTATGTGAAATAGAGTCGGAGGGAAGAATAAACTTAAAGCCCCAGACATGGGCGTGCTCTTGCTATGCTTCAATAACATTAAGAAAGTTAGTGTGACTGTCACTAATAGAAAAAAAAGAAGAGTAGAAATTGAATCCTGAGAAAGAAGGAGCAACCAGCCAGAGAAGAGGGGAAGCAAGTTGATGGTGCAGTGAAGCACGCAGGTGAAAAAAGTGTGTGATGTACACCAGTCCCCTCGATCCCCAGGGGATATGTTCCAAGATCCCCAGCGGATGCCCAAAACTGCAGATAGTGTAGTACCAAAGCCCATATATATTATGCCTTTTTTCCTTTACATACATAACTATGATAAAGTTTAGTTTACAAATTAAGTGCAGTAAGAGATTAATGACAATAACTGATTATAAAATAGAATAATTATAACAATATACTATAACAAAAGCTATGTGAATATACTCCTTTTTCTCTCTCTCACAAAAAATATTTTATTGTACTTTACTATGGGTAACTGAAACCATATAAAGCAAAACTGTGAATAAAAAGTGGACTACTGTATTGTGTCAACTGTGGCTGGCAATGAGGAAAGTGAATTATAATTTTAAATAACAAGGATAGCATTACTATTACATGATAAAATCTCAGATTCAAATATGGCTTGAAAGACTATAGATCCAGTTATTAAATACTCTATTACCCACTTACACACTGGTCAAACTCATGTATTCAATTAGGGATTATCAACCTTGATATATGTTAAAATGTCTGGGATATTTTAAGAAAATACCAGCTATCAGCCATAGAAATTCTGATTTAACTTTTTTTCTGGGATGGGGTTGACCTTTGGTATTTTATTCAGTCTTTTGTGCTGTCTAACATGTAGCCAAGATTGAGTTCAAATTTAGATAAACCCAGTGATGGGAATTCATTAACTCTCGAGATCGTGTATTCTCATACTTCTATGACAATGTTACATCAAATCTTTTAAAAATCTTGTCACCTTGAGACTAATATTATAAATTATTTTAGATATCTGTCTTTATATGAATCAGACTGTGCCCAAACTCCTGATGGATCTTTTCTAGAACCACCTTAGATGATCAATATCTGTCATAAAGTGAAATCAGTTCAAAATCTATGATAATTGTAACAGAAAAAATATAGCAGTGTCCTGAATTAGACCATTGCCAGAGGTATGTTCTAATTAAGATTTTCATTGTGAACAGAGGCCTATGAATATTACCTATTTGTTTACTGGCTGGCTTCTTTGTGTTTAATTTTGGCAATAACATTGCACAGTTGATATTTTCAATCTGCCATCAACTAGAACCAACCTCTAGAGAATTTTCACACTTTGTAAAGCTTTGTCTCCTTATGTTACTAACCAGGGGTTTTGGTGCTAGTTGTGGGACTATCTAAAGGACCTCCCCTGTGTTAGCCCATTTGTGCTACTGTAATAGAATACCTGAGTGTGGGTAATGTGTGAAAACAAAAATTCATTAGAGGCTGAGAAGTCCAAAATCAAGGTACTGCATCTGATGAGGTCCTTCATGCTGCATCCTCATATAGCAGAAGGTAGAAGGACAACAGATAGCCAAAACCAACAAGAAGCCTCTTTTATAAGGATCTTACTCCAATTTACAATGGAGAAACATGGAGTCCTCATGCCCTAATCCCTCTTAAAGACCCCACCTCTTAATACTATCACTTTGGCAACATCTGAATTTCAGCAGGGATGCATTCAAACCATAGCACCCCTAAATCTTATACTGTTAAATTTAGATTACCATTAGACATAGAAATAAATATAAATTGCATTTCCTGTCTAATGAGTGGTTTAACAGACATCACCTCATTTGAATTTTATGACAACACAACTCACAACCTAATTGTTTGCTATCTATGATTTCATCTCTTCCTCATTATTCTTTTATTCCTCTTATTCTCTATAGCACTACTGAATATTCTATAATAATCCTGCAAATACACATGATACCCACTGTAATTGATCTCTAAGATATTATCTCCACAATATATATGTCCACAATACATTGTTAATGAAAAGTTCAAGGTAAAGAACAGGAATCATAGTATAAAACCATAGAGTATAGTGTGTTCCAGTATAAAAAGAAGAAAACATAACCTGTAAGTATATATATGTATATATATAACTGTAAACAAATAGCCATGTGTTGAAATAGGATAAATTTTTGCTTTCTATTTTAATATTTGTATAATCTAAGTTCTTTTAAAAAAATAGAAAAACAAAAGTATGAAAAAATAGCAAAAAGGAAGGCTAGAGTAGGGCTAACATATTCATAAAATATCGTAGGCACAGTGCCTAGGGCCTGCAATACTTTTAGGGGGTCCATAAAATAATTTTTTTAAAACAAGAAAAAATGAACTTTTATATTTTAACATAATATAATCATATTTATACCAGTATAGTCATAAAATATACATTTTATTTTATTTATTTATGAAGAAAGGGACAAATGAAAGTCACAATTCATCCCTGGGTTTGGGCTACCCTTGCAGTGGGAAATCACGGTGATGCTATTACCTGTCAAGTGCACTGTCCGGTACTCTATCCTAAAAGTCACAGAATAGAAAGCCTCAAAAATGAACTAGAGATCCCCAAACTGCATGGTTTATTGAATCCACTTAAAACATGACCAAACCAATTTAGGTTAATACAGCCTTGGCAGCATGGATAGAAGGACCACAGTATCTCCCTCCCTCCTTCTCTCCCTTCCTCCTTCCCTCCTTTCTTTCTGAACCACTATCTCACCTTCTCCTGCATCAGCCTTCCTCGCTATAATACGGCTATAAGAAACAACAATTGAATGTGGTCAAAGTGGCTTAGAAGAATGAAGATGCCAGTAACCAATACACGTGTTTATTTTATGGAAGAGATGCAGGGGAAAAATTCCTGACCAGTAGTTAGATTTTCTACAATTTGCTGTGCAATACCATAGCTTGTTTCTACATACCTCAGATAGAGAAGATATCGGGCCAGATGAGTGATACCAATGGGTGACTGACTTAAGGGTGATATAACTGTCCTAAAAATTTGATGCTTCATGAATATTTAATACATGTTAATTCTATCTCTTCTTGTCTATGTCTGCATATAAATGATCTACTCATTTAATCTATATCTAACATGTTTCAGAATCTTCTTGCTTACCATCTATGATTCATTTTACAAACATGTTGCTTTATTTTTCTTGTTTTCTATTCTTGAATAAAATAACAAAAACACAATATATTGATCTGATCTGTTCACAATAAAATTAAGAACTAAAATGTAACTGAAATAACAACAATTCCAACCATTTTAACAAATAAAAAATGTTTAAACATGAATTTTTAATGATAAAAACAAACCAACCACAACAAAAATCCTCAGTCACATTTAAATGATGTAAGTGTACCAACTGAGTATTTTGAAAACTGACAAATAAAAGTAGAGAATCTAATGTTTTTCTATCAATTATATAAAATTATTACTGAAGGCAACTCAATTGTTGATGAGCAATTTTTTTTGTAGAATCGTCACCACTAGGAAGAATAATTAAATTAAACTATCATTGTTTTGTAACCCCTAATGAGATGATGGATATTGGCAAAAATCATCAATGATTACTTGCATCACAAATAAAGACAGACAGGAAGATTGTTTACCTCCAGATATAACTATGAACCACTATATATAAAGTGATTTTGCCAAAAGCTTGAAGTTTACTATAATCAAACTTCCAGATCTACCTCTCAATTTATAAGGAAAAAAACAGGGGCAGAGAGAAATATGCTAATAGACACTTGGAAATGCAATCAGCAAAATCTAGATTGAAATTTTCTAAGAACTTACTGGTTGGTTTCTGCAGTAAAATTAAATGTAAAAATTAAAATTTTATGGAGGAAGAACAACTTATAATACAGAATTAGAAACACATCAAACATTATCAATTTATAAATAAAATTATATGATTTCCAAAATTCACTTAAAAATAATTGTGGAGGTGGGCAACTCACTTGAGGCCAGGAGTCTGAGACCAGCCTGGCCAACATGGTGAAACCCTGTCTTTACTAAAAATACAAAAATTAGCCAGGCGTGGTGGCACATGCCTGTAGTCCTAGCTACTGGGGAGGCTGAAGCAAGAGAATTGTTTGAACCCAGGAGGCAGAGGTTGCAGTGAGCCAAAATCATACCACTGTACTCCAGCCTGGGTGACAGAGTGAGACTCTGCCTCAAAAAGAATAATAATAATTATTATTATATTATATTATTTTTATAATTTTTAATTATTTATTAAACATAATGTATATTATATATTTATATTTATTATAATTATTATTTTGGAGAAGTAGAGGGTGAGGATATGGATAAAATAAGATTGGCCTTAAGTAGATACTTTTTGAATGTGAGGACATAGATAAAATAAGATTGGCCTTAAGTAGATACTTTTTGAATTTGAGGACATGTAGATGTATTAATTCTCTGTTTTTGTGTCAATATTAACATTTTCTATAATTAAAAGGAAACAATTAAAAGAATGGAATCATATTGAACTGTTTTATGTCCTTAATAACTATCAATTAATATATAAATAAAATATGAAACTGACTCCTTAGAAAACAATGATAAAATAATTATAGGACAAATGCACAAGTTTACATTAAGGTGAAGTCACAAACTTATACCCCGTCTTTGTTTTGTGTTGCTATAAAGGAATACCTGAGGGTGGGTAGTTTACAAAGAAAAATTGTTTACTTGGCTCATGATTCTGATGGCTAAAGTGTTCACTATTCGCAACTACATCTAGTGAGGGCCTCGGGCTGCTTGCACTCTTGGTGGAATGAGAAACAGAGAGAGCATATGCAGAGATCATACTGCAAGGAGGAAGCAAGCTGGAGAGAGGAGTGGTTCCAGGCCCTATTTAACAACCAGGCCTCCTGAGAACTAACAGAGTGAGAAGTCACTCATGCCTGAGCAAGAGTATTAATATATTAATAACAGATCCTCCCCCAGGAACCAAATGCCTGCTACTTGGCCCTCCCTATCAATATCACCACAGTGGGGACAAATATCAATATGAGATTTGGTGGGACAAACAAACAATATCTAAACCATAGCAGACCCTAATATGGTGTTTTTAAATAACAGAAAGAAAAGACTTGAGCTACTTATTCATCTTCAGAATTTAAAAGAAGAACAAACATATCCAAAGAAAAGCAGAAAAATGAACTAATAAAGATGAAAGCAGAAATATTTGAATTAGATAACAGAAAGATAATGCAATCAATACATTCAAGGAAAGAAATGAATAACTGTATAGACCCTTTAAAGCCTACTAAAAACAAAATTGGAAATAAAGTTAATTAGAATGAGAAATGAACTATGGTGACAATACGGGAATTAAAAGTTCTAAATTATTTTAAATTCATATTACATATGAAAATATTAACAATAAAAAATCTTAGTGCTTCTGAAACAAATAAATCTATAATCACATTTCAAGAATGAAAGTGCAGATCAACTTTAAGAACCATATTGATACATCTTATTAATGTATTAATAAAATCCACAGAGGAATAAGAGATTTCTTATATCACATTCTTCTAAAAATTGGAAAAATAGTATTATTTCATGATTATAATTCTTTCTATTTCAAATCAATAACAAGATTTTGCTTATTTTATGGTTCTTGCTTTTCTATCTTAGTTTCAGTTACTATTTTCATGATGTTACTTGTATTTATTTCTTCCGTAAAAAAATTTACTTTAATAATTACTTATTTCCAGCTTCATTCTGTTTCTATCCATTGATGACATTATTCAATAAAGAAAATATATTCAAGTTGTTTTCCATTTCCTTTAGAATAAGTCCAAATTCCTTAGAATTACTAAACTGATTTATTTTTTCATTTATTCATCAAATATTTGTGTATCTATTTTGTTTTTGGCCCTCATTTGCCTTAAGTTTGTTTTCTTGATTCTTCATTTCTAACAGCAAATGTAAAACCAGAAAAATAGAAACCTTCTCATGCCATGAATAATGTAAATGCATATCATCCCCCTCCAAATTCTATTCTGTTTTATTGTTTTCATTATAGTCCTTATAATCATCTAACGTATATTATAGCATTATTAGTTTATCGACTGTCTTACTCCATAGAAGGTAAGCTTTGTAAGATAAAAGGAAATTTATGGCCTTTCTTGCAGAATTTCAGGAACAAAAACAAATGTCTGGTACATACAGATATTCAATTAAGAGTTTAATAATTTCAATGGATAAATCATAGGTAAATGATGATATAGCCAAAATCCATTGGGTATTATTATGTTAATAAAATTATGGTTGCTCAAATATCAAAAAAAATTATAATTTAATATTGTGCTAGAAAAATCACGTGTTCAGGTATTGCTATTAAAAAATTACAATTACAACACAAAACTATGCATAAAAAACAGTTGAAGGAAAAAAATCATAATGGGCTTATATTAGTGCTAACATGTTAACAATATTCTTACATAAGTGATTAAATAATTGGTAACATTCTCTTTGCTTTTTCTATTTTTTAAATTTTCTTTGAAATGTACAAACTATACTATTAAAAATATGACATATTATATATTTCAAAAATAATTATAATTTAGGTCTTATTTAAAATTAAATATTTATTTTATTGAAACTCTGATTCTTTGTTATGTAAGGTCTACAGATAAAGCAAGTTTTATAGACCATATGCACAATAAAAGAAACCAAAGAACATAAACGTTATAAAAATTGACAATTAAGCATAAACAACTTTATGTCTTAAAGTAAATAAACATTAAGTGATGTCCAAAAACCGAGGAAGCATTTTATTATTTTGTACAATGCAGAAATTTCTCTATTAAGGATTACGAACAAAATTGCCTTAATACCAATTTAAATAGCAAATTTTATTATTATCTTATAGTAAAAAGTAATTCTCTAAAGACAAAAATGTTTTAAAACTATCAATTATGGTAACAGAACATCTGTGCAAAATCCATTATGATTTTTTCATATAAATTTTAAAATTAAGATTTCCCAAAACCCGAATTAGCTGAAAAATCATCCATATTTGGTCTGCTTTAAAGATATTCAAGGAGAGCATACTGAAAATAAAATCCTAGTTAGCTTAAATGCAACCATTAAGGAAAGTAACAAACTGCAAGTGTGACAAAAAATATATGCAGCCATATATACTTTCTGCAGCAGATATTTTTAAATTAATTAATTAATTAATTTATTTATTCATTCATTCATTCATTCTTGAGACCGAGTTTCGCTCTTGCTGCCCAGGCTGGAATGCAATCGTGCAATCTCAGCTCACTGCACCCTCTGCCTCCGGGGTTCAAGGGATTCTCCTGCCTCAGCTTCCCAAGTAGCTGGGATTACAGGCACACACCGCTATACCCGGCTAATTTTGTATTTTTAGTAAAGACGGGTTTCACCATGTTGGTCAGGATGGTCTCGAATTTCTGACCTCAGGTGTTCAGCCCTCCTCGGCCTCCCAAAGTGCTGAGAATACAGGCATGAGCCACCGCACCTGGCCTAAACTTTTTATTTTTATCCTACATGAATACGCTTTCATTGGCATAAAAATTAAAATTATAGTAGTGACTTTTTGTTCAGGATTTTAAACTTATTTATGCATTCATTTCTGAATGTTGTTTCTTTGCCTGGAACGTGGCAATTTCAGAAGGTATGGGCTGAAACAGCCCCTCTGAGAGGGTTATATTTGAGCAGCAACCTGAATGACACTCTAATAAGCATACACTTACTTTAAATGAATTATTTAATTTGTTTTCAATACCTAATCATAAACTTTTAGACCATACCATCTAATGCTATTCCTTTATCTGGCACACGGAAATTAAATGTAACATGTTATATAAACAAGATGGCTTCATGGTAATCAACAAAGTTGGCAACTTTTTAAATGGAAGAAACATTTTTTCAATAATTAAATTCTCAACTGTATTTTGTGCTCCCTGAAAACACACAATTGTCATATTTCTTTGTATCCTATATACAACACAGTACAGAGCCATATGCTATAGCATTGAAAGTCATCAATTTTAAAAGTCAAGGAAACTTGGATTTAAATCTAACTCTTGCCCTTTGTGTATGTAACCTTGGAAAGATTATTTAACTAATTCTAAGTCTCAGTTGTTTTTATCTGAAAAATAAGGATTAACCCCCCTAGCAGTTTGTTGTGAGGTTTAATTATAATTATGTTCTCAAAAGTATTTCTATTATGTTTAATAAATAACTTCTACATTACTTTAGTAAATATGTCATAAAAATAACAGATTATCACCAGAACTAGATTGATATTATATAGTCTATAAAATACATTAAAATCAGCAGTATAAATCATATAGTAATAATATATTAGGTTTTTAGTTACAAGAATAGCATTAGAAACACATTTGTTAAGAAATAAATCAGGTTATGCATATATAGTACACATTTAAGACTTTATGAGTGGATTTTTATTTGAAATGCAATACCTACAAATATATCCAAATTCTAATCTATAAATTAAAAGCGGGAAAAATGGTCATTTTTAACGTGATATGTAAATGAAAAGGGACAGAAAACAAGGTACAAATTATTAATGTGACTTTTGCAAAGTAGCCCAGAGCCCTTGTAAATACAGCCTTCATTTATACTGTTGCTTCTTATTTGGATGATCCTTTACTGTGTAGATCTTCAAATATCAGGAGGAATTTTTTCTTAGGAACTTTCTGAACTCATATAATAAATTATAGCTCCATCATAAGGATTTGATGTCAACTTCTGTCTCTGTTATAGTGAATAATCTTAAATAATATTTTTCCAAATAATGAATACATCAGGAGATGACTTAAAACTGAGGAAAAAATATATGTATATATACACATGTATAATCTTAGTTTTTCCCTACAGGAAATTACAATAGGTCAGGAGCATTCATGTTTTGTAAATGATTAAGACACTGGATTTTAAAGATGGAGTAATTGTAGTTGTTCCTTTGGTCACACACAGGTGCGTGCTGAAGGAAAATTTTTTCCAATGTGGGGAAGTTTCCTACTGAGCATCAGATTGTACGCCAAAAATGGTTTTGCTTCCATATCCTCAATAAAGAATAAAAAATAAGTTCATATGTACATATGATTTATACAAAAATTACTTAGACATATGTATATGTTCCTGAATTAATACTGAACAAAACAGTTGGTACTCCTAGCAAGAATGTACATACCTTATATGTCCAAGAAACCTAGGGATCATCTGAATCACAAAATATTATTAGTGTTTAAGGAAAGTACTATAGAAAAGTCCCAATAATTAAGTAGAAAGAGAAAGTCCTAGAGGTATATTTACTTTAAAAGTATCTCCTTTTCTGAGTTGCTAATATCTAAATATACTCACATTATCACTAATTTTATTAGCAAATTCAGCATGATTTTTATTATATGTCAACCATTTGACATAATATGAAAATTGGAAATATATCCTGTCTTATCTCCTCTACTCCTATAATTATTGTAATGTTTGTCTTCAGAATAACAAACACATTTAGCTTCAGAATAAATGTCATAAGCAGATAAATAATAGATATAGATAATATCTATTAACTATTATTAGAATATAATCTATTATTAGATTAATAGTAATATATTATTGGATATTTTATTAGAAAATAATCCCTACAAAACCTAAATAATCAACCGAAATTTGTAAAACTGTAAATAGTTCTTCATTCTAATGCTAAATCTGCTATTGGTCAAGCTATTTTTTAAATCAATTCTAATTTCAATAGCTTATCTCCTTTGGAAGCTATTCATCTTAGGGTTTAACATTAGCTTTTTACATTTTTTACTGTATCTAAAAGCAAAAGCTGCCAAAAAAAATTATTTAAATTTAAGACAAGTGCCCTAAATATAAACTTTGAAACTGATCCACTCTCTATGCCAGTGTAACCAATTTATGTACTCATGTACTCACCAAGTCATCTAATTCTGCTCTTCTTTATCCCTCATAAATGTTTCACCTCTGAGAATGCAGTCTACCTACTTTATAGAGTTTTGTGATGGGCTTTAGTCAAAATTGTAACCTAAACTTATCTGACCTAAGTCATACATCTCTAATAATTACTGTTTTACATTGACTATAACTCTGATAGCAAATTAAAAGAGACGGCATTTTACAAACAATTTAATAAAAAAAATTTACTCAAACAAATATTAAATATTTTTAGGCAAAAATGAACATTTTGTTTTGAAGCTGTCATCATCAAGGAAAATGTTAGAACTCTTTTACCCTACTATGGCTTCAAGATGATAATCACCTACTGAAGGTAAACTCCATGAAGGCAGAAGTTTTTCCCTCTATTTTCAGTTTCTGTAATGTTACAGCCCATATCTGCAAACAATGTCATTCACAAATAGGAACTGATTCAAAAGGGGCATGTCAGGGATGTCTAATACATTTTTGGTGAAAATATAAAGGTCATCCAAAACTAATTGTAGTATCATTTCTCCTTAAAAGTGAGCTGAGTTATATATAAGGCAGGTAGTGCTGAACTGAAATGATAAATTAATCTAGAAGAAAGCATATGTGTGATATTATGGATCTAGTTTGAATAAACTGATCTGCTCATTCTTTTTTGCTAAAATCAAAACTGAAAATCTTAATAATTTTGAAGGGCCCCTATCTTCTAACTTGAAGTAAGATCCTTACACATAGTTATCTCAAAGCTGACAGTTATTGTGTAGAGCCCTGACCAAAAGTTAGCATTCAATTAAACATTTCTTTTCAGATATATCATAGGAAGGCATACATTTATGGAAAAATAAAAAATGTATATATTATAAAAACAGTACAACATAGCCTAATGTAAAAAGAAAATAATCATTAATACATCATAAAATATTTTTAAAAGAAAATTCTCTGTCTTCTCTAGTTATGGATTCCCCCATTTCATGTAATTTCATGAAACAAGTAATTTCAAACCTTTGAATTAAACTTTCTCATTAAAATTCACTTTTGATCTTTCCACATCCATGCTCTGATCATGGGAGTAAAACTGTTCACAGTAAGCTAAAGAAGGAGAATCTGCTTAAATATGAGACTGTTTTACCTTTCGAATTACCTCTTCTCACATTTTTACAGTCCAGGATACATTAATTCCATTGTCTGTTCCACCCTCTGGTCTTGCAGAGGTTAGGGAATGGTGGTTGAGAATATAACTGATTATTTCCCAGACTTATTCGGAAATAAGTAGCTATATAAAGAAGAAGGTGCGTAAAAGGATCTTTAGTCCTTTAGTTATACAAGGAATCTTTGTATTAACCTGTATTAATGAGGGACTACATTCTGCATTAACATTCCTATTTAAGACAACTTCTTCATGGCTATTCAAGGTAGACCTCTGTTGTCCACCTAAGGTTTAGATTCTGGATTCATATGGAGGGAAACCTCTTCTCTGATTTGCTGTAAAAATAAACTCTCTCTGCAAACAAAATTTTTGTCTCCCCATGGGGTGAAGCCACAGGATAGTCATGTTAGAACCCACCATGGAGACCTAGACATTTGCCTAAGGTATACGCACATATTGGAAGTAACAAGAGAATGATTTCTGAATTTGCTTCCTTTGTTGCACTTGTTGAAGGAATGTATTTATGGTACTTTTTATGAGGGGTGCATATGCGATGAACAATAAGAGAACCAATTCTAGGGCTGAAAATTACTCATATGCCCTTTCTTCTGTAGTTTATTCACATTGTATAATGATTGCCATCCTGCAGCCTCAGAAAACTAGTAACTAACATACTTCATAATGTGCTGGGTTGTTTCTCTACTTATTTGTTCACGGGTCCTTGACTCTGGCTCTACATCAGCATCATCATGGAGAATTTTTAAGATACCGATGCCTGGATCCCACATTTAGTGATTTAGATTCAATTATTCCAAGATGAGACCCAAAATTTGTATTTTGAAAAGTGATTCTAGTGGGTAGCCAAAGTTTACTGGTTTAAGTGATGTGATTATAAGTTAATATAATACAGACAGGTACATAGATACATATGCGCGCGCACGCGCGCGCGCACACACACACACACACACACACACATATATATATTTAACAATGCTATGGAACATTAGCTGAGGGGGATCATTATCTCATACATGTTTTAGAGTCCACTTACTCTTTGGAACCCTGAAAGTAATATTACAACACAGAATTTATCAGAGACAGATTCCCTTAGCCTATGATCTATTTTCAGAATAGAGTATAGCTTCTTGTTATTTTGTGTGGTTTTGTTTTTGGTAGTAACCCAGATCTAATATGTGACTAAAACTGTACATAAGACAGCTCAAAATATATTTTAAATTGTTTTGTTATATATAAATCGGTGTGTTCTTTCCAAATCTTCTGTCTTTTGCCAACATCTACAAGAAACATTGTTTTAAAAGTAAACAAATTAATAGCAGAACAATTGCACTTAAATATACTCATTGTAGAATCATCGATATGAAACAAATTTTCACCTTTTGAATGAAATTCCAATATGAAGATTATTCATTACTCATTTTCTTTCTAAAATAGGTATTTATATGCCATCAAAATTATAGTGTATAACAAATATTGATTGCATTGTCCTCTTTCTAAGCAGTGTTTTTAAAATAAGGAAAGCCACACCTATACATACGTCCTCTAAACAGAATATACTGAAAATTTAATATTTAAGCATTTATTTAGTCAACTTGATACCTGTTTCAAATAAAGTCTCTTTCAGAGAAATATTTTTTCTAGTGACTGTCTTAGACTGGATGACTCTTAAAAAAAACGAGAACAGAATGGAAGACATCTCTGTATGACATGAGCATCAAAGGGGACATTATCACACAAATAGTTGTGAGAATCTGAAAAGACCACAGATAGGGCAAATAAAGGAGAGAATACAATATAACAACTAAATATTAGTTAACTAATTATTAGGAAAGAAAATCAGGTTACGTTCACTTAGACTTTGACTTAAAAGAAAATTGGGATTTTGAAAAAAGCACATACGTGATTTTATCTTTTCTCTTTCTGACAGAACAGTGGCACTAAAATTAAAAATTTAAAACACCTTCATTTGAAGAAAAGATGGATTCAAATGTGAGAAATTAAAATAGTAATAATATTTAATTTTTAGTTGGCAGTTTTACTTTCAAATTTCTAAACAGTGTTTCACTCCACCTGTATGGATTAAAGACTTGTGTTAAAAGAACACAGTAAAATTTATATTTTCACAATATGACCATTGGAGAACAAAGTCCTGAGAAAGAAATCTGTGGGATGGTAGTGGGGGCTGGAGGGACTCTCGTCAGACAAAAACTAAATAAAACAAAAGCATAAAGACAGAGAAGTGCATAAAATGTGTAGATAAAAGCCAACGAGGTCAGTCTCTCTCTCTCTCTCTCTCTCTCTCTCTCTCTCTCTCTCCCCCTCCCCACATACACACACACATATACAAACACACACAGAGAGAAAGAGAGAGAGAGAGGGAGCTTCATCTGTTTGCCACCATGAAAGGCCACAAGTGTGAGCAGTAGATGGCAATGTAGCTTAGGGAGCCAAGGAATGCTCACACACAGAGGCTTGTTCTGCTCTCCAGCTATGGAGACCACCCATGCAGCTGAGACCCTAGAAATAAAAACACTCAGTCATTCTTTTATAAGGTATTTGTTGAACTATTACTAAGAGTAGAAATCTGGTGAGCAATGATGATATAGCAGAAAACAAACAAAAAAACCTCCAGGTTTCTATCCTCATGAAGATTTAAGACCCTAAAGGACCTTAGAGCCTCCACATGTTGAAATTTCAGTGGAAAGTGACTGGTGTTACAGCTACAGAAACCTGTATAATCTTGGAATACAGAGAATTAGAATGATACTATAAATTTGACTTATCTTTATCACGGGAGGTAAAGTTTGCATTAAATCGATTATACTTAATTGTGGCATTAAAGAGAGCACAACACAGGAATGTATGTCATCAATGTGGATTAAAAGACACTTAGGAAGAAGATGGCAATGTTTTTGGAACCTACAGAACTTTTGTGTGGATGCTTGGAAAGGAGGCAAGAGAGGCGTTTTTAAAAGTAATTCAATAATAAAAAAAAGAAGTTTTAGAAAGGCAATGAGGAAAAACAGAGAGTTAATAGTGGCAGCAAAAGATAGACAAAGTCTTGAAGTCGGAGGGTGAGAGAATTATCTTCCTAAGAGAGGTACGTGGCATGTAGCAATGGAGGTACAAGATGTTTCAGATCAAGGAGAGGACCTGAGGTCCAAATCTAAGGAAAAATGAACAAAAGTTTGCAGGCAGAATTCATAATTGTCAGGATACATTTGAGGCTGTCTTCTAAAATAGTCTACTATTACCATCCAGTGAAAGCCAACAAATCAAATGTCTACCTTGAAGCTAAGAACGCTGAGTCAGATAGATAAAGATCCACTTTCTCTATGGAATGATAAAAATATAATTTATCATGTTTGTTGATAGAAGCATTAAAAAATCTGTAAAAGCATGTGCTGTTTGGAATTTGTGACAAGCTAAAAATAAAGCTTAATTCAGAAATTTAATCCTGAAATTATTTTAAAATAAGCCTGTGTGCATTTTATGCTATGTATGTTTTCCTACTTTAAGAAAGAAAAACATCTGTGTATGGGAGTAGAACCATTTTGGAGGGCTTGGAAGTGCATTATGTAAGAGCAATTCTATAAAGAGATTCAGGGACATTCTCTTTATAGTGATTACAATTCTTTCAAAAATCATTTAAGAAACACGGATACTCATTTTAATATACATGAATTTTCTATAGCTATATGTGTATAGGAAATGTTGAAAAAAATAGAAATACAAAGTAGCATGTTTTAAAGCCTGGTATGCATATATGTATATATATGTATATATATGCATGTGTGTATATACATATATATATATATATATATATACACACATATATATATATATGTATATACACAAACAACTAAATTGGTCTGAAAATTCCTCATCCATTAATGTTTCCTTGTTCAGCAATGAGAAAACTTCTTTGGGGAAGGATGATGTGAAACCACAATTGCATAATTTAGTTGACTTATTTCACAAGGATTAAATCGAAAGAAAATATTTGTCATTTAGTGGTACTTTTGATTTGCCCTGAACTGGACTAGCCATAGCTTTAAAAACCTTCTGGATACTTTTTCCTATACTGTTCATCAGCTAAATGTCGACAAAGAAAACTAAAAGATGTAATCTTGTCATCATTGTTTCAAATTCACTATGTGTATGTATTCACAATTTTATGCATTCACAAAGAAAATGATAGAAAACAAGTGCTTATCAAATGTAATTGCTTCTATGTGATTTCTTCATACATAATGATAAGTGAACATCGTAAGGTCAATATTAGGCCAACATCAGCTATGAGCTTTGAGGCATTCTGTGACCATTTTTCTGGCCATTAATTTAGACCCACTGTGCTAATCAGCCACAGACATAATAATAAAAAATGACTATGACTAAAAAGCCCTGTATTATTTTCAACTTTAGCTTTAAAATTTTCCTATTTTTTAAATAAAAAAATGCATGTCTT
Source organism: Homo sapiens (assembly GCF_000001405.40). Classification (NCBI taxonomy): domain Eukaryota; kingdom Metazoa; phylum Chordata; class Mammalia; order Primates; family Hominidae; genus Homo; species Homo sapiens. The sequence goes on along the minus strand of NC_000007.14, from coordinate 109,343,392 downwards.
CAATCAGAAAGAAATTTAACTCAATAGATTTTGTTGTTGTTGTTTTTCTTTTTTTAAAAAACTAATCTGTAGCTTTATAGTTACATTGACTGAGAGACTTCCAGAATCATAGTTCCAGATTTTTTTCAACATTATTTGAGAATAGCTTCAATTTTCAGGCTTTCTGATAGCTCAGAGAGGCAGAAATTCAAATAGTCCCAACAAAATAAAAATAAAAACTGGCCAAGCAAAATCAGTGGCACAGATAACTGGGCAAACTTGAGGCCTAGGAAAGAGGTAAGTACACTGGAGGCTGACTAAGGAGGTGGGAAGAATGATTCATTTGCCTTGGGGATTCATTTTTCTAAAGGAGAAAGTGACTACTTTAATGCCCTCCAGAGTATTTGGGAATTATTTGCTAGTTCCCTCTAGTTAGTTTTACAGGGACAGACATCATTAGGGGAAAAAATGAAGTTTAGATTACAGCAGAATTTAGTCTGGCAATTTAGATCAAACAATTTAACAGTTTATAATTTTTAAAGTATTTTATTACGTCTTCTTTATATTCCAATTCTGAAAGAAAATGTGAAAAGTAAAAAATACAAAACAAGTTTATTAGTGAATTAGTTGATTTTCCATCTAAAAGTAAAAGGAATTTATCTACTACATTCTTATTTGGTTTTGTCGTCCTTTTCACTAAATTAATACAAAATGTGGCATTGGGCTACAATATAATGACTAAATAATCTGCAATTTTTTTTTCAATTCTACCAGGTTATGATCTTTTGATTATTTTTATATCATTTTGTATCAAATAAAAACAATCTCATGTATAAAATATAAAAGTGGTAAGTTGTTTTACTTCCAAGTAATGCCCAGAATAGATTGGAATTATGTCTAAAGTTTAATTCATTTTCTTTATAATGCTTAGCGTTGTCTTTCCTGAGAAATAGAAGCAAAATAATAGAGGGATATATTTAAAATAATGTCTCACTTCATCCTATATTTATATATTTTCAGATCATTTTGAGATCATTCTTAATAACAGAATTTGCAAATTTTACATTTTCTTAAATGATATTTTTATCCCCTACCCTCAGAAACCCAAGTTGTTTTCTTACATTATTCTCATGTGTCACTGTTGAATTTATTAAGATATATAGGCCTCTTCTTGAACTGTAAATCTCAACTTTAGGTAGTAATTAAGAATTTAGTACATAGCTATGTTTTTTCCTTATTTTCATGATTACACTGCACATTTTTCCCTCACTGAACCATAACTTTCTAAAACATAGGTTGTTGTAACTGCTAAGGTTATATGAGAAATAAGCACTTTACACTTAAGCACTTAAGGAAGTTTACCATGACTATTCTAACATTACATGAACCAACAAAATCTCCAGTCGGAAGAATACAACAGTTGAGCTTAGAGAAAGTCTTCATGCTACCTTTAAAATGAAATGTTTTAAGTGTACATCTCATACTCTGGCTGGAAAAAGACATAAATAAGCAATAATCAAAATATGGGAGCTAAATATCACTCTTCAAATGTACAGAAGATACAGTAACCTATCACATTGTTTAATGAAATTCATTAAATTATTCAGAAGTTGCTTTAAGTGCTGAAACAACATAGTGACAGAACCTCAATGAAATTCCACAATATAATGTAAGTCTGCATCTCAAAGTATAACTTAAACTTCATTTCTGCCTAATCATTGAGAATGGTCCATGGTTGTATAAACATAAAAACCCATATTTCTAATTTGTTTATAATATTGCCACTACATACTTTTTTAGATCCTTTAAAGAAATTGAATCAATAATTAATAACCTTCCAAAAGAGAAAGCACCAGGCACAGAAGGGTTCACTGGTGAATTCTAAAAGTGAACTTTTAAGGAAGAAATTGTACTGGTTCTATACAATCTCTTCTAAAAGATAGAAGCAAAGGTAATACTTTCTAATTCATTCTGTGAGGCCAGCATGACTCTAATACCAAAACCAGATGAAGATATTGCAAGAAAAGTACAGATTAATATCTCTCATGAATATAGATGTAAAATCCCCCACAAAATATTAAAAAATTAAATCCAACAAGTATAAAAATAATTATGCACCACAACCAAGTGAGATTTATCCCAGATATGCAGGACTGGTTCAATGTTTAAAATCAACTAAGATAATTCATCATGTCAACAGGCTTAGGAAGATAAATAATGATGAGTTCAATACATGTAGAAAAAGTATTTGACAAAATCCAACGTCCATTCATGATTAAAAAAAAAAAACTTTTAGTAAACTAGGAATAAGGGGAAATGTCCTGAACTTGATAAAGAATATCTACAAAAAGCCTACAGCTAGTATACCTAGCTGGTATACTAATGGTAAGAAACTCAAGAGTTCCCACTAAGATCAGAAACAAGGCAAGGATGCTACTGTCACCTTCTCAGTATCATACTGGAAATGTCTAATACAATAAAACAACAACAATTTTAAAATAAAATAAAAGATACACAAATTGGGAAAGAAGAAATAACCAGTATTTATTTGCAGAGGACATGATAATCTATGTTGATAATCTATGTAGTTAATCCAAAAGAACTGACAAAAAAATCCTGGAACTAATTAACAATGATAGCAAGGTTGTAGGATACAAAGTTGATATACAAAAACCAATAGTTTTCTTATACATGAACAATGAACTAATAGAATTTGAAAATAAAAAATATCATTTATATTAGCACTCCCCCATAATAAAATACTTATGGATAAATCTAACAAAATTATGTACAAGATCCATATGAAAAAAACTATAAAACTTTGATAAAAGAAACCAAAGAAGAACTAAGTAAATGCAGAGATATTCCACACTAATAAATAGGATGCTTCAATATTGTCTAGATGTCAATTTTTCCCAACTTGATGTACAGATTCAATGAAATCCCAATAGAAATCCCAGTAAGTTTATTTTTTGTGTGTGGAATTGAAAAAACTGATACTTAAAGTTTATATAGAGAGGCAAAAGACCCCGAATAGCCAACTCAATATTAAAGAAGAACAAAGTTTGAGAACTGACACTATTGGACTTCAAGACTTACTATAAAGTTACAGTAATCAAGACTGCATGGTACTCAGAAACAAACAACTCACACATTTTAAATTTCATACTTCTGAGGAACATGGTAAAATATTGTGCCATCCTGCACCATCCCACCTGGGATATGAATCATTCCATTGTCTAGTATATCCATGCTGAATATGATACCCCCACACTAGTTACTCAGTAGCCGTCTCGATTATCAGATCAACAGATCACAAGAAGGAGGGTGCATGCAGTACAATTAGATATTCTGAGAGTCAGAGAGAGAGAGCATGCATGCATTCATGTAACTCTTATTTAGTATATTAACTGTTCTATTTTTAGTGTTAGTTTTTGTTATTAATCTCTTACTGTGTCTAATTTATTAAATTAAGCTTTCTTGTAGGTAGCTGTATATATAGAATAAAAATGATGGTATATACAGTGTTCAGTACTATCTGTGATTTCAGGCATCCACTTGGAGTCCTGGAACGTATCTCTGGGGATGAAGGGGGACTACTCTACACATTTCTCCATTTTTGGTTTCCTATTTTGGAATTCCATTTTGGAATTCAGATAAGATTCCTTGTCCTAGGTTTTGTTTCAGAGATGTGACTCCTAAAATAGGCCTACTGAGTGAAGTTCCCAATAGAGCTTATCTAGACTCCTCATAATGCAGAGAATTATAAATTGAGAAGTAAATACTTGCAGATAGATGCAATTACATTTAAACAACTGTCCAAATCTCAGCAAGATAGATATATATGAGCTGTATATATATGGATACTGTATGATTGGGTGGAAGTCTCAGGATTTAGTCAAGACAGTAGTCTTACCCAAATAATTTTCATTCTTGTCCAGAGGGAGAAAGATTTGATTATTAATCATGAATCATGCCAGAATTGGAAATCAGAAAATATCAAATCCATGTTTTAGATTGTATAAGTGAGAGTATAAACAGAAAGTAAAGTCTTGGTTTCTATTTGGGCAGGAGCTAGTAGGATGGGACAGGAGAGGGAAAGATAATCAACTGTAAAGAAAGAGAAGAGAAGAAGGTGAGTTAGGAAGATTAGAATCTAAAATTGCAAAATTCAGATATCTATTTTGGTGGTCCTTTAAAGAGGGCCTGGGCAAGATTATCCAGGCTTCAGAGGACTATTAAAGCAAAAGAACTGAGATGTGTCTGAAGACCGTAAAAGGTGAAGGCCAAGGATAGATGTGTAAACCATTTGCATCAAGGTACATCCAGGTGAAAATTCTGAGAATTATTGATAGGGCCAAGAAGAGGATTGTATTAGTCAAGGTTTTCTAGAGGAACAGAGCTAATAGGAGGTATATATATATATGAAAGGGAGTTTATTAAGGAGAATTGACTCACATGATCATGAGGTGAAGTCCCACAATTGGCCATCTGTAAGTTGAGGAGCAAGGAAGCCAGTAGTAGTAGCTCAGTCCCACAACCTCAAAAGTTAGAAAACCAACAGTGCAGCCTTCAGTCTGTGGCCGAAGGCCTGAGAGCCCCTGGCAAATCACTGATGTAAGTCCAAGAGTCAAAAATCTGAAGAACTTGGAGTCTGATTTTCTAGGGCAGGAAGCCTCTGCCACCAGAGAAAGATGAAAGCCGGGAGACTCAGCAAGTCAGCTCATTTCACCTTCTTCTGCCTGCTTTGTCTAGCCAAGCTAGCAGCCTATTGAATGCTGCCCACCCATATTGTGGGTTGGCCTTCCTGATGGTGGGTGTTCCTCTTCCAGTCCATGGACTCAAATGTTAATCTCTTCTGGCAACACCCAGAAACATCCAGATACACCCAGAAACAATACTTTGCATCCTTCAATCCAAGCAAGTTAACACTTAATATTAACCATCACAAGGAGTAATCACTTACATAAGTAATATCAGTAGTATATTTTTAAGGTAATTTGTTCTTTCTTTCACAGATAAGAAGTCTGCCCATAGATCGTCTTACCATTTCAACTCTACTGCCTTATTTTTCTACTATGTCACTGCATGTTGAATTCTTTCAATCTCAAAAAAATAAAAAATAAAAAAAAATTAAAAACATACCAGCCAAAATCCATACATAGTAGATAGATTTGTATGAAGTATTTAAGACATTGGAGAGGATTGATATTACAACCTGGAAAAGTGCTTAATGTGTAAAATCCCTGTGTAGACATCTCCAGTTTTAAAATTTCTTTATCTTAAGATTATTAATTCTTAATAATGTAAAAGGAATTTAGGCTTTCATTGAGTTTTGGATCAACTAAAGTAGAAAATTTTCAAGATTCTGTTTTTATGAAATATAATTTTGTTGTCATTTTGATTACAAATGTTGCAAACACAAGGCTTGTCTCATTATTACTAATATGCGCTTTTGTGAGCTAGATACAGTCAACAGTTACTGTGTGTGGAGTAATATTATAGATGCTTTATGAACATTTCTGTTAATATTCAAAACATTTCTTGGAAATTAGATATTATTCCAGTTTTAGAAGAATAAAGTGAGAGTGAGCAAAGCCAAGTAAACTGCCTGCAGTATTTCATTTCTTTCCTTTGAAAGATCAAACCTTGTCTTGTTTTCTCAATAACTTTCTGTTCCTTTGTCCTTATTGTAGGTCCTACACTCCTTTCCTGATATTTTCTTACCTACAGTAGTTTAATGTTCTCCTCTTTCCTCCCCCCATCCCCCACCAGTATTCTCCTAAATCTCAAGCTTTTATTTTCTAGATCTGAGGAAGCATTTTGGGTTAGGTAATTTCTTCACAAAGTTTGTTCTCTGATTAAGTGTGCCCTGATTTTTTTCTGTACCCTGGAGTATCAATTTAGCTTACTTACCTTAATGTCTATGAAGGGATAACTATAATGCAATGTTTTTGAAAATATTCAAGTTCATCTCAAATTAATTTAAAGGCTCTGATTTGAAAACTTATGTCTCAGTCTGTGTATTTTGTTATTGGTAAGTCTTGAGTTTGTGTATACCTTTAAAAAATCATTTCTAATGATTACCAGTACTATGAAGGATACGCTTAAAAATGTTAATTAACTTAGCTAATAAGATCAGTGAAGTGGTAAATTAGCCAGCCATAGATGACATACTTGACACCTATTCTCCAGAGAAAAAAAGTTATTTCCTAAAAAACATGTCAGCTTTAACATAGTCTCATGCAATAGAATTTAGAGAGTGTAAAGCCGAGGCCTGTCATTCAGGTGTTGCAGATGGCTCTCAAGGCAAGGCTTAAAAATATTATCAGGTATAATTTAATATTGTTTCAACGCATAGAAAATATACACAAACTCTAACCCGTGATTGCTCAAGTTCTATTAGAAAAAGCACAATATTTCTCAATAATTACTATGCAATACTCAGCAAGTCATTAAATACAAAGTAATAAAAATAAATTTGCTCTTTTTTTTAAGTTTATGAACAAAGTTCTTATTTGCCTGGAGAATCTTAAAATTGATATAGAAAAAACAAAGGAAATCCTGCACATATTCTTTCTCCCTCTTTCTCTGTGTCTGTCTCCTTCTCTGTTTCTCTCTCTCTCTGTATGTGTCTCTCTGTGTCATTGCAAACAACCAACACAGCCCACTGAAATTCAGCCAGTACTCCACTGGAGTTGTACCACTCAAAATTCATTTTAAAAAGCTCTTGACTGAATATGCCATTAATCACCTTAACTAAATAAGCCTGTATTGAAATTTCCCTATTTGTGCAAGTGTGCTAAGCACTAAGGATCACATGGAAATAATATGTTGCAATTCAGCTCTAAAACAAGAAAGACAAGATAACATATTTATAATTACAATAATTGATTTAAAAGTGAATCAAGGTACTTTGAAAGCAAGTTGGGAAGTTGATAGCATTGAGTTATTCACTTTGTATTTCAGATATTTTAATTTGTGTGCACTTAACTTGTGTATGATTAGGCAGAGCTTGATTCTGTCTTTTTGTTTTATTTACACCTAATCTTTTTATGCCATGTAAATGAACTTACTAAAAGTAAGTGAAATATTTAATTGTCAAGCTCTATGTTTCTCAACCAGAAGAAGGAACTGTCAGTAATGTATTTTGAGAGTCATAGAAATTGTTTTTAAAAAGGAAAGTAACAATTTTCAGTCCCTAAACAGCAGGCATGGGCTACTCTTCTTGGTGTTACCATTCTGAATAGTGCAACTGAGTTCAATGAAATGAGTCCAGCACACCTCAACTTGGACATATTAGGCTTTGGTATAGTTTGACTTCTCCTTAGCTTTTAACTCACTTGCAGGATTTAAACAACCCTTTCGTCTACTTTATTGGCATTATCGTAACATCCTAAAGTGCGATTTGTCATATTTGCACAGAACTTAAAGCAAATAATTCAAATCTTTAGTCTAGTTAACATTAAAATAACCCAAAGTTATAGTACTATAGAAACATATCTGCAGAAAACAAACTTATTTTAACCTAATTAAAAGCTCATTTTAAGAAAAAATATTTTACATAAAAATTCATTTTTTTTTGTAAGGACTTCATAGGGCATTAAGTTTGAGTTGGATTTTTTCTGATTAAAATTTGATTATCTAAAGTAAATAATCTTAAAAATACTGAGTTTACTTAAGTTTGAGTTGGAATTTTTCTGATTAAAATTTGATTATCTAAAGTAAACAATCTTAAAATTGTTGCTTAAGCAAATTTGCTTTTTCTAAATTTGGAAACATTGCATATGTTGCCTGTTGTGTTCCTATAGTCTGATGAAAGAACTAAAGATTAAAATTGAATGCTGAAACTTTAATATTACATTTCATTACTCACTTGATTTCCACATAGAAATTATTTAAATACAATAAATTGATATTTAACATTTGTACTTCCTTTTAAATACTAAAAATATATTTAAATTTCCCTTACTGTGCTATAAGCTAAATATAGGAAATAAAGAGTTTTAGATAAAAAAACATTAAAATAAAGAGAAGCCTTTGTTATTTCCTTTAAATATTTTTAGGATTCTAGGAGACTCCAGGCTTTCCTATAGTGACTTACTTTTTACAAATAGCACTATCTATTATTAGCTATACAAGGTGAAATTGTGTTGTTCTGTTGTTTCTTACTAAATCCATTGATTATAGTATAATGATTTTTTTACAGAAGACAGAAAACTCTGACTTCTGTATTTAAAAAAAAAGTTATATGTACCTTCTGTAAAATCTAAAGAAAATAATATGACAGGCCTGGCACGGTGGCTCATGGCTGTAATCCCAGCACTTTAGGAGGCCGAGGCCAGCGGATCATGAGGTCCAGAAATCTATACCAGCCTGGCCAACATGGCGAAACCCCGTCTCTACTAAAAATACAAAAATTAGCCAGGCGTGGTGGCAGGTACCTGTAATCCCAGCTACTCGGGAGGCTGAGGCAGGAGAATCACTTTAACCTGGGAGGCAGAGGTTGCAGTGAGCAGTGATCACACCATTGCACACCAGCCTGGGGGACAAGAGCGAGACTTCGTCTCTCACAAATCAAATAAATATTGTATTTCCATTAAAAAATTAACTTGTAAGAGAAGTGTATATTTATAACATAATAAGCATGAAAAATATGTGCCTGAGTTTTAATACACATGTCAAAAGTGAAAATAAACTTAAAATTGTAGAAATATACTTCTTAAGCATAGACAAATCCTGTTCTGATGATTATTATAAAACAACAGAGAAGGAGGGGAGGGACAGGAAGGGTAGTGTTAGAAACTTTCTGAAATTATCCATTCATTTTATATTTGCAGTTATTTGATGTCCTTAAACATTTATAGTTAGCAATCTTGTGAACTACTTTTTGAAATGCAATGAGCTTAATTTATCTCTTGCTCTGTGGAAAATATAACTGAACACAATAATCAAAATACAATAAAATTTAAGTTACTAGTTTGTTATATTACAAAAAATATGGTTCAATATTTAAGCATTGTTCTCGATTCCTACTTAAAGCCCTTGCTTTGACATTTGATTAAAATTAATTCTGAGTCCACTAATACTGTAATAACATTTAGTGTCAATCATTTAGAAATTGTTCTGTGTCATAAGGGAGAAAAGCTATTATCAGGCCTAAGAATTAGTAAAAGTGTCAGGCAAGTAAATAACCCGTCATACAGCTGTTAATACTGATTAATCTCTGAAGCACCATCTCTTTCATAAATGAAGAAGAAATATAAAGGCCAATGAGACTAGCAAACAATCAATGGCTATGTAAGAGCAGTCTGGTTAATCCATATTTCACTGATGTTGCCTTATGAACAAGTTTAAAATATTATTTTTCTATTTAAATGTTATACTGCTTTACTATACATGGGACATCAATTCATTGCAGAAAATGTATAGTGGTAAAGGTCATCATAAAAGAAGAAAGAGAAAAATGGAAGGAATAAAGGAAAAAAGGAAGGAAGGGGAAGAAGGAAGGAAAAAAGACAAGAAGAAAGGAAGGGGGAAGAAAGCAGGAAGAGGCAAAGAAATAAAAATTCCAAGAAAAAAGAAAATTAAAAAATTATCCTACCTGCTGGGATATTATTTTTTGTTATTTGAGACTGAAATAAATTAGATAGATAAATAGATGACAGATCGATAGGCAGATAGGTAGATAGATACATGCATGCATACATAATGTTAAAAAAACTGTTTTTCAATTGGAAGTTCTTCTTGATTATCTTTTCTAGTTGATACGTTCTAAACTCTAACATCCTATTTAATTTCTGAGTGGCATTCTATCACATATATATACCATTAATTCTTCAACTATTAAGAGCAATGTTTAAGAACTATATTTAAACTCATTTTAGTTTTCTACAAGTTTAAACGCTTTCCTTGAAATTTTATGTGATGCCTTTCAAACAGTTCCAGGAAAGTGAGTCAGAAGTGTCAGTCCAATGCAGCTCTCTGAGGAGAACAAAGGAAAAAAGGAAAGGTGAGCACGACTAACTGCTGTCAAGCTGCCTCTGCAGTGTTGGAGAAGCCCAAATGGTGTTTTTAAAATAGCTTTTTTTCAAATTTGGTGGTTGGCTACAGAATTTAAATTTAAAACTCTGGCATGGCATTACAACATAACTAACAAAAATAAAGCCATATGAGAATCCTTGGGTTATAAGGCTTCCTGGAAATGATGGAATATACAAGAACATAAGTAAATAGAAAAGAATGCTGCCATTTGTTTCCAATTCTCAAGATGGTGATTGTGTCAGTGCTTCCAGACATTGCTGTATTTGCTCCCAGAACTGGATTTAGTCTTTTCACATATTCCATGGACACTGTTAAATAAGCTGGTGGAATTCTCAGCAGCCTGCTCTAGGAGAAAGTGCAGTAAATCAAGAGGTAGAAGCCTGGGTTCTGGCCCAACTATGCAATTATAATCACAAAAATAATACTCTTTTATTAAAATGACTGTAAAAGCATTCACTCAAATATTAATTTATCTAGCCTTTGCAATATTCTTGTGCGGTATGAATTGTTTTATGTTCTAAGAGAATTTTAGAAATATTAACAAAGCATAAATAAGAAAACTGATTTACCTAGGGTGCCATTTGTTTTACTTTACATTATGCTCGTATAAATGACAAAGGTGAGCAGTGAGAGAAGAGGGGAGAGGAAAATCCGAGAGGGCTGTTGTTCATGGATTCTTTTCTAAGAGGAAAATTAATAATGCCTTTTATAATGGCAAAATTTCTACATAATTTCTTAACAGTCCTGTAGGCCAGTGTTTTACACAAACTTTGTTCCACATGCTCCTTTAGAGTTCCTTACATGTGTGGAGAGAGAAAAATTCAGAGCGGGAGGGCCAGATCTAAGGAGGACAGCTCAATATTATTCTGGTTTTCATATTTACTTTCTTTATGCATTTTTGTTTAAACAAAGATTTCTTAATCTCAAGGGCTTTTAAAATCACCACTTTTCATAAGGCACATTGTAACTTTACTCTTTGATGGTGATTTGGAGAAAACTTAGGAGGTTTAGGAAGATTAGTTTCCTGGGTCGAATCTAGTTAGGTTTTCACCGTGGTGTGTTTTATGAGTTTCTAAGGATGGAAATATAGTTAGAGAATGGATATATTTCATTATTCTTTAAAGCTTGAATACAAATCTCATCATGTCAAAGGAAAGAATTTTCGGTAATACTCTGTAAATTTAAATTATTGGAAACATCCATTAAGGTCATATGAACATGTGATATTTAATGGTTTAAAAATATTTTTTACTAACTCCCTATTTTCAATCTAATGATTATATTTCCAAGTCATTAGCTGTCCTGGTTCTCACCAGAGAATTCTCAATCAAGAGGTAAATCTTATTCTTTGAGAAATGTATCATCCAGAAATTATTTAGTACTGAAGAGATATATCTTAATTCCCCTCCCCTGTACTTCTCCAGTACCTTGAAAACGTAACTAACTGTTTCTAACTTGAGCATTAATAGACAAATATCTTGTATTTCTAAATGCCTCACACTCTGACATCCTGAATGAAGAGCTTAGGTAAGCCAGTTTTTTTTCAAAAGCCTAGAAGAAAGAAAAATCATATTAGTATAACGTAGCTACTCTGAGAACGTAATTAAAAGTACCACAATTACTTTATTATGTGACGTTAATAAAAAATTGGCTAGAAGCTCTTCGGCAAACTTAAGCTTTAAGTAAATAATTACTTGAATCAACATTTTTATTAAATTAAGTCATTTATAATTATGAATTTGTCTTCTCAGCAATTTTTCAGTAGAATATTAATATACTCATAAATTTTATGTGGATAAAAAGCCCTTTAGCAAATTTTTAATCTATAAAATGTTTCAATTTATAGCTCTGAAAGAGTCATAATTTATTACTATGAAGTTTCTTCTCAAAAAGCAAAAACAATCACAGGTAAAACCAACAATAACTTTTCCAACTTCACTAGAAATTTTAAGGACTGATATTAACTTCAAATATATTAAATATTTATGAGCCATTAGCTATTATATACAATGTGATTTCCAAAAACAAAAAAGAAAGAAAAAACTGGACTCCTGATCCAGTACTATAGGTCAATGTAGACCAGTTTTTCTCACGCTCTTTTTAAGTCAATCTTATCCATTAGCTTACTAGCTGACTCTGTAGCTATGGTCCCAAGTTTTTGGCTGGCCTCTGCAATATCCTCCTTAGCCCCTCCCCAAACTATTAGAAATATGATCATTTGAAAATATTTCACATAGGTCAAGGGCAATCTCTTAATTGAAGTGATTTATGTAACAACCAAAGAATAATTATTTGCCTAGGTTAGAAAAAAAAAGCCTCCTGTCAAGATATCTGGATATGCATATTGTTTTGACTATTGGATGGTAAAAAAAGAGAAGAAAGGAAGAAGGAAGCAAAAAATTTAAGGTAAAAAGAGAAGACCGTATCTATTGTGGTTATATGTATATAGGAAGCCATCGATATATATGAGGGAGAGAGTACAGATATGCCTGTTTGCAAGAAAAAAAACAAATTTAATGAGAAAGAACGAAAAAGTGAAAATTATACAAAGCATAAGATAACTATAAATATTGCTTTACCCAGCACTTTGCTAGGAAGTGAACTACATTTTAAAAAATAGCTCTTTGTTCTAAATCTGTCTCCTCATTTCTCTTCATCATCACCTTTTCTGCTGTGTGTCTGTGAGAGAGAGAGAGAGAGCCATTTCTCTTCATCATCACCTTTTCTTCTGTGTGTGTGTGTGTGTGTGTGTGAGAGAGAGAGAGAGAGAGAGGAGAGAGATTGTGAAGGAGGTGAGCGAGGATGAAGGTGACAATAGAGAGGCATAAAGGGGAAAGGAACATAAGACAGAAACCGTAGGCACTAAACACAACTGGGAATAAAAGAATAATATGAGCCAAAATTGATAGAGCATTGCCATCATAGAAGTACAGATATTTTAACTCCAAGAATTCAAAATTATGTACACAGTTTTCTTTTTTCCACTTCAGCATCATAGCCCAATTTAGGCAAAGTCCTTTTTCAGTATCCTCCAATTCCTTTCCTTTCTTATTTTGTTAACTTTTATTTTAAGTTAAGGGGTATATGTATAGATTTGTTATATAGGTAAGCTCATGCCACAGGGTTTTGTTGTACAAATCATTTCTTCACCCAGGTCATTTTTTATTCCCCTCTCCCTCCTCCCACCCTCCCCCATTGAGTAGACCTCAGTGTCTGTTGTTTCCTTCTTTGTGTTCATAAGTTATTATTTGGCTTCCACTTATAAGGGAAAACATGCAGTATTTGGTTTTCTGTTCCTGCATTAGTTTGCTAAGGATCATGGCCTCCAGCTCCATCCATGTTCCCACAAAAGACAAGATCTCATTCTTTTTTATGGCTGCATAGTATTCCATGGTTAATATGAACCACATTTTCTTTATCCAGTCTACCATTGATGGACATTTAGGTTGATTCCATGTCTTCGCTATTGTGAGCAGTGCTGCAATGAACATACACATGCATGCATCTTTATGATAGAATGATGCATGAAGGATTTCTATTCCTTTGGGTATATACTCAGTATTGGGATTGCTGGGTCGAATGGTTTTTACATCTTTGAGGAATTGCCATACTGTTTTCCATAATGGTTGAACAAATTTACACCCCCAACCAACAGTGTAATTCTTTCCCTTTCTTATCTTCAAAGACTTTCCAATGTCTAAGATAATCAGATTCAGCCTTCATTCCAAAATTTCCATTTTGTCCAACTCCCCTTTCTAACAAGAGAAAAGTAAAAATAAAGAACAAATGAACAAAAATTACTCATTCACTGTAGCTAATACCTACAGAATAAAAATGGATTTAAATAATTTCCCAAAGAGTTTGTTAACCCCAAATATTATATAATGTCTGATATCTAGTCAGCCTTCCCTCCTCACTCAAAGCTGGCTACTCACACAAATAACTACCCTAGACACATGAACTCACCTAGACAACATAAAAGTAGAACAAAAGATTTAGTAAATTACCTACTCTGATTTTCTTAACACTGAAAGAACTTGTATGTAAGTTTATATGTAAATACTAACCTCTTAATAAATGACATTAAAATACATTGTTAGTGTGGGAGATATTATCGGTAGACTTTTTAATATGTGCTTGGGATGCTTATGGTTGAGCCACAGGCACTTGGCAATTACAGATCTTCAGTCAACAAAGAAAACAAACAGTAGTAACAAAATTAGAGGAACTACCTAATTTAATAAAATACTTGTTACAAAGACAACTGACAAGTAATTTTTTTCCTTACTTTCTATTTATCAGATATACAAGTATACTCATATTTTACCACCTTCAGTTGCTGAATTTCATCCATCTGCCTATTTATCTCTACCTGTATCTAACTATTTCTCTCTACCTGTATCTACCTATTTCTCTATCTACTTAGTTTCACACATTTGGATTGAGCAGGACTTCATTTAGATTCCTTGCTTGGGGTGATTTTAAAAGAATCGCTCTGAACAAAGATTGAGCTGACATACAGGGACCACCTGACAACCACATCAGGACTACACCAAGGCCTAACCAAATAAAAATTTAATCAGTAAGCAAAGGAAAGGCTGACACCAAACTGAGCTCAACAAATGGATATTTATGTCCAGAGCTAAATGGCCACTCCTAACAAAAACAACCATGGCTCCAAACACAGAGGAGACCAGAAACAGAATTGGCTTGAATATATGAAAAAGCCCACAAAACAAAACAAAAACACTTTGCATTCATTGATATCTTCTTAAAAACAACCATCTCAGATGGGTTGACTGTTCCAGCCTGACTCCCCTAGGCAGATTATGCACCTTTGACACACCACCCATGTCAGCTCTACACTTGCTGCCTTCAAAGGGAGTGAAGTGAGCCAGCTAAAAAACTGTCACACAAACCATTGCTCAATGAAATAAAGGAGCATACAAACGAATGAAAGAATATTCCATGTTCATGGATAGGAAGAATCAATATTGTGAAAATGGCCATACTGCCCAAGGTAATTTATAAATTCAATGCCATCCCCATCAAGCTACCAATGACTTTCTTCACAGAATTGGAAAAAACTACTTTAAAGTTCATATGGAACCAAAAAAGAGCCCGCATTGCCAAGTCAATCCTAAGCCAAAAGAACAAAGCTGGAGGCATCACGCTACCTGACTTCAAACTATACTATAAGGTACAGTAACCAAAACAGCATGGTACTGGTACCAAAACAGAGATATAGACCAATGGAACAGAACAGAGCCCTCAGAAATAATGCCACACATCTAAAACTATCCGATCTTTGACAAACTTGACAAAAAAAAGAAATGGGGAAAGGATTCCCTATTTAATAAATGGTGCTGGGAAAACTGGCTAGCCACATGTAGAAAGCTGAAACTGGATCCCTCCCTTACACCTTATACAAAAATTATTTCAAGATGGATTAAAGACTTACATGTTAGACCTAAAACCATAAAAACCCTAGAAGAAAACCTAGGCAATACCATTCAGGACATAGGCATGGGCAAGGACTTCATGTCTAAAACACCAAAAGCAATGGCAACAAAAGACAAAATTGACAAATGGGATCTAATTAAACTGAAGAGCTTCTGCACAGCAAAAGAAACTACCATCAGAGTGAACAGGCAACCTACAGAATGGGAGAAAATTTTTGCAATCTACTCATCTGACAAAGGGCTAATATCCAGAATCTACAATGAACTCAAACAAATTTACAAGAAAAAAATAAACAACCCCATCAAAAAGTGGGAGAAGGATATGAACAGACACTTCTCAAAAGAAGACATTTATGCAGCCAAAAAACACATAAAAAAATGCTCATCATCACTGGCCATCAGAGAAATGCAAATCAAAACCACAATGAGATATCATCTCACACCAGTTAGAGTGGCAATCATTAAAAAGTCAGGAAACAACAGGTGCTGGAGAGGATGTGGAGAAATAGGAACACTTTTACACTGTTGGTGGGACTGTAAACTAGTTCAACCATTGTGGAAGTCAGTGTGGCGATTCCTCAGGGATCTAGAACTAGAAATACCATTTGACCCAGTCATCCCATTACTGGTACATACCCAAAGGATTATAAATCATGCTGCTATAAAGACACATGCACACGTATGTTTATTGCGGCACTATTCACAGTAGCAAAGACTTGGAACCAACCCAAATGTCCAACAGTGATAGACTGGATCAAGAAAATGTGGCACATATACACCATGGAATACTATGCATCCATAAAAACAGATGAGTTCATGTCCTTTGTAGGGACATGGATGAAGCTGGAAACCATCATTCTCAGCAAACTATCACAAGGACAAAAAACCAAACACCGCATGTTCTCACTCATAGGTGGGAATAGAACAATGAGAATACATGGACACAGGAAGGGGAACATCATACACCGGGGCCTGTTGTGGGATGGGGGGAGCGGGGAAGGATAGCATTAGGAGATATACCTAATGTTAAATGATGAGTTAATGGGTGCAGCACACAAACATGGCACATATATACATATGTAACAAACCTGCACATTGTGCACATGTACCCTAAAACTTAAAGTATAATAAAAAAATTAAAACAAAGAATTAGCTTGGAAAATAAATTGTACAAGTAATGAATTTTGAAAAATAAATTAATAGAGATTGAAAAAACAATTGTCACTTTTCTTCACATAGAGAAAAAGTGTTTATAAGAATAGAATACACATGAGTTAGTCACAAGGTCACCATTTGACAAAATATCCTTTCTGCTTTGGAAATTAGTCTTTAGTTTGAAGTAAACTGTAAGTTGAATGGACAATAACTTGATTACTATGCCAATTGTGTCACATATAAGTAAAACCGTGTATTTTCTTCATAACTAAATATATTAATGAATATATTATTTATTATCTTATTGTTAACCATTCAATTTTTCAGAGCAACATATATATACTCAGTGCCTCGCACTGTTGTGTTATTCTGTGGAGCCCCTTCCTCTTCCTTGTTTCTGTCCTTCCTGCATTGCTGATATATCCTGTCTGCCTCTTAGGTGATGGAAATTAGAGTCCTGCTTAAAAAATACAGATGTTCTGGAATATCAAGCAACAATTTCAAGCTTTCACACTTCTGGATTGAAACACAGTTTAAAGAGGTATAGAGAGAAAGTTAATGACTGCACAATGAATGTTAAAATGCATTTTCAATGTCATATGTTTTACAAGCTTTCATCTTCATTATTATGAATAATTTTAAGGCCATGTAAAGTTACATTAATATTCATTCTTATTTTGCATTATAACCATAATTTCCCAATAAATATGTATACTTCAGCAGAGTTGAATACACTAAAATACACTAAAAACTAGATTACTATAAAAATTACAATTTAGACATTGCACATTTAATAAAAAATCTTTAAAAAGTATCCCTTAAGTAAACTTTTTCTACTTTTAGTATTTTCGGCTTTATTCAGGGTTTCTTGGCAAATTATATTTTAGAAATACTTATATCAGCCTTTTCATATGTGGAAGGAATATAGAAGGCAAGCCAATCTATCCTTACAATTTTAAACCTACGTTCTGAGAAAATTCTCTATATATAAAAGGAAAAAAAAGTTTGTTTCTGAAGTTTGTTTCATCCAAAGCTTCCAGATGTTCTGGAATATCAAGCAACAATTTCAAGCTTTCACACTACTGGATTGAAACACAGTTTAAAGAGGTATAGAGAGAAAGTTAATGACTGCGCAATGAATGTTAAAATGCATTTTCAATGTCATATGTTTTACAAGCTTTCATCTTCATTATTATGGAATGAAGCTTTCCATTATTATGGAAAGCTATGCTTTCCATTCTTTTGAAACTATTTGGGGAGGAACATGTTCATTCCAGAATAATGCATATCCTCATTAATGTTGTCAATTTACTGACATATTCTAAATGTAGCTTAATTATAGGCATTTTATTATCAACTGATTTTCCTTGTTTAACCTGTATGTATATACACAGAAATTGGAAGTGAGGTACAGAAACAGCTGGTTTGGTTATAGGTTGGCATTTGCTTTATTTGAACACAGTTTGAGCACTCAACTCATATACATATATATATATAAATTTACTGACATATTCTAAATGTAGCTTAATTATAGGCATTTTATTATCAACTGATTTTCCTTGTTTAACCTGTATGTATATACACAGAAATTGGAAGTGAGGTACAGAAACAGCTGGTTTGGTTATAGGTTGGCATTTGCTTTATTTGAACACAGTTTGAACACTCAACTCATATACATATATATATATATTGCCTGAAGATGTAGGATATACCAGGGAAACCAACTGATAATAAAATAATAAAATTGATAATAAAAATACATATTAATATATTTATATATACGATATATAAAATATATATTGTTTGTAAACATCTTTTCCTCTCTGACCATTATCACCCTCAATTCTCACTTTCATCATTCTAAGTCACATTCCCAGGTTACCTTGCTATTTCTGGTTCTTTCCATGCCAAATAATCTTCCCAAATCTGCCAAAATACAATTTTTTTTCTGCACATGATTTTCATTATATAACTTCTCCTTTTCATGGAGTGGGATGACAAACAGATAAATAGCCTGATAATAAACTGATAAACAATTCCCTTTTTTTTGATTTTCAAAGACTCCACAATCAAATTTATCTCCTCAAATAAAGAGACCTTGCTATTTGCCTGTTGCAGAAGCAATTTTAGAAAATGTGGAAAAGCAGAACTTTACAAAATAAATTCTATGGTGTTTGGGAGCCAACACTTACATCCTATGCATATTTATGTCAGTTGGAATGCTTACTTTGGAAGGATCTTTGTGAGAATCAAAAATGGAAAAACTGGCAGAATAATTAATACAATAGTTATTTTAGCTACCACAAAAGAAGATGAGTGAAATTTACAAAGTAAATCTAGAAAGAATCGACTGATTTATAGGTCCATTTAAGATTTGATTTTCTAAAATTTACTAATTCAGTAGGCAAAAACTAGTGTGTTTAGCTGTCTAATTAGAAGAAAAATTAAATATATTTCCATAATTTTATTGGCATTTGCATTTCAGTTTTATTGTCCACAGTTTATTTTTCCACTGGGGTGAACAATGTATTCTTATTAAGACATAATTTTAGGCCGGGTGCGGTGGTTCACGCCTGTAATCCCAGCACTTTGGGAGGCCAAGGCACGTGGATTACGCGGTCAGGAGTTCAAGACCAGCCTGGCCAATATGATGAAACCCCGTCTCTACTAAAAATACAAAAATTATCCAGGGGTGGTGGCACGTGTCTGTAGTCCCAGCTACTCAGGAGGCTGAGGCAGGAGAGTCGCTTGAACCTGGGAGGTGGAGGTTGCAGTGAGCTGAGATCACCTAACTGCACTCCAGCCTGGGCAACAGAGCAAGACTCCATTTCAAAAAAAAAAAAAAAAGACATAATTTTAAATATAATGTTGCTTTTGTTCATCATATAAGCTACAAACATTTCCTAGTTCATAGCATGCCTTTAACTTTATTAGTTAAATTATTTAACTTTATTTATAATAAAATGTCAATCACATTTTATTTGATGTTAAATAACCTGATATTCCTTATTATAAGATCATCACAGCTTGATTTTTTATGAGTTACTCATTAAGCCACATAATTTTTTCAAACGAAATACCTGGGTTAAAGATCTAACTTTATTTTTCCCAGTACCAAACTGTCCCAAAGACTGTGCTATTATATTGCACCAATATTCCCTCCTGAGTGATTTACTATTTACTTGCTTACAGGACTACTCACAACCAACAGCACAATCTCTCTTTGCTCAAGCTGTTTAACCTGACTGCTGATACCTACTCTGTCTCTGCACAATCAGGACAGAAGTATAAGAGAACGAATTCTCCCCAGAAGCATGGCTCCATTGATAACACCAATGAGTTGGTGTATGTTCTACATTGTTTCTCAGAGCCTTTTAGTGATATTAAGGTCTGTTTGCTCACAGCAGTAGCTTGCTTGATAAAATATTCTTCATTGGCCTCTTTTCCTTTTTCTCTACTGGCATTTTCAAGGATTGTCTTCCAAATAAATTTCTTATACTCAAATACTTTTCTCAGGGTCTGTGCCTTGGAAAACTCAAATGAATTAAATTTAAAGGAGTTTAATTGAGCAATGAATGATCTGTGAATAAGGCAGCCTCAAAATCACAGCAGATTCAGAGAGGCTCCAGCGCAGCCATGTGGTGGAAGAAGATTTATAGACAAAAAAAAAGAGAAGTGACCTACAGAAACTGGAAGTGAGGTACAGAAGCAGCTGGTTTGGTTAGAGGTTGGCATTTGCCTTATTTGAACACTCAGCAGTGTATGAGTGGTTGAAGTACGGCTGCTGGGATTGGCCAAGGCTCAGCTATTGTTACAGGTGCACACTCCTAGTTAGGTTTTCAATCTTGTCTACTTATTAAGTTAGGTTACAGTTTGTCCAGAAGGACTCAAATATAGAAGTATGGAGTCCTTATCAGATCATATTTACTTGGCTGTAACACTCCCATATTTTTTTTAATTTTTTTTTAAATTTGAGATGCAACATTGTATTTGGCACATACATTTAGATGGCTACTTGACTCACAGTAAATTCTTCAATGGCCATATCTATGACAAATGATTCTTCTTTTCCCAATATAGCTGATTGGTCTAGAAATAAAAGCAATGGAATGAAATTTTGTCAATTTTATCTCTTCCAGGGAATAAAAACCTGAAGAAAGAGCCACAGGACTGGACTGAGCTAAGGCATGTTAATAGCCATGTTCTAGAGAAACGATCTATGAACTCCTCTGCTGAGGTCCCCACACCTGTCCTTGTTCTCTTTCTTCCCGAGGCTGAGTGTCTTTCCTGCTGTTCTGTGATGCTTTTGCAACACTAATGAATAAATCTCTCTCCAGGAATTGTTTTCTTTTTCATGAAACACCTCTCTCCTCCCTTATCTCACCACAAAAAAGTAAAAAAATAAAAGAATATTTAATGTTCAGAATCCACAAGTTATTGAAACAAAGCTCCTTATACATTTCTCTCTTACCATCAAGAAGTTCGCTAGCACTTTATTCCTTATTTTTAATAAATATATTAATATTATGAGTCACCTTGAATCTTTATTGGAAATAAGTTTTCCATTCTGGATTACTTATAATGATCAAAGGCTGAAAACAGGGTTTGAGATCTGTCAAACACTATTTAATGATCAGCTAAGAAACAGAAGATTCATTTAAAAGAGTTTTGCTGAGTGTCTATGTTATGGTGACCACTGTGCTAAGTAAATGTGACAGCAATAAATGTTCTACCTGCTTCACTCTACTCTCACATTCAGAATGACTTTTTTGGTTTCTGAATACGTATTTCCAGTATTAAAACTTCTCCTTTAAAGTTAACAGGCAGATGGAAACTATAATGTTTAAGTTCCAATTCTAGCTTGCCAGATGAAGAACTCCATTGTTTACCACTCAAGCAGCTAATTATGGCTACACATAAGAGTAACATTGTGTAGAACGGCTTCTGAGCCCTCATCACTGTTATGAGGAGGAGACAAATTCCTAGACACTGCACTGGTAAGAACTTCCAAGAGGTGTCTGTACATTTTAGGTGGGGTAATCATAACATACTAGTTTTCCTGAGCATACCTTGTTTTTGCCTGTGTTTTTGGTGCAGTTATTAATACTGCTTCCTTCTGCTCTCAAAATAGTTCTTCCTCGGAAGATATACCTCACCCTAATTATAGATATCATTGAGAGCAACCCTCTTCTTTTACTCAAGAGGACAACTGAAACCTGGAAAAATGGAAGGACTTTTTTGAAATCTCATTAGTCGTAGTCTAATAGAAAAATTCAGGTGTGCAGTCTCATTTTACTTCTTAGTTTATGTTGTTTAATTCTTTTTTTATTCATCTAGTAATTGCCAGCGTCAAGTTATGAAATGGTTGATTGAAGTTAGCTGAGTTTAGTAGTGAAAAAACAGAGCAATGTCAACTCCATTCAGTAATTCATGATCAGAATTGGTAACTGTTATAATCTGAATGTTTGGGTTCCCCCAAAAATTAATATGTTGAAATCCTAACCTCCAAAGTGGTGGTATTTAGAGATAGGCCTTTGCCCTTACAAAAGAGGCAAGAGGGTGCTTGTTTCCCCCTTCCACCTAGTGAGGACACAGCGATAAGCCACCATTTATGAATCAGAAAGTTGGCCATCATCCAACAATGAATCTGCTAGTTCCTACATCTTGGAAATTTCAACCTCCAGAACTATGAGAAATAAATCCCTGTTGTTTATAAGCTACTCAGTTTATTTTTCCAGCAGCCTGACAGCATCCTAAGCAAGTAGTCAGACAAAGGTAAGAAAAACTTTTTTTGGAGAACTTTTCTTGTGAGGCTAAATGCTGTTGTAGAGTAAATTCGAAGTTGTGGTTGGTTGTTTCCTACCATTGGGTGAATGAGCCATAGCCTTGACTCTATCATTGAGGGCGCTTCTTCTGTTCTTAAGGACACTTAGCATGGAAATTTAAGCATTAATTAAAGATCGCTTTTCTTCCAGCTGTCTAATTAAATCAGAGACTAACATCTAAGAATGACTCTTCTCTCAAAGCAGACACTTTTACCATTGCAAACATGTTCAGTAATGTAGCCCTTCAGAGGAAATGGTCTACTTC
The DNA here is from genome assembly GCF_000001405.40 of Homo sapiens. Taxonomy (NCBI): domain Eukaryota; kingdom Metazoa; phylum Chordata; class Mammalia; order Primates; family Hominidae; genus Homo; species Homo sapiens. The sequence goes on along the minus strand of NC_000007.14, from coordinate 109,320,662 downwards.
AACGGAAGTGGCTCTCTTCTGAGGTTAGTATAAAGCAAATCTGTGAAGTAGGTAAATTTGGTAACATTTCAATATTCCAGAACTATTTCTTCTTTATATCCTTGCGGAAACCATTTTCTCTATCCTGTTTTCTAGTCTCAAGATCTTTTTAGTTTCTCATCTTTTTTCTTCTGGAAATTTGCTCTCTGAAAAGGAATTTTCATGTATCTATAAAGAATAAATGACCTTTAGATATTCTGTTATTTCTCCCAGGAGTACTGTTCACAAATTCTTATCTACAAAGCCCAAAAGTTTGGAACTCTAGGAATTAAATTCTAAGCATAAGCAAACTGCATTATTGATTGGGGGAGATGGGACTTCCCAGAACTACTCAAATCATACCAAGTGTGTGATCCCTAATCCGCTTACCTTACCTACTGGATGGCTGATTCTGCCTTTGAAGGTAACTTTTATGTACATGTAGCAAAGCTGAATGAAGACCTTTTTCAAAATACTCTAAATAATAAAATTAAGTTCACAGATTTCCAGTTTCAAAAGCACTCTAAAAATATGGCAGAATGATCAATAGGTACTATGTATTTTAATGACAGGAACTGAGAAAAAATGACAGGCAAAGATGGAATTTAGATGAGTTCCCTGAGGGAAAGCTTTAGATTTTTGCATCTTGATAGGTGATTTTCAGAGGAAGCCGAATTATGACTTTTTCCAATCAACTCACACTTATAAACGTCAGCAGCAGCACAATACTTTGAACATGACACTTTAATATGTGCCAACTGATACTGTGAAATGGGTGAGCAGGTGAGTAGGAACTTCAAGTTGAGTAGAAAATTCCTTGTACTTTTTATGTGATATCAAAAGTAAGAAAAGCAAAAGAAGAATAAGACTCTAGTCTCATTTCTTATTAATTGCTGTAGAAAAAAGTCAAACTGTTTTGTTTTGCGGATATGTTATGGTGCACATATTGTTGTGGTATATGTGATATTTTGATACCTGTATACCTCCTTTAATGATCAAATCAGTGTCATTGGGATATCCATTGCTCACGCATTTATCTGTTTCTTGTGCTAGAAACATTACAATTTTTCTCTTTTAGTTATTTTGAAACATACAATAAACTATTAACAATAATTTTTCTACAGTACTCTAGAACACTAGAACTTATTTGTTGTATCTAACTGTATTTTTGTACCCCTTAACCAACCTTTCTTTATTCTTCCTTTCCACTTTTCTTCCCAGCCTCTTATAACCACCATTTTACTCTCTACCTCCATGAGATCCACTTTTTTATTTCCCACATATGAGTAGGACCATACAGTATTTGTCTTTCTGTGCCTGTCTTATTTCATTTAGCAGGACATCTAGCTCCATTCATGTTGCTACAAATGACAGGATTTTTTTATTATACCTGAATAATATTCTATTTTGTATTTATACCATATTTTCCTTATCCATTCATCCACTGATGAATACTTAGGTTAATTTCATATCTTGGCTATTGTGAGTAATGCTGCAATAAATGTGGGTGTGCAGATATCTCTTGGATATACTGATTAACTTTTCCTTTGGAAAAACACTCAGCAGAGGGACTGCTGGATATATATAATAGTTGTATTTTTAGTTTTTGTGGAACTTCCATACTATTTTCCACAGTGGCTGTACTACTTCACGTTCCCACCAACAGTGTACAAATATTCCATTCTCTCTACATCTTCACTAACATTTGTTATTTTTCATCTTTTTGGTGAAAATAATTCTAACTAGGGTAAGACAAAGTTTCATTGTGGTTTTTATTTGATTTCCCTCATTATTAGTGATGTTAAGCATTTTTTCATGTGCCCATTGGCCATTTGTATGTCTTCTTTTGAGAAATATCTATTCATATCTTTTATCATGTTTTAAAATCATATTAGTTTTTTTGGCTATTTTTTGAGTTCTTTATATGTTCTGGTTATTAATCCCTTATCATATAGATAGCTCACAAGTATTTTCTCTCAATCCATAAGTTGTCTCTGTACTTTGCTAATTGCTTCCCTTCTGTGCAGAAGCTCTTTACCTGGGTGCAATCCAATTTGTCTATTTTTGTTTTTGTTGCCTGTGCTTTTGAGGTTTTACCCCAAAAATCTTGTCTCAGACCAATGTCCTGTTGTGCTTCCCCAATGTTTTCTTCCAGCAGTTTCATAGTTTCAGGTCTTACATTTAAGCCTTTAATCTATTTTGAGTTAATTTTTGTATATGGTGAAGGAAAGGGATCTAGTTCAATTCTTCTGCATATGGATATCCAGTCTTAGCACCATTTATTTTAAAAACTGGCCTTTCCCCAATATGTGTTCTTGTCACCTTTGTCAAAATTGAATTGGCTGCAAGTGTATGAATTTATTTCTGGATTCTCCATTCTGTTCCATTGGTGTCTATTTTGGAGCAGTACCAGGCTGTTCTAATTACTGTAGCTTTGCAGTACAATTTGAAATCAGATAGTGTGATACCTCCAGCTTCATTCTTTTTGCTAAGGATTGCTTTAGCTATTTGGCATCTCTGGGGGTTTTGTGTAAATTTTAAGATTTTTATTCTATTTCTGTGGAGAATGTCATTGGTATTTTCATGAAGATTGCATTGTAGCTTTAGACCACTTTAGGAAGTATAGACATTGTGACAATATTAAGTAAATCTTCCAACCGATGGGCATGAGATATCATTTTTTTGTGTCATCTTTCAATTCTTTCTTAAGGGTTTTATAGGTCTTTCACTTGTTTGTTACATTGAGTGCTAGGGATTTTTATACTTAATGTAAATGAGATTGATTTCTTGATCTGTTTTTATAGCTTCATTGATATTACCACGTGGAAACACCCAAGTTTTCGTATGTTAATTATATCATGTAACTTTACTAAATTTGTTTTTCATCTTAGAATTTTTTTTTTTTTTTTTTTTTTTTTGAGACAGAGGCTCACTCTGTCTCCTAGGCTGGAGTGCTGTGGCACAATCTTGGCTCACTTTAACCTCCACCTCTGGGGTTAAAGCAATTCTCCCTGCCTCAGCCTCACAAAGTAGCTGGGATTACAGATGCCCACCACCATGCCCGACTAATTTGTGTATTATTTAGTAGAGACAAGGATTCCCCATGTTGTCCATGTTGGTCTTGAACTCCTGACCTCAGGTGATCCGCCCACCTCGGCCTCCCAAAGTGCTGGGATTACAGGCGTGAGCCACCACACCCGGCCTCATCTCAGAATTTTTTGATGGAGTTTTTAGGTTGCTGTAAATATAAGAGCATGTTCTCTGAAAACAGAGACAATTTGACTTCTTCTTTTCCAATTTAGATGCCGGTTATTTCTTTGTCGAACCTACTTGCTCTGGTGAGCATATATAGTACTTTGGTGAATTAAAGTGGGGAAAGTGGCATTCTTATTTTGTTGCAGATCTTAGTATAAAGGCTTTCAATTTTCCTCTGTTAAGTAGGATATTAGCTGTGGGCTTATCACATGTATCCTGCATCTTGTTGAGTTATGTTATTTCTATACTCAATTTGTTGAGGGTTTTCTCATGAAGAGATGTTGAATTTTATCAAAGGCTTTTTCAGCTCTTATTAAAATGGTCATATGGCGTTCATCTTTGATTCTGCCTATGTGATGTTTCATATTTATTGATTTGCATTTGTTGAACCATCCTTACACCCCTGGGATGAATCCCACTTGACCATGGTGAGTTATCTTTTTAATGTGCCCTTGTATTCTGTTTGCTAATATTTTGTTGAGAATGTTTGCATCCATGTTCTTTCAGAATATTCGCCTGTAGTTTTTTTGTATGTGCATCTTTGTCTGGTTTTGTTATCAGGGTAATTCCAGCCTTCTAGAATAAATTTGGAAGTCTTCTCACCTCTTTTCTTTTTTGAAATAGTTTGAGTAGAATTAGTGTTAATTCATCTTTAAATGATTAGTAGAATTCAGCAATAAATCCATGAGGTCACTGGCTTTTCTTTGATGGGAGACTTGTTACTTCTTTCACTTGTTTCTTATTATTGGTCTTTTCAGGTTTTCTGTTTTCTCATGATTCAGTCTTGGCAGGTTGCATGCCTCCTGGAATTTATTCATTTTTTCTAAGTTCTGCAATTTATTGGCATATAGTTGTCCATAATAGTCTCTAATGATCCTTTGTATTTCTGTGGTATGAGTTGTAATGTCTCCTTTTTCATCTCTAATTTTATTTATTTGGGTCTTTTCTCTTTTTTCCTTAGTCTAGCTAAAGGTTTGTCAATTTTGTTTATCCCTTAAAAAAATTTCATTCTATTGTTTTTTTATGTTTTTAGTTTCAAATTTATTTATTTATGCTCTGATCTTTATTATTTCCTTTACACTGCTAATTTTGATTTTGGTTTGTTCTTGCTTTCCTACTTTCTTAAAGTGCATCATTATTTCTATGAAGTCTTTCTACTTTTTGATATATGTATTTATTACTATAAATGTCCTTCTTAATACCAATTATGATGTATCTATGAGGTTCTGTTGTGTTTCTATTTTAATTTAAGACTTTTTTGATTACTTCTTAATTTTGTCAGTGATCTAGTAATCATTTAGGAACATGTTAAAATGTGTTTGTGTGGTTTCCAAAGTGCATTTTGTTATTAATTTCTAGTTTTATTCTATTGTGCTCAGAAAATATATTTAATACAATTTTGACTTTTTTGGAATTTGTGCAGACATGTTTTGCAGCCTAACATATGGTCTATCCTGAAGAAGGTACCATGTGCTGATGAGAAGAAACTGTATTCTGCAGCAGTTGGTTGGAATGTTCTTTTAAAAAATTAGGTTTGTTTTGTCTATAGTACAGTTTAACTCCAATGTTTCTTTGCTGATATTTTGCATGGATGATCTGTCCATTGCCAGCAGTTGGAGTGCTGAAGTCCTCTTCTACTATTGTAATGTAGATTCTCTCTTTTGATTTATCATGATTGTTGTTTTAGTATTATTTAGCTTCAGGGGTACATATGCACATTTGTTATATAGGTAAGTTGTGTGTCACAGGGGTTTGGTGTACAGATTATTTTGTTACCCAGGAAATAAGCATAGTACCTAACAGGTAGCTTTTCAAGACTCACCCTCCTCTCAACCACCACCCTCAAGAAAGCCCTGGTGTCTATTGTTCCCTTCTATGTGTCCATATGTACTCAATATTTAGCTCCCATTTATAACTGAGAACATGCAGTATTTCATTTTCTATTTCTACATTAGTTCACTTAGGATAATGGACTCCAGCTCCATTCATGTTGCTGCAAAGGACATGATCTTGTTCATTTTATGGCTCTGTAGTATTCCATGGTGAATATGTACCACATTTTCTTTATCCAGTCTATCGTTGATGGGCATTTAGGTTGATTGCATGTCTTTGCTATTTTGAATAGTGCTGTGATGAACATATGTATACATCTGTTTTTATTATAGAATTATTTATATTCCTTTGGATATACACCTAGTAATGTGATTGCTGATTCAGATGGTGTTAGTTTATTTGAGAAATAGCCAAACTGCTTTTCACAGTGGCTGAATTAATTTACATTCCTACCAGCAGCGTATAAGCGTTACTTTTACTCTAAAACCTTGCCAGCATTTGTTACTTTTTGACTTTTAATAATGACCATTCTGATTGATGTGAGATGGCATCTTACTGTAATTTTGATTTGCATTTCTCTAACGATTAGCAATGGTGAGCATTTTCGCATGGCCTTGTTGCCATGTGTATGTCTTCTTTTGAGAAGTATCTGTTCATGTTTTTGCCCCCTTTTTAATGTAGTTGTTTGTTTTTTGCTTGTTCATGTGTTTAAAGTCCTTATAGATTGTGGTTGCTAGACCCTTGTCAGTTGCATAGTTTGCAAGTATTTTCTCCCATTCTGTAGGTTATCTGTTTACTTTGTTGATAGTTTCTTTTTCTGTGCAATTCTGTAGGTTGTCTGTTTACTCTGTTGATCGTTTCTGTTACTGTGGAATTGCTTTTTGAATCTTTATTATAAAGTCTTTGCCAGGGCCAATATCCAGAATGGTATTTCTTAGGTTTTCTTCTAGGGTTTTTGTAATTTTAAGTTTTACATTTAATTCTTTCATCCATCTTGAGTTGATTTTTGTACCTAGTAAAAGGAAGTGGTCCAGATTAAATACTTTTCATGTGACTAGCCAGTTATCCCAGCACCATTTATTGAATAAGGAGTCTATTCCCCATTGCCTGTTTCAGTTGACTTTGTCTGAGGTCAGATGGTTGTAGGTGTGTGGCATTATTTCTGGACCCTCTATTCTGTTCCATTGGTCTATGTGCATGTTTCTGTAGCAGTACCATGTTGTTTTGGTTACTGTAGACTTGTAGTATAAGTTGAATTTGGGGAATGTGATGCCTCCAGCTTTATGTTTTCTGCATAGGATTGCTTTTGCTATTTGAGCTTTGTTGGGGGGATCTATATGAATTTCAGAACAGATTTTCTAATTTTGTGAAAAATGTTGTAGGTAGTTTGATAGAAATATCATTGAATCTGTAAATTGCTTTGAATGGTATGGCCATTTTAACAATATTGATTCTTCCTATCCATGAGCATGGAATGTTTTTCCATTTGTTTGTGTTATCTTTGTTTTCTTTCACCAGTGTTTTTTAATTCTCATTGTAGAGATCTTTCACCTCCCTAGCTAGCTGTATTTCTAGGTATTATATTTTTGTGTATGTCTATTGTGATTTTGATTGTGTTCTTGATTTGGCTCTCAGCTTTGATGCTATTTTGTATGGAAATGCTACCGATTTTTGAACATTAATATTTGTGTCCTAAAACTCAGCTAAAGTTGTTTATCAAACCTACGAGTTTTTGGGCAGAGACTATGGGGTTTTCTAGGTATAGAATCATATCATCTGTAAACAGAGATAGTTTAACTTCCTCCCTTTCTCTTTGAATGCCTTCAATTTCTTTCTCTTGCCTGATTGCTCCATGTAGGGCTTCCAGTACTATGTTGAATACGAGTGGTGAGAGTGGGCATCTTTGTCTTGTTCTGGTTCTCAAGGGGAATGCTTCCAACCTTTGCCATTCAGTATGTTGTTGGTTGTAGGTTTGTCAAAGATGTTTCTTATTATTTTGAGGTATGTTTCTTCAATGACTAGTTTTTTTAAGGTTTTTAACATGAATAATGTTAAATTGTATTGAAAACCATTTCTGTATGTATTGAAATGGCCATGTGGTTATTGTTTTTTAGTTCTATTTATGTGGTGAATCACATTTATTGATTTGCATATGTTGAACCAACCTGGCATCCCGGGGATAAAGCCTACTTGATCATGGTGGATTAGTTTTTTGATGTTCTGCTGGATTTGGTTTGCTAGTATTTTGTGGAGAAATTATGCATCTGTGTTCATCAAGGATATTGGCCTGTAGTTTTCTTTGTTCATTGTGTCTCTGCCAGGCTTTGGTATTAGAATGATGCTGGCCTCATATGGGTTAAGGAGAAGTCCCTGCCCTCAATTTTTTGGAATAATTTAAGTTGCAATGGTACTACATCTTTGTACATTTGTACAATTCAACTGTGAATCTGTCTGGTCCAGGGCTTTTTCTTGTTGGTAGGCTTTTTATTACCAATTCAATTTTAGAACTCATTATTGGTTTGTTCAGGTTTTAAATTTCGCCCTGGTTCAATCTTGGAAGGTTGTGTATTTCCAGGCATTATGCATTTTTTGTAGGTATTCCAGTTTGTATGCTGTGCATAGAGACGATTGTAATAGTCTCAGATGGTTTTTTGTATTTCTGTCGGTTCAAGGGTATAACGCCTTTGTTATTTCTGATTATGTTATCTTCTTTTTTATTAGTCTAACTAGTGGTCTACCAATTTTATTTGTTCTTTCAAAGAACCAAAGTCTGATTTTGTTGCTGTTTTGTGTGTTTTTTACCATGTCAATTTCATTTAGTTCAGCCTCTGATTTTGGTGCTGCCTTTGGGGTTGGTTTACTCTTATTTTTCTAGTTCCTCTAGGCATGATGATAAGTTAATTTGAGATCTTTCTAACTCTTTGATGTGGAGGTTTAGTGCTATAAAATTCCCTATCAACACTACTTTAGCTATGTTCTAGAGATTCTGGTATGTTGTATCTGTTTTCATTACTTGGAAATATTTTTTCATTTTTTGCCTTAATTTCATTGTTTACCCAAAAGTCATTCCAAATCATGTTGTTAAATTTCCATTTAATTGTATGGTTTTGAGTGATCCTCCTTGTATTTATTTCTATTTTTCTTGTGTTGGGGTCAGACAATGTGGTTGGTATTATTTCAGTTTATTTTTAATTTGCTGAAAATTTTGTGATGGCAAAATGTGTGCCCAATTTTAGAGTATGTGTCATCTGCAGATGAGAAGAATGTACATTCTGTTGTTTTGGTGTGGAGAGATGTGCAGATTTCTGTTAGGCCTATTTTAGAGTATGTGTCATCTGCAGATGAGAAGAACGTACATTCTGTTATTTTGGTGTGGAGAGTTGTGCAGATTTCTGTTAGGCCTGTTTTGTTAAGTGTCAAGGTCTTGACAATCTTTATTAGTCTTCTGCCTTGAAGATCAGGTCAATATTGTTAGTGAGGTGTTGAAGTCTCCTATTATTATTGCTTTGTTATCTAAGTCTCTTCACAGTCTCTAAGAACTTCCTTTATGAACCTGAGTGCTCCCTTGTTGAGTGCATATATATTTACGATAATTAGGTCTTCTTGTTGAATTGAAAACTTTATCATTATGTAATGTCCTTCTTTAGCTTTTTTTATCATTGTTGGTTTAAATTCTATTTTGTTTGAAATTAGGGGGAAAAACCCTGCTGTTTTTTCTTTTCCTTGGTAGGTTTTTCTCTATCCCTTAACTTTGAAACTATGAATGTCATTGCATCTGAGATGGGTCTCTTGAAGACAGCATACCATTAGGTCTTGCTTTTTTTTTTAATCCAACTTGTCATCCCGTGTCTTTTAATTGGGGCATTTAGCCCATTTACATTCAAGGTTAATATTTATATATGCAGATTTGATTCTGTCATTATGTTGTTAGCTGGGTTTTATAAAGACTTGATTTGTTGTTGCTTTATAGTGTTAATGGTCTATGTATTTAAGTGTTTTTGTTTGTTTTTGTTTTGTTGTGGTGGCTGGTAATGGTCATTCTTTTCCATATTTTACAGTCCTTTAGAGATCTCTTGTAAGGCAGATCTAGTGGTAATAAATTCCGTTAGCATTTGCCTGTCTGAAAAGAATCTTATTTCTCATTTGTTTACGAAGCTTAGTTTGGTTGTATATTAAATACTTGGTTGGAATTTTTCTTTAAGAATGCTGAATTATAGAATCCTAATCTCTTCTGGCTTGTAAGGTTTCTGCTGAAATGTCTGCTGTTAGCCTGATGGGTTTCCCTTTGTAAGTGACCTGCCCTGTATCCCTAGCTGCCTTCAATATTTTTTCTTTCTTGTTGACATTGGTATATCTGATGACTATGTGTCTTAAGGGTGGTAGTCCTGTATGGTAACTTTCAGGGGTTCTCTGCAGTTCCTATATTTGAATGTTGGCCCCTCTAGTGAAGTTGGGAAAATTTTCATGGACAATATCCTTAAATATTTTTTCCTAGTTGCTTGCTCTTCCCCTCTTTCAAGCATGCGAATGAGTCATAGATTGGGTCCCTTTACAGAATCTCTTATTCCTTGGGGGATTTGTTTATTCTTCTATATTCTTTTCTTCTTTATTTCTGTGTGACTTCATTGATCCAAAGAACCAGTCTTCAAGCTCTGTTTCTTTCCTCAGCTGGGTCCATTCTTCTGTTAATTCTTATAACAGTATTATAAAATTCTTGTAGTGAGTTTTTGGCTTGATTGGATCAATTTGGTTCTTTCTTAAAATGGCTATTTAATCTTTATGTTCTTGTTTCATTTTATTAGATTCCTTAGACTCCTTGGATTGGGTTTCAACTTTCTCCAGAATCTTGATGATTTTCATTCCAATCCAGATTCTGAATTCTATTTCTGTAATTGTAGCCATTTAAGTCTGGTTAAGAACTATTTGCTGGGGAACTAGTGTGGTCAATTGGAGGTAAGAAGACACTCTGGCTTTGAGTTGCTGGAGGTCTAGTACTGGTTCTCTTAACAGTGTGGGCTGATGTTCCTTTAGTCTTCGACATTGCTGTCCTCTGAATATTTTTGCTTTTTTCCTCTTTGATGCCCTTGAAGGTTTGATTGTGGTATAAGGTGAGTTCACTAAACTGGCTTAATTTCTGGAAGAATTTAGGGGACCAAACCTCAGCTCAGCACTACTGGGCTGTGTGCTCTAACACTAGGGGGCTGGTACCAGGCCCCCAGCTTTGTTCTCTGGCCCCTCAAGGTTAGGGACCTGCTACATTGGAGGGACCAACATATTCCTGTTCCATTAGCAACAACACTTCATTGGGGGGTGCTGGCCAATACACTTCATAAGGGCAGTGGCAGCAGGATCTGTGCTTGCTTATGCACATCAGCAATAGCAGTGGCATGGCAGGGTGCTCACAAGTTTTTGGGGTTGGCATGCTGGTGAGGAGAGTACTATGGTGTCCATGTGTGTGCTCGCACCTTAGCAGTAGCATGACAGACGCTGTTAACAAATGTCCACCTGTGAGTGTGGGCCAGCAAAGTAGTGGAGGTGGGCTGTCTGCAAGTTCGCACTGGCAAAGTGTCAGAGGGAGGCTGCAGGTGGGTGGGTGCCTGTCAGCCAGGGCTGTCTGCTGGAGCTCTCTGATGGTCAGGTGCAGTATGTCAGTGAAGGAGCTATGTGATGACACTCAGGAAGCACACTGGTTGGGCATCTGGGGCTGCATTGCAAGCAGGTGTGGCCAGGCTGTGGCTCAGAAGAGGCCAGAAGACAGGGGTGTTTTCAGATCAGAGTGGCCTCATCCCACAGGAAATATCTTCCAGTTCTTTCTAGATTGAAACATCATCAAAGGCCAGAGCCACATTTGGAAGCACAGTGAGCCTTGGGGGATAGGAGTCCCTGGCTGTGCTCCACGCCAAACCCTCTGGGCTATGCACAGACTTGAGTCCTGCCCCTATCACCTCTCCAAGCAGCTCTCCTTGCCAGCTCAAGTGACCACAGGAGTTGCAGGCTTCCTGCAGCTAGGATTCCAGAGCTCTGTGTTACAAGCATGCCACTCCTTTCTCCAGGAACCTCGAGGGGCAAGGAATGAGTTCCAGTGATCAGCAACCCTGTACAGAGTTCCTATCTTCCTTCCCCTTCATTCGAGGATCTACATCCCCCCTCCATCCACTGTCAGTACCTTCCCTCTGAAGATGTTTACAGAGTGCTGGTCTTACCAATGTTCTTGTCTCTCTTGCTTGAAGGTGTTCTTCTTGGCTGTGTCTAGTCATCTTGGCTCTAAATCCTAGACTTATTATTATTTGCTTTATATATATAATTTACTGTTGTTATACCCCATTGCTGAATTGACTCATTTATCATATAATTACCTTGTCTCTTTTTATATTTTTTGACCAAAAATCTATCTTATCTGATGCAATTATAGCTACTCTTGATCTCTTTTAGTTTCTATTTGCATAAAATATCTTCTTTCATTCCTTCACTTTGACTATGTATATTTTTAAAAATGAAGTGAGTTTCGTCTATGCAGCATATTTTTATATCTTGTTTTCTTATCCATTCATGCATTCTATGTCTTTTTGTTGGATAATTTAGTCCATTTACATTTATATTATTACTGATAGGTAAGGCCTTACTACTACCATTTTATTACTTTTTTTACTAGTTGTTTTTCTTAACTCCTCTCTTCTTTTCTTACTGTCTTTTTTTGTGGTTATTTTCTCTGGTATAAATTTGTTGCTTTTCCAGTACATCTATGATTGATTTTTGCTTTGTGGTTACCATGAGGCTTAGAGAAAAACATACTGTAGTTATAGCAAATATTTAAAACTGATACCAACTTTTTTATGACAAGAAATAAAAGAAATAACCAAACCAAACCAAAAAAAAACTGCACCTATTATTTCCCTCCTCCTCCCACATTTTGAATTTTTGATGCTATGATTTACATTTTTACATTACCTATCTCCTAAGTATTTGTTGTAGTTATTATTTTAATGGTATTTTTTAGACTTCTTACTAAACATAGAAGTGGTTTAAACACTATGATTACAATATTAGTATAGCAATCACACAATCACTTTAACATTTTTTATTTTTGTTTTAAAGAACTCCCTTTAGCATTCCTTGTAAAACTGGTCTCATAGGAATAAATTCCCTCAACTTTGTTTTTTGTCTAGGAAAATCTTTACCTTTCCTTCATTTCTGATGATTTACTTTGTTGGTTAAATTACTACTGTTTGGCTTCATTTTTTTAAATTCAGCATTCTGAATATATTGTTCCTCTCCCTCCTGGCCTGCATAATTTCTGCTAAGATGTATGCTACAAGAAATATTTGATCTCATTTATATATTATTTGCTTTTTCTGTTGTCATGACCCTCTCTTTGTCTTTGGCCTTTCAGAGTTTGATTATAATACGTCCTGGGGTGTTTTTATTTGAGTTGAATCTGATTGGTGACTTAACCTTTTAGTCCCTAGATAGCTTTAAATTTTTTATTTGATTTCTGGATTGATTCTCTGTCTTTCATTGACAGTCATCGAGCTTCCATAAAACAGATACCTTTAATTATTTGCCTGAGAGATCATAAATCTCCATCACTTTACAGTCATTCTGACACCTTATTTTTTTTATTTTGTAAGGTCATATTTCCCTGAATATTCTTGGTGCCTGTGGAAGTCTATATCTGTGCATTAAGGGATTAGGTATTTATTTTAGCCTCCACTGTTGACTTTATGCCTGTCCTTCTTCAGAGGCCATTCCAGGGATTGTATGGCAACTGACTTATTTTCCACAAGGCTGTGACCACTGAAGCCATCTCAACACTAGAAAATTAATTTCCTTAATTTGATACAGTAATTCGGTAACTACCTATTGTGAATACCCTACTTAATGGTGAGAAACTGGATGTTGGTTATCTAAGTCTGCGAACAAGACAAATATATGCCTCCTTTCACCAGTCCTACTCAATGTCCTTGAGTAGAAAGGGAATAAATGGGAAGTTTTAGCTAGTACAATAAGACAATAAAAATAAATAAAATTACACAGATTAGACAGGAAGAAATAAAACTGTCATTATTAACAGATGGCATGATTTTCTATGTAGAAAATATCAAATAATTGTCAAAAAAGTCCTGTAACTAGTAAATGGGAATAACAAGATTGTGCCATACATGGTTAATATACAAAAGTCAATTGCTTTCCAATATATCAGCAATCAACAATTGGAATATAAAATGTATTTATTTTAAAAAGTAATAGTTAAAATAGCACACAAAAGTTGAAATATGCATAAATCCAACAAAAGATGCACAGGACTCATAAACAAAAGTGCAAAACAGTGATAAAAATGAATGATTTTAAGAAATGGAAAAATATTCTGTGTTTGGGGTTTAGAAGACTCAATATCGTTATAATGCCAAATTTTTCCAACTTGATCTATAGATTAAATGTAATCCCAGACAAAACCTGAGCAATCTATTTTGTAGATATTGACAAATTAATAATAATCTTTATATGGAAAGGAAAAGTTCCTAGAAGAGCTAATATAACATGGAAGAAGAAAAAGGAAGTTGGAGAACTCCCTTTACCTGATTTCAAGTCTGACTGTAATGCTACATTATTTAAGATGGTGTGCTCCTGGTGAAAAAATAGTCACATCCATCAATGAAACAGAATAAAGAACCAAGATTCTGTGTTTTCAAATGGTTGTGTCACTGCAAAATTTGTATTTTGAAATCCTACCCCACACTGTGATGCTATTAAGAGGTAGAGTTTTGGGAGGTAATCAGATCACTGGATTAGTGTCCCCATAAAAGAGGCCTGAGGGAACTTGTTTGCTCCTTCCACCATGTAAAGTGACAACAAGAAGGCACCATATATGAGTTAGAAAGTGGGCGCTCACTGGACACCAAATCTGCTGGCACCTTGATCTTTAAATTCTCAGCCTGCTGAGTTGTAAATAATACATTCCTATTGTTTATAAACTACCCAGTCTGTGGTACTTTGCTATAGCACCCCAAATGGACGAAGACACCAGATATAGACTCATAGGTACACAATCAACTGATATTTGATATCAGATTAAAGCAAATCCAATATGTGTCTTTCCAGCAAATGGTGCTAGAACAACTGGATGCCCATATGAAAGAAAAAAAGAACCTTGATCCAGCCATTTTACCTAACAGTTAACTCAACATGAAAAATAGACCTAAATGTAAAGCGCAAAACTATAAAACTTATTGAGGAAGACATAAAGGAAAATCTACTGACCTTGGGTTTGGTGATGAGTTTTAAAATAAGACATTACTCCATGGAAATAAACAAAATAGACTTTATTAAAATTAAAAATTCTGCGTTGTCAAAAAGTATTAGTGAATGAAAAGACAACCCACAGACTGGAAAAATGTATTTGTTAAACACATAACTGATATGGAGTTGTAACCAAAATACACCAAGAACTCGTTTTTGTTTATTTATTCATTTTATTGTTTTTGTTTTTAAGATGAGGTCCTGCTACATTGCCCAGGCTGGCCTCAAACTCCTGGGCTCAAGTGATCCTTCTGCTCCTGCCACCCAGGTATATGGGATTACAGGCATGTGCCATTACACCAAGCCCAAGAACTCTTAGAATTCACCAAAAAGAAAACAGAAACACAATTTTTAAATGGGCATAATACCAGAAACTAAACCTCTCCAAAGAAAATATACAGATAACAAATAAGCATATAAAATATGTTCAAAAGTATTTGCCATTAGCAAACTATAAATTAAAACAATAATGATATATAACTTCACATGCATCAGAATGACAGAGATTTTAAAAACTGACAATATCAACTGCTAGTGAGTATATGGAGTAACAGGAATGAATATTTGTAGTTGGTGGGAATGAAAAATGATACACCCACTTAGGGAAACAGTCTGTTAGTTTCTTAAACAACTAAATATAATCTTTATTTATAATCCAGCAATTGTGCTCCTAGGTATTTACCCAATCAATTTAAAAAATAATGTCATACATTCAAATGTTTATATGAGCTTATAGTTTGAGGTGATGTTAATAAAGCTGTTAGGCTGGGCGTGGTGGCTCACGCCTGTAATCCCAGCACTTTGGGAGCCTGAGGCAGGCAGATCACCTGAGGTCAGGAGTTTGAGACAAGCCAGGCTAACATGGTGAAACCCCATTTCTACTAAAAATACAAAAAATTAGCCAGGTGTGGTGGCACGTGCCTGTAATCCCAGCTACTTGGGAGGCTGAGGCAGGAGAATCGCTTGAACCCAGGAGGCGCAGGTTGCAGTGAGCCGAGATCACACCATTGCACTTCACCTTGGACAACAAGAGCGAAACTCCATCTCAAAATAATAATAATAATAAAGCTGTTAGAAACATTCAAATGTAGCCTATAGAAGCTGGAAAAGGCAAGAAAATATATTTTCCTATAGGTCCTTCAGAAAGAACACAGCAGCCCTACTGACATCTTGATTATAATCTGATGAGACTGCCCTATTTCCGACCCACAGAACTATTACATAGTGAATTTGTGTTTTTTAAGCCACAAAGTTTGTGGTCATTTGTTACAGCAGCAATAGGTAACTAATACAATGGTGAAGAAGGCTAAAATAATCCATGTGATAATGTGTCCAGAATTTATTCCTTCTGGTGGGTTCTTGGTCTCACTGACTTCAAGAATGAAGCTACAGACCCTTGCAGTGAGTGTTACAGCTCTTAAAGATGGTGTGTCCAGGGTTTGTTCCTTCAGATGTTCAGATGTGTCTGGAGTTTCTTCCTTCCGGTGGGTTCGTGGTCTCGCTGACTTCAGGAGTGAAGCCGCAGACCTTCACAGTGAGTGTTACAGCTCTTAAAGGTGGTGTGTCTGGAGTTGTTTGTTCCTCCTGGTGGATTCGTGGTCTCACTGACTTCAGGAATGAAGCCACAGACCCTCGTGGTGAGTGTTACAGCTCATAAAGGTAGTGCAGACCCAAAGAGTGATCAGCATCAAGATTTATTGTGAAGAGCAAAAGAACAAAGCTTCCACAGCATGGAAGGGGACCTGAGCAGGTTGCTGCTGCTGGCTCGGGTGGGTGGACAGCTTTTATTGTCTTATTTGGCCCTGCCCACGTCCTACTGATTGGTCCATTTTACAGAGTGCTGATTGGTGCATTTTTACAGAGTGATGATTGGTGCATTTACAATCCTTTAGCTAGACACAAAAGTTCTCCAAGTCCCCACCCAACCCAGAAGCTCAGCTGGCTTCACCTCTCAATCCCCCCTCTAAACAGGACACCCCAACTGCTGTTGGGAATTGGGCAATGACTGATCTAGCTACTTCCTGCTGGATAGGGGTGAAGACGGGGCCCTGCAGTTGTAGTGTCCTCCAGAAGGGAACTCTTTAGGCCAGTGAAAGGGCCAGTGGGTCAGTCCAGGTGTCCTCAGTAGAAGTTGTTAGTTGAGCTCATTTGGGGTTCCATTTGTAAGACCATCTGTAGCTTGATGGCCTTGATCCTAGAGGAAACAAATTTGACAAGGAGGTTAAAAATACAGGGCCCGAAGGCAAGTAATAGCAAGATGGCTGCCACAGGACCTAGCAAGGGGAGAAGCCATGTTGCCCAACTCCAGAGGTTGGTATAAGAGCTTGAAAGGCGTTGTCTGATTTCAGAAGCCTTTTCCTGTAAACGTCAGGCAGTATCTCATACTATCCCTGACTGGTTAGTGTAAAAACAGCACTCTTCCCCTAAGAAGGTGCAGAGTTCTCCTTTCTCAGCATTGAGGAGGTCTAGACCTCGGCAGTTTTGGAGAGTCACTGCTACCAAAGAGTCTATTTGGGACTGTAGAGTAAGGATAGATTACGTTATTTCTTGCAAACTGTCTGAGAAATCCTTTGAGAGTGTGTGATAGTAGGATAATACATGTTACACTGTTAACTTTTGGCAAACTTTAGTTGAAAACCTTGTAAGTTTGGGATTTTAATTTTTCTTTGCTACTAATAAAACCTCGTTTAGTCCATATTAACTTAGAATTGGTATAGATGGCTGCTTCCTGATTCTGTAAGTACTTTAAGATTTGGCTGAGTGCAAACAACTCACACATTTGAGCAGACCAATTATTAGGCAATTTTTCTAACTCTGCTTCTACAAGAGTTTCCTTATCACTTACTGAATACTGTGTCTTTTTTCCTTAATCACCTGGGAGGAACCATCTATTGTCCTGTCCTGAAGGGAGTTCTTCCTACATCTGGTAGGACACTTGTATGGTAATTAATTAAGATTTAGATACCCTGTTAGGAAACCTGCTGGGTTAAGGATTTTTGACAGGAAGGCTATGGGTTTTCTGTGGCCTCAGTTCTTTCAGGCTATGCCCTTGTTCACACTGACAACAAGGTGGTATTGGAGTGTTATAGGGTTATGGAGAAGACCTTCAATTATCAATTATAAGTTTTAAATTTACCCTGACTTTTAAAGGAATAGGGTACACTGTTTTATCTTTACTACTTCCATCTTTCTTTCTTTTTGACTTCATCTCTCTCTCTTTCTCTCTATCTCTGGCTCCCTCTTTGTTTCTTCCTCTCTTTCCTTTTTTGACTTTTTGTCTCTCTGTCTCTTCCTCTGTCTCTCTCTGACTCTTTGTCTCTGTCTCTTCCTCTTTCTGTCTTCTTCTCTTTGTCTCTCTGTTTCTTCCTCTCTCTCTCTTTCTCTGACTTTCTGTCTCTTTCTCGCTTTCCTTTCTGCTGCCTCTGCCAGCTGCTTATGCTGCTGTTCTCCCCTCTCATTCCCCTTTTGATGGCTTCAGCAGTGTAAGACTGCCATCTCCTTGGGTTTTTGCACTGCATGCAATAACTCCATGGTTTCCTTGTGATATTTAATGGAGGTTCCCCCAGAGGTTAGGAACTCCCTTTCTTTCCATATTGCAGCATGGGCATGTGGGATTAGATAAGCATACTTACTATCTGTAGCAAAGTCTCCCAATTACAACTGAGGAGGTGGGAGAAATACCTGGTTACAGCCCGTCCCAGAATTCCTTGGATGGTAATAGACCTTGAGGACAGCTGTCGGGACAGGAGATTAACATTGAGAAAGCCATACCACTGTCCAGGAGGAAGTCAATTTCCTGGCCTTCAATGGTTAAACCTACCCGGGACTCCGTGAGGGTGATGACAGGAGCTGATGCTTGCCCCAGGCACCCTCAGTCCTGTTGTTGGATCATCTGGTCGGGGGCTTCTGGCCCAAAGAACCTTTGTCCTCTGAGGCAGTGCACCTTCCAGTGATTGCCTCAGCATTGTGGACATGGGCAAGGGGGCAGCTTGTTTCTCACTGGACAATCTTTTTTAAGGTGTCCTTCCAAACCACACTGGTAACAAGCCCTACCAGGTGATTGGCCTGCTCTATTTTCTGTCCTCTCTGAACCACCAAGGTTTGTCTGTCTGAGGGTCATGACTAAGGCTGTGGCCTTTCTCTGATCTTGCTTTTCCTTTTTGGCCTGTTCCTCTTGGTACCTATTATAGAACACTGAGGTTGCCAGGTTTAACAATGGCTCCAGATTTTGTTCAGGGCACAGGGCTCATTTTGGAGCTTTCTCCTGATATCTGCAGCTGATTGGGTAATAAACTTATCTTTTAGGATCAATTGACTCTCAAGAGAGTTGGGTGACAGGGGAGTATATTTCCTTGAGGCCTCCCATAGCCGCTCTAGGAAGGCAGAAGGATTTTCTTCCTTTCCCTGAGTTATAAAAGACATCATTGAACAACTCATGGACTTTTTCCCAATTCTCCGTAGTCCTTCTAGAACACAGGTCAGCAGATGTTTACGACTCCAGTCCCCATGATCTGAGTCTAGACACCAGTGGGGATCCATACTGGGGATGGCCTGCTGACTGGTAGGGAATTTGTCCCTTTCTTTGGCTGTCATTCTATCATTTACTTGACTAAGATACCAAGTATCTCCAAATTCTCAGGCTGCAGCTAAAGCTGCATTCTTTTCATTAAAGGCCAGGGTTTGATCTAATAGCATGACATCTCTCCAAGTGAGGTCAAAGGTTTGCCCTAGATCCATAGGACATCTATGTACCTATCAGGAACATCTGAAGACTTCCCCAGGTCTTCCTTGATCTGCTTTAAATCAGAGAAGGAGAAGGGGACATACACCTGAGTTAGCCAAATTCCCCTCCCTCTACAGCTTGAAGGGGACATAAGCAATAGCCTGGGGATTTTTGTGGTCCTTTGGAGATTTCTTTGCTTGTTTCCTTCTGGGTGGGGGAGATTAGAGGAGGCTTATCAGTAATAGGAAGGGGAGCTATAGGGAGGCTAGGATATGGGGGTAAGCTGAGAGGTCATCTTGTGGGATGTAAATTGCAAGCTTTGCATAGTTGTGGATTTTCCTTACAATGAAAATAAAGCTTGGACATAAGGTATTTCACTCCATTTGCCTTCCCTCTTACAGAAAAGGTCAAGCTGCAGGATAGTACTGTAATTTATACTTCCTTCAGGTGGCCATTTCTTCCCATCAGAGAGAGAATACTGGGGCTGGGCCATAGTGAGAAAAAAAAAAAAAGAGCCACCTCTTTTTCAGGGTTTGTGGGTCAAATTGGTCCCAATGGCTTACCATGCATTTCAAGGGTGAGCCTGTTGGTACCTGAGTGTTTCCCATCTGAAAGACAAAACCGCCCATGGTTTTGGTTTGTTTGTTTCTCCCCCTGCCCAAGAACCCACAACAGTCCCTGGAACCTGCTGACTGGAATAGTTGTGCTCACTGACACAGCAGCAGAAACATCTCTTGCCCAAAAACCTGCAACAGTCCCTGCACCCTCCTGATTGGAATAGTTGCGCTCACTGACACAGCAGCAGAAACACTAGTTTTCCTCCCAAAGCACAAGGAGGACCGAGGAATGTTGGATTTAGTGGCCCTTACCAACACATTCTTGAAAACCTGCACCCTTGCCTGTCCTCCTAGACCACAAAGAGGACTGAGAAAAATTGGATTTAGTGGCCCTTACGAATGCATTCTCAAAAACCTGTTAAGAATCCTAAGCATTCTCCTGTTAGTATTGGGACTTTACCCCTGTCCTATAAAGATGTTATGCCCCAAAAATGAAGTGCAAGGCCATACCCTGAGGGAGGGAAGGGATCTACAGGGTTAGAAGAGTGATGCCTTTTGTCCTCACTTGAATAGGAAGGATATCATTTCTGAAGCTCCCCATATCCTAGCTTCAGGAATAGCTTTTGTTAGGCCAGCTTGTTTGAGGAGGGATCCTAAAATTCCAGATAGTCCCCCCTATGACGGGACTTTGGGCAAAAATTATGTCTTTCTGACTGGGAAGCCCAGGTGCCTAAAGAAGGGAATAGAGTCCTGGAGTTTGTACCAGAAATCATTCTTATAGGAGAAACAAGAAAAGCACCAGAGACAGTGGTTTTTAGAAGCGGGACTAGCCTTGGAGAAGAGAGGCAAGAGGAAGTTTGTCTGACAGGCATTAGGACCCAGGAGGCAAGGGTCAGGATAGATAGGATAGATGGGTGAGTCTCACTTGGGCGACAAGACTTTGAGAGTTCCACTCATGGCCGCAGGGCTAACCAACTTGTTGTCAGGACCCCGGATCTGAACGGCTTTCCTCTCTTGTCGACTCTTGGCTCAGCCCAGAAGTACAGGAAAAGCAGAAGCTGGTTCTAGGCAAACCAACGCTCCCAACTCCAAAGAGTCAGGGATTGTTAGAGAGCCCTTTCCCAGAAATCCTGACACCCATGTCTTTAGTCTGGCAGCCATGCTAGTCACTTTTAACTCACCGACAGGTGCCCAGTACTTAGCCCCCAAATTCTAAGGAAAAATAGGACAGAATAGCAAGCAAAAGGGGTCTGATGATACTCACTGCTTGGCAATAGGCGAAAGTCCCTTTGTGGTCACCAAAATGTGCCTGGAATTTATTCCTTCCGGTGGGTTCTTGGTCTCACTGACTTCAAGAATGAAGCCGCAGACCTCCGCGGTGAGTGTTACAGCTCTTAAAGATGGTGTGTCCAGAGTTTGTTCCTTCATATGTTCAGATATGTCTGGAGTTTCTTCCTTCTGCTGGGTTCGTGATCTCACTGACTTCAGGAGTGAAGCCACAGACCTTCACAGTGAGTGTTACAGCTCTTAAAGGTGGTGGGTCCAGAGTTGTTTGTTCCTCCTGGTGGGTTCATGGTCTTGCTGACTTCAGGAATGAAGGCGCAGACCCTCGCGGTGAGTGTTACAGCTCATAAAGGTCGTGTGGACCCAAAGAATGATCAGCATCAAGATTTATTGTGAAGAGCGAAAGAACAAAGCTTCTACAGTGTGGAAGGGGACCCGAGTGGGTTGCCGCTGCTGGCTCAGGTGGCCAGCTTTTATTCCCGTATTTGGCCCTGCCCACATCCTGCTGATTGGTCCATTTTACAGAGTGATGATTGGTCCATTTTACAGAGTGCTGATTGGTGTGTTTTTACAGAGTGCTGATTGGTGCATTTACAATCCTTTAGCTAGACACAGAATGCTGATTGGTGCATTTACAATTCTTTAGCTAGACACAAAATTCTCCAAGTCCCCACCCAACCCAGAAGCCCAGCTGGCTTCACCTCTCAATAACGAGTTAAGTTAACATAGAAGACATCAGTATGAAGTCATGTTCAGCAACTTACAGTATAATATAGATGGCTACATGTAGAAATATGTACATATTTTACATATATATGAATATACTTATATTAGTATATATGTGTATATCTCCATTACTGTCTGTGTGAACAGATCTAGAAACAATGACACATCAGTAGCAATGCATATACTTAGCACAAGATCTTGGTTTCTAAGACCTTTTCTGATTAAAAGAGCCAGAGCTCCTGGGAAAAATGGCTGATACTAGGACTGGGGCAGGAAATACAGAATATGAGCCTGGAGCATTTTAGGCCGAATGAAAGGACTCCAAATGGCCAAAGATGAAAAAAAAATGAGCAAAAGCAAATGAAATAGTGGGGCTTATAACCTAAAGTATATAATAAATAGTCCATTTTGAGATACATAAATGAATCAATAAATAAATAGGGGAGAATAAACCAATCACCAATCTCCCATGCATAAGAATCACAAATTATTAACATAGATACTTTGTCCTTAAGGAAGTGGGGCATAACTCCCCACTCCTTAAGTGTGGACTTTATTCCCAAACAGTACAGAATAGAAAGGAAGCAAAAAGAAAAACTTTACAGTGGGCAAATCTGACAAACACTATATCAAGTCAGATGATCAAGGTTAGCAACCAGAGTAATAAATCATATTGATAGCATATATCCTTGATATAATGGGATGAAAATGGCATTTCACCTCTGTGGCCCTCCTCTCAAAAACACATTATACCCATATGGTCATAAAAGACCAGCAGAAAAACCTCAGTGAAGTACATTCTGAAAATTACTATACCAATATTTTTCAAAACAGTCAAGATCCTCAAAAACAAAGAAAATCTGAGAAAATTGTCACAGTCAAGAGGTGTGTAGGAAACATGATGAAAAATATAATGTATTGTTCTAGATAGGATCTTAGAATAGCAAAAAAAAGGATGTCGAGTAAAAGCTAAAGAAATTGGAATAAATTATATATTTTAGTTAATAATGTATCAATATTGGTTTGTTTACTTTACTAAATGTACCAAACTAATGTGAGATTGTAACAATAGAGGATAGTTGGTGTGGGGTGTACAGGAACTCTATGTACTATCTTCACAATAATTATTTAAACCTAAAGCTCTTCTGAAAACATTTAGATATTTGTCTATGAATGCACACACTTGAAAGAGGAAAGGTAATTTCCTTATGATCAGTGGAAAACTGAGCTTGTCTGTCTCTCTAGCCATCTCAAGAACACATTTTTCCTTAGTGCAGAATACTGCTTCATCTAGAAAAGCTAAGCCTAAAGATTTGCAATTCTTCATTTTCTATTTGTAAAATATATTATGGGGACAATAATGACAACCTAATTAAAATTATCAAAGTTCAGGATACATTTTTACCATAGGATAAATAAACTCATTTTATTATAATCCTCTTAACAAACATCCTATTTAGATAGAATAGGTATTATTTCTATTTTGCTGACAAGAAGACTAAAGTTCAAAAGATCTAAAGGTCCATGGACTTGCCTCAGAGACTTGGGATAGAGAGGCTTTTCAGAGGCAGCTAAATGTTTCCCTTCTTTACCCACAGGTTTTCTATGTAACATTTAGTAACAGTGTTTTCATGACTCAAAGAAGAGGTGCTCTACGTTATAAAATCTATTAGAACTAAAATCAGGGTAAAATCTTATTGGAGAAAAGGAGAGAAACAATACTGTCAGCAAACCAAAAACCAGAACAAAACTAACTTACAAATCAAGCTCTTCCACAAGCCCAAGGAATTAGAAAGTTAAGGGTGAGAACCAGGCAGATTACACAAACGCAAAAATAGAGTGAGACAGCAGACATTCCCTTTGGGAAATGTTTAAAGTGGAATTACTTGATAATATTGCAATGGCCTATACCAAATTCAGACCTTAATTGTGCTCACAAAATACAATGCAATCTACTTGGTTTGGTTAATCTAAAGTGAATTTGTGTATCTTTTGAATCAAGATCACTAAAATAAGAATAACTTATAAATTATCCCAATTTTTGTTCAATACTGAAAGGAAGTGTTAAATCTTCTTTCTTGCCAGTATCTGCACAGCACAGGTTGTTCTAAATTAGTCATTTGGGTAAGTTGGAGAAACTATCCCTTGAACCCAAGAGTTTAGTTTCTGTAAAAGTCAAGAGCCTGCTTCTAGGATTTAGCTCAACAATCCTTCTCCTCTCATTTCTTCAACTATCTCTCTGAAGAAAAATAAACAAGTTTTAACTTTCAAATAGTTCTTACTAGAGGAGCAAACTAATGAAAATGAAATATTTTTTCTTCTATCTTTTTCAGGGTCAACTTTTTCACTTAGATACGTCTGCAAGGATGCTATGTTTAAAGACTCAAACAAATATATCCCACGTATTTGAATTCAATATATCTAAAACGGGGTAAATCTCTGTGGATTTATGTATGTGTTTGTCATACAACTACTGCTGAAGTGTTAAGAAAAAAAAAAACCTATTTCCCTTTCAAAACACATCATCTCTATCTGGTAATTTGTACACACATATGTTTCATTACTGAGCCTGGAGGTCCAAAATAATACTTTTTGCTTTTTAGACAGCTTGTATCTATATTTCAAGTTACATACACACACACATACACATCAAAACTCATGAGTTTTATTTTGGATGACATCATTAGGCAACAAATTATTTGGCTTCCATAGTGAAAGTGTTATTTTTAATTAGATTCCCTTGGTCAACTGTCTATTCATAATATTTTATGTTTATTTTGCACATATTTACATAAGCTGTTTTAAAATTTTTGCCTTCTTATCCCATCATCTTTCATTTCTAAATCTGTTTCTATTGACTGATTTTTCTCCTTATTATGAGCAATATTTTTCTATTTATTTGCTTGGCTAGTGATTTTTTATTTGTTGCAAGAGATTAGCAAATGTTACATTTTTAAATTTCTATATTTTGTTGCTTCCTGTAAATGAATGCTGAGCTTCATCTCGGATATAATTCATTTATTGGTGGATCTCACACTTTAGCAACACTAAGATTGGATTCACTCAATGCAACAATGCAATGCATTCTGGAGGTGGGACTTCTGAAATGAGGCATGTTTTCTTCCAGTCACTAGGATGCTAACACAGTCCTAAAGGCATTTAAGCCTATGACTCTTGATGAATACACTGCATATTATCTTATTTGGCAGACTTCTATCCCACCCACATTCCATTTTCCCCTCTCTGCGGTCCCCACCATTACCATATCCATAGGTATAGGGTCCATGGCACCCTGCATTTCTGTCTGCACAAAAGACATATGAATGTTAATGCTGACTGGCCTGAACTACATTATTAGTAATCCTACAGGGGTAATAAGTAAAGAAATCTCAAAGAGTAAAACGTTTCTGTAAATCCTTCATTCTAGCTTCTCAGCAACACTTTCTAACTTGTTATTTAGAAATCACTTCAACTGACAGTAAAAACAGATCAGTCACTATAGGGTTGCTTTTCTTCATATACAAACGACAGTGAGGCAATTCTCAGTTGGCCTGGATTATTCAAATTAGCCCATAACTCACAATCCTTCATGATGAGCTCAGGAATTTATTACATGATTTATTATGCAACCAATGTATCATATTTCTAATTAAATTTTTCTTAGACTAATGCTAAATTGAGTTTAGTCTTCCTGAGAATTCTTAGCAGTGAGCTAGTTCAACCAAGGACGAAGTGCAAAAGGAATGGTGATATAAAACTAAAAATATCTTCTTGGTAAACAATCAAATAAAATGGTCATATAAAGCTGATCAAGAATAGATCATTTTTTTCAGTCTTAGATAGCAAAGTTCAATGTTTTAGAAACCATAATATGACTTTGATGCCCTTTAAATAAATACATTTGCAGGGCTGTATATAAATACGATTAAGTTAAGGGCATATCTATTTCCCTTTTAGAAAAGGAAAAGATAACTCCTCCCTATTGTTTAGCAAAGTTTTAGGGAAAATGTAAGGGAGTTAAAGGAGCATATCTTGTTTGTTTGTGTGTTTTGGAATGTATACAAAGAACCTTATTTTATTCATTTTTTTTCTTTTGCTAATAAATAGTTGTTTGTTGTTGTTGCTTTAACCCAATCTCAACAACTGCAATAGAAAAATTTTCTACCTTATGAAAATATTTTTAAGAACTACATATTTGGCTGCAGTTACACAACTGGAAGGCCATGTTAGACGGCAAAATGGTTTTCTAGAACATGAAATGGAATATACATTGCCCTCATTTCTATAAACCAGGACTCTAACAAGGGCTTCCACATTTAGCAAATGTAGAAAAATTTCTGATACTAGTGGCATTAAATCCTAAAGTTCTATTATAAAATTAATCTTCATTAATCTTTTTTTGTACTTCATGAAAGAAACGTTGATTCAAGTAATTATTTCACAATTTTCAGGAAATCTTTTTCCCACTAACTTTAACAGTTGTTTCATTCATTTAACATCTAAGAAAAAAAAGTCTGCAGGTAAAAAATTTTCAAAGATAAAAAACAAACTTTCTAAAATAAGTAAGCTACTTGGTAAGCTATTTCTATTTTTTCTACCCTGAGATAGAAATTTATACAGAAAGTAACAAACTTTCAAAATACCTTTCCTTATAAAGTGGGTATCAGTATCAGCGTTTGCTTTTCCATTTCCCTAAAACAGGCAACAACCTCAAATTGAGTTTTTTGACACCGTAGTTGAGAATATCTTAGCCCTTTACATAAATAGATAAAGTGTAGAAGATACTTTTCTATTTTAGAAACTTTGCCAACAGAAACAAATTGATATAATTTGAAGTAAATATTCATTTAAAATAAGTCAAAGTCACTCCTTATTGAAAACTATGGATTTTGTTCCTGTGCTGTTACCAGAAGAGAAACACAACAAACTGAAATGAAGATAAATATGGCCAATACCATAACTTTAAAAATCAGGACATTTCCCACAGCTTAACAGAGTACAGAATTGGCCTACTTTCAATATATACACCCCATACCATCTTCTACTTAGATTTTACACACATTAAAATTCTCTAAAGGTAGGATTCTGTAAATAAATAAAGAATCTGAAACATATAGGCAATTTCAGTTTAACCTCTACCCAAGGAACAAAGTTCCTCAATATATTCATGTATTTAAAGGTAAAACAAATAAATTCAACTTTATAAACATAATTGAAAAACTTGAAGAAAAAAAGTCCAACATATAAGTCTGAGGATGATCTTTTCTGAAAGTCAGTATTGTTTCTCCTAAGTGGTCACAACTTATCTCTCAATTCAAACCGTTGGCAAAGCTGACCTAGTGAGCCCTGGCTCTGCATAACAGACTTCCAGGAAAGCTACAGCTCCAAGCTCCTCCCCATAAAATAGACTTCCAGCCGGGCACGGTGGCTCACACCTGTAATCCCAGCACTTTGGGAGGCCGCGGCGGGCGGATCACGAGATCAGGGAGACCACCCTGGCTAACATGGTGAAACTCCATCTCTACTAACAAAAATACAAAAAATTAGCCGGGCGTGGTGGCGGGTGCCTGTAGTCCCTGCTACTCGGGAGGCTGAGGCAGGAGAATGGCGTGAACCCAGGAGACGGAGCTTACAGTGAGCTGAGATCACGCCACTGCACTGCAGCCTGGGCGACAGAGCAAGACTCCGTCTCAAAAAAAAAAAAAAAAAAAAAAAAAACTTCCAGCGAGTCCTTGACTCACATTATTTGCTTATATACTACAGGAGTTAATGTAAAAGAAGTTTGGTTTTCTTTCTGCCCAGAATTTATAAGCCTTTGTAATTGCTAAGTGCCAAAAATGCCCAGTCAGGATAATGGCTTTCATGGTATCTTTCAACCACAGCTGTATTCTAAGGACAATTTAACTGAGTGCCTGGGAAATTTCTCATACAAACTGAAACACCAATGCTTGTTTTGATTCTGAGCATTTGAGCTCAATTACTGAGCAAATCTGATACAGAAAATCTGTCATTCTTACTGCTACCTATTTTCAATAGAATGATTCAGAAACTGACCCAATCCTGTGACTGTATTGAAAGAGGCTTATCAATTGATCAGGTGTGGCAAAGACCACCTTCGATGATATGATTAAGACAGTCTTTTCTGTAGATCATGAAATATAATCCAAAACTAATACACTACATCATAGCGCTATAGCTACCAGGCCCAAATCTCCTCGCTTTAGCCCCGAGGCAAGTTTTGAACATTTTCAAAGGAAGCCTGTAGACATTAGGTGTAAGGGAACTTAATGTACTACAGGGAGTCAAAGTAGGATTGCCCCCGCAGAAGACAAGTAAACTGATATTGGTAGAAGAAATAGGAGTTTGCCAAATTAACCAGAGAGAATAGGGACATAGAGATGCTGCCTAGAAATTACTTTCCATCTTAACTCCAACAACTACCCTATGTGAACTCAGTTACAATACAGCTAGCTTATTTTGTATTGCCTGAATATGCTTTGTGCCGATACTAATGATATGGACCAGACCTTATCTTAAGCTATCAAATTTTTGAGCACCTTTTAACGGGCAGCTCTAATATCACCTCCTCTAGGAAGTAATAGCTGATACTTTTCAGTTCAGTGTAGCTTCTGTTTCTGCTCAGTGTTGCCAATTTTAACATTTCATAAGAAGTCACAACTTAGTAAGTCAAGCTTCAAAGAAAGAAAAAATGAGCCTGCAGTAATATTTATCTCCAATATTATACAAAATTAAAATTAAGGTTAACAGTTCTCTGCATATAATAGGTCCTCAAATTGTATATGTTGGCTGGGTAAGATTGACCTAAGAAAGATTACTAACCAAAAGCAATGTCAAAATGCTGAGCGTTTAGATAATTCTTGTCTGTCATAACAAGAAAGTGCTGCAGTTTCCTTTTTAGCCAAGTAATTAATTGTTAATTGGCTAAAATAGCTACTTTAGCCAATATTCCATGTCAGAGCATGTGCTCTATATTGATGAATCTAGAATGCATAAGATAGCATCTCCTGACTTCAAGGATATTATATATACAACTTTGACTCTTAGCTATTCTGATATTTTTTTCTAATATACCTTAAGCCTTGTAAGATTAGTTACGTTTTTTGGACAATTATAGTGCTACTGCTACTGGTAAGTAGGATTGTTCCACATAATGAATGACATCCCTAGCGCTAGTTATACTATTCTTCTGCTTTAGAATCAGCAAGCCTGAAAGAGACCTTGAGAGTTCATTTAATCCACAGCCTGGCTTAGTCAATCAAGATCTGACAGATAAATCTATCCTAATATTTAAGGCAGCTATAAAAGCAAATTTCACAGTGTCCCAAGGGAACTTATTTTGTTTTAAGTCTTTCACTGCCTAGAAAATATATCTTCCTCATATCTAATCAATGCAGGACATAGAGAAAGTAAGGAAGAAAAGAAAATATGTTTAATAATTGCATTCAGTATTCAAGGCAAACAGAATATTGATGGCTTTACATGTACATAATGAGAAACCCTTGAAAAAGCTAGTGTCTAAGACATTATTGTGCAATTTTAGAAAGTAAAAAATGAAGAATTGAAGAATGTATTCATCATACTCAGAATTACACAGCCAATAAACAATAACAGAAATTCTCCAGAGAAAACTGTAGTATACAAAGAAAGGGATATGGCAGAGCCCTCAATTATGTTACATTTTCAGAAACTATTGTGGGTTCTCTTTTGCATCTCTCCTTTTCAGTTAAGAACTTCTCAGCATTATCCCCTCATATTGTCCACTTTTCTTGAGAAAACCCACAGCCTGAAAGAGGCATCCCTACATATTCATCAACTCATTTATACATATACTTAACAAATCTTAATCAATGCTAATTACATGGCTGTAATTGTAACAGGCTTTAACTGATACACTGGTGAATAAAAAAAATACATATTTCCTCTCTTCAAGAAGTTAAAGACCACTAGCAGAGTCAAACATTCAAGAAATAATCACACTAAGATATAGTTACTAATTGTGTCAGGCAACAGAAAGAACAAAAATATATAGGATAATGTAACCAAGTAATGTAACAGAAAGACATTCTTAAGACTGGGAGGTGGAGAAGACCTCCTAGAAAGAATTATAGTTAAACCAAATGAATAAAAGTTAACCTGGTAAGAAATGTAGAAAAAGGGTTAAGGAGAATAAAAGAAACAGTCTACATACAGAAAATTGAATGCATGAAGACCCTAGTATAGAAATAATCTAGCATAATAGAAAAATTAAAAAGAGGTTAATATTCAAAGCAGATTGATCAAGGCAGAATGGTACAAAACATAGCAGAGAAGCATGAAGCAAGGGCTATACAGGTAGAATTTTGTGCTCCATTCCAATGGAAAAGGAAGTCATTGATATATTTAAATTTGTCATGATATGATTTATAAAGATTATTCTAACATATGGAAGATGTTTAATCTCTGCTAAAAACAGCAATAAAATATGCTTTAAACATCCACAAACCTATAAGGACAAAGATCAGTAGAAAAAAATTATGGCAGCAAAATTTGAAAACTGGAAATCACAAAGATATGCAGTAGCTGATGTTGAACAATAAAAAGCTTATTTCAAGTCAGGAGAGGTAAAAACTGAGAAGCGATTTGATTTGCATTTCAGAATGCCCTCCAAACTCTAATACCTTGGGAGAAGTATGAGAATGGGTCCAATCCCAGGAATATTGGTTGATAAAATTTTCGTTGCAGTTGCCCACCCCACGCCACCCCAGATCCCTGCTGCAGTTCCCCATTTCCACTTTGTACAGCCAGGCCACTGGCCCACATTATGCCCTACCCTCAGCAGAAAAAGGATGCTTACTCTCTGGAGAAAATAAAATAGAGTCTCTGAACTGAGAGTGGACAGGCAGAGGTACCATACTGAAAACAGACTAAATGAAATGCTATATACTGAATATCAAGACTATACTTTTCTTCCCTCATCCTGTTCCTTGAGCATTGACCAGGTGATTTGTTTACACAATTATAAAGGTAAGGCTTACACTCTTCTAATCCCAGTTACTGGTATGGTCTTCTTTCCATAGTGAGAGAAAAGATTTATAAGTTACAATATTGGAGACTTTCCAATGAAAGCCCTTCTGAATCACCCAACAGTACAACAGTCAGATGACAACTCTCCTACATGTAACACCCTCCTGTCAGTACTGAGTACTGTAGTCTTACGCATGACCAGAAAGTAAAAGAGCACCAGACATCTTAAGAAAGCCCCAACATAAAAGACACAGACAAAACACCACTAACAGAAAAAAAAGAGGAAATAGAAGCTCATGAGAAAACTTGGAAACCACACACCAAATAAATCTTGTTAATATTGTCTGAGAGTAAAAAGGAGAGTGTCCACAAAACAACTAGATTCTATACACTTTGAAAATCAGAGGAAAAAGGGAATTTATGGCAATGAATATTATGATAGCAGAAATGAGAAACTTAATAGAAGTGTTAGAAACTGAAATTGTTAAGTCAAGAAGGAAAAGATCATTAATGCATGGAAATGAAAAATTAGATAAAATGATTTAAAATTGGTATATTAATCAAGGATGTTCAACATATCAATAATGGGAGTTCTAGAAAGACATTACAGGGAAAACAGAAAGAAAAAATAATAATGATTTCAACAAATTTTCCAGGGGCAAAAATTTTTCTTTATTAAAAGAGCTCATCATGTGCCCCAAAAAAAGAATGGAAGTAGATTCTTGTTAAATGTATATAATTTAGAAATTTCAAAACAGTGTGTCAAAAAGAAGATTCTAAAAATCTTACTAAGGAGGATGAAATTAAATATCATACTTTGGATGATAATGTGTTTAGATTTCTCAAAAACATGCCAATATGGACGACTGGTGTACAAGTATTCTACCACAGCACAATAAAAAATTTAGCAGCCTAAAGCAACACCTATTCATTAGCTCATAACTCTGTAGGTCAGAAGTCCATGAAGGCATATTTGGGTTATCTGCTAAGGCTGAAATTAAGGGGTCAACTAAGCTGAATTCTCATATGGAGACCAAGTGTAGAGTCTGCTTCCAAGCTCATTGTTGCTGGTAAAATTCAGCTTTTTGTGTGTGATTGTAGGACTGAGGTTCCCATTTTCTTGTTAGCTATCATGCAGAGGCCACTCTTAACTCCTAGAGGCGACCTCCATTTCTTTTTCAATTTTTTATTTTTTTGCCATATGGCCTTCTCTATCTTCAAAGCAGCAGTGGTGCATTGAAATCTTCTCATTCTACACATATATGGCTTCCTCTTAGGTGACCATCCAAAGAAAAACTCTGCATTTAAAGGGCTTATCTGATTAGATCAGCACTACCAGATAACTTGCCAGTCTTAAAGTTAACTGATTTGGGACATTAATTACATCTCCAAAATTCCTTCATAGCAGTACTTTGATTGGTATTGATTAAATAACTAGGAGATAATTTGTGTATACCTGGGGCCAAAGATCTTAGGGGGACATCTTAGAATTCTGCTTATCACAACTAGAAAAAATGATGCTTTGAAATTTCTGAGAGAAAATCATTTCTGAAACTAGACTCTATACCCTAACTATAAGCTATGTATATGGAAAGATATTTTTAGACAAGTGATGTCTCAAAAAATACCTTCTATACAGTATTTCTGAGACAGACATTGAAGTATATGCCTTTCCAGGTAATGTGTAATACTATTTTCATTTCCTGTGGCTTCTGTAACAAATTACCACAACCAGGATAGCTTAAAATAGCAGAAATGTATTATCTCACTGTTCTGGAAGCCAGGATTCTTGGAGTCTATCAGATTTGACTGAAAAAGACAGAGATAGAAATTGGAAGAAGTCTGTCAAACTTCCAGAGTTCTACAGTAAGGAAAATGCTGAGAAAGTTACTCAGCTCCAAACATGCCAACTCTCCAGAAAGAGGGAGAGTGACTCTGAAGGTAAATCCTCCAGCTGGAGGTTGAAAGCATGGGTACAAAGACAAAGGCTGGCAGAGTCATGGGCACAGAAAGCAAAGCCACAACCCAGAGGTTCCATTAAGCCACAGAGCATGATTCTCAGATCTTGAAACCTAGTGTAATTCATCCACTCTATTCCTTCCGATTTCCTTTCTGGCATGGGAATGTCTATCCTATGCCTCTCCCACCATTACATTTTGGAAGCAGATAACTTATTTTAAATTTCACAGGTCCACAGATGGAGGGGAAGTTTTCCTCAGGGTATATTATGCTCAGAGTCTCACTCATAACTGATTTAGATAATTTAGATAATGAGATTGGGGACATTTGAGTTCATGGTATTTAAATATGATTTTAGACTTAGAGTGGAGCTGAAATAAGTTGAGAGTGTTGAGAACGTTGGAATAGAGTATCCTACATGTGGGAGGAGTATTTCAGGGACAGAGGACATAAAGTATTAATACACTGTAGTGAATTGAATGGTGGCTCCCAAAAAGGTATGTCCACATCCTAATCCCTGGAATCTGTGAATGTTACTTTATTTGGAAAAATGGGTCTTTGCAAATGTAATTCACTTAAGAACATCAAGATGAGGTGGTTCTTGATTATCTGGGTGGGCATTGAATTCAATAAGCATCCTTATCAGAGTGAAGCACAGGGAGATTTAATGTAGACAGAAAAAAGGGCAACTTAACCACAGAGGAGAGGTTGGAGAGATGCAACCACAAGCCAAGGAATGCTGACAGCCACCAGAAACTGGAAGTGACAAACAGTGGATTCTCTTCTAGAGCCTCTGGAGGGAGCATGGTCATGCTGACACCTGGATTTTACACCTTTATCCTTAGGAACTGTGAGAAAATAATTTTTTCCCATTTCAAGCCTTCCAGTTTAAGTAGTTTTTACAGTAGCCATGGGAATATAACAGATTTTGGATACTAGGAAATGGGGTGCTGTGGTAACAAACAACTCAAACTGTGGAAATGGCTATGGAACTGAGCAAGGGGTAGAAGATGGAAGAATAGTGAAAGTAATATGAAGAATATAGAGAAAAAGCCTAGAATGCCCTGAAGATATTATTGATAGAAGTACAGATGTTAAAACAGCTACTGATGGGGCTCAGGAAGAAATGAGGACCACATTATTGGAAACTGGAGTAAAGGTGATCCCTGTTATGTAGTGGTTGAAAACTGAATGAAGCATGTTTAACAATTGTGTATAAAGCAAAACTTGTAAATTATAAAATTGAATATTTAATTTATGAGATTTTCTTTTTTTTTTTTTTTTGAGACGGAGTCTCACTGTCTCCCAGGCTGGAGTGCAGTGGCACGATCTCATCTCACTGCAAGCTCCGCCTCCCAGGTTCACGCCGTTCTCCTGCCTCAGCCTCCAGAGTAGCTGGGACTACAGGCGCCCGCCACCACGCCTGGCTAAATTTTTGTATTTTTAGTAGAGACGGGGTTTCACCGTCTTAGCAAGGATGGTCTCGATCTCCTGATGTCGTGATCCGTCCGCCTCAGCCTCCCAAAGTGCTGGGATTACAGGCATGAGCCACCGTGCCCGGCCTAATTTATGAGATTTTCAAGCAAAGTGTTGAAGGTAGACCTAGTTTTTTTTTTTTGGATGCTTATAGTAAAATATGAAAGGAAGGAGATAAATTGAGGGAAAAATTTCATGAAAAACAAAAAGCCAACACAATGGCTTAAAAAAATTTCAGTCGATTCAGTTTGCAAAAGATGCTAATATTAGATGTAATATTAGAAAAAATGCTTTGGAAAGAAAATCAAGGGTGTGGCTGGACAATATTTTTCGGTAGAGATTAGGTATATGAGCTAAAACTTTATGTTCTATGGTTTGAAACTAAAAGATATTTTCGGATGAACAAATAAAAAGCAAAGATAAAACTAAAAAAGAAGTAAGTAGTAGTACCAGCATCATTATTGTAGGAATGTTATCTAGAGAGATAGAGCTAAGTAGTACAAGACAGCTGATAAGTTTGAAAGTGGTTGCATCTGTAGAATATAAATTGAAACTGAAAAATGAGTCATTATTTATGTTTTGTGTTGATTTTTTGTTTGTGTTGTTTTGTTTTTACAAACCTTGTGGAATGACCCTTTCAACTATATACATGCATATCTTGCATAAATATTTGTTTAAAAGCTAAATTTAAAGATTACCCTGGTTACTCTACTATGAAAAAATGCATTTAGAAGAAATAAGAGGCAATTACAGAAATGCAAACAAGAAGTGATAGTAGCACAGAGTAGTTCTACTAATGATGGTAGAGAGAAGAGGAAATCTAGATGAAATGTGAGAAGTTAGGAACAATAAAATGCCAGTAGTGACTCCCAGGTTTTCTGTATGAAGAATTATATGAAAAAGGATATTTAGTGAGGTGAGAATTAGAGAACTATGTGGCAACTAGAGGATTTGAGGTAAATATTTTTTGTTTCGGAAGTGCTGTGCTTGAAAAGTTCCTGTTAAACATAGGAGGGGAGATTTCACGTACACATTTATGTCTGTGTATGTACGTGAGGTGTGTGTGTGTGTGTGTGTGTGTGTGTGTGTGTGAGACACAGAAGAGAATTCTGGAGTACAAATATACCTTGGGATTTTAGCAGTTAAGTATTATTTTAAGATCTGCAAATGGTTAGGATCACTTTTAAATAGTGGAGACAAATAAAAGATGAAGATCCAAGACCATATTGTAAGAAGTATAATATGTGGAAAAAGAAAATGAGACATAAATAAAGGCTAACCAGGAAAGGCCAAAAAAGTAGAAGGAAAATGAGAAGAATGCATCACCATAGAAACCAAGATAAGATTATGTTTAAAAATAATGGAAATGCCAATAATGTCAAATGCTTGCCAAATGTCAAGTAAAGTTAATAGTGAATAGTGTTTACTATTTTAAGCAACACGGATATTATCAGTTATTTAGCAAGGACTGTTTTTTGTGAAATGGTAGGTAAACAAATCAGATTACAGTGGGCTGAAAAGTGAATGAGAAACAAAGAATGAAACATCTAAAACTGTAGGAAAATATTTCAAGGACTCTTAACTGTAAAGGGCGAATATGTAAAAAAGACAACATTTGGAAGGATTGTGTGGTTTGGAGATTATTTGCTATATGCAGAAGATTGAAACTGAACCACTTCCTTACATCTTATACAAAAACTAACTCGAGATGGATGAGAGACTTCAATGTAAAACCCAAAACTATAAATACCCTGGAAGACCACCTAGGCAATACCATTCAGGACACAGGCACAGGCAAAGATTTCATGATGAAGATGCCAAAAGCAATTGCAACAAAAGCAAACGTTGACAAATGGGATCTAATTATACTAAAGCACTTCTGCACAGCAAAAGAAACTATCAACAGAGTGAACGGACAACCTACAGAATGGGAGAAAAATTTTGCAAACTATGCATCTGACCAAGGTCTAAAATCCAGCATCTATAAGGAACTTAACAAATTTACAAGAAAAACAAACAACTCCAGTAAAAAGTGGGCAAAGAACATAAAGAGACACTTTTCCAAAGAAGACATGCATGCGGCCAGCAAGTATATGGAAAAAACCCAATATCACTGATCATTAAAGAAACGCAAATCAAAACCACACTGAGATACCATCTCGCACCAGTCAGAATGGCTATTATTAAAAACTAAAAAAATAACAGATGCTGATGAGGTTGTGGAGAAAAATGAACTCTTATCCACTGTTGGTAGAAGTGTAAATTAGTTTAACCATTGTGGAAGAGAGCATGGTGGTTCCTCAAAGACCTAAAGACAGAAATACTATTCAACTCAGCAATCCCGTTACTGGCTATATATCCAAAAGAATACAAATTATTCTATTATAAAGACACATGCATGCACACATTATGTTCATTGCAACACTATTCACAATAGCAAGGACATGAAATCAACCTAAATGACAATCAATGATAGACTGGATAAAGAAAATGTGGTACATATACACCATGGAACACTATGCAGCCATAAAAAAGAATGAGATCATGTCCTCATGATCTCATTCTTCATCCATGGGACATGGATGGAGCTGGAGGCCTTTATCCTTAGCCAACTAACCCAAGAACAGAAAAACAAATACTGCATGTTCTTCCTTATAAGTAGGAGCTAAATGATGAGAACACATAGACACGGAGGAGAATAATACACACTGGGGCCTATTGGAAGGTGAAGGTTGGGAGGAGGGAGAGAATCAGGAAAAATAACTAGTGGATACTAGTCTTAATACATAACTGATGAAATAATCTGCACAATAAACCCCCATGACACATGTTTACCTATGTTACAAACCTGCACATGTACTCTCGAACTTCAAATACAAGTTAGAATAAGTAAATAAATGGAAATGGAAATATGTGTGAATTCTGATAAGGAATATTCATCACAGAGGTGGCTGAGATATAAGACCCCTGAGAAATTTGAAGAGGGTAAATGAAAGTGTATTGGAGCTTTGGGAGGAGAAATTTTTATTACTCCTTCATAGCAAGAGGGAAGAAGGAAAGAATAGATGTTGATGCAGGTAGGTATATGTATAGTGTTCTGAAGATGGAAAAATTCCCTCTTGTGCATTTATCTATGACATGTAAGAAATAGTCATTAACTTAGAATGAGAATGGATGAAAAGCTGGAAGCATCAAGAAAGTGAAAGTCCACAAGCATTCTCAGCCGGGCTGCATGGCACTTTCGAAACCACTTTTGAGAATACTAATGGTAAATATATAATAATAACAATGTACAAATATCTAATCACTAAGAACAGTGGAGGAATGTGATTTATATGGATTCTACACATTTTAAGGAATCTGGACTTTTTTCTGTTTTTTTGAGGTAGAAAGAAAAGATTTAGAATATTGCACTTACATAGTGACCAAACTTTAACTGGAGTTAGGTATCTGATTCAAAATCAGCTGCTCAGTTTCTCTTCTGGCAATTTCCATTTGAGAAACAGAATGAGTTACTCAAATGTGTGGAGCTGAGGTGAAAGCTTTGACAGACTAGAAACTGAAGCTGCCATGGGTTAGCCCTGATAAGCCAAGAATGCAGTGATATGTAAGCACAGAGAGCTGGGCCACAGAGAGAGGCAGGGGAATCAAGCCAACAGGCAGAAAGAGAAAATATGAGAATTTGTGCCCAGAAAGGCTAAGTAGCTTTATAAAGAATTTCAAGTTCCCATGATACTCTCCTATGTTTCCCTGAGTTTACTGATACCACTAAAATATAACTTATTTTAAATAAGTTAATTCAAACTTGTTTCCATTCTCCACAACAAAACATGCCTGGATAAGAAAATCAGGGTTTTCATCTTGGTTATGTTTATTTCAATGTTATATGTATAATCACAACAACCATAGGATTTAACATTAAATTATCTAGACCCATAATATATGTGAATTAAAAGAATGTAGTTTTACACAAAGGAATGGGGATCACTCATTTTCAAAGGACTCAAATAATGGAGGATAAGAAGTATTCTTTATTCCCCCATTGGTTTTAATCTTGTTCTGTCAGTATTTCCTAAATAACATATAGATAATCTTGTTCTCTGTCTTTTGGTTACAAACATTGTTTTTACCATTGCTGACACTTGTGCTTTAAACTGTCTTTTAGATATGTGTTGTATTTATCTAGAAAACAGTGTTTTGCCTGTCATTTGACATTTAAAATAACTGAGAGTCAACTCACAGTTTTAATTAG
This sequence comes from Homo sapiens, assembly GCF_000001405.40. NCBI lineage: Eukaryota > Metazoa > Chordata > Mammalia > Primates > Hominidae > Homo > Homo sapiens. The sequence goes on along the minus strand of NC_000007.14, from coordinate 109,282,258 downwards.
AATTGTCATATTAATATATGCTATCCTTGACACAAGCTGTTAGCGTTAATTTATTTGTGTACCTAAACGATAAATTGAAAAGAAAATTGCAAAGCAATCCAAAGCATGGAGGTTGTTTGCCGGTTTCATTCATTGTATAATTATTGAGATTACATATATTGAGAGTTGCAAAAGGCTGATAATGGACATATAAATATTAATGGAAAAGAGAAAATACTATTCTTCATAAAATATTACCATAAATAATATAAAACACCAGGGAAAAAAAGGAACACTGTGGTCTTTTAGAAGGTTTTGTAAAGACTGAAATTCAGTATGAAACCTAGGAGAATACACTGCAGAAATTCTTCTGAAACAGGATAATTTTACATCAGTGTATAACTGTTCTAATCATGAATTACCTGATTTGCTCACATAAAGCATTTTATAATTGCTACTCATGTTCCTTTCTAATATATGAAAAAAATACAAAGTTATATATATGGGTAGCATTAAAATTCATCGAATTAATATCTAGTAGAATTAAGAAGTAGAAATTTCTGCAAAAATTAAAAGATTGTTTCAGGTTTTAATAACAAGGAAAGAATTGCTGAGATAATTCTATTCAATTCAAGATTAAACAGCACCTCTAAAATCTCTATAGATGTTATTATTACTATTTAGATCTAAAATGATATACATGTAACTGTGAAGCAGCATCAGCATCACATGGCAACTTGTTAGAAAATTCAAATTCTTAGATCTCAGCCCACATCTACTGTCTCTTTTAACAAAATGATTCTGATGAATGGTGAAGGTTGAGAATCACTGAAAATCATAAACTTTAAGGGAACAAAATTTTAACATGAAGATAAAGGAATAGTGACCTGAAATTTTTAATAATGAAGGTGGATCTGACCCTGACCACTCACCAGCCCTCAGGTACTATGATGTTGGAGGAAGAACAGCATCAAGGGGACACTAAGGAAATAGTCAGATTTTATTTAAAACTTCAAGGTAGAGTGAATGTTCAGTGAAAAAGTAGAGGATGACCAATAGTTGTTAGCCATAACATGAGAGTTCCAAAGAAAAGACTTTGAGGGGGAGGAATATGGTGAGATGGTTCAGAGTAAGAAACATACTATGGTGATGACACTGTGAGAGAGTAACCAAAGAACTCTATAGTGGAAAGGTACAAAGACAATCTAGATATGGTATCTGATGGCAGCCCTGTATGGCACAATAGCACCTAGGCACACAGATTGTGGCAATAAACTCCTTGGTTTTGTTCTTGGCTCGCCCATATACACATTTTGTGTTTCAATTAGCTTTGTTTTTTGGTTTTGGGTTTTTTAAATTGTCAAAATAGAGGAGGGAAAAGTAGTTGTTTCATAAGATATCTTAATAAGATAATGCTAATGTGTTGGGTGTCAACACATACACTTCATGCCTTAAATGGGGGAAAAGAGCATAATTCTTTACTTTCTAATACTATTTTCAGATTCCCATGAAGTCCCCATTTTTGTGGATGGTGGAATGAGATATGATTAGTACAAATTTAGTCAACTAATATTAATTCAGTTTCTTTTGAATGAACTGGAATGCTTTCACTAAAAATTAGTCTTTTTGAGTTATTTATATTTTTACCCCCATATGGCATAGTTATTTCTCTGGTGGTGGCTAAAGGAGCAACTGACATAAATGTAGGTGTTTGTACCACCCTCTAAATCAACAGTGGTAGTTCCAGTGATTCTTGCTCAGTGGACATTCTGGTAGCAAATGTCCATGCCAGTTGAGGTCAACAGCATGTTCAGCTTTCAGTCTCGTCCCTAGGGAAATCCCCGCTTTAATGAATAAGTCCCACCCAAGGTATCATCAGCTGTGCATTTACTATCAGTTGTAACTTCCATAAAGACTAATCCACCTCATGGGCTCTCCTGGAAAGTCTCCCCAGCCTTTTACCTTTATGGTCCTAGGACAGCTCCACTAACTTTCAACTCCTTGCTTCAATTCTGAGAGTATGCTAGAATTTCTGGGTTCTCAAAACCTAACACCCAAAAGAGAACCAGGTACTCTGTTTATGATTCTCTAAACTCACTAAACTGTTATTTTTTTTCCTAGCTCAGAGACACGTATTTAGTGGCCTCTACCCACAGTTCCAGGCAGACAACCAGGTCTAAGACCTTCTGCTTTGGGCTTCACCCTCAACTCATTTGGGATTTCTACCATCCCTAGCTCTCAAATAGGACCTCTTGCCCAACCTTTTCTTTATTCTCTCAATCCTGAGTATACCTTCTCCTTTCTCCAATGTCATATCCTGAGGTCTCTTTTCCTTTCACTTATGGTATTATAAAAGTTTGGTGACCTGAGCACACTAGAACTGTCTTTTAGTTTGTAAGAAAATGCAAAAATATATTTTTTCCCTCAATAAAGCCTGGGTTTATTATTTCAAGGGAGTTTTGAGAGTCAAGGGTGGTAAAAAAGAAAATTATTTTGGATGATAAGTCTCATATTTTAGTCTTAACAACAGCAAGAATGCAGGAAAATATAACTTAAATGAACATAAGAATAAATTAAATTAGATTAAATTAATAGATTTAATACTTTCAGAATATTATCCTTGTTATCTAAGTAATACCTAACATGCATTGATCATTTAGTATGTGTCAGGCACTATGCTAAGTTCATTACATATATCATTTCATCACCACAACAGCTATCTTAGGCATTTTAAAGTGCTTCAAAATGATAAAACTAAGGCACTTGGAGGTTAAGTTATATGCCCCAAGAAATAGACTGATTAATTGAAAGAGCCAAGGCTGAACTTAAAAAGTTTAACAGAGCCTAAACTCTGAAACGTAAGGCTTATTATACTCCCTCTGTGCATGGAACAGAGTATTTTTTTAATAAATAAGAGCCATTATTACTAATATTACTACTTTTATTTGGCAACTATGACCACTAGAAGTTGATACATGCTATTTTAAAATAATAATTTATCGTTCTACTTTAAAGACTAGTCTTTTATTTCGTTTTGTTAGCTTGACTCCATCAGAGACATGGATCATCTCTTGGACTATATAAACATAGCAGACAATAAAGAAAATATGTTTTACAGTTCCATCTTGTCATAAATTAAATTGCAGTTATAATATCCCCACTCCACCAGTTGTGACTACAAATTAAGGTCACATTTTTTTATTAAATACCAAATTGTAATGGACTTTCAGCTATCTCTGCCCAAATTTGACCTTAAATCACTCTCTTTAGATGTTCAGGGAAGAGTGACTTCAAAAAGTCACAGATAATTAGTTGTGCTTTAGAGAGGAGAGGTAAGAATGAATGACTAACTTTCTGGTTCCAATCCTAAATTATATAAAATTGTTAGAAGGGAATATTCTTGCCACAATTTTGCCTTGAAAAATAAAGTGGTGAAAAGGGATCTTTCAATCCTCTTTCTAATTCCCTGTTTGAAATCTATAAAGAAACAACTTTTTTTTAATTTAGGGATATAACACTTTGAGAGAATAAATGGGTTGGTATATCATATTATTCAAAAGCAATGATACACAAAAATAATCAGTTCTCCCAATATTATACCATAGCTCCAATGCAATTCAAATGAAATTCTGGGGGAGTCACAAAATTATTTGAAAAAAGATCAATAGGTGACTATATAAAAAGTAATTTATAAATAAAAGACTATTGTGAAGAATATGGATTTTTAAAATATCTGACTAAATCATAAAGGCATAATACATAATATAGAGTAGCACAGTCCACAAATCAGCAACAATAACAATGGATTGGAAAGGATTGCCCAGAAAGAGACTCAATTGTGTATAAGAATTGATTATACAATTATATAGACATCACAAATGCAATAAGAAATATTTGCTAGATTTTGAGTAACTATCTTGCAATTTTACAAAAACCAATTATTTTATTTTGTATACCAAATCAATTTAAGTTGAAGTACTTATTTAATATTTGAAAGATTATTCTACTAAAATTGTGAAGAATGGACTGCATAAAAATAAAGAACAAAACACTAGTTAGGTGGCTAATAAGCAGACTGAATGAGAAATACGGAGTAAAATAGACAAGATATACTCCATATAAATAGAATTTGATAGTGAAATCTAAATCTGGAACATGAAAGGTTCAGACTTAAGAATATAACAGAAAAAAATGGTTCTTCTAACTAAAACAGGTCAGAGTAGGTAAATAAATGCTTATGGAGTAGAGCTTATGAGTTCAGCATGTGATGCATATGATGCCCAGAACCAGAGTTGATAATAATAGTCCAGAATTCAGATAATAGTTCTGCAATGAAAATACAGTTGACCTTGATCAACATGGGAGTGAGGGGTGCTGACACCCACAAAGCCAAAAATCTATGTACAAATTTTGACTCCTTTAAAATCTAACTATTAGTATCCTACTGTTGACCACAGCCTTGCTGATAACATGAGTCAATTGGCACATATTTTTATGTTGTATACTTTATATACTATGGTCTTATAATAAAGTAAGCTATAGAAAAAATGTTATTAAGAAAATCAAAAGGAAGAGAAAATATATTTACTATTCATTGTATGGAAGTAGATCATCAAAAATGTCTTCATCCTTTATCTTCATGCTGAGTAGGCTGAGGAGGTGGGGGAAAAGGAGGGTTTGATCATGCTGTCTCTGGTGGTAGAGACAGAAGAGGTGGAGGAGATGGAGAGGAGGCATTAGAGAGAGGCAGGCACACTCAGTGTATATTTTATTGACAAAAATTTGCATATAAGTGGACCTGTGCAGTTCAAACCCATATTGTTCAAGGGCCAACTGTATAGACTTAGTAGAATTCTGCCTGTAAAGAGTATTTGATGTTATAGAAATAGATGAAATGACTCAGAGAGAGAATATAAGTGAGAAGAAAGCCAAGCACAGAATTTCAGGGTGGTGGCATGCGTATAAGCAAAACATTGTGTCCCAGAAAGCAAAGAAGAATTGCAATAATGAGCGTAAGGTCAAAAATATGCAATGCAACTGAGAGGTCTTAGAAGACATTAAATGCACTGTCTTCTCTAGACTGGGCAATTAAGAGGTAATTGAGATCCCAGCAAAATGATTTTCAAAAGAGGATAGAGGAAGAGGCTATGTGATAGGTAGTTTAGAGAGAATAGGAAAGGAGGAAAAATGTGATTAAAAAATGTTCCATGAAATAATATTTTGCTAAGAAAAAAGAAAAAACAGACTCTGAAATTCATATTTACATTTCTGGATGTTTAGTACATGTATATGAAAAGTATTTTATGGGTAGTAATGTCTTCATAAATTAATGATTTTCTTATTTTGAAAATTACTTTATAGCATACTTAGATACTATATACACAGCTACATATTAACTGCAGTCCACATTTAATCTTGAAATAAAAACCATAATTTTAAGATTTTTTAATGTGATATTCTGTAAGTTTTTAGTTATTATAAGTCACTATATATCTAAATGGAAGTAAATCTAGTCCTTTTACTCATGAAACAATCAAATTTTACTCCATAATTCAAGGGTTATTAAGTTAATTTTTTTCCAGAAATTACCATTGAATAGCCTGATTCTATGTTTCCTTGGTAGCTGAAAGTAAATGCTGCAAATGGCTATGTATGGATTCTGATGACATCAGTGTATTGCATTGTATTATACTTTGCTGATTTTACCCTCAGAAAAAAATTCTGAGACACTTTACCCTTTTTTTTTCCTGAGGGAGAGATGAACTATCTTTGAAGTGGCTCCACTCAAATGTACTAAGCAGACATAGATCACACATAAGAGATAAGAGTTAAAAAATGGTCCAGGAAAAATAGTGAACTGCTTGTTTCATTAATATGATACACTACTGGTGAGTCAAAGACACTCACACTCTAGACTTCATGTTGTTATTATAGAGAAGTAAAGAGAATCCCTCTTGATCAGGTGAGACAATGAAGTAGTCATGAAATGTCTCCTGATGAGATGTTATTGGAAAATACCCTACTGAGACATAAAGAATTGCAATGCCATGAAATTCTTTACCTTAACAGGGATGAACCTTTGAAGACTTGCAAGGCTTTTGAGGTCTTTTTGCTTTGGGAAAGGATTTAGTTAAGGAGCAATTCTAGAAAAACCAGTGTCCTAGCAGAATTAAGATTTTGGAATTTTAAATACATATCTGTTATTAGAAATCCACAAGTATCATTAAAATAATTTGCTGCCTTTTGATGATTTCCCATAAAAATTACCTAAGCCAGATTGAGAGGAGCAAATAAGAATAATGCAATCAAAATGATCTCATTTCTCTAACAGGGAAATGTGTAGTTTACTGCAGCAAATATAAAAGACACTAACTTCTTGGGTGAAGGTCAGCAGATTCTGTACTTAACAGTTTTCTAAAAAGTCTAGTGTCTAGGATTTAGAGAGATATATGAAGATAGTAAAACACTCACATATATTACACCCAACACAGGCTTATTTATTCAATAAATATTAGAGAACTTATAAGAGATTTAAGGAGGGTTGACAGAAAAAAAATGATCAATTTGTGCATGGACACACACACAAACAATATTATTCTCTTATACCAACAATAGCAAGAATATAAAATAAAATGAGAATTGATATTCATAAATAAAATTATAATTTTTAAAGGTTCGGTTAGTATCCATATACAAAAATCAACACTATACGGAATAAAGTTTTACATATCAAAAGTTTGTAGTCTGTTAGACCAGCAGTCCATTTGTAGAAAAGGCAATTGGTCAAACTTTGCCTCAGGTTTCCTACAAAGCCTTCATGAGGGAAAATTGTGAAAGAAAGCTGCTTTGTTTGGCTTATATTCTGAGGTCAACAATTGTTGATGAATTCACTATAATGAAGTCCATATATGACAATTCCACAGCTAACATCATACTGAATGGTGAAAAACTCAAAGTATTTTTGTCTAAGATCAAGAACAAGACAAGGATGCCTCCTCTTATACCAATTCTAGTCAACGTAGTACTACAAATCCTACCCAAAGAAATTAGGCAATAACAGCAGCAAAATAAAATGCATCCAAATTTTAAAGGAGCAGTAAAATTGCCTCTGTTTGAAGATGGTATAATCCTATATGTACAAAACTCCCAAAGACTTCGCAAATCTGTAAGAATTAATCAAGAAATTAAGCAAACTTGCAGAATACAATTTAATACATAAAAATCACTTGTAGTTCTACACAGTAACAATGAACTATCTGAAAAGGAAATTAAGAGAACAATCCTATTACCAACAGCATTAAAAATGATAAAATACTTAGGAATAAATTTAACCATAAAGATAAAACTTGAACATTGAAAACTTATAAAACACTGATGAAAGAAATTAAACTAGACAAATAAATGGAAAGACATTCCCTGTTTATAGAAAAGGATTATATTGTTAAATGTCCATATTATGACCAGCAATCGACAGATTCAATGTTATCCCTGTCAAAATCCCAATGGCATTGTTTACAGAAATAGAAAAAACAATACTAAAATTCATGTGGAGCCACAGAAGACTCCGAATTGCCAAAGTGATTTTGAGAAAGAACAAGGCTGGAGACATCACATTCCCTGATTCCAAAATATATTACAAAGCTACAATAATAGAAACAGTATACTAATATAAAGATAAGCACATAGACCAAGAGAATAGAATAGAGAACCAAGAAATAAACCCGTGCATGTGCAGCCAACTGATCTTTGACAAGGGTGTCAAGATCACACACTGGAGAAAGGATAGCCACTTCCAAATTTGTGGTCGACATCCACATGCAAAAAAATGAAATGGAACTCCATACTTTGTGCTATACACAAAAACCAACTAAAAATGTATTAAACACTAAGTCATGAAACTGTAAAGCTCCTTGAAGAAAATGGATAAAATTTTCTTGATATTGTTTTTGGCAATGATTTATTGGATTTGACACTAAAGGCACAGGCAGCAAAACCAGAAATAGACACATGAAACTAATTTTAACTAAAAACCTTCTGCACAATGAATTATATACAATCAACACAGTAAAAAGACAACATGCAGAATGGGATAAACTATTCTCAAACTATGTGTCTGATAAGGAGTTAATATCCAAGAATATAATAATAATCTCCTAAAACTCAACAGCAAAAAAACTCATACATATCTAGATTTTAAAATGCACAAAGGATTTGAATAGACTTATCTCCAAAGAATATATACACATGGCCACCACATATATGAAAGGGTGTTCAACATCACTAATCATCAGGTAAATTCATGTTGAAACCACAATGAGATATTAACTCAGCCCTATTAGGATGACCATTATTAAGTCAAAATATAACAAATTTTATCAAAGATGTGGAGGAATGGGACTCCTTCTATACAGTTGGTGGGAATTTAGAATTGTTTGCCCTTATACAAAACAGTAAGGAGGTTTCTCAAAATATTTAAAATTAAAAATGCTATATAATCCAATAATTTCACTTACGGTTTTATGTCCAAAAAAATTGAAATCAGTCTCACAGAGATATTTTTACTCCCAGGTTCTGCAATATTATTCACAATAGCCAAGATATGGAAAAAAATGAAATGTTTATTAACAGTTAGATAAAGAAAGTGTGGTAAATACATACAATGGAATATTATTCATTCTTAAAATAAGAAGGACATCCTGCCATTTGCAACATAGACATACCTAGAGAACACTATGCTAAGTGAAACAACCCAGTAACAGATAGACAAATCTTGCATTATTTCACTTGTATGGGGTGTCTAAAAGAGTGAAATTCATAGATACACAGAGTAGAATGCTGATTTCCGGGGGATAAGGTTGGGGAAAATGGAAAATTGTTGCCCAGTGGGTACGAAGTTTCAGTTTTACAATAAAAATACATTCTAGAGACTTGCTGCATAACATAGTACCTAGGGTTAACAATACAGTGTTATATACATTAAAATAAGTTAAAGGAAAGACCTCATGCTCTTATCAAACAAACAAAGACAAACAAAACCTACACACCACTAAATAAAAAACACAAGAAAACTTTTGGAGGTGATGAATATGTTTAGTATCTTGGGTGTTGTGATGGTACCATGGGTATACACAGGTATCTAAATTTATCAAAATGTATACATTAAATGCATGAAAATTTTTGTATATCATTATACCTCAATAAAGCTGAAACAAATTAAACAAATTATTGAGGCATTGTTGGCATACCTTTGCTTGATTGGGGAAGGCCAAGACACTATTCACAAATACAGAGAGTTTACTGTTTTTAGTGCACTTTTTTGTTAATCTCAAGTTCATCTCTACATTAAAGCTGACTTTCCTCTGGCAGAACGTCTGCTTCCTATATTTTGTCTTACTCTAACTCAAATAATTATGCTTATCTTGATAAATAGGAAGATTTAATAAGAATTACAATGGCCAATATGGGAAACTTCTGACATATCAAGAATAATACATTTACGAGGAGCTCTGAAAAAAAAAAAGACCTGAGACAAATACCAAGTAATCTGTGATTGACTTTCTTATATGAAGTCCTAAAATCAAAATATTGACTCCAAGATAGAAACCCTCAAAGACTTTGTAGAAAAGTCCAAGGAAAAAACAATCAAACTCCTTCCAAATCTCTGAAGCCTCCCCCTCTTGTACCTCTTTTACTCTCAGACTTAATTTCCTCATAAATTATACCACTTATATTCCTTCTGCTCTTTCCCCTGACCTCATAAATAAGAAACATTTTCCTCATGGTATTTCTCAGGAAATAAACAATTGCATTTTAAAAATCCCATTGCTGGACTAGAAGGCAGGTCTATAGAAGTTGTACTTAAACCTTAGTCTAGAGTTCTTAAGAACTATAATTAAGAATTTCCCTAAGCCTCAAAAAATAGGTAAAATCTGCTGTGCAATTCAGTGTTTTCTTAGATAATTAACGTCTTGGAGTACTAAATTTTTATCAACTTTTTTTCTTAATTACAAGTTGAAAGCAGCATAATAGAAAACATCAGGAGGAAATCTAAAAAACCCAATACACATATGTCAAAAATTTGGCCTTGAAAAGCCAAGAACAAGTAGGAAATACATTATATAAGACCGTTAGAAACCCCTTTTTCTTCACAGTAGATTTGGTGGGGAGTGAGAACAGTAAAATGGCAGAACCGTAGGTCCTCCACTCACATTCCCTTCCAGCAGTAATAATTTGGTAGTTATCCAGACAAAAATACTTTTTTGTAGAGCAATGAAATCCAAGTAGCATGTTGTGAAATCCTCATGAATCTGAAGACCAAAGAGAGCTATATTGAGAGATCAGGCCTGCAACCTGATGACAGGCTCATTGATCATGGTCTTGACTAGGAACCCAGAAACAGCCCCATACCCCTGTGGATTCAGTTACAGCTCCAATTGGCCTTGGTCCTGCCACCAGCGCCATACTCCAGGACACCCAAATGGAGCCACACCTTCCCATGCCTCAAGTAACAGGCCCACCAACTTGGTTCTGGGAGTGGATCCTGAAGTGGCCCATGACCCAGCTCCATTCTCCCTCAGCTGTGGTCAGGAGCAGCCATAAACACCCAGAAATACACCCAGTGACCTAGGGGGAATATTCTCAGGGAACCTGCAGGAGCCAAAACTACACATGAATCTGGTAACAGGTCTACCACGTGCAGAACTAACTGCAGACCTTGAAACTTGTTTCAGTACCAGCTCTACTGACCAAGGTTCTGAATGTAGTCTTGCCTATTCAAAGATTAAGCAAGAGCTATACCCACCTGAACTCCTAGCCATAGGGCTGTCAACCTCAGATCTAGTAGCAGCCATGTGACCTGGCTCCAACCCCACTCAACCTGGATCCCAAAGGGAATCTCATTAGCCCAAGAAATTGACAGGAGAAGGTTTTTGCCTGCTGAAACCCATCTGTAAAGATTAGAAAAAGTGTTTTGCCCCTTAATACACAGACACAAACTCAATGCCACACAAATCATAGAGAGTCAGACTAACACAACATCACCATAGGAAATCAATAAAGTGTCAATAAACTACCCCAAAGAAGCAGAAATCTATAAATTACCTAACAAACAATTTTAAAAAAATTATCTTGAGTTCAACAAGATACAAGAGAACACAGATATACAACTAAACAAAATCAGGAAAACTGCATGAAGACAATGAGAAGTTTAATGAAAAAATAGAAACCATAAAAAAAAGAATCAAACAGAGATTCTGGAACTGAAAGATATAATACAACTAAAAATAAGAAGGCAACCTACAAAATGGGAGAAAATATTTTCAAACTATCTGATAAAGAGTTGATATCCAAATTAGGTAATAATCTTCTACAGGTCAATAGCAAAAATAGATAAACAACCCTATTAAATAATGGGCAAAGATTCTGAATAGGCATTTTTCCAAAGAAGATATACAAACAACTGCCAGCTATCTGAAAGTGTTCAACATCACTAATCATCAGGGAAATGCAAATCAAGAATACAATGAAATATCACCTCATACCTGTTAGGAAGGTTCTTATCAAAAAGCAAAGAGACAATAAGTACTGGTGAAGATGTAGAGAATAGGGAACCCTTTTACACTGTTGATGGGAATGTAAATTGGTAGAGCCATCATAAAAAACGGTGTGGAGGATCCTCAGAAAAAGTAAAAATGAAACTACCCGTATGAAACAGCAATTCCACTTCTGGATATATAAATGAAGGAAATGAAATAAGTTTTTCAAAAAGATATTTGCAACCTCATGATTATTGCAACATTCTTCACAATAGTCAAAATATGAAAACAACCAAATTGTGAATCAATGAATGATTTTATAAAGAAAATGTTGTCTATACATACAATGGAATAGTATTTAGCCATAAAAGGAAGGAAATTCTGTCATTTGTGGCAATATTAATAACACTAGAGAACGGTATGCTAAGTGAAATATGCCAGACACAGAGAGAAAAATACTGTTTGTTCTCACTTGTATGTGTAATAGTAAAAAGTCAAGCTCATAAAGGCACATACTAGAATGATGGTTTCCAGGGGTAAGGTTTGGAAGGGGCAAGGTTTGGGTAGATGTTGGTAAAGACTACAAACTTTCAATTGTAAGATTAAAAAGTTCTGGGGATCTAAGGTACAACATAGTGTCTATCATTAATTATGCTATATTTGATATTTGAAATTTTGTAAGAGAGTAGATCTTAAGTGTTCACACCACAAAAGGAAAACAATGGTAATTATGTGAGGTGACGAATGTATTAGCTACTTTGATTGTGGCAATCATTCCACTCTATATATATACTCCAGCTCTCCAGATGAGACAAACACACAAACAAACAAACACAGTAAGAAAGGATTTTCTACTATCTAAGAACATAAAGCTTATAAGTAAGGATTCTTGTAGATATTGGAAGAAAAGATCATTGGAACATCAATGCCTCACACTGATTAAAAAAAAAAAAAACTGTCCAAAGACAGTTGATCCAACAGAAACATAAGCACCAGCAATTTTCTATCTCGTTTTAAAGCTCCATTGGGAATTACTTATAATATAAATAGATAATAATATAGCTTTCTTATTGATATGGGTACCACTGTACAATCAACTCCATTACTATACAGCAAACCAAATCCCCCAGAGTACTCAAACCACTTAAACTGGGGATTTCTAAGAATCCTAAATTCTTGTCTATGACTAACCTGTAACTATGAACTCTGGTACCAGTCTTCTGCAAGGCGAGTTACATAATTTGTGGGACACAGTACAAAATGAAAATGTGGGGCCTCTGTTCAATAATTAATAGGAATTTTAAGATGATTACAGCAGGGCATTAAAGCAAGCATGAGATCCTTGTAACCATGGGGCCCTGTGGCACTGCACAGGTCACATGCCCATGATGCCAGCATGACTCCTCTATGCCATGACTCCTGCAAATTCAATAGATAGGGAATTATTTTGAAAATGTTATTTCCAGATAAAGTGTTCTTCAGTCCTAGAAAATTCTACCCACCATCAAATGATAGCTGATATATACATTTACGTAGCTACACTATATGTAATTCAAGAAACACCTAAAAACGTAGTTGTTTCCAGAAACATGTGGGCAAAGAATCTATACGGACAAGCAAAATAATTAGAGTAAACCCCTGTGTGCCCAGATTAGTCTTCAAAATTTTTGTCTAAAGTTTTACAATACCCTGTTAAGCTGATGTCAAGGAAGTTTTTGGACCAACTGTATCTATGGACAGTGGACTCATCATTCATTTAGTCAGCCCCAGCAATATGATTGGTGGAGGATTTATATTGTTTTGAACTTCAATGAGAAATTCACAAAATACGAACTCCTTGTAACTCCTTGCTTCTGAGTAGTACCTTACTCATATTCTTCTCAGTTCCATCTATAGCCAAATTCTTTATGGTAATATATCTATGCTCAGATATATTTGTTAATTTAGTCTCCAAATTGATAAAACATAGTCAATGTTTATTTGCATCCTCCAGGGAAAATCAACAATTCTCCTAGAAAGTTGCATACCAAAGAATTCACTGAAGATATGTTTTACTTCTTCCAAATATTGAAATAATATCTTTACAGTATACAGAGCCCCGGTGGACTCACTCTGATCTAATAAAAAGATAACACCCTATTACATTCTCTTAATTTGGAAAATCCTAAAATTGACCCTCTTTCTAAACTCATCAAGCTGTTTAAAAAGGGATATCAAGCTTCTAAGAAAAAACAAAATTCAACACTGCAAAACAATTCATTATTCTAGGCTATGACCCACCAGCTGAAGGCATTATCCAAGAGCAGATTACAAATTATCCCAAATTACTCATGACCAATAACTAAAGGACAAAGGAATTTATTGCATCAAACAGATAATCTAGATAATGGGCACCAACATTTTTCTAAAATAAAGAAATGTCCTTTTATAGCAACTAAATCAAACATCTTAGAACCACTCCCATAGGTTACAGAAATAGAAAATCCTTTAAATAATCTCAAAATATTCCTTCAACACCCACCTATGTGGGTCTACCAAATTACTATAGGCCTTTCTTCTTGTATGTACATGAATGGTTAGGTCATGCTCTAGCTGATTAAGTATGAAAAATATATATTCTTTCCTCATATTAAATGTGCATCTATACTCTCAATTAGCAAGTTTAATATCCTTATCTGATGGAGAATATGATTATGCTTCTGTAGTTTGATAATTGCCCATTTTCATAGCATATTATTTAGACGTTCCTATACCAAATCCTTATGGAACATTGTGTGTTGATGTGTCTTATCTCACAAATGAAAAGGTAAAACACCAGTATCGGGGAATCTGCCCCGATATTCACGTAGGTTCTTTTCTATTTTCCTTAAGCGTCGGCCGGCTTGAGAAATAAAGGGACAGAGTACAAAAGAGAGAAATGTTAAAGCTGGGCGTCCGAGGGAGACGTCACATGTCGGTAGGTTCTGTGATGCCCCACAAGCCACAAAAACCAGCAAGTTTTATTAGGGACTTTCAAAAGGGGAGGGAGTGTGCGAATAGGTGGGGGTGGCAGACATCAAGTACTTAACAGGGTAATAGAATATCGCAAGGCAAGCGGAGGCAGGGCAAGATCACAGGAACACAGGACCGAGGCGAAATTAAAATTCCTAATGAAGTTTCGGGCACCATTGTCATTGATAACATTTTATCAGGAGACAGAGTTTTGAGATCAACTGGTCTGACCAAAATTTATTAGGTGGGAATTTCCTCTTCCTAATAAGCCTGGGAGTGCTATAGGAGACTGGAGTCTATTTCATCTCTGCAGCCTTGGCCATAAGAGACGGCTACGTCCAGGGGGGCCAGTTTAGAGACCTACCCGCAGGCACACATTCTGTTTCTCAGGGATGTTCCATGCTGAGAAAAAGAATTCAGCGATATTTCTCCCATTTGCTTTTGAAAGAAGAGAAATATGGCTCTGTTCCACCTGGCTCACCGGCGCTCAGAGTTTAAGGTTATCTCTCTTATTCCCTGAACAACTGCTGTTATCCTGTTCTTTTTTCAAGGTGCTCAGATTTCATATTGCTCAAACACACATACTGTACAATTTGTGCAGTTAACGCAATTATCACATGGTCCTGAGGCAACATACATCCTCCTTGGCTGACAGGATTAAGAGATTAAAGTAAAGACAGGCATAGGAAATCACAAAGGTATTGATTAAGGAAGTGATAAGTGTCCATGAAATCTTCACAACTTACATTAGAGATTGCAGTAAAGACAGGCATAAGAAATTATAAAAGTATTAATTTAAGGAACTAATAAATGTCCATAAAATCTTCACAATCCACGTTCTTCTGCCATGGCTTCAGCCGGTCCCTCTGTTTGAGGTCCCTGACTTCCTGCAACATACCAGGCTGGTGATGAATAATTACTCCATATTCATGCGTAGAATCCAGTTTCTTACCAAAATAAATCAGCTCCAGTGGCTAAACTTACAGCCCTTTGCAGGGTATGTCAATTTGATTAATGTAAAAGGATAAACATAATCACAGATAGCTGATAGATTTTTATAGCTCACAGCCTTAAAATTCTAAGGAAACATAGATGATTCTTATCCTCTTCAAGTACTCCTACAAAAATTGGACAATAAATATATTCATCGCTTGATGATTCGATGCTACCTGATAAAATTGTGATTATAAAGGTAGAGACCACCATAAAAGACATAATAAATGTATGTACAGGAAATGCTTACACAGGTCACTATGCTAAGCCAGTTTTGCTGACTAATATTCTGTGCAAAGACTTCTTATATAACAAAAAGAAAAATCCATGAAGGTAAAAATTTCCATTTATAGATGCATAAAATTTGACCACTGATCCTGAAGTGAAATACTAAGAATGTATTGTATAATAAGCCATAACAAAGCAAGGAAGGCTGAATGGTGACACAAAATAAACTCAAATGAATACCTGAAAAATTATGTTTCCATGAGATAACCCACCATAAAAGGAATGAATTTTCCACATTAATCAAACGGTGATTGATAACTCTTCTTAATATCAGAGGATATATCCAGTCATGTCTTACCTATAGTCAACATAATCCTGGAAAAATTGTGATGGTTGGACATAGAAAAGAACTGTGTCCTAATATACCTCAGGTGGAGATATTCAAATATATTTTATACAGTTGCCTTACGCTGTGGATTATGAATGTGTACTAATGATGATATGCATTTTTTAGACATATAGTCTCCAAGCCCAAAATGCCACCACTATCACCTCATTTCCCATAACCTCTAATTGTCTCACACCTCTACAAGAGCAAGGCTAGAATTTTGCAGGACGTATACATACTCACTTCAGTGTAAGCCACAGGAGCTCTAAGGCCCAGGTGTGACTCAATTAGTGTCATAAGACCCAAACTTCCCTGGCATCCTATAAGATGTGTGTAATAGAATACAAAAGTGTGAAACTAGCATCCTATGGAACAAATTTTAACCAGCAAGAGGTAGAAAACAGCTATCAAATAAACTGCTTTCCCTTTCTTCCCTTGATGGAGTTTTCAAGACTTTTTAATTTAAATATACTATTTCAAAATGCAGTGAATATATTTGGTCTCTCCAGATATATCATTTATGACCCAACCACTAGGTAACTATTACATAGAAGCTGCGACCAGTTCAATAATGCATCACCTTTATTTGATTTTCCTGTATTCCTGTTTTGCTTCCTTTCTTCTCATTTTTGATTCCATGAATGGAACATTTACTTTAGCTTCTGTTTTCCAGGAAATCTAGGCCATGACAATTAATGTCAGAGGGACTCTAGGAAGTAAGCCATCATCTACATTCAT
Source organism: Homo sapiens (assembly GCF_000001405.40). Classification (NCBI taxonomy): domain Eukaryota; kingdom Metazoa; phylum Chordata; class Mammalia; order Primates; family Hominidae; genus Homo; species Homo sapiens. The sequence continues at coordinate 109,265,407 of NC_000007.14, read as the reverse complement.
TGTCTGCCTGTTTGGAAGCAATAGGAACCATATTGCTGGTGACAAGCAAGGTGGTAACAATTTTTGAAATTTAGTGGAATCACAATTATTAAAGCTTTCATTTATGATTAAATTAGAAAAGTGTGCAGGTAAAATGTACAAAATGGAAAGATCAAGTGGTGCTACTCTGATCAGTACAATGCAGTAATAATTATAATGTATTTGATGTCTGGTGGTTGCATTAAACAGCATGGGAAGTCTTGAAAAAAAAAAATGATGAGCTCAAGGAAACATTTGCTAACATACATCAGACTATGAAACCACAGAGTTTCAATGGGAGCTTTAATGAAGACTGTCCTCTTACAGTCCCAGGAAACACTGTACTAAAAATTTACCTGGTTATAAGGAGTGTAGTACTTTAAAGGAAAATTATTTTCAATAATTGAGGTCTCTGATCATCAAACAAGTGCTCTGTGAGTGAAAGGGTGTGGCCCTAAGGTCTATGGGATGGAAAAACTGAATATTTTATCCTCCATGTCTCTTTTAACCCTCCTGGCCAAAAGCAGCAACACTTTAACCCTTGTTGCAAAAGAATCCGTTCTTCTAATCTTGTTCGTTTTCTTCAATTTCCACTACTTCATTTCTACCAGGCTGATAACCATAGCAGGCCTGGGCATAGCCTGAGGAGAGAAGTATAATCTCTGCTGAAAGAATAAATCACACCCTTATCAAGGGAATTATAGAAACTGATTAATATGTACCAGCAGAAGCCAAGGCAATGTGTGTGGAGGTGGATCCAAATGCTGTGGTAACCCAGAGAAGCACAGCATATATCTCAAAAGGGGAGGGTCTGTTGATTTTGAGAGATACGATGAATAGATAGATGTGGGCTGAGGAGGGAGAGATATTTCAAAGGGAATTGAGGCAGTTTTCCAAGATAACTTAAAAAAAGTACCAAAGACAATTTAAGGAATTTATGTCGCCCTTAAAATTTATCATCATGGACTTCAGTTCATTGTAGACACTCATGGCAAACAGGTAATTAATAGACCTATGCTCTGGTTATTAATCCAGGATCCAACTTTATAACTGGAATAATATACTTTTAAGGTAACAGAAAGGTTCATGTTGGTTTCACAATCTGTAGTGTAACAGCCATTTTATAGGAACGGCAATGGGGAAGACCTCACCCCACAACCTTGGCCAAGATAGCAAATTAAAAGCCATTCCTTGGGAGGAATGGTAATCTAAGTCACCATCAAGGACTTGAGTATTGAGGATATGGTAAACTCCACCATATCCCTATTCAATTCATCTTGTTGCCTCTGAAAAAAAAACAGAACAATTTTGGGCAACGAAGGTTGATTATAGTCAACTTAATCAGGTTGTAGCCCATATTGAAAATGTCACATCATATGTGATATTTTTACAGGAGCATATCAACATAGACTGTGGCACATTATATATGGTTATATTTTAGAAAGTTTTTTTTTATCTTCAATAGTAGAGAGGATCAAAATCTGTGTCTTCCCTTGAAACTATACTAACTTTGATAATCTTTGTCATAATATACTCATCAGGAACTTTGGCCACCTTGACACTCCAATGAAAAATTGCCCTGTTCTACAACATTGATGATTTTACATTAATGGCATAATGCAGGACTTGACGAATAGGCTAGATGCTCTAGTTAGACACATGTATGACAGATGTTGTGGTATAAAACTCCAAAAATTAGGGAACTGCTACAATGTTTGAGTTTTTTAAATATATTTCACTTTGCAGTGGGAATTAATTTGTTTTTTCTAGAATCATTCTCTGCTGTAAATATTGGTTTACTTTCCATGTTTGCAAAGACTCTGATAGTACCAGTATCCAAGAGCTTATAGACTAGTCATTCATTGATATAATATCCCACGTAATATTTTCTAGGACTGGGAGGCACATTTTATGACACAGGAGATAAATGACACAGGATTCATCATTCTGGCAATGGACTTCATTATCCAGAAATAGGCAGCTGACAATATAGTTGAATGACCTGTTGAAGGTTCATCTAGAGTGCAAGCTCAGGGACAATACTTTGAGGCTTGAGATACTGTCTACTGGGGTGCAGTATATGCACTTTATCAATGGCTAGGATTTAGGGCTGTGTCCCAACAGCTTGAACCCATGGGTCCACGACGTAAAAGGTAGAAATAAGATTCATTCCTCTTACTATCACTGCCAGTGATCTACTTGATGAGTTTCTTTGTATTCTTAAAACCTTTTACCCTCTCAATCTGGAGGCCTAATTCCCACGGGTAAACACTTATGTCAGGAAACACAGAAAAGTTTCTACTAAAGTAGAAGCTGCAGAAAACACATAGCCACCTGTGCACTTCATGCCAGCCTACCAGTGGGCAAAGGAAAACATTGGTATAATGATAAAATAATCATGAGAATCTAGGTTTGCCATTAAACCATGGGAGAAAGGAGAAGTATTTCTTAAACCCAGGTGATCCCTGGGTTGCTTCCAATGTATCCATACCAAGTAATCATGATGAAAACAAGTAGAGAAAATATGGTTCCAAATCAAGGAGACTAAAATCTTAGGTACCTTGGGGAAGAAAATCTGAGTTATGCTATCAGGAGAATAACTCAAGCCAGCCAAATGGTGGTGAGGAAAATCTAGAATGGGTGGCTTAAGAGAGAGATTGTGAATATCAATTATAGTTTTCTACTACAGCACCACAAATGACCTCCAAAACTCTGTGACTTAAAAACACATGTTCTCACTTATAAGTGAGCTAAATGATGAGAACACATGGGCACAAAAAGCAGAACGACAGACACTGGTTTCTACTTGAGGGTGGGAAGAGGGAGAGAATCAGAAAAAAATAACTAATGGACACTAGGGGCAGGGCGCGGTGGCTCATGCCTGTAATCCCAGCACTTTGGGAGGCTGAGACAGGTAGATCATGAGGTCAGGAGATCGAGACCATCCTGGCTAACACAGTGAAACACCGTCTCTACTAAAAATACAGAAAAATTAGCCGGGCATGGTGGCGGGCGCCTGTAGTCCCAGCTACTCAGGAGGCTGAGGCAGGAGAACTGCGTGAACCCAGGAGGCAGAGCTTGCAGTGAGCCGAGATCACACCACTGCACTCCAGCCTGGGCAACAGAGCGAGACTCCGACTCAAAAAAAAAAAAAAAAAAAAAAACAATTAACTATTGGACACTAGGCTTAGTACCTGGGTGACAAAATAATCTGTTCAACAAATTCCCATGACACGAATCTACCCTAAATAACAAACCTGCACATGTACACTTGAACCTAAAATAGAAGTTTAAAAAAATAAATAAAAATAAAATTTATGTTATTATGTCTCATCATTTTGTGCGCCAGGAATTCAGGAAGGGCTTGCCTGGGCAGGTTGCATCTCTTCCTCACAGCATCATCATCTGGAGAAGCTCGATACAGGATAGCTCACTCACAGTGCTTGCAAGTTATTGCTAGTTGTTGGCTGGAAGAAAGTTGGTGCTGGCTGTCTGCTGGAAGCTCAGAACCTTTCACCCATGCACTTCAGTTCTTCTCTATTGGACATCTGGAGCTTCCTTGCCAAAACCAGTGTCTGTTGTTCTCCTTTTGGTGTCCATGTGTTCTTATCATTTTGGGAGGGAGTGTTCTAAGATTAGGATGGAAGCTGCAAGTCTTTATTGCTCCTAGAACCAAGTACCAGAAAGTCAGTTCTTTTTCATTATGCTAGTCAAGAAAATCACTAAGACCAGCCCATATTCAACAGGAGGGTAATTGGATTCCACCTCTTAATGGAAGGAGGAGCAGAGGAGCAAAGGATCTGTGACAATCTTTAATCTCAGAGCTCAAGATCTGATGCAGCGATGGAAACTGCAGTTTGATTTCTTAATTTTTTCTAAGCCTTTTTTAGGTGATTACAATAAACCATTTTGAAAGTAAAGGCATCTTATTCTCATATTAGAGGGTGCAACTGATCAGAATAAATTACAACGAAGCTATATTGGATCTGGTTTATGCATCTTCCCAGATATTTTTAGTTTTAACTATTTTTCTGGGCTTTGTCCAATAACTTTGTTTCCTAATCTGAGTGGAGGATCAAATCATTTCTTAAGTAACAGTGCTATAACCACAGTAATCTTCACTCCATCTTCTCACACTGATAACTGTCTCAGTTGTTCATAAAGGTGGGAACAGGACTTGAGCTTATCTGAGTTGCTATGTTTCATACAGAACCTACAGAAGCTGTAATTCCTAAGTCCAATTTAATTGGGCCCCAAAAACGTTCTAGCTTGTGATGGATTGATTTTTTTATAATTAATTAAGATATGAGCCACATGCTATAAAATTCACCATTTTGATGTGTACAATTCAGTGGTTTTTCATATATTCAGAGTTGTGCAAAAATCACCACTATCTAATTTTAGGACACTATCATCACTTATGGGTTGAATTTTGATCTATGGGAGATAGAAAATGGGAAGCAGACAGGAGAAAAATTGTTCACCTTCTACCCTGTGACAGACTGCATTGAGATGCAGTTGTTCCATATGGCCTCTTTGGAGATGTCCTGCTTGACCAAACATCCAGCTGTGATTTCTTGTAAAACAGGTGACAACTCAGTAATGCAATATCTTACATTTTATTTCCATCTTGCCTGCCTCACTTGCACTTTCCCATGCTCTAAATTTCCTAGGAGTGAAATATCCAATAACACTAGAGCATGTAAGCTTTGCCCCAGGTTCTGTTTTCTAGGGTATGGGTAAGACACATGGCATTCAAGAATTTCCACATTCCAACTTGCTCTACATCTTTCTCCATGCGTACAGCCACAACATCCAATTCATTATACCCCAATTCTTGGAGATTATTTTTTTCCTAAGCAGTATATTCATTTTCCTATGCTATTCCTTCAGTCTACAATAGACAATATATTTTGCTAATTATTCACCCATAAGAATTTGCTTTTCCTTTACGTCCCAGAGAAACACACCCATTAGATGTTTTAATTATTCTTTCCTTTGGATTCTCCCTGTCTTCCGTGTATACTTCTGGTGAAGCATTTACTATATTCTGCCTTGAATCATAGTGAAATTTTATCACCCATCCTACTACCTGCCAAATATTAAGCTTGCTTTCAGAGCATGTTCGTTGTTTATTCTCCTTTTACTTTGTGTCTCCCAAGTTTCTTGACGCAGTGTCTTCAACATAGCGGAAGATCAATAAATGCTGAAATGAATGTTAAATATAACAGAAAAAAATAGCATTTCAGATGCATATATTAGTATTAATTTCAAATGTCGTTACTAAAGCTACTAATCATCTTACTTGCCCTATGGGTTTCAAGCTATAAAGTATTTTGAATCTTCAAAGCATATTTTTCAGCAGATCCAAATTATTTTACTTTATTTTTCTTAGCAGGAGGAAATATTGCACTGAAATGGCTCAAACAAAAAGCCACCTATACATTCAATCCTGTCCCAGGTAGAGTTACTTTAAAATTCTGTTTTTTATAAAACAGTTTTGTACGTACCTCTACAAAAAACTAAGAACATGTAAATTTAATAAACCACACAGAAATTCATGCTGCCTGAATAATATCACAGTTTACCCAGAATATAGTATTTTTTTCAGAAAATTCAGAATTATTTTCCTAAGAAAAATCTATTACTTCATATTGTTATGAGGTATTAGGTAATACTGAATTCTAATCAACTCCTAAAAACATTTGGAGTAGTTTTTGCCTTGTATGTTTCCTGCTTTGTTATATTAGATAGTCACTTAATAGCAGTGGGCTACTATTATTACATACTGCATTATTTTAAAACTGCATTATTAAACAGTGTTGTGCTAATTGCATTTTGTCTGGAAAAAATACATAGTGCTTAGTGTGGAATTTAGTAATAGGCTTCATTTTTATTTCCAGGGCACTAAAGAAAGCTTGTCATTACAGTATACTAATAATTAAACAGTGGATAATTTAAATATAGCAAACAACTGTTGATGACTCATCAACACTGCTTCTTCCACACCACAAAATTCTAACAACCTGCCACTTAGAAAGTTCCTGTTGATATGTAAATGAGTGGTTTTGCTTCTTAGCAGTAAGAATCAAGCCACTCAAGCAGTTGATGTAGGAGCTCAAACAACGGAAAGATCAGAGCACAACTGCAGGTCTTTCAGCTATTTCAGATATTATTCAGGACTCTGCCTAAGAAGGTTTTACCTCTCACTCCTCATTTAAAATCACTAGAAGCTATCCATGACAGGACCAAATATGTTTCAATAAAAGGCAAATCAGAAAATCACATAAATTAACAACTGGCAAAGAAACATTCATCTATCTCAACATAGGTGGAAATATGAGGTCTTTTAATGTTATAAATGGTCAGTCCTTTGGTGAGCCTTGCAAACTGTAGATGAGTTTCTGAATCTGAGCCATTTTATCTGGACTCAGCTTTCAGAATTTCAGTCTAAATTCAGTTTTGATCATAAACAACAATGGTAAAACACTGTGATGTTGATGCAAAGGTCAGCAGCCTCACTGATAAAAACTGCTAATCACATAATATTTATGTCCACTATTCATTATGGGCACACTTCTGTTTCGAAGCCTACGTATTATTCCATTTTCATTCTGCTCTGATACCCATAACACATCTAGCTAGGGAAATTTTGTTCTGAGAATGATGTCAATGCAATTTCCAGGAGAGCAGGAACCCTTGTCAATGTTATTTAATTATAAATACCAAGTAAATAATGCAATACCTGGAAAATAATTGGTGCTCAAAAATCTTTGTTGAAAGATGTTTGGACAAATAGAAGGATGAAGGGAAGAAATGCCTAATGGAGAAAGAAAGAAAGAAAGAAAGAAAGAAAGAAAGAAAGAGAGAGAGAGAGAGAGAGAGAGAGGGAGGGAGGGAGGGAGGGAGGGAGGGAGGGAAGGAAGGAAGGAAGAAAGAAAGGGAAAAGAAAGAAAGGAAAGAAAGAAACAAGGGAGGGAGGAAAAAGAAAGAGAAAAGAAAAGAAGAAAAGAAAGGAAGAAAGAGAGAGGGGGATGGAGGGAGGGAAGAAGAGAGAGAGAGAGAACCAAGGTTTATTGATCTATTAATTATTCTTCTTCCTGAGCCTGTAGTCTCTTTAACAGCATTATATCTGTTAGTCCATTTCCATACTGCTATAAAGAACTGCCCAAGACTAGGTAATTTATAAAGGAAAGAGGTTTAATTGACTAGCAGTTTACCATGGCTGGGGAGGCCTCAGGAAACTTACAATCATGGTGGAAGGTGAAGAGGAATCATGGCACCTTCTTCACAAGGTGGCAGCAAGGAGAAGTGCAAGCGGGGGAAATGCCAGCCCTTTATAAAACCATCAGATCTCATGAGACTCACTCATTATCGCAAGAAAAGCATGGGGGAAACTGCCCCCATGATCCAATTACCTCCACCTGGTCCTGCCCTTGACACATGGGGATTATGAGGATTACACTACCAAATGAGATTTGGGTGGGAACACAGAGCCAAACTATATCAGAAAAAGTTCACATTATTGAACATTTAGATATTATAGGATAACTTTGACAACCTGATGGACGAACAGGGTTTGGGGTGTGTTTAATATTTCTCAGGGTCATTTTAGTGTCATTCTGTCTGCTATCTGTGAAGATATAAAATTAAAACTATGTCTGACCAATATTAGTAAGAATTCAAAGACTTTTAGCTTCAGTCTCCCTGTGGAAAGGTACATGGACTCAGGTTGGTACCCAGGTTAAATTTTAAAAATTACAATGTATCAGGCTTCTATGATAAACCATCACATGGTGAAGAATTACTTAGTGGATGACTCATATGTATGAGAGTTTTATTGCATTTTTTGCATTAATCCAACAGATGAATGAAATATCACTTTAAGATAAAAAAAAAAAACAAAGCCAGACTTAAGCTATATGCAAATTCATTTCTCTTCGGCTCTGTTTAGCAGAACATTTTTCAAAATAATGTCACACCTGCTGTGTGAACATGTTATTCTCCAGGTACACAAAATTAATTACTTATTAACATCATATTCACAAAACCTCAAGGCATGTCTTTGGGGGAGAAAGCAGAAATGAATGTATAGCTGAGCTCAGTCAAAGGAGAGAAAAGTAAAAACATGGTAAGCTTTAAATAAAGTTTTAAAATAAAATTGACAGGAAATTCATTTAAATTTTATCATTTAAGTATAAAACATGAAAATAATTTTGTTGACCAAAAAGATAGCAATGAACAAATATTGAAATAGATGGCTCTAAACCACTTGCTTTACGTAAGTGTGTGCTGTTTTCAGAGGTTAATAACCCACAGTTTGAGGGTCAAAGCAGTTCACAGTATAAAAGCAGTACAAGGCTATAGTATCTACCCTATAGTGGACAAGGGCATTGCACCTCCATTAAGAGTGTCTGGCTTAGAATCAACTCCCTCATTTTTTGGTTGTGTGACCTTCAGCAACCTTTCTATCTCAGTTTCTATATGCTGCACAAGACAGAGAGGAATATACTTATCTCTTGGGTTTATGAGGCCTAAATACATATAAAGCTCTTAGAACAGTGCCTGGCAAAGAATAGTAGTTCACAAACACCGGAGTATGGCTCATGGATCAGAAGGAAGTCAAATTAGAAGTAACAAGACCACTTAGAAGTCCAAGATGTATTGCTTCTTTCTCCTACGTTCTGTTAGCTCACTCCAATTCCTGGAGTTAAAACCCAGTTTAAAACAATCACTAGATCATTACTGGATTTTTTGTATGTCAATTTTTATGTAGAGTTAATGAATACCAGATAAAAATTAAATAACATAGAACATCAAAAATAATTTAGGCTAATTTTTATTATGTTCTTTAAAAGAATAAATTAAAATTCATCATCACTGTGATTCCAGTAACATGAGTACAATTGCAAATCTATCAATATACACAATTTAAATAATTCTTTTCATAGCTTCATTCATGAAGAACTACATAGATATATTTCCTATAAAATCCACAATGGGATTTATGCATGTTAGTTGAAGAGACAACAATATATCCGTGGTTAATTAGACTGATTTGTGCAATGTATGTATCATTTGTTTGCAGCCAAAGGATATAAAATCTTAAAGGTTTACCCAGGAGGATATTAGAAGCTGAATTGCATGAGCATAAAACTTACGTCAAAGTATTGCCACAAGTATCACTAGCAAGTCATTTCAATAATTCTTCATTAATTCATTTATCCATTTCTTAGACATATGTTAAGCAAATACATTCTGTCAGTTCCTGTATTTAAAGTTGGTAATATAAATACAAATAAGATTCATAAAGATAGTCACATGATAAAATAATCATTAAGTTTATATGTGAAGTAACTCAAGAAAGAACAGAAAAAAAAGAATATTTATCTTGATCCTAGGTGGTAGGAAAGACTGAGCAAAGTGTAAACATTCCTAAAGTTTTAAAGGATGACTAGGAATTTTCCATAAATAATGAATGCCAAGAGCTCATCTAGCTCTAAAATTCTGTGATATAAATGCTTTCTGAGTGAAATAATTTGTTCCTTAGATCACTAGTTCTTGTTCTCTAAGAAAAGCAAGGTGAGGCAACTTGCAAAATTGCATTAGATTCCTTGTAAGTTTTAGCTAATCTTCCTTCTACCAATGTTATTTTTAAAGTTAGTATGATACACAAAGTGTATGTTGACTATTGACTGATACTGTTTAAAACCATGTTCCACTGATTGCTGCTATTTCATTCAGGTAATTGATAATATCTGAAAAAAATTAATGTTTCCCTCTCCCAATGTATGACTATTACAATCTACTATAATTTATTTCAAATTTATCATAAAGCATTAAAAATATTGCAGGTGTGTTTTATAATATCCATTAATATGCTATTAGTGTAATAAAAAATTCATATGGGAAATAAAGACATAAAAGCCCCCAAACATAAAAAATAACAACTACACAAATATTTCATAATGCTCTATCACCATTAATAGGAAACTTTACTGTCTGCTTTTAAATTCTACTTTTAAAAAAAAAACTGAATTAATCAAAGAGTGGTGAGTCCACAGATGTGCATCTGTATCTACAGAAAAATGATGATTTTATTGTTGGTCTTTTTCAATAAGTTCAAAATAATCACGGTGATTGAGTGTCAATTCCATCTTTTTTAACAAAAACACAGAGTCATGAAATAGGATTAGAGCTGGAACAGTTCAAATGCAAAGAAGATATTTTCTGCTATTCAGATTTGATATTATTGAGAAACACTTCACTATGTGTATCACACTCACTTTAAAATCAAAATGAGTTATACAAATTAGGCTAACATATTTATCATTGTTGACACAGTTAAGATCTCAATCCATACGGTATAATAATTAAAATTTGACATATGGGAAATTATAGAAATATGACTTCTAAAATTAATTATTTCCCTAATCCAGTAAGTACAACATAAGTGGAAGAAGGGCAAATGAATATTCTGTGGAGTCAGCTGAGAGAGTGAGTGTCACAATGACTGAGAAGAGGCACGACACCTTAATCTGTTATTGCTTTATGCTTTTGTGATTTGGCTCTTAAGAAATTATCATTATGGCTGACTGATGACAGAAGGAAACAATAGGGCAGAAGAAGGTTGGAAGAATGCTTTATGATATGATAAGAGCCCAAGTTTTAGCTAAATTATTGGCAAGGGCTCTTCTAAAACAAAGACCAATTCCATACCTAATAAGACAATAATAAACTTTAAAATTTTGAACATTAGCAAACTGTGTAATTTATATGCATCCTCTTAACGATTTTGCCATTATCCCTCATATCTCCCTTAAATATGAAAACAACATAAATTGGCTACAAACAGATGATCCTGTTGTTCATATTTATTGTTAGATGATTTGGGAAAACAAAAGACATATAACAATATTTTCTCTTCTATTTGTTTTCTTGTGCAAAGGCTAAACCTATGGCGTGAGATCAGTATTCTTAGAGATAAATCTCTTTCAATCATGCAGGTTTTTTTCTCATGTAGGTTATATATAGATATATATAGATATATACATATTAGTTTAAAAGATTAAAAGATATAACTATATATCTCTTCTCATATATATGTATATATATAGGCCACATGTCATTATGGAAAATGAGGCTATGCTCACTGTCATACGTAAACAACTCCAAAAATCCTGACTTATACTTGGGATAATAACAATAATAATGGTAAGGAAAATTCATTCCTTGCTAATTCAATGTACTAGTAATTCTTAATGTATTAAGTATCCTATCCTCTAAGAGGCATTTTGGTATAAGTATCAGATAAAGTAAAATAGTTTCTTTTTAAACTTTTTAGGAATAAGATTGTCACACAGCTGTAATGGTTAATACTGACTGTCAACTTGATTGGATTGAGGGATACAAAGTATTAATCCTGGGTATGTCTGTGTGGGTGTTGCCAAAAGAGATTAACATTTGAGTCAGTGGGCTGGGGAAGGCAGACTCATCCTTAATCTGGTGGGCACAATCTAATCAGGTTCCAGTGAATATAAAGCAGGCAGAAACACGTGAAAAGGAGAGATAAGCCTAGTCTCCCAGCCTACAGCTTTCTCCAGTGCTGGATGCTTCCTGCCCTCGAACATTGGACTCCAAGTTCTTCAGTTTTGAGACTCAGACTGGCTCTTCTTGCTCCTCAGCTTACAGACAGCCTACTATGGGACCTTGTGATTGTTAATACTTAATAAAGCCCCATATATATATAAATATCCTATATCCTATAATCCTATCCTATTAGTTCTGGCCCTCTAAGAGAACCCTAATACAACAGCTAACCCTGTGTAAATACTGTGAAGACTTAAGATAATTTTTAAAGTATAATTAATGTGCTTAAAATTCTCTGGTAGTAAAAATGTACATTTTCATAATTGATATTTATTTTTATATTTGAATTAATGGCTTTATTATGCCAAATGGTAACATTACATTGAAATTACAAGAATTGCCAATATTCCATGCCTAATTGGCTCTTAGACAAAATTTAATTATTTTACACACTCAATTTATTTTATTTTATATTCTCTACCTCCTGAGTTTAATTATATCTTTGTTTTGGAAAGATATCCAATTCATAAATGGTATTTACTTTGGGCTGAGAAAGAACAAGAGATCACTGGCTTGATTATGAGATTCCAACCTGTATTACAAAACTTCATTGCAGTGCTTCTTTGAAATCAAACAGTATCCTAATCATTGTATCATCAAACAACTTATTACTTAAATCTGTCTATTTTAAAACTGGATTATGATTCTGATTTGATTGAGTTCTATTTGCTGTGGAGGTAATTTTTATCCTATACTGACAAAAGTCTACATTTCAATCCATTTTAGCCTCTATGAATTGCTTATATTGACTAGGTTTAAGTATCTTCATACCTACAATGAATTCAGTTACATTCTGGTTTTTGGAATCAACTGGATAATTTTTTTAACTTTTATTTTAGGTTAGGAGGTACATGTAAAGTTTTGTTGTACAGGTAAACACATGTCACAAGAGTTTGTTGTATATATTATTTCATCACCCAGGTAATAAGCCAATAGTTGTCTTTTCTGCTCCTCTCCTTCCTCCCACCCTCCCCACTGAAGTAGACCCCGGGAGGTCTGTTGTTTCCTTCTTTGTGTTTTACGTTCTTATTATTTAGCTCCCACTCCTCAGTGAGAACATGCAGTATTTGGTTTTCTGTTCCTGCATTAGCTTGCTAAGGATAATAGCCTCCAGCTCCACCCATGTTCCCGCAAAAGACATGATCTAGTGCTTTTTTATGGCTGCATAGTCAACTGGATAATTCTAAAACTGAATTAGGTCCATTCAGACCTATAGCTAAGAGATGATTGTTTATATAGTTTATATAGTCATTCTCGGTATATGTAAGAGATTGGATCCATGACTCCTGCTTATACCAAAATCCCCACATATTCAAGTCCCAGTCAGCCCTATGGAAACTGCATATGAGAAAAGGCTCCTTGTAAATGCTGGTTTCTCATTGTATGAATACCGTATTTAAAATATGTGTTTGGTTGAAAAAAGTCTGTGTATATGTACACCTGAGCAGTTCAAACCTGTGGCCTTCAAGGGCCAACTATATTTGTAAAATGTGGCTAGTATATCATAAGAGAAGGTAAACATTTTGAGACAAGAATTCTTAATCTAAAAAAATAGGGTTTATTGCAATACAATATTATTTTTAATGAAAGGGCTTTTTGTTTTGTCAATAGAAGACTCACATATTACACTTCTAGAATTTAACTAAAACCAAAGAGAGTGTACATTGTCCACTAGGATAAGATTTTAATAGCTCACAATAATTCTGTAAATAATTTTAAAATTCTCAAACATCAGAAGCTCAATCGAATCTCATAATTGTATCTTCCTTAAATTCAGTATGCAAATTAAAAGTTTAGTCAAAACTAGGGCAGAACAGATCCAAAAATCACATGTAATAATGGCCACTTACAGAGGTCAATTTGCCTAGATTCCTTTGGGAAATATGGAATATTGTGGGCTATTGCTAGAACTCAATTTGCATTCTGCTTTTGAGCTCTCTGGAAGAATATGTGAAGAGGAATTTGTTGTTGTTAAGTTCCAGAATATACTGAAGTAAGGATATTTCCAAGACAAAAGACAGACTTCACGTTACAACCCAGTATGGAAGATAAGGGTAGGATGAGAAGAGAGGAGTCTTGGAGTAGCAGGTGGGGTGAGGAGATAGTCTGGAAAAGGATATCAGTTAACCATGAGCTAATAGAGACTCATGTTGGTAACATACTAGGAACATCAAGATGTTAAGGAGAGTTTAATGAGAGCAACTCAGTGATGTGCCATGTCTTAGAAGGGCTTTGAATAAAAGAGTTCACAAGAGCTATCTTTGTAAAAAGCCACGTAGCCTTGGTACAACCACGTATCCTGATTTGTTCTACATCATTGCCATTTATACCACTTATGACAGTATAATTGATAATAGCATCCCATTTGCTCTCCAATATTGTACCTAGTTTGGATGATTAAATTATATGGTTAGTTTTAGGTAAAGAGCGAACCCTGAGAGAATGTTTTGTATGCTAAGTGATTTATTAATGAAATGCTCCCAGAGTAAACGGGTAAAGGAAGAAGAGTAGAGCAGGAAAGGAAAGGAGAAGTCAAGGAGAGTACAAGTCCATGCAGTTTTACTGAAGATGGCTTTTACTTAGTCGCTCAAGGGATGCCGGAATAGAAAATACACAACAGAGATTATCCCAAAGTGAGGCAGCGGAGCTGGATTTCACAGGGACTGCGTACCCTAGTCACCAGCTAAGTGTACCCCCAGGTACTTTAGGAGAAAGTAAAATGGCTCCAGCAGCTGAGGATAGTCCTCTAAGAAAGAACCGTATTGGATATGAAAAGCACCACAGGGCTGAAGGAGGAAAGCACAGAGTGTTAAATAGAAACAGGAGATCTGGATAAAGCATCAACAGTGTTCACTGCTGTCACTTTATGTGGCAGCCTCCGGAGGATTCACCAAGGAATCATATTCTGACCCATCCACTATAAGACTATTTAATTAAACCAGATTCCAAGGATAAGATTTGGGGGAGCCCATGAACCTGGGGAAATTGTATAATTGATTTTTAATGTCTGCTTATATATGCATATTTCTAGAGAGAGAATACAATCTTTCTTCCGATTATCACCATAGTCCATAATCTACATGAAACTCTGTGGACATTGCAGGAGAAACTGCAAGAAAAGTCAGTGTCTTGCAGAACCCACTTGAATAAATATGACTCTTTAGGGAAAGAAAGAATGGGTCCAATTCACCAATAACCTCATGTGGAAATAACAGATTTTTACATTGTTTGTATATACCCCTCAGAAGTAAAGAATCCATCAGCCAGGGAACCTAACGGTGTTGGAACCTCAGAATCACGTGGTGGCCTTACATCTGTTATCATGATGTTGCATTTTTATCTGACTCGTATATTTCTGAGGAAGGATTTATCTGGGCAAACGAGCATTATAAAGAAATTGTTACTTTTCTCTTGCCAACCTATCAGTAGACTCCAGATATAACCAACAATTGATAAACCAAATTGTCTAAAGAACCTTTGAGAGGCGTAGAAATATGAAATAAGATACTTTCAAAAATGAGCTGGCAAACTTTTTACATTTTTGCTACTAAAAGCCTATATACATTTTGGATATCTCCTTTAAATGAAGTAGTTCAACACAAATGCTAACTACTCCAATAATAAGTAATTCATTATTTTCTCTTCGCATACTTTCAGCCCAAGAATCACTGATACCTCTTGATTCTTACTTGTCTGGCCACACCTTAGTAGTGTGACCTTAATCTTTGTTTATTTACTTCTGAGACATTTAGCAACTTCTCAGTATAAGAGATGCAAAAATAAAGTTGTTCTTTCTGACTAGAATCTCTAGCTTTCCTCTCTCAAATGGTTTTCATTCCACCTTGAACGGTAAAATATATTATTCTTAATTAACATTTTATAGTGTAACTTAAAATCATTTTCTATCTAGTTTTCTGGCCTCTAAGAAGTTTTCATTGTATTGCTACATTCCATACCACTTAATGAGAAAAAAGGTCATATTCGAATACAAAAACTAATGATTAAATTAAAAAGAAACACTAAAAAATAATTATATGTCTACCAAAATAAATTTTAAGGATTGAATAATGAGTTGAAATAAATGATCAAGATGAAGAGAGTCTATGACATTTGCCTAACATTTTCTTTATGATACTTTATGTTTATAATCATATTTCTCCCTCATCAAATTCAAAGTTTGTGTTATTACCAATATCTGTCATAATTTATACTATATTTCTGCCATCATTTCCTGGCCTTTCCCACCCATAAAGCTTCTTCACATGGATTGATTTGATAAATAATCTATGTCTTATTTTCTTTCATATCATCTGTCAGTCCTATGCTCTAATTCTTTCATCCCATCCTTTCTCTTTAAAGCAATTTCTAGGAAACACTACTTATGCTTCAAAGATTCTGGTCTAAAATCAGCAGTATTCATAACACCCAAGAAGTTAGACCAGAAAGGGTGAATGCAACATGAGGATGTGCTCTACTTTTTAACTTTTATACTGAGAGTCTTGTGTATCCCAAACATCTCTTCCATTCACCAGCCCTTGCTCCTCCTCCAGTGCAAACCTGGTAAACATTAAAATCATGAAAATGTTGTCACTTACAGGGAATATTCCAGAGACAAGCCCAAAAATTGCTGTGGAAACCAAAGGTGGGAGCCTAAGAGATATCCTATGTTCTTGCAGAGTGTTTGAATTTTAAAAAATGATATGCACTTCTTCATGCTGGCTCTTAATGCGGAACTACTCTCTCCCTCTAAACTTTGTTTATTAAAATAAAACGTTAGAAAGTAAACAGAATCATTAAGAAATTATAAATCATCTAAACCTAGTTCAAAAAAAAAATATCCAGAATTTTTCTAACTCTCCTGGAATTGGCTCAGCAAGTTGTAAAGTATTTTCCATGCCGGCTGTGTGTCATGTTTGGCATGTGGCAGAATATGTCTGATGCACTTAAACTTTAGAAATATTAAGAGATTGCTATGTTCATTTCAGATATATTATATTTTAGTGGAATACTGAGAGTGGGTTCTATAGAAATATTAATTATTTCTTAAGTATCAACTTATGATCATGGTACCAAGGAGAAATTAAAGAATAGTCTTATAACACATAGATTAAATGTTCTGGATAGAGAATTTGGTTAGAAGATTAAGCATTTATCACCTGATGTTCCATTCACAATATTTTGTCTCAGTCACACCCAGTATATCTTCAGTCCCAAAGACTAAATAAAATATTCAGCCAAGGTGAATAGTTTTTAAAAACTCATTTACTTCTCATTTTATTTTAACATTGCAAGAGTTCTATCCTCTTGTCAATCTTTTTATCAATAGTCTTTTTGCCAATTTTTCTACTTCTGTGATGGAAGGCTTATTTTTGAACTTGGCCACATATGTTTGGGGATCTCTCTAACAAAAATCATAAAACCCATGCTGTCTGGTGGGCAAAGGAGTCATATAATGAGAAAAGAGTCAGTCCCAAAACCTAGAATCTCAGATTTTCAGGTAAAGGAAGTGATAGATCATAAAATGCTGGTTCAATTCAAAGACATTGTTCTAACACTCAACACAACAATTTGCAATCATCTACAATCATGATATTTGAACACAATACAAACGAAAATAAAGAAATGTGGGTGTTATTTACATTTTTTAGCTTTTTCAAGAAACAGAACTCTAAAAGGCATTTTATGACAATACCAAATACTAACAAGGATGTGGAGCAACAGGGGCTCTTATTTATTGCTAGCAGGAATGCAATTTGGAAGACAGTTTGGCGTTTCTTAGAAAATTAAACATACTTTTACCATACAATACACTAGTTGCGCTCCTTGGTATTTATCCAAATATGTTGAAAACTAATGTTTACACAAAAACTGGCACAAGGATGTTTATAGAAGCTTTGTTCATAATTGCCAAAACATAGAAGCAACCAAGATGTCCTTCAGTAGGTGAAAGGTTACAAAAACTGTGGTACACACAGACAATGGGATGTTACTCAGCCCTAAAATAAATGAGCTATTACTGCATAAAGAGACATGGAGGAACCTCAGATGCCATCACTAAATGGAAGAAACCAATCTGACAAGTCTACCTACTCTATGATTACAACTATATCACATTCTGGAAAAGGCTAATTACTATGGAGACAGTATTTATACTATGTATAATACATATGCTACTACTATGGAGTACTTATACTATGTATAATAGTACTGTGGAGTATTTATACTTTGTATAATTAATAGTACTGTGGAGTATTTATACTATGTATAATATGTACAGTAGTACTATGGAGATCAGTGTTTGCCAAGGGCTTAGGGGGAGAAAGATATTACTGGTGGGAGCACAAAGGATTTTGGGGGCAGTGGAACTATGCTGCATGATAATATAATGGTGTATACATGTCATTATATATTTGTCAAAACCTCTAGAATGTGCGACATCAAGAGTGAACCCTAATGTAAACTATGGACTTTGAGTGACAATCATGAGTCAATGTAGGTTCACCAATTGTGACAAGTGTATCACTCCAGTCGGGACTGTTGATAGAGGGAGAGGCTGTCTGTGTATGTGGGCTGGTCAAGGGTATATAGGAACTCCCTGTACTTTCACTCAATTTTGTTATGAACTACTCTAAAAAAACAAATTTGTTTTTAAAAAAGACATTTCATATGCTTTTAAAAATGTTCATTGAATAAAGGACATCTTAAATAAGATTTAAGCTGGCATACCAAGTGTAGCATACTGACAGTGTAGCACAAGTATTGGTGAGTGGAGATATGAAAGTAGAGAAACGGTGTTGCAGGCCGAAAGAGTGAGGGTCATGATCAATTCAGTATACCACTGGAGGCTATATGAGTAAAAAGCAAACTGTTCTCATAAATGCAGAATGTTGGCAAACTGACAAACTGCGACTGCCTCCCAGAAGGAATGCTGAGGGCAGTCACGCCCCAAGCGTAGTGTTTCTTGTGATTAGGCACATCTGAAGCCTGTTAGCAATAATGTGAACCTGTAATCAATTAAGCAGCTGACCAATAGTTACCTCCTGCTCCTTGCTCTTTCTACCCAATAAATACAAAGGGCTGTTGAGGTTCAGGTGGCTGCCCTTGCTCACTAGAAGCAGGGAGCCCTCTTCTTCCCTGGACCCCTTCTTTAAAACAGTTTCTTTTGTTTTCAGTTTTCATTTCTCATTCGTCCTCCTTCGCTCAGTCCCGTAGTAACTGTGGCAAAAGAGAGCTGGGTGTGGTGGCTCGTACCTGTAATCCTAGCACTTTGGGAGGCTGAGACTGGAGGACGGATCACTTAAGCCCAGAAATCCAAAAAAAAATTATGCAGGCATGGTGAAACATGCCTATAGTTCCAGCTAATTGGGAAGCTAAGGCAGGAGGATCACTTGAGTCCAGGAGGTCAAGGCTGCAGTGAGCCCAGTCCACATCACTGTGCTTCAACCTGAGTGACAAATTAAGACCTGGTCTCAAAAAAGTAAAATAAAATAAAAGAGAAAGAAGAAATGTGCTAAGATGACAGCAGGTATTGAATTTAAAACTTTTTTTCAAATAAGTTTTGGAAACTATTTTTTTGTGACAGCTACTTATAATGTCTTTCACTATGCTAATACATTTTGTGACTTTCAAACAAACTTTATATCATGTAAGAGCTCCAAACTTATTTGGTAATAAACTGTCTTTTGTGGAAGCATCTCTTGAAGTCAGAAACTGGCTGAACAAGCTTTTGAAAGCTCTTGTTTTCTGTGCTATTTCCATTTGGTCTTGGGAACTGTAATATTTGATAGATAAAATTCACCCTGCCAACATTCTGGAACATAAAAAAAAAATGAGAGCTCCTACATTAACAACTTTAGCTTCTGTGTGTGAATGGGGGAGAGGGCAAACATTTACAATACAGCTTAGTAAATGATATGATAGTGATATACACAGAGTAACAATTTATGAAATACATATAAAGTTATCATTGATCTATATCAGGAGTCATCTAATTATAGACCATGGGCAAAACTATCTTGAATCATCAAGGCTGGGCATGGTGGCTCAAGCCTGTAATTCCAGCACTTTGGGAGTTCAAGGCAAGAGGGTCACTTAAGGCCAGAAGTTTGAGACCAGCCTGAGCAACATAGTGAGATCCAGTCTTTAAAAAAGAAAAAAATTAGCCAGGCCTGGTGTCATATGCCTATAGTCCTAGCTACTTAGAAAGTTGAGGCAGGAGATTTCCTGAGCCCAGAAGTTCGAGGCTACAGTGAGCTATGATTGCACTATTGCACTCCAGCCTGGGTGACAGAGTGAGATTCTGAC
This sequence comes from Homo sapiens, assembly GCF_000001405.40. Lineage (NCBI taxonomy): Eukaryota > Metazoa > Chordata > Mammalia > Primates > Hominidae > Homo > Homo sapiens. The sequence goes on along the minus strand of NC_000007.14, from coordinate 109,245,436 downwards.
TCTTAAAAAGTATATATATCTTGCATCGCTTGTTTCTGCAAATAAAATGCTGCTGGAATAAAAGCATGCTCATTCATTTGTTTATTGTCTATGGCTGCTTTTGCAGAGTGAGTAGTGATGGCAAACCATCTGGACGACAAAACCTAAAATATTTATTATCTGGTCCTTTATTAAAAATTTTTTGCCAACTTGATAGGTGTAAAAATAACTCACTGTTAGTCATGAGTGCTGTAACTGATGGAAATAAATGAAGCCTTATGGAGAGTTTGTTAATTAATCGAGAATATTATCATTTCATCGACACTGTATGTGGTTCATAAAACATGGCCAAATACTGGTGCATCCTAATATGGTAGGATGAATCCCTGTTCAGAAGTCAGGAAACTCATCTTCTTGTTTTTCTCATGTAAAATAGGCTATTAGACTACAACAATGTGAAATTTTCTGCTAGTTCTAAAATGTGATATTTATGTTTACTTAATACCGATCTTGGTTAAACCTTGTATGTATGTATTATAGCCACTTTTATATTGAATTTTCCATTGAGGACAAATTATTAAATTGTGCTCCGCATAGAATTCATAAAAGGGAGAATACTAGACTAAAATCAAGAAAGGTGAACCCTGTAACTTGCCTAGTTTTTTTTCTCACTTCATAGGAACAAATAAATTTTTTTAAAAAAGTCTTTGGTGAAAGACCAGAGACTTTTATGGAAACTGTTGGGTGAGAGACTAGACAAAACTTTATGTTACAAAAAGTATGTCTATTACTTTTTAGTCAAATAGCAATGAGGGCTTTTTTTCTCTCTGAAAGTACCATATTCAGAAATACTAGTAGAACAAAACAATTGGTTTTATTTACTAAATTTACTATCAATTTCACTTAACTGCCCCTTTGTTTAAATAAATTATTTTGAATCATAATACCAAATCTGTGTTCCTTTCTCCTTTGGATGTTATGCTGTCACTTTTCATTTATTTCATCTAAATTCAAAGGCTCATTGTACATGCATGAAAAATGCAGCTGTTTCCATTAAGGCATTTGATTTTTTTAATTAAATATTTTTGCCTGAAGCAGATGATATGTTTTAAAATATCAGTAGTAACAGCATTTCATTTTAGAATGTCTGATGCTATAATTTTTCTTCTTTCGTTAAACACCTTATGAAGAAGCCAAAAGTTTTTCATATAATATGCTCAAACTAATTTCAAGTCATTACTGAAATAATTCTTAAATCTGCCTATCATGTCTTTTGATGAACACTTTGTTTTAAAAGCTAAAGCTTAAATATAGCATGTGATTGCTATTTTAATCTTAACCCCAATTTTTATAAAAATCAGATAATATCTATTAATTCTAACTATTGCAAAATAATATGGATGGAAAATCTTTCGATTTTTTATTTGGTGCCTAATAATTTTATAGATTTATGGGGTAGATATAATATTTTGTTACATCCATACAATGTGTAATGATCAAATCAGAGTATTTAAGATATCCATCATCTCAAATGCTTATCATTTCTTTGTGTTGGAAACATTCCAAATCTTCTTTTCTAGCTATTTTTAAATATACAATATATTGTTGTTAACTATAGTCACCGTACTATGCTAGTGTTTACCCTACTGAACACTAGAACTTATTTCTTCTATCTAACTGTATGTTTTACCCATTAACCTACCCTTCCTTGTCCTCCCCACCACTTTTCCCAGCCTCTGATAACTCTTATTCTACTTTCTACTTTCAACCTCCATAAAGTCAACTTTTTAAGTTTTCATATATGATGGGGACATGTAATATTTGTCTTTCTGTGCCTAGCTTATTTCACTTAACATAATGTCCTCCAGTTCTATCTATGCTGCTGCAAATCACAGAATTTCATTCTTTTTCATGACTGAATTTTATTCCATTGTGTATATATATCACATTTTCTTCATCCATTTGTCTATGAATGAACACTTAGTTTGATTCCACATCTTGGCTATTGTGAATAGTGCTGCAATAAATGTAGGGGTGCAGGTATCCCTTTGATATGTTGACTTTTCTTTCGTTTGGATAAATACCCACTAACGGGATTGCTGGATCATCTGCTATTTCTATTTTTAGTTTTTTGAGAAATCTCCATACTGTTTTCCATTATTGCCCTGCTATTTTACATTCAAATCAACAGTATGTAAAAATTCAGTTTTCTCCATATCCTTGTCTCATTTGTTTTTTTTTTTTTTTTTCTTTTTTTTTGGTAATAGCTTTCCTAACTGCGGGAAGATAGTATTTCATTGCAGTTTTGATTTGAATTTTCCCAATAATTAATGATATTGAGCATTTTCTTCAAATACCTGTTAGCCATTTGTATGTCTTTTGAGGAATGTCTATTTACATCTTTCACCCAGTTTTCAAGGGATTATTTGACCTTCTGAGTTGAGTTTGTTGAGTTCCTTATATACTCTGGATTAATCCCTTGTCAGATAAATAGTTTGCAAACATTTCCCCACATTTTGTGGATTGTCTCTTCACTCCATTGATTGTGAAAGTAGCAGAGCAGAAGCTTTGTGTTTAATATAGTTTCATCTATTTTTGTTTTTGTTGCCTGTGCTTTGGGGTTTTACTAATGTTTGTCTAGACCAATGTCCTCAAGCCCTTCCCCTGTTTTCTTTATAGTTTTGGGTCTCAAGTTTAAATCTTCAATCCATTTTGAGTTAATTTTTGCTTATGGTAAGATATATTTCTGCATAGAAATATCCAGTTTTCCTAGCACTATTTATTGAAGAGAGTGTTCTTTCCCCAATATGTATTCTGGCACCTTTGTTGAAAACTAATTCTTTGACTCCTATTTCATTATAGTGTCTTCTTTATGAACGCTGCTAGAGGCATAAGCTCCATTCTTTTAAAAACAGCAGTGGTGGTGTAATAGTAAGAAGATCCAAGACTAGAAATCTAGTCTGTCTTCTGCTTATGCTCTCCTGTGAAGAGTTGGTACTATCACATTGTCTCTCTAAGTCACTTATGTCATCTATTAATAAATCAGAACTGATGATATTATGCATTTTAAAATCCATAAGCTTTTCAATATTGAACTTCACAATTTATCACTAGAGGTTCTATATTGACTTGATTTTCATGATTGCTTATGCAAAGTTTTGTAGCCATATATCTTTCATATTTACATTCCTATATATGTACTTTGAGTTAATCAATTTTTTACTTACTATTTTATAACAAGTATCTATATGTTTATATAATTATCTAAGCCATGTTTTTCTCATGATAAATTTGAAATGCTTAAGGCGTGGTTTAATAAATCCCTACATATATTTATAATATATATAATATGTATGATATATATCTATATATATATATCCTATTGGTTCTGTTCTCTGGAGAACCCTAGCTAATACAAGAAGTATCAACAAGATCAGGATGTTTTTTTACAATAGAAGGAAAAAAAAACATGCTTGTATGCTGACGAGAATGATTCAGTATATAGTAATCAATGAAATACTGACAATGCATGGAAGAGAGAGTGGGTAGAGAACTCCTTGAGGAGGTGTGAGCACTGGGATCTAGAACACACGTGGAGAAGGTGTCTTTAAAGAAGGGTGGAGAATTCCTCCATGGGGCAGGAGAGAGGCATTACATAGGGGCACAGAAGTAGGCTGGTGAGAAGCCAAAGAAATTCTTCTCTGACGGCCTATTTTTTTCCCGCAATATAAAAATGAATGGCCATATTCTCCAAAAGGAAAAGGAGGAAAAGTTGTCAAGGTGAGGGGTGAGGATAAAATGTTAAAATGTCATCTAGGAGGACAAAGAGACTAAAGACACTATAAGATTACTGAGCAGCATTAAGAGCCCACATGATACTAAAAATACTAAAAATTAGCTGGGCGTGGTGGCGGGCGCCTGTAGGCCCAGCTGCTAGGGAGGCTGAGGCAGGAGAATGGCGTGAACCCGGGAGGTGGAGCTTGCAGTGAGCGGAGATCGCACCACTGCACTCTAGCCTGGGCGACAGAGCAAGACTCTGTGTAAAAAAAAAAAAAAAAGAAAAAAAAAAAAGAGCTGGCCGGGCGCAGTGGCTCAGGCCTGTAATCCCAGCACTTTGGGAGGCCGAGGCGGGCGGATCACGAGGTCAGGAGATAGAGACCATCCTGGCTAACATGGTGAAACCTCATCTCTACTAAAAAAAAAAAATACAAAAATTAGCCGGGCGTGGTGGCGGGCGCCTGTAGTCTCAGCTTCTCGGGAGGCTGAGGCAGGAGAATGGAGTGAACCCAGGAGGCGGAGCTTGCAGTGAGCCAAGATCGCGCCACTGCACTCCAGCCTGGGGCGACAGAGCGAGACTCTTTCTCAAAAAAAAAAAAAAAAAAAAAAGCCCACATGAGAACAAAGGTCACGAATTCAAAGTAAGCCCACTCAGTATGGTCCTTTTGTTTTTCTCTATGGGTACAGAAACAGAAACAGAATAGAAGGTGAGCAGAATTAAGAAGGGGAATCTGTAATTTCCAAAAAACTTCATGAGAGGAAATAGCAGCTTTGAATAACTGGTTAAATCTGGAAGATATTAAGGTCATATCGTGTAAGACTGTTCCTTTTCCCTTTTTTAATCCCTTAGCCTGATGCTGGAGGTGTCAGAAACAGCAGCTATCAAGTTGGGAGGGGATTTTATGGGCTGCAAAATAAACTGGACTCTCCTGGCCACTCCTAACTTTGTGTTTAGAGTGGCATTATCCAGAAAAAAGACTTAATTTTGGAATAAGTTGGAAATTACGTATTACATTATGCTGGGCTGAGTATTTAATTATTATATATTTATATATTATATATTATATAATTGGGAGCTTTCATAATGATGGACAGGGCCTGGCAAGAACTTTGGGACCTTTCCAGAGCAGATTTGAGGGAACATTTGATGAAAACATGTAATATAAATTCCACATGCTTTAAAAATTTTTAGCACATATGTCAACTATTCAGTTACTATAAAGAGATTGTAGTAGGGAGAATTCTAACATTTGTCTGCCTCCAAGATTTCCTTACTCTCATTATTCACTCAAATGCTGTTGCAGAAGGGATTTCGTGGATGTAACTACTGTCTTAATTCAGCTAGCCTCACAATAACAGAGATTAGGACTGACCCAATCATGGGAGACATTTAAAAGTAGAGTGTTTCCCTGCTTTTAATGATCACAGCTAATTGCAGCCTCGAACTCCTGGGCTCAAGGAATCCTCCCACTTCATCCTCCAAAGTAGCTAGGATTATAGGTTTGAACCATCATGCCTGGATTACTAAATACCATTTTAAAGCCACTGTTTCAACTCAAGCAGAAGCTCTGGTGTTCTACAGTTGTTTAAACACTTTCACATCTTATTAACAGCATTGAATGGCCTTTCCTCTTTTAATACCATCACTGCATCAATTATTCTACATCTCCAGTTCAGTTTTTCAGTCTCATGTGAGGTCTTTGTTAGTCTTCATTAGTGTACTGACATGCATAACCTATTTAGATTTTAAATATGTAAAAGCCTTCAACAGAGAACACTGATATCTCTTTACCTATCATTGGTTTAATTATAGCTAAAATCTCATAAGAATATCAGTTTTGGAATATTTTCTTAAAGCACTTTTCACTTAGTAATATAAATAGCCAACTGAGGGGGATTGTTGTTTTTTTAACCCCCTCCAGCTTTACTGATGTATGATTGACAAAAATTGTATACATTTAAGTTGTAAACGCTTATGTTTAGAAATACATATACCTTTTGAAATGAATACCAAACACAAGATAATTAACGTATCAGCCACCTCACACAGTTACAATTGTGTGGTGTGTATGTGGTGAGAACATTTAATATCTAATCTCTTAGCAAATTTCAAGAAGAAAATACATTATTATTAACCATAGCACCAGGCTCTACATTCAGTCTCCAAAAGTAATTCATCCTATATCTGAAACTTTATTCACTTTGACCTATGTCTCTCCTTTCCCCCCACCCTCAACCACTTGTACCCAGGATTCTACTTACTGTCCTATCAGTTTGACTTTTTTAGATTACACATATAAGTAATATTACACAATATTTTTCTTTCAGTGTTGTATTAGTTCATTCTCATGCTGCTGTGAAGAAGTACCCGAAAATGGGTAATTTAGAAAGGAAAGAGGTTTGATTGACTCACAGTTCCATGGGGCTGGGGAGGCCTCGGGAAACTTACAATCATGGTGGAAGAGGAATCAAATGTGTCCTTCTTCACATGGCAGCATGAAGGAGAAGTACCAAGTTAAGGTGGAAAAGCCCCTTATAAAATGATAAGATGTCATGATAACTCACTATCACAAGAATAGCTGGAAGTAACCCCCCCATCCTGATTCATTTACCTCCCACTGGGTCCTTCCCATGACATATGGGGATTATGGGAACTAAAATTCAAAATGAGATTTGGGTGGGGACATAGCCAAACCATATCATTCTACTCATGGCCCCTCCCAAATCTCATGTCCTCATATTTCAAAACACAATCATGCATTTCCAGTAGTTCTCCAAAGTCTTAGCTCATTCCAGCCTTAACCAAAAAGTCCAAGTCCAAAGTCTCAGCTGAGTAATGGCAAATCCCTTCTGCCTTTGAGCCTGTGAGTCTATAAAATTGAAAGCAAGTTAGTTGTTTCCTAGATACAATAAGGGTATAGGCATTGGGTAAATACACCCATCCCAAATGGGAGAAATTGGCCAAAGGGGCTACAGGCCCCATGCAAATCCAAAATCCAATAGGGATTTTAAACTTTAATAGGGATCATTAAACTTTAAAGTTCCAAAATGATCTCCTTTGACTCCATGTCTCTCATCCAGGTCACTCTGATACAAGAAGTAGGCTCCCATGACCTTGGGCAGCTCTGTCCCTGTGGCTTTGCAGGGTATGGCCCCACTCCTGGCTGCTTTCACAAACTAGCATTGTCTATGGCTTTTCCAGGTGCATGGTGCAAGCTGTCTGCATATACCATTCTGGGGTGTGAAGGACAGAATGGCCCTCTTCTGATAGCTCCACTAGGTCATGCCCCAGTGAGGACTCCGTGTGGGGGCTCCAACCCCACATTTCCCTTCCACACTGCTCTAGCAGAAGTTTGCCATGAGGGCTCCAACCCTGCAAGAGACTTTTGTCTAAACATCCAGGCATTTCCATACATCCTCTGAAATCTAGATGGAGGTCCCCAAACCTCAATTCTTATCTTCTGCACACTACCAGGCCCAACATCACATGGAAGCTGCCAAGATTTGGGGCTTGCACCCACTGAAGTGATGTCCTGAACTGTACCTTAGGCCCTTTTAGCCATGGCTGGAGCAGATGGAACACAGGGCACCAAGTCCCAAGGCTGCACACAACAGGGGAGACCTGGACCTAGCCCAGGAAACCAATTTTCCCTCCTAGGCCTCCAGGCCTATGATGGGAGGGGCTGCTGTGAAGGTATCTGACATGACCTGGAGGCATTTTTCATATTACCTTAATGATGAGCATTTGGCTTCTCATTACTTATGCAAATGTATACAGCCAGCTTGAATTTCTCCTCAGAAAATGGCTTTTTCTTTTCTACTGCATCATTAGGCTGCACATTTTCTAAACTTTTATGCTCTGTCACCTCTTGAATGCTTAGCTGCTTAGAAGTTTCTTCCACCAGATACCCTAAATCATCTCTCTCTAGTTCAAAGTTCCATGATCTCCAGGTCAGGGGCAAAAAGCCACCAGTGACTTTGCTAAAGCATAGCAAAAATGAACTTTACTCCATTTCCCAACAAGTTCCTCATCTCCATGTGAGACCACTTCAGCCTGGACTTCATTGTCAATATCACTGTCAGCATTTTGGTCAAAGCCATCCCACAGGTCTCTAGGAAGTTCCAAAATTCCCCACATCTTCCTGTCTTTTGAGCTCTCCAAGTCCCTAGGAAGTTTCCACTTTCCCACATTTTCTTGTCTTCTTCTGAGCCCTTCAAACTGTTCCAGCCTGGGCCTGTTACCCAGTTCCAAAGTGGCTTCCACATTTTTGGGTATCCTTATAGCAGTGCCCCACTCCCTCAGTATAAACTTATCGTATTAGTCTGTTCTCACATTGCTATGAAGAAATACCTGAGACTGGGTAATTTATAAAGGAAAGAGGTTTAATTGACTCACAGTTCCACAGGTCTGGGGAGAACTCAGGAAACTTACAATCATGGCAGAAGGGGAAGCAAACAAATCCTTCTTTATGTGGTGGCAGGAAGAAGTGCCGAGTAAGGGGGGAAAAGACACTTATAAAACCATCAGTTCTCATGGGAATTCACTCACTATTATTATAACAGCATGAGAGTAACCACCCCCATGATTTAATTATCTTTCACTTAGTCCCTCCCATGATGCATGGGGATTAAAAGAACTACATTTCAAGATGAGATTTGGGTGGGGACACAGCCAAACCATATCATGTGTCTAACCTACTTCCCTTGTCAAAATGTCCTCTAGGTTCATCTGTTTTGTGACAAATGGCAGGATTTCCTTCTTTTTTTAAGGCTGAATAATTTTCTGTTTTATACACGCACGCACACACACACACACACACATACACAAATATACATATATATATACATATATATATATGTACTTTCTGTTTTTTATATACAGCATTTTCTATATCCATTCTTCTATTGATGGACACAGGCTCTTTCCTTACTTTGGCTATTGTGAATAATTCTACAATAAATACGGGAATGCAAATATCCCTTCAAAATAGTAATTTTATTTCCTCTGTATATATACCCTGAAGTGAAATTGCTGGATAATATGGTCATTTTAATTTTTATGAAGCTCCATATTATTTTCTGTAATAACTGTACCAAGTTACATTCCCACTAACAATGTACAAGGGTTTCTTTTTGCCACATTCTTTCCAATACTTGTTAGCTTTTGAATTTTTGATAACGACGATCCCAACAAGGCTGAGGTGTTATTTCACTGTAGCTTTGATTTACATTTCCTTGATTATTAGTGAAGTCAAGCATCTTTTCATAGACTTGTAGGCAATTTATATGTCTAATTTGCAAAAATACTATTCAGATCCTAGTGTAGTCTTTTTACACAATAATTCAATCAACACATTCACATGATTTGCATACCTAAGATTCAACTGTTATTCAGGGTTGACCTTACCACAAAGCATATGGATTGAGTATCAAAATGCAATCCTATATTAAGCCCAGTAATGTAATATATCAACTGTGGAATGCAGATATTTTTTGAACTACTGAAAGAAGAGTTAACATATTAAGCTGTGGTCTTGGGTCTTAGGTACCTTCAATGTAGTTTCTCAGTCGAATTTAATGGAATAATGACTTATCAAGTCAGATCAATAGATCCAGAGAGAAAAATGATAGTGAAAAGATTATTTTCTTAACGTCTTCACAGTATAAATTTAACCATCCAGCCAATCAGTTAAATGCAAGATATTTGTCAATTTAGATAAGTGCCTACTATTTACTCTTAATTCATTCTCATATTCTCTCTCTCTCTCTCTCTCCCTCTCTCTTCTCTTTCTCTTCACTCTCAGGTTTATTTTCAGCCTGTGTAAAAATAAAAGCTCTGGCAAACCTGTCTGTGTTCCCATATTCTTTCCCTGTCTGTCACCAACCACAACCTGAAGACATGAATTTGAATAATTTAATGGATCTGTCTATGTTTAGCTCTTTGACTAACATAGTAGTAAGGAATCCTGGAAATACATCACAGTATATTGTTTTACCCCCTCCCCCCTGCCAAACACACACCTAGGCTCTGAATTACAAGAAGGAAGATGCCATTCTTATCCACTTGAATACATTAGTATCATAAAATGCTCAATATTTCCAACTAACACTTCAGTTACTGTGGGACTACTTCTTTCATGAGTTATGTTATTACTAATAGTTTCAGAAGAATTCATGCCTGACCTGATTAGTTACTGCTTAGAAAGCAGCTCCCGGTCACAAATGAAAGCATTTTTTTTTTCTCTAGTATATGTTAAGAACTGTGAAGGACATGATATTTTACAATACTTGCAAGCTTACAAGTTAGTTTACTATCGTATCATGAATTCTGGCAGAAGACTTGAGACTCCTGGATTGGAGACAAAGGACAGTATATTACTCATAGCAATAGCTGCAGTCAGACTATCAGCATTTGGCTGAGTTTCTGAGCCTGAATTCCTATATGGCAATGCAGAGGGCAGGTGATAACTGCACACATAATGGATTATATTACAGGGGATGAACCATGATCTTAAAGATCCTGAGTCTTTTCTAATGAGCATAATTCCATTTGTACTTTGCTCTGGAGGGAAACATTATGTCTTTCAAAGTTGTTCACTATAGAAGTGTCCTTGAAAATATAGTTCAGAACAATGAAAGTCAGTGTCTCTGCTCACAAGATGTGCAGAAACATGAGAGACCTAAGGAGAATTGTCTCTTAAAGTTTATTAAGGTCAAACCTAGGGGAAGAAAATAAACATTCATTATTTAAAGCTATCTTTTGCATTTCAAATAATATGTCTAAGAGTTGTTTTCTTTGGATAAAAAAATTAGATGCATATTCCATTATTAGCTTATTCTAATCAAAATTTATATTCTTTTTTGAACTACAACTCTTGTATTATAACTTAGAGTGGCTTTAGAGAAGTTTTCTAAATATTGATCTCTGGATGCCAAACAATGATTTAAAAAGTAAATTAGATATCTCAGATGTTTGACCTCTTTAATATAGACATTTAGAGCTTCGGAAAATATCCAATTTACTGACAATTCTTCAGCATATTTTGGCATTATGCTGAGTTAGCCTTGACTCATAAAAAATGATAATAACAAGATGATCAATATTGCATACACCATGGTCATAAAAAGCCTGGTGTATGTGATGCCCTAAGAGATGGGTAGTCAGTCAATGAGGTAATAAAACATGGAGGGATATATTCACTAGAGAATGTATTTTTTAAAAAGTAATGGCTAAGCTAGAGCTGTGAAATGAATGAATATTAACGGGTAAATAAGAGTCATTAATTAGTTGTATGAGTCTACTGATAAACCTACGAAAGCCTTCTTTATAGTTTGTTTTTAATTATTATTTCTAGCACATTCTTTTGATTCTTTCTTAGATTATACATTTGTATGATTAAATTACTCATGCATGCTTACATGTCTACTTTTTAACTATAGCCCTAAATATATTTATAGTTATTTTACATTTTCTACATGATAATTGCAACATCTTTGTCACATATGAATCTGGTTCTGATGATTGCTGTGTTTTTTCAGACAGAATTTTTCTTGACTTTCGTCATGGCTTCGAATTTTTTTAAGCCAGACATGATATATTGGGTAACAGAAACCAAGCTTAACAGTGTGAGGATTTATGTTAATTTCTGTGAGGGTTGGGCTGTGTTTAATATTTGCTGTAGCTCTAGGTACCATAGACTTTGAGTTTCTCTAATGTCCTTGTTTTTGTTCCCTGTTTCTCTGTGTGTTTCCCTAAGAACTCCTCCTCATATAGAGATCTGGCCTTCCAGCTCTTTCAGCTATAATCCAGTTATTACACAAGAGTCTTGTTGCTATGTTGATAAGCAATAGGCAAGGGGAGAATTCTATAATTTTCAGAAGTTTTCCAAAATTATTATTTATATGTTTCTCCCAGTTTATAGCTCCAGTATCTTCTGGTCAAAGTAAGAAGTCTCATCTGTATCTCTCTGGATAACACCTGTCTTTCTAAATTTGGCTGATTATTTAACCTTCAAAGTCAATTATCTAATGGCTCCAACGAAAGTCTTTTATTCCAAGCTTTTTCTTCCTATTATTTGCTAAAAGAGTGGGAATGACAACTTCCAAGTTCTTTACACGTCAGAACTGAAACTGTAGCTTTACATTCATAATTTTTAAAGTACTACAGTATTTTGACAATTTATTATAAAGAATTCCAACTATATGTAAAAGTCAAAAGACTGCATAACATAATTACATGTCTATGACAGCATGTAAATTTAACAATTGTTTATACATTGCCATAATTTCTTCAACTATTTTTTCACAGAAGTTTTTAAAAGTAAATTGCAGCTATTATCACATTTCGCTCCTAAGTAAGTATATTTTATTACATACTGACAATATTATTATCTAACCTAACAAAGCTGGCAATAATCCCAAAATAGCATTTAATGACAAGTTTATATTCAGATTTTCCCAGGGGCCTCAACAAATATAGCTCATTAGTTTAATCAATCAGTCAGTAACCAGTCATGAGCTATGCCATGTGTGGTCACTGTAGCTTTTAAATGAATTTTAACCTACCACAAATCCTTTTCTTCACGGCATCCATTATTAAAGATAGAAGGCCAGTTGTCCTATAGAATGTCTTACCTTTTAAATTTGCCTGCTTGTGTTCTTTTGACGATGTTTAACTTATAGCTTTGTTGTCTATATTTTCTGTTAACTAGAAGTTAGACCTAAAAGTAAGTGCTGATTACAATCATTTTGCCAAGACTACTTCATAGATTATACTGGTTCATATGTATCATACCAGAAAGCATAGAAAGCCAGCTGCCCTTCTATTGCTGTTACAGTAATGGCTAATTGGTTAAAATGGGACAGCCTGCTCTATACATTGAAGTTTTCCACTTTTCTCTTGCCAACCAACAAGCACTCCCATCCTCAACCATCAAGAGAGAACAGCCCAAGTTCCCACTTTCCCTGGATTATCCCAAGGATAGTTATTTAGGTCGTAGTCTACTGACTTAAATTCTATTTGACTTGAAGGAAAAGACCCTTTTTCTAATTCACAAAGCTACCATGTAGGGCAGTGGTGGCCCTGACAATTACATATTATGATTTCCAAGTAGGAGAGATTATCCTTTTGCATTGTGGAAAAAAGGATTTGAGTAGTATTAGGTAGAAACTGCAAATTCAAGTAAAACATGTCTGGTCTAGACAAAAGAGATGCAGATTTTAAATATATAAGTAGTTATAGAAATTGAACAGAGAGACAGAACTCAAGAAATATCTAGGTCGCAAATAGATAGGAATTTCAGAATTCTGTGTAGAAAAACTTTGTATATTTGAAATCATCATCAAATATCTTCCTGGCTTTATCATGAAATAGAAATAATCAAAATATTGCATGGAATATAGCAAAAGCAGAATATATAAATAGATCACAGAAATTATGTTTATGATACCAAGTAATTTCAGGCCTTTCATAGCCTTAACATTAAAATGAAATGTAATATTGTAGTCAATTTGATTATAGAATAAGGTAAAATTATGTAGCTTCTCTTATTCATATATATTTACTCGCAATATAGGCCCAGACAAAACTATTAAAAAGAAAGATTGCACTGGAAACTTGTTAAAAATGGCAAGGAAGATTTTATTCAAGACCATTGCAATTAGGGACAAAGACTATTGGAATAAAAGTTGAGCTTGAACTCAACTTCCCTGAAACAAAAAGCAGGAGGATTTTTTAAATGCTCAGGTGAGCTAATGGAAAAGTACTGAAGAATGGAGGGTGTGGATGAAGGGGTGGGGATGTTGATCAATGTGATTCAAACACCTATGTTTGCAAATTGTTATTTACGGAAACCAGGCTTTTACCTTCCAGAGGGGTTGGAAGACAAGGGCCCTACCTTTCTTGATTATGTTTCAAAGGAATGGCTCCCAGGTCCTAGAGAAAGACACTCCTGGGTTATAGAAGATTTACATCTCAAAAGAGCAGAGAAAGAATTTACAACTCCTGCCAGGAGCGGTGGCTCATGCCTGTAATCCCAGCACTTTGGGAGGCTGAGGTGAGTGGATCACAAGGTCAGGAGTTTGAGACCATCCTGGCTAACACAGGTGAAACCCCAACTCTAATAAAAATACAAAAAAAATTAGCCAGGCATGGTGGCAGGCACCTGTAGTCCCAGCTACTCGGGAGGCTGAGGCAGTAGAATGGTGCGAACCCGGGAGGTGGAGTTTGCAGTGAGCCGAGGTCATGCCACTGCACTCCAGGCTCAAAGGAAATGGAGGTAAGAGGCCTATAGTCAAAAAGAAGCCTGTCTAAAATTTAGTCAAGTTGAGGAGAACATTAAGGATGTCTTGATCAAAACTTACTCAAGAAAGAGGATAAAAGCAAAATAAGTCTGCTGGGTTGAGAATTTGGGGATGTAAATAATATAATTGCCATTTTTTCTGTTTAGCTGCATTACTAAGATAGTATAACATAAATAAAAACACATTCTTTTTTATAGTAGTGAGAAAGATTAATGCAAATAGAAGGAAAAATTATCCCTTGATTTTCAGTTTATGAATTCTGTAGTTACTAATTCATCTTGAAAGACTTCAAATATAAGTAAGCTTTGTAAATATACTGGTAGTGAGTGTGTTCAACCAGACAGACAATTTTTTCCCTGTGTCCATGAGGCAGAAACAGTTGATATAATCTTCTCTAATTATTGGAGTGGATTCTCTCAGTTTAATCACATGTGTTCCAACTCTGCTCTAAGTGAGAATAGGTGATTTGGATAGTGAGATTCTGACAGAGAAACAAACAAACTAGACAAACAAAAACACTAGGCAAAAGTATGTAGCCTTAGATGAGGAAACACTTTGTGAGTATGACAATTTGTGTAATATGCTGCTTCAAGTTAATAGCTAACTTTATAATTTGTGTGCTAAGTGAAATTGTGCAATATTAATTTTGTTCTATTTTGATTTTCTAAGATATTACAGGATGAATTGTTTCTCCCAAAGGAAAAAAAAAAAGATATGTTGGAGATCTAACTCCCAGTGTCTGACCTTATTTGGAGATAGGGTCATTACAAAGGAGATCAAGTTAAAACGAGCTCATTATTGTGGACTCTTAAGACAATATAACTGGTATCCATATAAAAAGGAAAAATTTGTACACAAAGTCAAGATACACATTACGGAAAGACAATGTGAAAAGACACAGAGAGAAGATGATCATCTTTAAGCCAAGGGTAGAGGCCTAGATTCTTCCCTCACAGCCTGTTAGAGTAGGTAACTAGGCAGACATGAGCAGGGCAGGAGAGCCCCAGGAATGTCAGGTGACCATCAGGTGATGGCCAGGCCGTTGTTCAACTGTATCTCTAAAATAATAATTGGTTGCAGCTGGTGCTAGGGAAAGGCAGTCTCCCTATGGATAGAAAACACCTGAAGCTGGTGATCACCAACTTCCTGGTGAGATCTCAGAACACATTCACTATCAGTATATTTATGAAGCTTGCTTAAATTTGAAGTCTTTCAAGATGAATTAGTAGCTGCAGAATTCATAAACTGCAAATCAAGAGATTATTTTTTTCCCTCTTGAGTGGGCTCAAGCATGTGCACTAAGAGGAAAATTGCAGAGTTTAACTGGTATATGATCTTCCCATAGGAACATTCATCTGGTAAGGGAAAAACACCTCAGATGAGCACATGTACAACTTCAGTAAACACACTGCACATGCAGCCCCTCCTAAATGCTGGCAGGCCACTATACATGCAGTCAGCCCACCCCAAGGAAAACCGGAGAGAGGAGAGGTACAAAAGCCCTGGAACCATGACAATGTATAAAAGCCCAAGTCAAAGGCCAAACAGGGCACTTGGATCACTCCAGTTGCCTGCTTGGCCCTCTTCCAACTGAAATTTACTTCCCTTCATTCCTTCTCTAAAACTTTTTAACAAACTTGCACTCTTGCTCTAAAACTTGCCTCACTCTCTCACTCTGCCTTATGCCCCTCAGATAAATTCTTTCCTTCGAGGAGTCACTGCAGACTCGCCCGTATGGATTCACCACTGCTAACAAGCCCTCAGAAGGAATCAAACCTCTTGACTCCTTGATTTTGTACTTCTGACCTCCAGAACTGTAAGATAATAAATTTCTGTTGTTTAAGCCATCCAATATGTGGTACTTTGTTATGGCAGCCCTAGAAAGCTAATAAATGGGTCTTAGAACTAAAAAGCATTTAAAAATGTTTTAGGTTGCTATCTTCTCATTAATCTGTATTTTTAAAAAAATGTTATACTCTCACTTCTATTGACCTTTGTGCCATTTTTTATGTTCACTTGGTTTGATTTATTCACATGTTTGCCCAAAGCAATTTTATTTAAATTTGTTTTCTAAAAATGAAACACTTAGGGTTCTTGGAACTTTGTATAAATAAATTTTTACTAAATCCAACTGGATTTCTTAGCCAGAATGTTACAACTTTTCTGATTGGCTCGATAAAAACTTGAGTGAGACACAAACATACCTCTAAATCTTTAGTGAACAATAAATATGCCCAGGTTCATACAATAATTAACGTATCTATTATTTTATATAAAAGGTCTAATATTAATACAATTCTCCTTTCAAATGTGAAAATTCTTGCCCTGGAAAATCATGTATGTACATTTTAAATGCTTATTATTATTCAGAACCAAAGTAAGACTAGGTCTGAAGTGTATTCAATGACTTTGCCATGAATATATACATGTATTTAATGCATATGTGTTCATATGTATGCATACACATTTGTATTTAAAACATTTCACATTTGTATTTAAAACATTTCAAAGGAAATTTTACATAATGTTTAAAATTACATGTATTACATAATATGTACATTTCGATACCACAAAAAGGTTTGGAAATTTATTGAAAAATACAGGTTTAACTTTAAAATAGCTGTCAAACCAACTACTGTAATTTTTATGATGTAATGTAATTTTTATTTCATGTTTTGCATTTGAAAGACTTGAAAGATCGACAAATTATTCCAGTTGTTACAAAAGAAAAGAAACAATTCAACCCATCAGTACTAGATTATGATAATAATCAGGTACTAAGATATTAATCAGATACTAAGAAGAAAATATAGAGGAATACATTTTTAATAAAGAAAATGCCAGGTATATAAATTGTTGAATATTCAAGGCCTCGATGTTATATTTTTTTTATAAATGATACTGCCTTCAGGTTTATCTTACTTCCCAATGTTCTTGATGGATCCCAAGATAGACGGATCCCAAGGATACTACAGGAACTTAAAATCTGATATCTTTGAATAGATGAAAACCAATCATAAATAATGCATTTTTTGCATTTAGATAAGCTGTTCTGCTTGGCTATTTTAAAGTTAAAAAAAAAAAAAGGAGCAATTCTGTGCAGGCGTTTTCAGCAACAAATCAAACACTAATTATCATTTTGCTTGTGTTATGCTATTTGTCATCAGGACTGTCCTACCTTAAAATGATATACAATAGTCTCTGTCAGTGACATATTAATTGGTTTCCTATGTGTCTCATTCTGGAATATTAAAGTGACAAGCTGGGCTAGTATTCATTATTGGACAGTGCCTCCAATGCATACTTCGTAGGAGAGGAACTCTGAAAAGCTGAGTCAAGTTCTGAATACAACTGTGACTCCCTCTTCTTCTCACCTCCCACTGGGAAGGAAACAAGGCTATGAATGATGGCAGAGCCTAAATCCTCAGAGGATGAGTAGAGGATGGACCTCTTCCTTGATGCCAGAATGCAGAGAGGGGCATGTGCCTTGCCTTGAAGCCTTAGCCATAGCTATTCCCGCTCCCTGGAATGCTCTTCCCTAGAAAGTCACTTGATTCCATTGCTCATGCCCTTCAAGTCTTCTCTAATATCTTCTCAATGAGAAGAATCTCCTAAGTATCCCATTTAATACAGCAAACTTTCTCTCCCTAAAATTTGAGGTCTTTTTTACTGTCATACTTTTCTTCTTTTGACAGCATTTACCACTTTTTGGCATACCATATTATTTAATAATTTATTATATTTATGGTTCATCACCTTTAAACCCCAATAAACTCCAAGAGCACAGAGATCTTTTTCAGTTTGCTTCCTGGTGTGTTCTATGTGCTAGGAATACTTTCTAACACAGTAGGTTTTCATAAATATTTGTTGAATGATTGAATAAATGACTAGCTACAGAGAAGAGTGCCTGCTACCCCTTGTTGGATAAACAAACAAGCAAACAGCTCCTGGTGTGGATTTTTTGAGGAGTCAGGACTCTACACCCACCTGTTGGCTATGGATTTGCAGGAAAGTTGCTCTGGTGAGCCAAGTAGCTCCCAGATTCTGCAGTGGAGCAAACTTTCTTGCTACACACGTTGGGAGACCTGTTGCTAGAGAGGGACTGGATTTTTCTGCTCATTGGATGTCAGCTCAAAAGAGGAGATGCTACTCTGCTTGTCAACAATTTGATCTTCACGATTCCTTAGAACAATTTTGTGTTCTAAGGAATCACAAAATTATGAACCAACAAATAAAAAAACACAACTTACTTAAGAGCATTCAGTGACCTAATGGAGGAAAGCCAAGTTGAAGATCTATCATGGGCCTACTGACATGAGATTAAAAAAAGGCAGAAAAGAATGTAACAAAGCAAACAAAACAAAAAGTGTTTTAAAGAATGTTACAAAACAAAACCAAGCTATTAGATTTTACACAAGCTCTTTCAGAATATAACAAAGGAAGAAAGATTTTCCCTCCAATTCTGTGGAGTCAGCATTACCTTTATATCAAAACTAGGAAAAGACATTACATGAAAACTACAGACAGATATGTCTCATGAACATGGGATAAAATTTTACAAACGAATGTTGGCATATTAAATCAAACAATATATTTAAAATATTATGCACCATTCCAAGTCAGCCTTATCTCAGGAATACAGGTTAATTTAATATTCTAAGAGCAATCAATATAATTCACTATATTTTCAGACTGGAAAAGAATCAACATAACTACCTTAATAAATGTGGAAAAGCACTTCAAAAAATCCAACATCTATTCCTGATTTTAAAATCTATCACCTATGTAGCAATAGAAGGTGATTTTTTTCAACCTAGTCAATAAGATTTATGGAAAACCAATGCTAAAATTATATTGCAAGTTGGAAGTTTGAATGCTTGCCTATGACTTCAGGAATAAGGCAAAGATTTTCTCTCACCACCTCTATTCATCTTAATAATGGAAGGTCTAGCCAGTATAAGGTGAAAACACAGAAAATAAAAGAAGAAAGAAAACATAAATATTGGAAAGGAAAAAATAAAACTGTCTTAATTCAGATAACCTGAACATACACAAAGTAAATTATAAGGAATCTATTAAAAAGCTATTAGAAATAGCAAGTGTAGGGAGGGGAAATATTCAAGGCAATTTTTATGTAAAAATTAATTTATGTCTAAATGCTAACAACAAAAATGGAAATTGAAAATTAAAAATACCATTTACTGGTTAACATAAAATATTATGTACCACTTAAAGATAATCTTATCAAAATATGTGAAAGGACTGAAAACTGTAAAATATTTTTAGGGGAGATTTAAAAAGACCAAAACAAATAGAGAGGTACAGTATGTCACTTGATTGGAAGAATAACTTAAAATGGAAATTCTCTACAAATTAATACACAGTTATTAGAATACTTTTCAAAATCATAGCAGGCTTTTCTGCAGAAATTGGCAAGCTGATTCTAAAATGTATATGGAAATGTAAACAGCCCAGAATATCCAAAATAATGTTGAGAAAAGACTGTAAGACTTAATGCTTTCCAATTTTAAAATTATTAAAAAGCTATTATAATCAAGGTATAATTTTAGCACACAAAAAAAAAACCTTACATAATACAATGGAACAGAGTTGAGAATCTAGATATAAACTCTTACATCCATGGTGAATTGAATTTGAGTAAGATGCCAAGAAAATTCAATGGGTAAAGTGTAATCTTTTCAACAAATGGTGCTGGGACAATTGGATAACCATAGACAAAAAGATGAATTCGCTTAACTCAAAATATGCAAAAATTAAATCAAAATGGATCATGGATTTAAATGTAAGAGCTAAAACTATAAAATTCTTTGAAGAAAGAAGGACAAAATCTTCATGACCTTTGTTAGGCAATGAGTTTTCATATATGACACCAAAAGTACAATCCATAAAAAAGAAAAAAACCTGATAAATTGAACTTCATTAAAACTTAAAACTTTTGCATTTCAAAAATACCATTAAGAAAATGAAAATCTAAGCCACACACTAGAAGAAAATATTTACAAATCATATATTTTCTTAATGGCTTGTATATAAAATATATAATAAACCCTTATAACTCAATATTAGGCCAAAAAATTTAACTGGACAAAAGATGTAAATGAATACATAAGCACCTAAAATATGCTCAACATCATTAGTCATTAGAGAACTAAAAAAAACCACAATAAGATATTTCTAAAAAAATTAGAACGGTTCAAATTTAGAAGAATGAAAACACCATGTTTTGACAAAAAAATGTGAGGCAACTGAAACTCTTCTTACGTTGCTGGCAGGTATGCAAACCTGTACAGCCATGGTGGATAGCAGTTTGTCAATGTCATAAAGCTCAATGTACACTTATCATATGACCCAGCTATTTCATTTCCAGGAAAACACACTTGTCCACAAAAAAGTTATGTTTGAATGATCATAGTTTTATTAATAACAGGATAAACAATCCCAACACCTTTGAACTGGTGAGTGGGTAAATGAATTGTAATATATTCATGCAATAGAATCAGTTCAAAAAGAAACTAAGCAATCAATGTAACAAACCGCTGGGAAACACAAATACATGGGTGAATCTTAAAAGCATTACGCTAAATGAAAAAGACATGGAGAAAGTACATACCGTATGATTTTGTTTATTTGAAATTCTACATAAGGCAACATTGTAATAACAAAAAGCAAGTCATTGGTTGAAAGGTTCTATGGGTAGTGGAGGAAATGAACTATAAAGAGTTACCATGTAACTATACAGAGTAATGCAAATGTCCTTATGCTTTGCAGGGTTTTCTTTTTTTCAATGTTAATGTGTGCAAATTATACCATATAAAGCTGACTTTTGCAATGTGAAAAATGCAGTGCAAATATCCCTGTATATCCAAACTCACACTACTTAAACTCATGATCTGAACTCAAGTACCAAATGGATGAGGAAGGAACACTTGTATTGACTATAAATCTTGCAGCTCACGGTTTGACACCTGACTCAGTGATGTTCCTCTCCTCCTTGTGACAGTATTCTTGGTCTTGTGGTCTCTCAAAAGACAGATCTGTCTGGAATGCATGTGCCCTGCTAAAGTTTCCTCCACAGCAGAGCAGGTGTGGCCTTTACCCAAACAGCTTCAAAGATCACTGGCAGTCTTTGCCCGCTACTCCCTTCCCTACTCCTCCAAAAATATCTCATCAGATTTTTGAAAGGAAGTTTGCAGGATCTTTTACAAGTAAAGCAATATTTTCCTTCTGGTAGCTCCTGTGAAATGTTATATGTCTCTAACTGAAACCTTTCACATTCGATATTGTGTTATTACATTTTGTTCACATTTTTCACTCTTATTAGACTGCTCCTTTTTATAAAGACCTATTTCTGCTGATTTTTTTGTGTGGCTTCACAGTGTCTTGGTCCAAGGGCATTGACCCAGTAGCATTAAGCATGCATTTTGAAGTGAAGGGGGTTTCAGCATTTTACTTTGTAAATGTATCTTCAGAAACTTCTTCCTATGATCCAATATATTAGATATGAGCACCTTTATTTAATAGCTGATATTTCTTACTGGCTAAACTTTGAGAATTTAGTGGCATTTAGAGAGTTGTTTCTGTTTGGCTTATATTAAATTTGAATTCTATTTTAAATTAGAGAGGAAAAAAGCATATGTTCAAATGTGCGCATGTGTGTCCCTTTTTTACAAATTATATTATATACCTTGCATATCTACAAGATTATCAGTTATTTGAGATTATCCATTATAAGTATCTTGTTACTATGAAAAAAGATCATTATGAGTGCATTTTGTTGATTTTTTTCCATCTTTCCCCTTCTCTCTATAGCTTCCTGTTTAGCTAAAGAATAAAGATAATTAAAAAACACACAAACTCATCTTTTCAAAACAGTATATTAAGGAATATCCTTAACTATAAAATTCATAAGCACTTATACAATATACACATAAACTTTAAAACTATTTATTTAAAGCTCTATGTGTGATGGAATCTTTTCTTTCACATAACTGCATTCTTCACTATTCCTATTTACTATTTGAAGTAATAGCTACTCAAAAATATTAATCAGGGAGAATTCAGTATATTCATTTATGTAGATAATTATATATAAAAATCAAAAAGCAATTACAATAGAAAATATAAAATGTTCTATTTAATGTTCTATTTAATCCAATTAATACTTTTAGAAAGAAAACAATAGTATATTTCTGAGTGCAAGTGTAAGTCATGTTTGAAAATAAATCATGAAAGACACCCAGAAATCATAAATAAATAGATGCCTCTTTGTGGCTCCATGAAGAGCTTATTCTAGTGTGTGTGTGTGTGTGTGTGTGTGTGTGTGTGTGTGTGTTTATTTCAAACATATATATATTTCAAGCATCTCTCAGCTTTTTAACTTTTCAGTTTATTGTAGATAAGTTTTTATTTAAGTTTTATTTAAATAAGAAGATTTTAAGGAAAAATAAACTTTAAAGACAGGAGCTTCATTTGGGCTCCCACTGAATGAAAGGAAAAATTTTATTCAAGTGCAAATGCCAAAATCTGGACTAACAACATTGATGCTTGTTCAAGTTAGCAATTTGTCACTTCAGTTATCAGAAAATGCAATGAGTTGTTTACAGTCTTGAATTTACAATTGTGACCCAGTGAGTGTGTTTGATTCCACAGATCAGAAATTAAAGTTTATATTTGACATCTTGCATTTTTTGTATCTGTTTTGCTACCATTTTTGTGCTGACCTTTCAGGTGTTCAGAATTTTCAAGGAGAAGAAACCGATGGTGCATTTAACCCTTTTACTATCTATAAATACAGTAGGAAGTTATAGTTTATAAAAATATAAAGCTTGAGTTAATTTTTTTAGACCTTAAAATATTGCCCAGAATTTCATGGACAATCATAGACACTAGCAAGCACTGTACCAAAACATAAAGTAAGCCCTTGATAATCATCTGTTAATCTCATATAAATCATCATAGAATTGGTATGCTGAACTTGCGCCCTCTAATTCGTGGAGAAATATATATATATAATTGATATTCCACAATAAAATTTCTCAGAAAAAAAGTGAGCAGAAATTACACGCTTAAAAGCATATATGTTGGCTAATTTGCTTATGATTAGCATTTACAAGTTTAATTAATAATGACCAAATAATGCTAAATTTATTCTCTAAGAAAACAGTTGTTTTCTAATCTACCTCATAATACTTACTTTGAAACTGACCCTTCACAATTTGTCCTCATCTCCAGGGAATCTCAGCTCCTATACTACAGGGTAATTAATATATATCCCAGGAGCTTAGTCTCTGTTTCACTGTGATTATTTTAAGAAGTGTCAGGGGACAGACACCTTTCTCTTAGAAAATAGAGCATGAACTACAATGAAGGTCTTTTTAAAATCATGTGCATTGTCACAGTTCAGCTGGTTTAAACTGAGAGGCAGTTGTCCAAATATCTTTGCCATAATTAATGCCTAGCAATGATTTAATTATTTATTCTGTTCTCTATTATTTGGCCTAGAGATTTTACCAAAATGCCTGAGAAAATGCTTCAAAATGGACAGAAGAAACTGGAGTAAATTCTTAACTTTATGAATTAGAGTGTTTAGGTCAGAAATAATGTAATTGAAACATCTCTATTTTTACAGCTATACTAACAGGATTCTGATACTAAGTTGCTTATCTATCTTGCTAGCTAGCTGACTACCTACCTATCTGTCCATCTAATTATCTGTTGCGGTGTAAAAATACCCCAAAAGGTAGTCGTTTAATAACGATTTGTATCAAACTGTTTTGTGGGTCATGAAATCAGGCATTTTCTAAGACAGCTATACTCATATGCCTGGTAACTTGACAGGAATGTTGGAAGGTTGAAAACAGGTGTACGTTTCTTCCCTACATAGTCTCAAAGTCTCTCGTTGGTTCTCTCCAGCAGGGTAGCTGGACCTATTGCATGGAAACCCAGAACTTCCAGAGATCAAGACAGTTCTTTTAAAGAATAGGCCCAGAATATGCAATATTATTAGTCATACTCATTATTCAACGTAGTCATTTACTAGTCTGATTCAAATGGTGGGGAAACCAACATAACCACTCATTGGAATGAGTGTCAAATAATTTTTGCCATTTTTAATATGCCATAGTTCTCACTCTGTTCATAAATTATTCAATTTTCTCATGCAACTCCTTAACTCCTCACAGGATCCCCCAAAGTCTTATCTTATTTTAAAATTGACTTGATATCCAGTGTCTCGTTATCTAAATTAGGTCAGATGTGGATGAGACTCCCTGAATAAGATTCCTGTTAATGCAAAATTTTTGAATTAAAGACATAAGTTATATTCCCCATCCCCAACACACACACATAAAATACAATAAAAAGGGGGGCATAAGAAAACTGTGATAAACATGCATTTTCAAAAAGAAGGGAAGAGGAAGCATATAACAATCAATAGGCTATAGAAATTCTGAAATCCATTCATACAATATTCCTAATTCATTAGTTAGAACCCAGTCCTGCTCCCTGTGACAGATTCTCTGCAATCTTGGCTTCATTATCTGGGCTCTATATTCTGCCTTCTGAATCATCTTCCCTCTTACATTGAAAAAAAAAGATGGCCAATGTCAATACCTGAATAGCCCTATCAGTCAGCTTCCTGCTCACTGAAAGTTGGAAACTCCAACTTCTTCTGAACTACTGCTCTCCCTTTTGATCTAAGCTAGTGGTGCTTCTGCCAATGCAATTGTTTAAAAAACAAACAAACGAACAGAAACTCTGTGGCTTTACTCTGAGCTTTATTGGTGTTCATTTCATTAGGAAAAAAAGTCTTACAACTATATTTTTCTGAGATAGGCTTTGGTTGGGTTGTCTGCAATGTAGCTGTAGAAAACTCCCGAGATTCTGAAAGCACCAATCTATTATGCAGCGAAGAGGGTCTGAAGTCTTAGCAAAGTTTGTTACAGCCTTACATCTATTCCCTGATATCATGTTTCATGGCTCTGGATTTCATCTTTCACCTGAGACTATTTCTTCTTTTGATAACTCTTTGCTGGCTAGAAAGACTGTTCTGAATACATTGTATTTCTCCAAATTTAACTTGAAAACTTAACAGTTCCTTCTTTAGTACATATATCAGAGGCCACCAGAACTAAGTTGGCTCTTTACAAATTCTGCATAGAAATCATCTTAGATCATTAAGCCACTAGGTGTTATTTCCCATCGTTCATATTACTATAGGTAACAGCATTGCTAAACCTTCCACCACTGTATAACAAGGATAACCTTTAATCTGGCCATCAAATACCCTTTCCTCACTGTCCCTCAGGGCCCCATCTACTTCTAAGCTTTCACTGTCAGTCTACTTGAGGTCCTCCAAGCATCTACCTACTGCCTGGTCCACACGCTTTAGGTTTTTGTTACAGCAGCATCCCACTTCCAGGTAATAAATTCAGTTCCAGCTATCTATTGCTGCATTTACAAACTACTAAACACATACTGGCTTCAAACAAAAACTATACTTTTATATCTCATGATTTTACGGGCAAGAAAAAGCCAGTCTGAACAGAAGTAGCTCCATAAACACCATTTCTGTTGAATAAATTTCTGTTGTGACTAGGAATTACAACCCATTTAAGTGGTCATGTTCAAACAATGTGAAATATATTCTTTAAGAAAAAAGCCATTAGTAAACAGCAGTCCAAGCTGCCAAGTTGGCTAGGCAATTTGGCTTTATATGCCATCCTTAGGGATTACTCAGAGGTATTTAGCTGATGTTCGAGCTGGGGTAGAGGGGTCCAACACAGCTTCAATTACATGCCTGCACCTTTACAGAGATAGTTAGAAAGCTGGGCTCAAATTGGCCCTTCTCCCTCTCCCTGTAGTCTCAGGGGATCTCTATGTCTTCTCTCTGGCTAGGTAGCTGAACTTCTTATATAGTAGCTAGCTTAGGACTTCCGGAGACCAAGGTGAAGCTTGTCAGTCCTCTTAAAGACTAGGGTAGTAACTGGGAGGGCGTCATTTCTGCCATATTTCACTGGACAAATCAGTCAAAGGCCAGCCCAGAACCAGGGGTGGAGAAGGAACTCCACTTCTGAGTAAAAGGGATGTCAAAGAATTTGTGATAAATGTTAATCCACCAGAAACAACATGCCCAAAATTACTCTGTGAGTTAGTGTATGGTCATATGGTCAGATTTGGAATGAGGTCTCCTGAACCCCAATCCTTCTCTGTAAATGTTTATATTATCCTTGGATATATATTACTTTCACCTATCACCTCTTTATTTTCTTCTTAAGATAAATTTCTTTTATAGTAATTTAATTAAATTTTTTATCATAATTTAAATGACTGTTACTCTTTCACAATCTCATATGAACAAATTATCTGAGAAATATTTCATGTCAGGATCTGGAGATACAAAGTTGAACAAAACAGAGTGTGACCTGCAAGTCATTCAGCATTTTTAAACACACAGTATCCTTTGTCTACATTAAAAAATTTATAAAATATTTCAGTGAAATAATATATACGGTATATAAATATCATGAGGTCCATGTTCTCAGCAGTCACTTAAGGAATAATTCAGTTAGATAGGAAGAATAAGTTTTAGTTATCTATTTCACAGAATATTGGCTATAATAAATAATGATGCATTGTTTATTTCAAAGCTGCTTAAAGAGTATATTTTGGGTGTTTTCATCACCAAAAAAAAGGTAAGTATGTGAGGTGATAGAATTGTTAATTAGCCTGATTTAGTCATTCCACATTGTAAACATATATCAAAACATCACATTGTACCCCAGAACTATATAAAAATTATTGTCAATTAAAATAAAATTCAAAAAAGAAATAAGATATTACCTATACATTTAGTCTTCTGTGTGCCTCCTTTTGATGTTAATAACCTTCTTTATATGTGTATATATATACATACACATATATATAAAAGTAGATAGAATATTTTCTGTTTTCTATTCAGCACTATTCTATATGTTATATTTAAATCTTGGCCAAGGTTTTTTTAATTTAGATATTCTAATACTACTGCTAGGCATTTGTGTATTCTGCAATTAACTTCCCCTGGACTGTGGACCTTGGGTATTACCATTTTACTTATTTTAAGTATTGTCTTTTGGAAATCAGACATTCCCCATTGTAACATTTTGCTCTAATTATGTTTTCTTTTTTGTAAATTTTTAATTGACAAATTAAGTTTTTTAATTGACAAATTAAGTTTTTAATTGACAATAAAATTATATAGATATATGGTATACAACATGATGTTTTGAAATATGTATACATTGTGGCTGATTAGATTTTCATCCCCTCTAGAATTGGTTTTGTGGCATGGTAAGAGGTAAATATATTTTTTATTTGTTTCATGTGGGTAACTAATTTCATCATCATTATCTGTGTATAAATCAATTATTTCCCTCATTGATCTATAGTGCTGTATCTAACATAAAGCACGGCTTAATATGTGTACAATTTTTTTTATTTTGCCTGTTCTCTTCCATTAGTACACTTATCTATCTTTCTAAACAAATAGCATAAGTTATTTTTGACATCTGAGTGGAAAATACCCACCAACATATTCTTTTTCTTAAATTTTTTCAATAATTCTTGGCCCTTTCAATTACCTTACAATTGGTATAAACAACTTGCAAATTCCATAAAAATTAAGACAGAATTTTGATTTCTACTCATTAAATTAATATATAAATTAGGATGGTATTATTCTATATGTATCATTAAGACTTTCCAGCCATGGACATGAAATATTTCTGTACTTAACTCTTTAATGCTTTTCAGTAAAATTTTATAACTTATCCTAAACATCATACACACTTTCTTTATATTTATTACTGAATGCTTTATAGTTTTCATTGTTTTTATATCATCTTGTTTTGTTGTGTATAGGAATAGACTTATGATCTTATATATAGCTATCTTGCTGAATGCACTTATCAATTTCAAATATTTTTCTCTTGAATTTTCAAAGTATACAAACACATTGAGTGAGCATATTGACAATTTTGTTTCTTACTTTCCAAATCTTAATAGCTTTTATTATTTTTATTATATTATATCACTGGTTAGGAATTTGAGCATAATGTTGAATAAAAATGGCTACAGCAGGCATCCTTGTCATTTCTCTGATTTAAAAGAAAACACTTATTTCATCAAGTTTGCTGAGATTTTAGGAGACATTTTTTCCCAGTATTTGCTGAGATTTTTTGTAATTATGAATAAATGCTGAATTATGTAAAAGTATTTTCCACATATGAAAAGATGAACATATTGCTTTCTCATTTAATGATACTTTGTGTATTACATTAATAATTTTCAAATATTAAATAATTCTTGAAATACTAGAATATGACTATCTCAATCATAAAGTGTTTCCTTTTGAGACATTATTAGATTTGGTTACATAGTATAATTTAAAGTTATTTGTACATGTACTAGTAAGTGAAATTGCCCTGTAGTTAATTTCTATTTGAAAGCAGCACAGTTTAATGCTTTAAAGCATGGATTCTAGAGTCAGGTTGTTTGCATTCAAGTTCATTCACTACCAATTACTGTCATTGTTATCTCAGAAAAATTACTAAAATTTTCCGTTCCTTCAACTTCTTATACGCAAAATGGGAACAGGAGGAGTACCTACTTCAATTGGTTGTTAGAAGGATTAAATGAGTCAGTAAGTGTTTAGAATAATGCCTAGCACATAACGAATACTACACAGGTTTTGTAAACACAAATAACAAGGTGCACTTTCATGTTTTCAGTATCTAATGTATATCAAACTCCTAAAAGAAGATGGATATAATTAATGTGTTTTTTTCCTTAAGGGATTTTTAATAAAATGTCAATAATCTATTCCTGGAATATTTGACATTGAGTCTAGTTTTGCTTTTAAGTTTTTTGTTTGTTCATTTGGAGAAGCATGTATGAATTAGTTTTAAGTTATTTCTTGAAGGTCTATTCAAGTTTTCTATTTTTTTCATGCACAATTGTTAATAATAACAGATAATGCAGGCAAAGTTTCCCACTTGGGAGCTTCCATTTTTGTGATAAGGAGACAGAAACAGATGCCAAGAATAAATAATTCAAAAAACAAGAGAGAGAGTAATAGAGTCATAGTTTTAATTAATATCAAGTGCTGAGGGAAGTCCTCTTTCATTAGAGGATGTATTCATTTCCTAGGGATGTTGTAACAGAGTTCTACAAACTAGGTAGCTCAAACAAGAGAAAAGTATTGTCTCACAGTTCTGGACCTTGGAAATCCAAGATGAAGGTGTCAGCAGGGTTGTTACCTTCTAAGGACTGTGAAAGAAGGATCTGTTTCAGGAATCTATCCTTAACTTGCAGATGGCTGTCTTTCTATTCATTTGGCATTTCCCCTGAATGTTTGTCTTCCAAGCCTCCCCTTTCTATGTAAGGACACCAGTTACATTGGATTAGGGCCCACCCTAATGATTTCATTGGAACATAACTACATCTGCAACAACCCAATTTCCAAATAAGATCAAATGCTTAGATACGGGGGGTTAAGACTTCAACATATGAATGGGGGTGTGCATAGTTCAACCTAAAACAGATGCTAATTGAGCAGAGATCTGAAGAAGAGAAAGATAATCATAAGAATTACTGAGGAAGAGTGTTCCAGGCAAAAGGACTAGTCAAAAGTTATGAGGTAGGAACTTGCCTGGCGTTTCCCAAGAACAGCATATGTCAGTGTGCATGGTACAGAAGTGAAGGAGGGGAAGCCTGGAAAGAAATGGGATCAGAAAAGCAGCAGGGGATCAGATCTGGAGGAGCCTGGGCAAGGTGCCTAGAAGACCATGGTTAAGGTCTGGGAGTTTATTCTGTATGAGATAGGAAAACACTGAGTTTCGAGCAGATGAGTGGCACCATCTGTCTTTGTTGAGAATAAATAAACGAATCAAGTTCAAAGAAACTTGTATGCAGCAACAACAGTGATCTAGAGGAGAGATTATGGTGCTAAGAGTAGAATGGTATTGGGAGAGATTGTGAGAACTGGCTTTATATCAAATGTATTCTGAAGGTAGATTCCACATATTTTGCTAACAAGAATTAGATTGAAGTACTACTAATCAGTGACTGTTTAATTTACCAGGCTGTAATTTGCCAGAACACAAGGGTAATGTAAATTTGAACTTTAAACTTGCAGTGTGTCAGGGATGTGGTTAGATTTTCTGAGAGGAGTCACACACACCAAAAAAAAACAAAAACAAACAAACAAACAACAAACAAACAAAACCTCCTGGCGCCCAAGCTGAATTAGATCACTTCCAGTTTTGTTTTGTTTTGTTTTTCTTTTGATAGGTTGGCAGATTTTTTTTTTCTAGTCCTATTTTACTAAAGATGTGAAGACTGGAGCTTTAAGGATACAATTCTCTATGCTGGGAAAGCCCAAGGAGTCCTAATTGCACCCACACCTAATCCATTCCACTTCCATGTTTACCTAGAGGCTGCTATAAGATCTCAGTCTCTAAGTCAAAGAGATAACAAATATTGAGGGAATCATGCTCCCAAGTTAGCGTATCACTGCAGCTCACTCTTGGTATTTGTTGCCAACAGATTTTTCATTCACTTACTGAAATTAAGCCTACAATTTAAAAGAATGTTCAATTGTATCCAGCATCCCTGAAAGTTTGGAAGTGGGCAGTTTCTCTGGATATATATTCTAGTAAAGAAACAGAAACATGTACATAATGTTTATGATATAAGGTAAAATGGCATGCATCATCTGAATTCACAATACAACTCAATCAGCTAGAAATTATTGAGGCTAAGTGAAACTCTTGATTATTTTCCGTACAAAACTGCATATTCATCTTGGTAGCATGTACATATTACCATTTCTCAGCAGCTATACTTACAATTCTTTTTTTTTTTTTTTTGAGACAGAGTCTCACTCTGTCACGCAGGCTGGAGTGCAGTGGCGCAATCTCAGCTCACTGCAAGCTTCGCCTCCTGGTTTCACACCATTCTCCTGCTTGACTCAGCCTCCCTAGGAGCTAGGACTACAGGTGCCCGCCACCACGCCTGGCTAATTTTTTTTCTATTTTTTAGTAGAGACAGGGTTTCACCGTGTAGGATGGTCTCAATCTCCTGAGCTCATGATCTGCCTGCCTCGGCCTCCCAAAGTGCTGGGATTACAGGCATGAGCCACTGTGCCCGACCTATACTTACAATTCTTTTATTCATGAGACCATGTTTCCTTTTGTTTTGAAATTTTCTTGTGTTTTGACATGCCAGGCTTTCATATTATTTGAGTTATTAGAGTTCAGTGTTAACAATAATGAAATTAAAGGAAAATTTGTTGCATAAATGTCATTTTAATACTAAATTTTTTTGTTTTGGGGTACCAGTACAAGAAATTTAAAACAAATAAAATTGCTAAATATAAAATCAAGAATAAAAGAGATTAAGTAGGACAGGCCAAGATGGCCAATTAGAAGCAAATACAGCCTGCAGCTCTCACAGAGAAAAAGGAAAATAGCAATTGAATTCTACACCTTCAACTGAGGTATCCATATTCTCACATTGGAACTGATTAGGTGGTTGGCATGACCCACAGAAAGCAAGGAAAAGCAGGGTGGGACAACAGCCCACCCAGGAGCCGCATGGAGCAATGGGAGCTCCCACCCCAAGCCAAGGGAGGCAGTGAGTGATCATGCGAGGAAACCATGCTTTTCCGATGGATCTTTGTAACCTGC
This sequence comes from Homo sapiens, assembly GCF_000001405.40. Taxonomy (NCBI): domain Eukaryota; kingdom Metazoa; phylum Chordata; class Mammalia; order Primates; family Hominidae; genus Homo; species Homo sapiens. The sequence continues at coordinate 109,213,631 of NC_000007.14, read as the reverse complement.
AGATCAGGAGATCCCCTTGTGAGCCCACGTCACCAGGGCCTTGGGTCCGAAACACAGAGCTATTCAAACTCTTGGTGGCAGCTCAGGCATGCACAAAGACACACGGAACGTGGCTGAAGCCAGGGAGCCAAGGGAATTCAATGAGGCAGGAGATCCATCCATTCCCCTACGAAGGGGGCTGAAGCCAGGGAGCCAAGTGGCATCATTCTGCAGGCCCCACTCCTACAACACCTCGTAAGTTAAGGCCCACAGGCTTGGAATTCCAGACAGCCATCAGCAGCAGGCTGGAGATGCCTGAGATGACCAAATTCCTGGGCGGAAGGGAGGCCACTATCTCTGTGGCTCCAGTTGGCTGTCCTGGTCTGCTGGCTCTGGGGATTCTGGCTGGTTTGGACTGGAAGAAATTCCCCACTGCACAGCACAGCTGCTGTGGCAGATTGTGGCCAGATTGCCTATTTAAATGGGACAGCAAACTATCTATCCTCACTGGGCAGGGCCTCCCTGCAGGAATTTCAGCAACTCCAGCCAGAGTTTTACAAATAGAACTCTAATCTCCCTGAGACGGAGACCCTCAGGGGAGGGACAGCCATGGTCTCTGTGGTTCAGTCAACTCAGCCTTACCTGCCTGCTGGCTCTGGAGAGTCTGGGGGTCTGGACAGGGAGGGTTCCCCACAGCACAGTGCACCCACTTTGCCAGGGGGTACCCAGACTCTTTCTTTAAACAGGCCCCTAATCCTATTCTTCCGGACTGGGTGAGACCACCCAACAGAGTCTCCAGACACCTCCTACAGGTCTCCAGACACCTCCTCCAGACACCCCCTCCAGACACCTCCTACACCTCGTTCAGGCCGGCATCAAGTCAATGCCCCTCTGGGACAGAGCTTCCAGAAGAAGGAGCAGACTGCCATCTTTGCTGTTTTTCAGCCTCCACTGGTGATACCTCCAGGTGCAGGAGGGACCCAGGCAATTAGGGTCTGGAGCAGACCCCCAGCAAACTGCAGCAGCCCTACAGAAGAGGGGCCTGACTGTTAAAACAAAATAAACAGAAAACACAACAACAACAAAGATTCCACAAAAACCCCATCCAAAGGTTAGCAACCTCAAAGATCAAAGGTAGAAAGATCTCAAATCGACAACCTAACATGACAACTTAAATAACTAGAGAACTAAGATCAGAGTGGAACTGAAGGAGATAGAGACACAACAAACCCTTCAAAAACTCAGTGAATCCAGGAGAGGAGTTTTTGAAAAAATTAATAAAATAGACTATTAGCTAGACAAATAAAGGAGAAAAGAGAGAAGAAACAAATACAATCAGAAATAATAAGGGGACTATCACCAATGAACCCACAGATATAACAACCGTTAGAGAATACTATAAACACCTCTATGCAAATAAACTAAAAAAAAATCTAGAAAAAATGGATAAATTCCTGTATACATACACCCTCCCAAGACTGAATCAGGAAGAAGCTAAATCCCTTAATAGACCAAGAATGAGTTATAAAATTGAGGCAGTAATAAGTAGCCTACCAACCAAAAAAAGCTGAAGACTGGACTGATTTACAGCTTAATTCTATCAGAGGAACAAGGAGGAGCTGGTACCATTTCTTCTGAAACTATTCTTAACACTTAAAATTAAGGGACTTCTCCCTAACTGGTTTTATGAGGACAGCATCATCCTGATACAAAAACCTGGCAGAGATACAACAACAAAAAAGAAAACTTCTGGCCAATAATCTTGATGAACATCGATGCAAAAATCCTCATTTAAATACTGGCAAACTGAATCCAGCAGCACATCAAAAAGAATATCTGCCAAGATCAAGTTGCTTTCATGCCCGAGATGCAAGGTTGGTTCAACACACACAAATCAAAACATGTAATTCATAACATAATCTGAACTAAAGACAAAAACCACACGATTCTCTCAAAAGATGCAGAAAGGCCTTTGAATATAATTCAACATCCCTTTATGTTAAAAAAAAAACTCTCAGTAAACTAGGTTTTGAAGGAACATGCTTCAAAATAATAAGAGCCATATATGACAAACCCACAGCCAATATCATACTGTATCAGCAAAAGCTGGAAGCATTCCCCTTGAAAACCGGCACAAGACGAGGATGCCCTCTCTCACCACTGCTGTTCAACATAGTGTTGGAAGTTCTGACCAGGGCAATCAGGCAAGAGAAAAAAGAAAAGGCTTCCAAATAAGAAGAAAGGAAGTAAAATTATCTTTATTAGCAGATAATATAATTCTATATCTAGAAAAACCTATTGTGTCAGCCCCAAATCTTCTTAAGCTGATAAGCAACTTTGGTGAAGTCTCAGGATACAAAATCAACTTGCACAATAGGCAAACAGAGAGACAAATAATGAATGAACTCCCATTCACAACTGCTACAAAGAGAATAAAATACCTAGGAATACAGCTAACAAGGGAAATGAAGGACCTCTTCAAGGAGAACTACAAACCACTGCTCAGGAAAATCAGAGTAGACACAAATGGGAAAACATTTCATGCTCATGGATAGAAAGAATCAATATTGTGAAAATGGCCATACTGTCCATAGTAATTCATAGATTCAATGGTATTCCCATTAAACTACCATTAACATTCTTCACAGAATAAGAAAAAAATATTTTAAAATTCACATGGAACCAAACAGGAGCCCAAATAGCCAAGACAACCCTAAGCAAAAAGAATAAAGCTGGAGCTATTATGCTACCTGACTTCAAACTATACTGCAGGTCTACAATGACCAAAATACATGGTTCTGGTAAGACACATAGACCAATGGAACAGAATAGAGAACTCAGAAATAAGACCATACACCTACAACCATCTGATCTTTAACAAGCCTGACAAAAACAAGCAATGGGGAAAGGATTACCTACTTAACAAATGGGTCTGGGAGAACTGGCTAGCCATATGCAGAAAATTGAAACTGGACCCTTTCCTTAACCCTTATACAAAAATTAACTCAAGTTGGATTAAAGACTTGAATGTAAAACCCAGAACTTTAAAAACTCTAGAAGAAAATCCAGGCAATACCATTCAGGACATAGGCATGGGCAAAGACTTCATGATGAAAATGCCAAAAGCAATTGCAAAAAAAAAGCAAAAATTGACAAATGGCATCTAATTAAACTCAAGATCCTCTGCACAGCAAAAGAAACCGTGCAGAGTGAAGAGACAACCTACAGAATGGGAGAAAATTTTTGCTCCATCTGACAAAGTCAAATATCCAGAGTCTACAAGGAACTTAAACAAATTAACAGGAAAAAAAAAACCCTATTAAAAAGTGGGCAAAAGACATTAACAGACACTTCTCAAAAGAAGGCATTCATGTGGCCAACAAACATATGAAAGAAAGCTCAACAACACTGATCATTAGTGAAATGCAAATCAGAACCACAATGAGATACCCTCTCATGCCAGTCAGAATGGCAATTAGTTGAGAAACAACAGATGCTGGTGGGGATGCGGAGAAAAGGGAATGCTTTTACACTGTTGGTGGAAATGTAAATTAGTTAAACCACTGTAGAAGATCCTCAAAGATTTAGAAGCAGAAATACCATTTGACCCAGCAATCCATTACTGGGTATATACCAAAGAAATATAAATCATTCTATTATAAAGATACATGCACGTGTGTGTTAATTGCAGCACTATTCACAATAGCAAAGATAAGAAATCAACACAGAAGCCCATCAATGATAGACTGGATAAAGAAAATATGATACATAAACACCATGGAATACTATGAAGCCATAAAAAGGAACACGATCATGTTCTTTGCATTGACATGATGGAGCTGGAAGCCACTATCCTCAGCAAACTAATGCGGGAACAGAAAACCAAACAGCACATGTTCTCAGTTATAACTGGGAGCTGAACAATGAGAACACATAGACACATGGAGGGGAACAACACACTCTGGGGCCTGTTGGCAGGGGCAGGAGGAGGGAAAGCATCAGGAAGAATAGCTAATGGATGTTGGGCTTAGTATCTAGGTGATGGGTTGATCTGTGCGGCTGACCACCATGACACATGTTTACCTGTGTAACAAACCTGCATATCCTGCCCATGTACCCTGGAACTTAAAATAAAAGTTGAAGATGAAAAAAAAACGGTAAAAGAAACTTTTGATTATTTTGCTCTTCACAGGACCTACAATCAAAAGCATTAACCATAATGGCAATATTGACATTTAGACTACTAAAATGTTTAGTGTAAAATTAAATATATATTTTATAATTATTTACAATTTAACACCAAAGAAAAATAGACAGTTTATAAGTTTGGGTCTGTATGAATTCACAAAGTAAACATGCCATTTTAACCAAAACTTAACAAGAAACAAATCATGGGAAACCATTGTTGAGGTTTAAAACAGCAAGGATAAGCTTTGACTATTTTTGAGCTTCAAATAAGTACAATGATACAATATGTATTTTAAACTGTGCTTGTGAAAATTATTCATTATTTTGTGTGTAGTTTTATTTTATTTATTATCAATGAAGTTTAGTATTATCTGTTATGCTACTGATAAACATTTAGGTTTTTTCCAGTTTGGGACTATTATACGTTTTCTACATAAATTTTACTATGGATGTCTTTTGATTATCATATATGTATATATGCAGTTCTTTGGGGGATATATTTAGAAATAGAATATCTGGTCATAGGGTTTCCATATATACTGTTACAGCAGTTACTGCCAATGTGTTTTCCAAAGAGATTGTACAATTTGCAGTCTCACTGGTGATATGTAATGTTCCAATTTTTCCACAACCTTACCAACAATTCACTTCATTATAGCCAATGTAGTGGCTGTGAAGTTGTATTGCATTGCATTTTAATTTGTGTATCTCTGATAACTAACAAAGTTGAGCCCCCTTCAAATGTTTATTGATGGTCTGGGCATCTTGTTTTGTGAAAATGTCTCAAGTCTTTTGTCCAATGCTCTTTTTATTTGGTAATCTACTCTTATATGTTTCTAAGAAGTTTTTATATATTCTAGATATATATCTAGAATGATTTGAGTCCTTTGAAAGTTATTGTTTTGCAGTTTTTTTCTCAATTCTGTGACCTGCCTTTTCATACTTTTAATGATCTCTTTTGATTAACAGAAATTATTGATTTTAATGTAGTCGAATGTATTAATAATTTCCTTTATGTTTAGTAAATTTTGTTTTGTTTGGAAAAAACCTTTGCTTATCCACACAGTCATTGTATCTTTCTAAGCTTTCTTCCAAATTTTTCATTGTACATATTATATTATTTGTAAAAAATTAGAGATTGGCATTTTTCTTTAGTTTTTATTGCTTTATTGTACTATTTACTACCTGAGTAAATGTGAACTAAAAGTCAATATAGCAGATAACCTTGTTTTATTCCTAATATGTAAGTGTTCAATAAGTTATAATTGAATATTTGCTATGGGTTTTCTATAATCAATATTTGTCAGATTAAGATAAAATTAAGATAATTATCAAATTATCACAAACATAGTATCTTAAAACAACACAAATTTGTTATCTTATGTTAATAGTTCTAGAGATCAGAAGTCCAAAACGAGTTTTATGGGCTCAAATCAAGATGTCAGCAGAGCTATATCCCTTCTGGAGGCTCTAGGAAAGAATCATTTAACTTTCCCGTTCCAGTTTCTAGAGGCTGGCTGCATTCTTTAGCTGATGGCTCTCTTTTTATCTTCCAAGCCAGAAATTGCATTCATCTTCACATCTCTGTCTCTAACTTTTTACTTTTCTGCTTTCTTCTTTTCCTTACAAGAGACCCTGTGATTACATCAGGTTCACCCACAAAATCCAGGATATTCTCTCTATCCCCAAATCTTTAATTAAGTCACATCTTCAGTATTTTTTGCCATGTAAGATAACACATTCACAGGTTTTAGAGAATAGGATATGGACATCCTGGGGAAGCCTCATTGTTCTGCTTATTTCCATAACTTTTCACTGTATTTTATATCACTTTTGCTGTATTCTTTATCTCTCATCTTTTTTATCACTTCTAAACTACAAGTCAGATATTCTCTATCAGCCTGCATTCTAGTCCCCTAATTTAAATTCTGCTAAATTCCTAATAACAGATATTGCATTTTCATCTATATAATTTTTATTTGATTCTCTAATACATTCATTTTTATTGAAATTCTTTATCTATTAAGCTATCTCTTCCCTTTTTTTGAAAATATAAATTATACTCCTTCTAAAGTCCTGGTTGGCTAATTCCAAAATGAGGGTCATTTATGTGTCTGGTTCTATTGTCTGATTTTTCTCTTGTTCAGTTATATAGTCATGTTTCTTATATACCTAGTATTTATTTTTACTAAATACTGGAACTGTTATATTTAAAAACTGAAGAGCATCCAGATAAATAATATTTCTTTTCAGGTAGAATACATCCATTTCTCCTCTAGGCAGATGTATTAAAGTGGTATGTCATCTAACATTCTCAGTGACACTATGGTAGGTAATATTATTACTAGCCATTCATAGATGAAGGCATTGAGGTTTCGATTTGCAGTGATTGACGCACTCCTGCCCCAGCCTGTAGAGATATTCTCTTTGATTAAGTTTACTTCCATCTTATTCAATTTACAAAGCATTTATGTTCCATTTCTCTTGCAATGTATAGGGAGATTTATAAGTACTCAGGAATGCTAAAAAAAAAAAACAGTTGTACATGAGTTATGATAAGGAATATTCATGTTTGAGTCCAGCTCATCATCTGAGTCCCTTCTAACTTTTCAGCCTGATTCTCTGCAATAAAACAACAGTATTAAAACCAATACTACTATTAATTAACAAAAATATTTCTCTTTTTTCTCTAAACTATCTTTTCCTGCCAATTTAAAAATCTGTTCCTACTTAGCATTATGCTTCATCTTACCTCAGGCCACTACTCTGTAGTATCCAAAAACCAGCTCTGAAAGAAGGCATCTAAGAAAATAATTATTATGTCATACTTAACTTGGCAATTTTCCTTCATCTTTGCTTCCATTTCAGTGTGTGTTGTGCTAGGTGAGAGTGGGAAAAGAAAATGATAAGAGAGATAAAAAGTTGAGAAAAATACTCAGATTAATCTGTCAATCTACCTTGCCACAAGAAAACAACTTGTCTAGAACAGTATTATGCAGAGAAACTAAAGCTGTACCCATCCAGTCTCTTTATTAAGCTTGTAAGGCTTTTCTTGACCACTAGGGCTTCCCTTTCAAAAAAATTAAGTGTCTCTCTTCTGTATTCTCAAAGAACCTAAGGCTGCCTTTACCCTAGCATTCACTACACTCTGAAGTCATCTCTTGGAATTCACAAGGAATTGGTTTTAAGACTCCTCACGCGCACCAAAATCTGCAGATGCTCAAGTTCTTCATATAAAATGGTATATTATTTGCATGTATCTGCACATATCCTCTGGTATACTTTAAAACAACTCTAAATTACTTATAATACCTAATGCAATGTAAATGCTATGCAAATAGTTGTTATACTGTATTTTCTGTTTGTATTAATTTTATTGCTTTGTTCCCCCAATATTTTCAATCCATGGTTGATTGAATTCTTAGATGCAGAACCCACAGATACGGGGGGCCAACCATATTTAATAACTGAATATGTTTTTGTTTCCCTCTTGTATACTGTAAGTCCTAGAGGCCAAAGGCTACAGCTTAATTATCTATATACTATCACGGCTCTATTCTTCCCTTCACAGCAAATTTATTAAATGAGAAATTGGCACTCACTCTGCACTTTCTCATGGCTCATTCACTCCTTAGCTCAATGCAAACTACCCATGCTGTCTCATAACAACACTAGTCCTCTCAATAACAACACTAGTTATTATTTTATACTGTGTCAAAAATAGCCCATATTACCAGATCCCACAGGAAAACTTTAGGCCCTATTATACAATGTCTCTGGAATAAATAACTGCTAATCACTCTTCTTGAAATTCTTTTTTTCTCTGTTTCTGTAACACTTACCTCTTTTGATTCAATTCCTATGCTTCTGGTCATTACTTTTCAGTATGCTCTATATACTGTAATTTCTCTACTGTGCCATTATGTGCCTCTGTTCATTTATATTCCTCACTTCATTTTGCCCACTTCACTTTAAGATAGCATCTGTTAGAGCCATCTGCTCCTAAGGAGAATTAACAGGTTACAATGGTCTACTGCATGCCCAATTGATCCACTGACTTCACTGATGGCATCTTTCTTTATCTCCTCTCTAAATAACAGGTGTGGTCATCTTGCTCAGAAAAACAAGAAACAAAAATTGAAACAAAACCTATGGCTGGTGAGGAAAATTGACTTCCTGGCAAAGTGATATCAGGAAACCCATTTGTCTGCAAAAGGAAACAACTCTATCTGCATGGCAAAGATGTCTGCTGTAACCACAGGAAAAGAGTCAAGGGAATGTCCATGTATGGGTTCTGCAATGCTACAGAAGAATATTTCCTTTTGCTCTTTTATTTTTACCTATATCTAGCTTATACATTATAAAATTGGTTCCATGACTAAAATGAGTCACATCTAAATTCTACTACAAAATGAGTCCATTCTTGCACATCTTCTGATACCAATTATAACATTTGGTGGAAGTCCAAATTGGCAAACGTGTTTTTTCTTCCCAGTAACCTTTTGTGCCACGTTGAATTTAAAGAGCATTTATCTTCTGAAATCTCCTAAAGTTCCTCAAGGCAGGAAAAAAAAAAGATTGTACTCTTATTCCAGAAAGGAAACCCCAAAAGTGAAAAGAACCAACAGAAGAATCAGGATGAATTCCTTAATTCCTGCCAGTGTGCCATTTAGCAAATTGGTTGAAATCTGGGAATAATTATTTGCATTATGTTTGATGTGGCTAAAATTTTTACTTCTTAATAAATATTCTTGAAAAGCAAAAAGGATTTCAATATCATTATGATTCAATCCATATATATCCTCCTGTAGTTCCCATAATTCCCATGTGTTATGCGAGGGACCTGGTGGGAGATGATTGAATCATAGGGGCAGGTCTTTACCATCCTGTTCTCATGATAGTGAATGGGTCTTATAAGATCTGATGGTTTTAAAAATAGGAATTTCCCTGCACAAGATCTCTCTTTGCCTGCTGCCACCACGTAAGATGTGGCTTGCTTCTCCTTGCCTTCCACCATGATTGTGAGGGCCCCCCAGCTGTGTGGAACTGTAAGTCCAATCAATAAACCTTTTTCTTTTGTAAATTGCCCAGTCTTGGGTATGTCTTTATCAGCAGTGTGAAAACAGACTAACACACATCCTCTCATTCTAAAATAATATGAGTATTCCATTCTCTGTGAATATTCTGACCATTCAGAATTCAGTTTATAGCTTATTTTCTTTTGTAAAAGATAGAACTATTTTAAGAGCATAGAATAGAGTCTATGTTTAATGTGACATCTCTCCAGGACACATGGAAATAGTGATGTGAACTCTCAGGAAGGTATTAGAAGGAAAGCAACCTTCTCAGTTGCTTCATATGGACAATTACAAAGAATATGAAGGAGGCAGTCGGGTGACATAGTAGGCAACTGGGAAGGGCTAAGACAGTAGAGCAGGAGGAATAATGAGAATTGACCTTCCCCAAGCCATTCTCACTGAGAACACATCCCTTCATAGTCAGCGTGGCTGTCTGCTCGAAAGGACAGATCACAACTTCCTGCAAACAGTCCTAACACAACGTAGTGATGGACTAGATAGTTTGGGACTACAACTTGAAGCTGAAATAAGTTGATTTGATTTTCCTTTTAAAAAATGGCCCAATGCCCAATTTTTATAGAAACGGTTATATTTTATCAACTTGAAATTCTGAACCTCTAAATATTAAACATATTAATTGCATGTAAATTACCAAAAACTGGCTGACTTAATACAACACATATTTATTCTGTCACATTTCTGGAGGCAGGAATTGTGAATCAAGGTGTCAGCAGGGCCATGCTCCCTCTGTGGGCGCTAGGGAAGTACCGTCCCTTGCCTCTTCCTAGCTTCTGGTGCTTGCTGGTGGTTTTTGGCATTTCTTGGCTTGCACTTGCATCTCTCTGATCTGCCTGCCTTCTTACCTCCTTCCTCCCTGTGTTTCTTGGTGTCCATTCCTCTTTGCATAAGGACACCAGTCACTGAATTTAGAGCTCACACTAATCTAGTATGGCTTCTTATTAACTAACTACAGTTGCAAAGACCCTATTTTCAAATATGACCACATTCTGAGATTCCCAGTGAATATGAATTTAGGGTTGGGGGGACAGAATTTTACACATGTATCAACAGGTTTTTCTTTTCAGAAGAATTCATATTTGACTAAGTTTGTATTTTATTCTGCATTGTGATACATTGGGGAGCAGAAGGTCTTATCACAAAGTTATCTGAAAGAGATGCAAGGTTTCATTTGTGATAATAACATACTTCTTAATTGTCTTCTCATCCAGTCTCAGTCATACATCAATATGGATTCAATCAGTAAAAGTGAAAGCTATAGCTCCATTGACATCCATTGTGCCTATCAGTTCACTCTGTGGGTTGGATTGCTGTGAATATGAAGTTCTACCTTGTACTCAGTTATCAATTTTCCAGATTGCAGCCATCTTCATGGGTTATCATCTATGCCTAGACCACAGCAATCAACCTTGGATTTCCTTTTCACCATCATTATAGAGAGTCTTTCTCATTTTCCTGTGTTTGAACATCTGTTTCCTGTTCCCATCCCATCTTTCTATTCACCTTTACTGGTTAAGTTGCTCATTTTTGTAGAACACATCCTCCAGTACCTTCCAAAGAAAGGTGAATAAGAAATTAAATTTTCTCTTTCTTGTAAGTCTGAAATATAATTCATTGGTATCTGTGCCAAACATAGAATTGTTAGGTGGAAACAATTTTCTTTCAGATATTTGAAGTCATCACACATTGTTTCTTGCTTCCAGCGTGGTTGTTGACAAATCCCAAGATTTCAAGTAGTTGTCTAATTTTGTAACACTTTCTACTCAGTCTTTTTGTCTTTTTGCTTTAATCTCTGAGAGAGTTCCCAGACTTCATATCATAACATCTTCACAGGGCTCTTTTTCCCACTGTGCATATGTTTTTAGTTTTTATTATGTTTTCTGATAATTTCCTTTGTGTCATTTTTGTTTTAGTTTTATAAATGCAATAGCCTCTATTACCACTCTTAGGATATTAATATCAAGTTCATTTTTTTTCTTCATATTTGTTTCCTCGAAGATGCTGTTATTTTTTCCTATTGGTTTATTTTGGTTTCTATCTTTCTCATTAAAGATTTCCCCCAAGCGGATCATGAGGTCAGGAGATTGAGACCACGATGAAACCCCGTCTCTACTAAAAAAAATACAAAAAATTAGTCTGGCGTGGTGGCGGGCGCCTGTGGTCCCAGCTACTTGGGAGGCTGAGGCAGGAGAATGGCGTGAACCTGGGAGGCGGAGCTTGCAGTGAGCCGAGATCGCACCACTGCACTCCAGCCTGGGTGACAGAGCGAGACTCCATCTCAAAAAAATAAAAAATAAAAAAAAGATTTCCCCCAAGATATTTGGTAATCTATTTACTTGCTTATAATTAAGATTGGGTGGAGAGCTCAAAAGCAGATAAAAGCTCTGAGCATCCAAGTGGGGACTAAGCAAACTTGAACTCCACTGCAGAGAGATACGGCCAGTTTTCAGGAAAACCAGGATGTCAGTATCCTTGTTTCTTTCTCTTATGGGAAGGCGAATTTTCCAGAGACAGATCTTCTAGTCTCCTGCTATAGAACAGACGTCTAGTTTCCCATGTTCTAGCAGTCAAGTGGAAGCAAAAGACAAAAATATCAGTATTTACATGTAAGGGATCTGTTCATTCTCCTTATGATACTGTTTGTTTCCTCTCAACAGTCCAGTCCAGGCACAGTTTAACCTTCAGCTACACCCAAATCTCCAGAGCACTGACAGAGTAATTGAAGGGTGGTTAAATGATATGCAAGAGATTATCCAGGAATCTTTTTTAACATTCTCAAATCTTCTTTAACAGCAAGTTACTTCACTCCTAGTTCCATAACTGCTAGTTCCTGAGGTTTTTGAAAATTTTACAGTTCAATTTTGGTTCTTTCACAGTTTTTTTCTATTTCTAGGTTAGTGTTTGCTAAGTGGGTAGTCCTTGCCCATCTGCTTTCTAACACCCAAAATGCTGTTGCAGTGGTTTTTCTCGCCTATCTTTGTGGGACTATGTCTCTGAAAAAAAATTACTTTATGATAGTTTTAGTGAAGTTTGGATGGATCAATAGTTGTTTATATTGTCATCTTTATCCTGTATAAAGGATTTTAAAATTATTATATATAAATGAATAAAAATAAAGTAATTGACTACCCAGAAAGATAGGATCTCTGTCTCTTGAACAAATTAATACAAAATGTAAGCTAAAATCTACAAACAATGTGAGATCATTAGCTGCTTTTTTTATTCTCCCAGAGGAAAACAGGGATCTGAAATACTAGAGGCAAAGATACAAGTCTATTGATAATCAGCACCACTTCCAATAAATCTACCATGATTCGACAGGTAAGAATGGTGGCCAGGGGTGGGGGCTCATGCCTGTAATCCCAGCACAGTGGGAGACTGAGGCGGACGCATCACCTGAGGTCAGGAGTTCGAGACCAGCCTGACCAATATGATGAAACCCCGTCTCTACTAAAAATATAAAAATTAGCCAGACATGGTGGTGGGTGCCTGTAATCCCAGCTACTTGGGAGGCTGAGACAGGAGAATTGCTTGAATACAGGAGGCAGAGATTGCGGTGGGCCGTAATTACGCCATTGCACTCCAGCCTGGGCAACAAGAGCAAAACTCCGTCTCAAAAAACAACAACAACAACAACAACAACAACAATCGTATAGGAACAAAGAAGAAAGTATGACAATTACAGAGAAAATCAAAATATATCATTTTTATTAAAACCAGACAACAATCATCAGTGACTACTGACATCACAAAAAAGAAACAACCAGATACCATGTACCTCCTGATGTAGGTGGATTATGTCATAGTTTGGGCAAAATATTGAATATAAATCTAATCAAGATCTAAATATGACTATCAATTTACAGGAAGTAGAGGGATTATATCAGATTAACTGACATATAGGGGTAGAATCGGAAAATAAAACTTACATTGGGAAATGACAGCAGTGCACTCTAAGAAATTTGTGCAGTAATGGAATTGGTCTTTTTCTGCATTCTTTAATACAGTAGCCAGTAGCCACATGGGGCTATGAAACACTTGAAATATGCAAGTGTGCCTGCTCTAACATTGTACATTGTATGTAATTCAATCTTGTATTCTTTTTACTATTAACTGATTGAAATTTAATAGCTAACTGTGGCTAGGAGCAACTATATTGGACCATATCAAACATTTCTTCAACACCTAAATAGCAAACAAATAAAGAGATATAGAAGGGGATTCTATAGAAATGACAAATTGTATCTGTCAATTGCAAAGTATAAATATTATTTGAATTCAAATTAAAAGAAATTATACAAAATTGTTACAAGATATTCAGGGGAATATGAGTACTCATATTTGATGATACTAAGGAATTATTGTTACTTTACATATGATAAAAATGTTATGGTTTTGTTTCAAATAGTTTCTATATGAAATATCTGTGTAAACTATTCCCACAAGAAATTATTTGATGACTTAGATATGGTTCAGCATAATCCATAATTGGGTGGACAGATGAAACAAGGAACAGATGAAACAAGATTGGCCATAAATTTGTTGTTGAAGTTGGTTATGTGGAAATACATCACACAATTTTCTTTACTTTTATTTATAATACTATGTCCCAACTCCAGGCATTCTGACTCTAATGTACAACTAGGGTTGAGATATCTGGGGAAGAGAAAACAATGTAGAGTCAATATTTTAAAACTAGTTTTAAATTGGGAATAGAAATAGTTAAAAGAAATTGCATAAAGTGGTAGATGACTCTTCTTTACCCTTCAGGAAATTTTACTACAAAATTATTTCAAAATTATTTGAGGTTTTAGGATGACGATAATTTTAAATAATCAGTTTTTCAACTTCAGAATTTTGGTACATGCATAAAGGGAGCAAATGTAAGTTGCAGAAGCAATCAATAAAAATAGATACATCTTTTTAAGGTATCCTTACCATGCCCCATGTGAAGCTAACAGGGCTCTACCGCCAGAGAGATGAAAACCTTGGCACGTACCCACTGTAAGTGTCTTCAGAAATGAAACCAAATATGAGCAAAGAGCATAAATAAAGATATTTATTAATCATTAAAGTCATTTGGGAATCCAGGAGGTTTTCAGTATGTTTTAATTAAATAATCAGGATCAGATAATGCAGACAGAATTAATAAAATTAATTTTTCTCTTTCCCATTGATTCAATAATTTATTTTCCTCTGAATGTGCAGCATTTTTTCTACTTGGAAGTTTAACAAGAAGCCATTCTCAAAAATAGTCCTTCAATAAAGTCCCGGGGGCCATAAGTATTTGCATCTATATCACTGCAGGCTTTGCAATGACTGCAAAAGATCCACTTTTCTGATCAATCTCTCTTAATTGTCATATCAATTAAAACTGCTTTATTTATTCAAAAGTTGTAATGATTTTCATAACATAATGTTCCTACTGGCATAAAGGAAAGAGGAGGAATTATGCATTGTGCCTGCCAATTTAAATATAATATATTTTCTTACCTTAAATCTCTTCTCAACTTCATTATTATTATTTCTATGGGGTGGATCACGAGGTCAAGAGATCGAGATTATCTTGGCCAACATGGTGAAACCCCATATCTACTAAAAATACAAAAATTAGCTGAGCACGGTGGTGTGCGACTGTAGTCCCAGCTACTCAGGAGGCTGAGGCAGGAGAATCACTTGAACCCGGGAGGCAGAGGTTGCAGTGAGCCAAGATCGCGCCACTGCACTCCAGCCTGGCAACAGAGTGAGACTCTGTCTCAAAAGAAGAAAAACAAAAAACAACAACAACAAAAAAAGTAGGTTCAGAGGGGTTAACTCAGTTGCTCAAGTTTACACAGTAAGTGAGGGAGTAGACTTTAAAACTAGTTTGACTTTAATTCAAAAATTATTTTCATGATACCATATTATCTTCTACTCTGCTTTTTATCTAGCTTTTACATGTACACAAGAAAGGGAGAGGGACGGAAGGAGAGGGAGAGAAGTTGAGAGAGAGAGAAAGAAATTGCCAGTCACACATTCTGTTGGGAAGATGGTTTAAAGTGTTATCTAAAATAGAATGCCAATTAGAATGAAAATTTCAGGAAATATGAATGCATTTGTTTCCTGAGGCTGCCATAACAAATTACTACAAACTTGGTAATGTAAAATAACAAAAAATGTATTATCTCACAGAAGTTCTGGCAGCAGCAGGCTCCATACCCCTCTGTACCCACCCCTCCGGCCTCTGTGTCTGCATCCTTGGCTTTGCCCTTGGAGTCATTTTGTTTCTAGAAAGGTAGCATATATTTTCAAATCAATGATCCCTATAAGCTCACTTCCTATAGAATCTCAAAAGCCCAACACCCATTCTTCATTTTATTCTGTCTCTGTCCTCTTTTGTCCAAGCTGGCAGTGTTTCTGCTAAAACAGCAGTCTCAAACATCTTGTCTGTCTCCCATGTAAGCCATGGGTGTACATACTATTAGACAAGAGCGTTCTCCACACATTCTTCCTAGAAAATTCCAGCCCTATTACTGGCTTTTGTTGAGAGGGTTGATTGGATCCAGGAGTCATACACCCAATTCCTTCAGCAAAAGTTGTCCTGACACATACTTGAACCTTTCTCCAGAGAATGCTTTCCTAACAGTAAACAGCCTAGTTTAGCATACTTTAAAATCTGCACAAGTTAGAAACCCATCCAAAGAATTCAGTGCCAATTCTACTTTGATTAACAGTTCTTTCCTGAGTTTATCTCTTTCTTCTCACATTTTGCTATATGCAATAAGGAGAAACCAAGGCACATAATTAACACTAAAAAAGTTGTCAGAATCAAAATGGAGTCACTTACGCAAATCCCTAACAAAAATAGAGCTGGGAGGCCATACAGGAAAGGCTCTCATGCACATATGCCTGTGATAAAATAGTACAAGGATTCTCTGAAAAACACAGTCTTTCCCAATGGTCACCACAGCCTTACACGAAGAATACTTCTGCGAGGACATCTGCCCAGCAACTGCCTGTCCAGCCTTCAAACTGATGCCTGTTCAGCCTTTGATCCCGGTAGCCAAGAACAAATATTTCAAAATAACTCTTCTTATTCTGTCTTTAAAAACCCTTGCCTTGCTTTGCCTCTGTGGGTACACCTATGGCCCTTTATGGTTCTTCATGGCAAGTATCTTCCCAGATTTAATCTCTTATCCATTCCTGAGTAAATTCATTTTATAAGAGCCCCTCATTCTGTTGTTATTTTAGGTTGACAACACCTTCTTTGCAAATTTGTTCAATTAAATACCCACTCCACTGCTTACAAGTTCTGTTTACCACCCAGCAGAAAACAATTCAACCAAGTTGTCTTCTTACTTATAACAGGAGACATTTTTCTCCAGTGTTCAATATTATGCTCTTCATGTCCTTATGAGATCTCACCAGAAACACCTTTAATGTCTATGTTTCTACCAAGAATATCTTCAAGAAAAATCTAGGCTTTTTTAATGTGCCACAAAATTCTCCAAGCCCCTAACCATTATCTAATTCCAGAGCCACTTCCCAGTATGAAAATTTTTATTAGTTTCCTAAGAATGCTGTAAGAAAGCTATTAATAACATAAACTTAGTGGACTTGAACAACAGAAATTTACATAGATAGGGAAAATTATATATATAAAACATTTTATGTATATATAAAACATTATTACAGAATCTATATTCTGACATATATACATGTATACACACACACATACATATGGCTCTGGCTCTTCTGGCTTCTGTTGGCTGTCAGCAATCTTTGGCACGCCTTAGCTAATAAGGGCATTATTACAATCTTTACCTCTGCCTTTACATCATCTTCTTCTTTTTTTTTTTTTGTCTGTAAGATTGTCCCCAACTTATGATAGCTCAACTCATTATTTTACTTTATGATCATGTGAAAGTGATACATGTTCAGTAGAAACCATACTTTGAATATTAAATTTTGATTCAAATTTTTTATAACTTTTTTATAAGATAGGTTTGTGTTAGACGATTTTGTCCAAGTGTAGTCTAAGGTAAGTGTTATCAGCACATTTAAGGTTGGCTAGACCAAGCCATGATGTCTCATACATTAGGTGTATTAAATGCAATTTTTGACTTATGATTTTTCAACTTACAATGAGGTTTGATGGGGATGTAACCCCATCATAAGTTGAGGAGTATCTGTATGATACACCTATGATTCACTTTTGTAAAGACACCAGTGATTGGGTTTTGGGTTCACCCAGGTAATCCAAGATGATCTTATCTTAAGACCATTAAGTTAATTGCATCTGCAAAGACCTTTTTTTCAAAAAAGGTTACATTCAGAGTTACCAAGAGTTACAATTTGAACATATACTTTTGGGAGCTATCATTCAATCTACTAGAGTACACTATATGTACATGTAAGTGTATGTGTACATGTGTATACATATGTACATATGAATACATACGTATTATTGCAGAAAAGTATGTAGCTACATAGATCTGATTAAAATTTTGGAAGATTAAAAACTGTGGAACCAAATTTGTTTCATTAATGATGCTAAAATTCAGCTTATATGTAATATTACATGTTCAAATCATACTTTCACAGCTGATGAAAACATTGCATTCAAACAAATAAATTTCATAGAAATAAACAAATATTCACCCAGAATTGTTGGGGGAATACAGATACAGACATGAAATACAGATATACAGAATACAGAATGACAGAATACAGAATGACAGAATACAGATATGAAACCAACCAAAAACAGCTGATCCTTAAGGAAGTAATAAGTTTATATTTACATTATCTGCTCTGCCCCTGTCTGTGAATGATATCAGATATTTATTCTTTAGGTACTGCTATCAAACCAGTTCAGAAAAGCAGACAATGCTAAAGTAAAGACATGTCAAAAAGCATGTTCTTTATATAGCACAAGAATAAAGATGGACTTAAACATATTTTGAAACTAGAGGAAATGATAGTAAAAAAAGACTCCATGTTTCCATCTAGAATTATAAAGTCTACATTTTTGTTTTATTTATTTATGGTTGAGGATGAATACACAAGCTAGTATAAATTTTTAAGCCCATCTTGTTTTCAATTGTCTGGGTATCTAATATTTCACACTTGATCTAATTCTACCATGTAGTTGAAGACTTCTAGACAACTACTCTGTAATACGGCTGTTCTTCTGCAGATAGGATTTACCCATAGTGTTGAATCTGCAAGAATTATATTTCATGTGTCTATATCAGGGTTTTTAATGCTCCCAGGACAAGTTATCAATTGTTTAAAACCCAAATCACCATTGAATCCACTTCTTTGCTAGGAATAACTATATTATAATAGCAGTATCATTTTGTATAATGTTTTGAAAGAAAAGAATTCTTGCTCTGTATAGGAAACTTCCATTACTGAAAAAAATATGTAATATACTTTATTTTCTTAGCTGCTGGTATAAAATTTCTCTTTGTGCAGACCTATCTTTTTTGAGATAATAGAATATCCCTAATGAAGCCTAAGCTCCACAGTGCCTGACTGTATTTGGACTGTTGTTTTGGTTATAAAGAGTGTGGAGGAACTTCTCATTCACATCCGAGGAAGGAACATATTTGTTCCTGAGAGGTAGTAGAGAAAGAAGACATTGGAGGTAAAACATCAAAGACAGGAATAAAGAACATTATCAAGAAAGCAAAAAGACAGTCCACAGAATGGGGGAAAGTATTTGCAAACCATGTATCTCATAAGGGTCTAGTATCTAGAATATATAAAGAAAACTTACAGCTCAACAACAAAAAGACAACTCAATTTAAAAATGGGCCAAGGACTTGAATAAATGTTTCTCTTAGTAAAATACAGAAATGGCCAACAAACTTAACATTATTCACCATTTGGGAAATGCAAATCAAAAGTAAATTGAAATCTCACATCATAGATGATATCTACTAGGATGACTTTAATTAAAAACAAACAAACAAAAAGTGGAAAATAATAGTGTGTTATCAAGAATGTGGAGAAATTGGAGCCCTTGTACATTGCTGATGTGAATATAAAACTGTGCAATTGTCCTTGATAAGTTAAATATAGAATTACCATATGATCTAGAAATTCAGCTCCTGAGTATATATCCAAAAGATTTGAAATCAGGAGTGCAAACGAAACTTGTTCACAAATATTCATAGCAGCACTATTCATAATTGCCAAAAGATGAAAAAAAAAATTTATCTATTGCCGAATGCATAAATAAAATGTGATACATATATACAATGGAATATGGTTCAGCAATAAACAAAGTCCTGATACATGCTACAGCATAGATGGACTTTGAAAATAATAAGCAAAGTGAAAGAAGCATGATATAAAAGGTTACATATTGTATGATGCCATTATGAAATCATGAGTAGGCAATTTCATAGAGACATAAAACAGATTGTAGTTGGTATTGGGTTTCTTTTTGCCGCGATGAAAATATTCCAGAATTAGATAGTGGTAATGATTGCACAGCACTGTGAATGTACTAAATGCCACTCGTGGCAAATTTTATGTTGTGTATTTTATCACTATAAAAATGAAAAAAATATAAACATAAAAATACTTGGGAAGAAGGAAGAACAGAAAGAAACCTAGGAAATTGCTAGGTGAGCCATGCAATACCTTCTTCTTTCCACCATGACTGTATACTTTGGTCTTTTCTAAAAACTAATTAAAGAAATGAATGGATTCCTTTGGGAAATTGGTGTCAAAACTGAATTAACATTATGCCCCCATGATCAGCCTGTGTAGGTGGGGGCAGCAAATGTGTGATATACAGATTTAATTTAAAAATTATTGAACATCTCTTTATCACTATTCTAAAACTTGGGAGCTGTACAGCAATATAGCAAGATTACTGTCAGAACCTATCCCCATAGTCATGCTTTCCTCAAAATAATGCTTAGTGTTCTCCCTCATCCTTCCCCCTGTGACACTGTGGAGGAAACATTAAATATTAAATTTGAACTCAATTGAACATGGACACAAACAATGATCACCACGTCCCGGAGCAGGTTATGTGGGCCCCTTGAGGCGTTCATCCAGTGCTATTTTGGAGAAATCTCTATTTCAATCTATTCCGATACATTAGTTATTGAAAAGCAATAGACAATCGAAAAAACAAGTTAACGTTTTTGTGTTCATTAAGCCAAGTCACAAAGGGCCCTCGCGACTGGGCCTCATGCCAAGCAACTTATTACAAAAAAAGTTAGGGTCCCAGACTGCGCCGAATCTTCATGAGACCTCTCCTCATCTGTGCATGGACAGGTGGCTGACTCTGGAGCCCAGGCTGTTGCTTCCCAGTCTGGTGGTGAATCCTCCATAGTCTGGTGAGAGTACGTGTGTGTGTGTGTGTGTGTGTGTGTAAATATATACATATACCTTTTCCTTTCCCCCTTCCCATTGCAATTTGCTTATCATTTGCTTATTATATTACTTTGCTTATTATATCATTTGCTTAATATATCCCATTGCCATTTACTTGGGATAAATCTTGTTTACCCTTAAAGGTATTGTATGTGTGCCTTTTCTTCTTGCCTTGTGTGTTTCCCGCACAGAACAGACACATACAGGCATATCCGTATCTAAAACTCAGGGACTTTCCCTGACCAGTTTCAGGTATCTCAGGACATCAAAAAACTCACCATCATGTCAACCCTACCAAACTTTAGAAACTAGGTGTTGGTTTGGTAGGGTTGCTACATTAGTGCTTTTCTCCTGTTTTTGGTTACCAGATTTGTTCCCTGTGTCTAAATTACTGTCTTCCAATTTTTCTAGGAAGCATCTCTCATCATCTTTTATTAAATCTACTTACCCTTTCCTGTGAAACAAAGCACAGACAGCCCTGAATCTGAAACCCAGGTCTTTGGCCAAAAACTTGCTTACTACTGCCAAATATTCCTAATGCCTCCTGCCTCACTGAATTGCTAAATATTGTCTGCTTTTAATTTCTCTGCTACTTGGCTCTCTCCTTCTGTCTGCCAGGACACTGCTATTTCATGCTGGTCCACCCTCAAAACCTGTGATTGTCTGGGCCATGATTTATTACCATATTATGATTATTTTAATAGTAACAGACATATTGATGACTAACATTTATTTTGTAGTATGTACAAGGAAGCATAGTAAACACTTTAAATATCTGATTTCCTTTTCCCATCAGACAGGCAACTGAGGCTTATTATATAGATTATAACAATTTCCCAGGGTCACCCAGCTTGTAAATTCATGAGCTAGAACTTGAACTTGGGTTGCTCTGGCCCCAAAGATGGTGATTTTCAATTACTATAACATATTGTTAGGTCTACGGCTCATCACTGCACTATGGCCACTATTACATTAAAGCAGTGTTCCTACAAAAGCCCAGCTGGTGGGAAGGCTGGGCATGAGTCTTATTTGGATCATGGGCTCCAGAACATGGCTGACTGGAGATAGATGTTTGAATTTTGACTTAACTAAACTGTCACAAAGATCCCAAAGGGGTTTCAAGGAATGTGCATTATGAAACATGGTGTGGACTATTGGAACACGATATGGAAGAATTGTTGACACTCATAAAAAGTTCCTTTGAGTACATTGTTTTTGATACAGGTGAAAATGGAAGACAGCTATTTACTTGGCATCCCTCTTAAGACGTTTGCCCTAAGTCTTCAAACAAGTTCTCAAAATACATAGAATTGGGATACCTCCAGAGTGCCTTTGTTATAAAGGCATTTGAGATATAAGATCCATAGATATTGACAATTCTTATTGGTAAGTATATTTTGAAACAATGAAGAGCTTTGCCAAATGGTATACACAAACAATTGTGCTATTTTATATTTTCTAATGCATGTTATTTATTTCAACTTGTAAATGTTCCTAACATTTGGGAATTTTTTTTTTAACTTCATCTTTCATTCCATCCTATTACACTCAGGTAATCTGCCAAGTTCCTAGAATACTGAAAATTCAAATAAAGCTACTCGTAACCTCACAATAAAATATATTTCTCTCAAGAATTACTTGATTATTGAAGGATTTTCCTATAGGTGTCTCTGTAGAAGAATTCATTATTTGGTAATACTGCAAAGGCTGCACAGATCTGGAAGAAAGTATTAGATGAATTGTGGTCACATTTGATTAGATTTGGACCTGGGGGAATAATTCCATACATCAAGGTAACAGGAGAATGAGCTCATCTGCGGTGCTTTGTCCCTGGTGAATTTCCTCTCTACTAAACATGAATAGTTAATTTTTAAGGAGGATACAAGAAGCACATGCATACCACATTTAGAGGTGAAACTATTTAATCTCATACTTTGCTATAAAATGTATTTTAGGTCTAATCACTAGAAACCAGAAAATAGCTTTTGCTGTTAAAGTGAGTCAGTAATTTATGTGACTCTGACAAGTTAAAATTGCCTAGCTTGCACATCTAAAGGGAAATTTAAAAATTAGTAACAGGAGATAATAAATTCTTGTCAGGGAAAAATAAATACTATAACTCTAATTTACATGTGAAGTATTTATGATGATCTTGGGATTTTTCTTGTTTATACATTTTTTTCTTATTTGGATATTCAAAGGAATTTATTAGTCATTTTGCTATTTTTCTATACTTACAAATTTCTAAGGACATGCATTTATGGGCTAAGATTCTATCTTTTATTGTAGTAGGAACAGCAAGCAATGAGTTTAAGGAAGAGACTCGAGAAAGAAATATTTCTTTTATATTAAGCATTTTGTTAAACTATAGATTAATTTTACCTCATTACACACTTACTTACTTTTCAGAGTAGATGTAACAGGATTTCAAAGTAGAACTCCTCTTGTCTCAAATTTGACTGAGGCTCTGATGTCAAAGAGCAAAGCAATTTTTGACCACAAGTTGTTTGACCACACCTATGCAGAAACGGCAAAGAAGGTGCCTGTTGTTCTGCTTTGCACATCTCACCTCAACATCCACATCAATAATATTTAAGTGGTTAGAGAGGGAGAGGGAAAGTACTTGAATTTCTTTGGATCGTGGTGGTATTCATATGAGACGAGTGATAAATATTTATTCCACATTTTAAGCCATCAAGAGGGTATGTTAAGACTCAGGGAACTTGACTTTGTACCTTATGAGACATTGAGACAGATGCCAGACTGTTATCTATGAAGGTCCAAATATATGAGTTTGTGGTTATGGTTATCTAGTTGCTGCAACAGTACAGAGAGTTAAACTGGGAAGTAGCTGCACTTCCACTTGTCAAATGTTAGTGTTTGGGGGGAACTAGTTATGTATATTTTGATGGGAGCTAGCAAGAACTTAGTCTGGATTATACCAAACAGGGCTGTGTAAGAGGCGATGGATCCCCAATACAGAGGATCTTCTTCCAAATGCTCATTTATTCACTCATTCATTCAACAAATATTTATTGAACATTTTCTACATGCCAGGCATAATTCCAGGTATAGGAGATGTAGTAATGAATAACATGGGTAATCTTTGCCTTCTAAAATCTTATATTCACAGAAAAGGAAAGAAAATAAGGAAATATGTAAAACTGTGAAAAGTACTTTGGCCAAAAAAAAGCCATGGAGTAGGGGAAGAAAGGTCTAGTAGAAGGTGGTAACAGGGGCCTGAATTCAGGAGGAATCTGAAGTGACCAGCCACCTCAGAAAAGATGCATTGGCTGCATCACAGGGAGTCTACCTGGACATTTACGGAGCTTTGGGGGTGAACTCTGCGAAACCAAAAATATCCAAGGTGAAAGTCAACTTTCAACCACCTGCCAAGCCTAGAAAAGATAAATATCATTTCACAATGGTTCGTTTCCTCATATCTCTCCTCTCACCTTACCCATCCTAATACTGGAGAAGCCAGGGGTGAACTAATGGGTAGTGATATGGTTTGGCTGTGTCCCTACCCAAATCTCACCTGGAATTGCAATAATCCCCACATGTCAAGGGCAGGGCCAGGTGGAGATAACTGAATCATGGGGGCGGTTTCCCCTATACTGTTCTCATGGTAGTGAATGAGTCTTATGAGATCTGATGGTTTTATAAATCGGAGTTCCCCTGCAGAAGCTCTCTTGCCTGTCACCACGTAAGATATGCCTTTGCTTGCGGTGGCTGTTCCCTATAGTCCCAGCTATTCCGGAGGCTGAGGCAGGAGAATGGCGGGAACCCGGGAGGTGGAGCTTGCAGTGAGCCGAGATAGCGCCACTGCGCTCCAGCCTGGGCGAAAGAGCGAGACTCCGTCTCACAAAAAAAAAAAAAAAAAAAAAAAAAAAAAAAAAAAAAAGATAAGCCTTTGCTTCTTGTTTGCCTCCCACTATGATTGTGAGGCCTCCCCAGCCATGTGAAACTGTGAGTCCATTAAACCTCTTTCCTTTATAAATTACCCAGTCTCAAGTATGTCTTCATTAGCAGTATGAGAACAGACTAATACAGGTGGAAAGATGGGAGATTGGGGGATCGGAAGGAGAGGAGGATTAGCAGAAAAAGGGGGAATAGGGAAGTAGATCACACTGACCTCTCCCACTTCTGTTTCAACCCTGCAGAACACTCAAGGTGTGGGAGGGGAATGTTGGAACCTCAAATGAAAGTTGGAATTTTGATTGTTCAATTGCACTCACATTGTAATGAAATGAGAGTGAGCATGCTTCTAACTAGAAACATACTGAGGACTTTTTTTTAAATCTAAGAGCAACTGGAAAAGTCATGGGACTTCTGTGAGAGTCCATATTAGAAGTAACTAACAACTAATGCACCAAGGTCGTTTGAAAGGAAGTGGGAGGAAAATAAAATTGCTTAATGATCAAGTCCTATTAAGTTCTACTCTCTGAACTTAACTGTGACAGTCAGCGTTACTAGAGGAGTAATGAAGCTTAGAGAGTGAATTAACCTTTTCAAGTCCATACAACTAAGAAATGATGGAGCCCAAAGGCAAACAGGAAAATCGAAGCTCTAATTGACTTGTGTGGAAGAAGCACTCTGGCCCCAATGCCTTGAAGCAGAAGAACATTCAAGAGTAAGACTTTCTTTATGAAGGATTCTTTTCCCTTAAAGTCCTTTAAGAGCCGCACAGTTTGAGGTTCAACACATGTTCTGTATTGAAAAGGGAAACATTTCTTCACTGAATGTATAGTCTTGAATGTGGTAGCATCATTCCCCCACTTCCCTAGATAAGACTGGCCCATAGTGTCTTCCACTGCTTCTTTGTCCCATATGCCCAAACTGATCCTCACTCATTAGAAATGCAGGGTGTAAGTCTGAACTGGTATTAACATTGACATAAATTTACAATACACTTTCATCCAACTAATTATTTGATCTCACAATAATCCTAAGGAAAGAATAAGAAGTATTTTTATGATTACTTTGTCATAATAATAAAAAATAAAACTGAAGTTAAAAGAGGATAAAAACTGAATCTAAAGAGTGAGTGAATTGCCCAGGGTCATAATACTACTAATTATTAGAAACAGACCTTGAGCATTACTCTTCTAGTTCACAGTTAAATGTTCTTAAGGGAGACTTAAGATTAAAGAGAGCACTGTTACCATAATAGATAAAATACTGTGTCTGAACCAGATATGCTAAATATTTTTCAGTTTTTGCTACTTTTAAATTTAATATTTGCTATACTTTAGTCTTTTTTAGCTATACAAATTCCCTCTGGCACTCTACTGAGAACAGTTGTTTGTTTGAAGGTTTTATTTAACTTCAGACACTTTTATTTCTGTCCTTGTGCTCCCCTGATTTCTAAGTCAGAAAAAAGCTAAACTTTTCTCTCATTAACTTGTATAGCCTACTTCCAATGTTTCATGTGTACTAAGAAAATTCACTTGTGTACTATTGTTTCCTAAAGAAAAACTGCTAAGTCTTTACTAAAGGTGATTCTAACAGGTGATAATATTCTAACAGGTGATAAATATTGAAAATTCTAATGGGATAAATATTGAAAGAATTTATCCATTGGATCCAAAAGATGAATTTCAAACAACCAAGTTGAAATTTTTGTTTTTATTAATGTACACACATTGGAGATGTGTTAATAGATGTAATATGCATTAATTAAATCTTCACCAAGTTATAGTCAATAAAAGGAACTTTAAGATTGTAATGTTGTTGAAATATCATGAGTCTTTACCTATAAATGTGCAACCATTTATTAAATAACTTTTTCATTTAACATATACTTAATGTCTCTACCTATTGACTACTATTGTTTCTCTTTTGGATTTACTACTATATGGTATGCAAAAAACTCAAAATCTATCTTTTTATAGAATTGAAAATAGAAACAGACTACTGAAATGACAAAGTTATAATGATTATGCAGATGTGTATCTATACTCCCTTATGCATTAAAAATATTACAGTGCATAAGTCCTTCAAGGGCAAATGTATTATTAGGCCATTCATCAGTTGACTAGAACTTAGGGTGTTTGATAATGACGGTGCTTATTTTTTGAAAAAAATAAGTTGCATATTACTAAAGTTGAGGTTAATATTTTACAAGGTACTTCACAATTTTTTCACAATGAATTATCATCAATGTTATAAACATAAAATAACTCTCTCCAATGAAATGCTCAGATTAAATGAGGATCACATGCTTTTCCATTATTCCTTTTCTTATCATTGTATTCTATTTGTAGCTATATATAGAGATATCCTTGAAATTAGAAATACAGCCAAAGGGTTTTCTTCCTAATGAAATCACATTTTAAATGAATATTAATATGACCAACACTTTTCAACTTTTTATTATTTTTAAACATCTGCCAAATTAGAATAGTATAAAGGGCATTCATATTTCCATTAAACAGCTTCAACAAATGACCAATATTGCTTTATCTATTCCTTCCACTTTGTACTTATTTTGAAACAAACACAAAACCTATTAAAACTTATTCTCTACTTTATGATGTATCTTTAAGAGATACTCTTTTAAAAAACATAACCACAATAGCATTATAATCCTAAATAATAGTAATTGCTATATACCATCAAATATTTAGTTTAAATTCAAATGTCTACACTTTGGTTCCATTTCTTTTACTTAATATGTCTACATATTTTTTCTTTTGTAGCTTTCTTCTCTCACTTTCATTATTCAATTTATTTATTGAAGAACCTGGACTATTTTTCTTAAAACATTTTCTAAAGATTAGATTTTGCTAATTGCATTCCTGTTTCTTTGTCTCTTGTACTTCCCACAAAATGACAGACTAATAGATTAGGATTTTGTCAAAAATGAATATAGCTTTTATTTCTTTTTTTTTTTTTTTTTTTTTTTTTTGCACCATATCTGAAGGCACCTAACAAGTGACTGCTTTTCTTTTTGAGATTGGTCAATAGGTTCAGGTGTTGCCACCTCCACTCATTCATTAAAAAATTTCCTGGCAGGGGCGGTGGCTCACACCTGTAATCCCAGCACTTTGGGAGGCCAAGACGGGTGGATCACCTGAGGTCAGGATTTTGAGACCAGCTGGCCAACATGGCGAAACACTGTCTCTACTAAAAAAATACAAAAATTAGCCAGGCGTGGTGGCATTCCCCTGTAGTCCCAGCTACTTGAGAGGCTGAGGCAGAGGTTGCAGTGAGCAGAGATCGTGCCATTGCACTCCAGCTTGGGTGACAGAGCAAGACTCCATCTCAAAAATAAATAAATAAATAAAAAGTTTCCCATCTGCTTTTCACTCACTAGTGTCAGCCGACATTGATATTACAAAGATTCAGTAATTACAGAGATCCAAAAATCTCTATTGCAAAGTGGTAGAATTCCAACTCAATTGTTCCTTGTACATTTATCAGCTGCGTGTTTTTCTATAGAGGCAAACACTTATTCATCTACTATTTGGTTAACTTGAGGTGCAGATTTTACAATAAATGGAAGATAAATGCTTGCTTTTTCATTTAATTCACTGGGTTTTAGAATTATAAAGTGTTTCCATAGATGATCCACATTTGGACAATGAAAAACGAATTCTTTTTAACTGATTTTTAACATATACAATATGTTGCATCGCATTATTCTTATTCTTTTTGGTGCTCATGAAATAGAAGGACCTTACAATTTGGTTTTAGAGTTCTTTATACAACTTTAGTAGTCTTAAATACCTATCTCACTTTCTGTTACAATAAGAAACCCCAGGATCTTTTACCCTATTTTTTCCTAGACCTGGAATCAGACATTTCTCCAAGAAACCTGACTTGCTGTAGTGGGAAATGGAATTTAAAGGCCACAATCCCTACTTCACTGAGTTAATCATTGACTAACGTGTTTTTAAATCAGAATGCCAGATCTCAATCAGTCAGGAAAATATTTAAGGCTCGTCTAGCTTTTCTGTACTTGAGTTTTATATAAATCTCTTATAAATAGAACATATATTTCCATTGTTATTGATTTGTTTATTGTCTTAGTCTGATAATACCTTAATATCCTCAGTGGAAATGATAGTCCTACTAGTTGTCTTCTACCATATTTGGATTTTATCATTTTATTGCTTTTTATTTGTTTTACTTTCTTATCCTTCTACAGTTGTCTTTATAATGATAAACATTTTGCATTCTGTTATAATGTTTAACATGTATAGATGAAGTCCAAAGTTAGTCAACATCTCTACCCTTCTACTGAACAATAAAAGGACATTTTAAAAAACCAGTTCTCTCTCATTATCTATGCTATTTTCCCCCAAACATTCCAGAATTTTAGTTCTTTTTGTATTTCTGTAACACCACGATTTGAATATTGCTATCATAATTCATGCTTGTATGTTTAGATTTACCAATGTTTACCAAATTTTGTGTACCATGCCCTCGTCCATCTCAGATCATTCTTTTAAAATATTTTCTTTTACTTTCCTTGAATCGATTATTTAGAAGTTTTTTGTTAGGTAATGACTAGGTCCCTAATAATTTTAAGAGTAGAAGACAAAATTTTACCTCCAAGTTCTTGCTTCTGGTCATTTTCTTTATGACTGTGGGCAGGATCTATAAGACAGCCAAATAGAAACCTCTGAAGCTTCAGAGACCACTTGCCCAGCAGGAAAGAAGGTCATTTTTCTCTACCCTTTTCCCAGCCTCCCATTATAGCCATGACCAGTCCAACCTCCAACTATGCTCTCAGGTTCTTTTTTTAGTAAAATGTGGAAGTTTAATCAAGATGGCCATATTATCCAATTCTATGTCATTGAAGACTTACTAGGGGAATTAAAGTATATATGCATGGCATTTAAGAAGTCAATTTAGAGATATTCCCCAGAAAAACATCATTTGAAGACAAAAAAGGATTTATAACATAAATTGGAATATACACATATATATATATATATATATATATATATATATATATATATATATATATATTCTCTTTAAAAGTAGATATTTAGTTAAAGCTAATGTGTGGTTTATTTTTGTCTTTGAACTCAGCAAACTCATTTATTTCATTCTATTAATGTTTGTTTGACCTCTGGCTAAATAGACTTTGTGTCTTTTTTTTAAGTGCTTTCCTCCTAATACGACTATTCACTGGTTTTATATTTATATCTTATCTTTCCTTGGAGAGTAATTGTTAGTAGTCATAAAATAACTTAAGTCCAGTTTAGTCCAGAGGCATCCTAGAATTTTTCTAACATAAACTCATACCTCCTTTTTAACATCTCTGCTATCCTGTGATCACATCTCCCCCCAAATAATTTTTTTCTCCCTAAACACACAGACACTCACACACACAGCTACCATGTGTAACATTCTAGAGTAATCATACTCTCCTCTAGTTATGACAGTTGGAATATATCACATAATTCCTTCAATAATGTTAAAATGTATTCATTCCCAGAACTTTCAAATATATTAATTTCTAATGGTAGGAATTTAAAAAATAGAAGTACATATACAAAGGTAAATATACAAAAACTGTAAATTCCTAAGAATATGTTGGATCAATGTAGCAATAAGGATGTATATACCAATAATTAGAAAATAGCATGTTTTCTGTTCTAAGACCCAACTGAGTGAAAAAATACTTAGATGCTAAAATACCAACCTTAATGGCTATTTATCTGCACCTGATATACAAACATTATTATATTTATGTTGCGGGAAGTCAGAGACCCCGAAAGGAGGGACTGGCTGAAGCCACTGCAGAAGAATATAAGTTGTGAAGATTTCACAGACATTTATTAGTTCCCCAAATTAATACTTTTATAATTTTTTACACCTGTCTTTACTGCAATCTCTGAACGTAAATTGTGAAGATTTCATGGACATTTATCACTTCCCCAATCAATACTCTTATAATTTCCTATGCCTGTCTTTACTTTAATTTCTTAATCCCATCAT
This sequence comes from Homo sapiens, assembly GCF_000001405.40. Classification (NCBI taxonomy): domain Eukaryota; kingdom Metazoa; phylum Chordata; class Mammalia; order Primates; family Hominidae; genus Homo; species Homo sapiens. The sequence continues at coordinate 109,183,035 of NC_000007.14, read as the reverse complement.
CTTTGTAAGCTGATGATATATGTCGCCTCAGGACCCTGTGATGATTGCATTATCTGTACAAATTTTAAAACGTGTGTTTGAACAATATGAAATCTGGGCACCTTGAAAAAGAACAGGATAACAGCGATTTTCAGGGAACAAGGGAGATAACCATAAGGTCTGACTGCCTGTGGGGCCAGGCAGAACAGAGTCATATTTCCCTTCTTGCAGAAAGCGAATAGGAGAAATATTGCTGAATTCTTTTCCCAGCAAGGAATAACCCTGGGAAGGGAATGCATTCCCAGGGGAGAGGTCTCTAAAATGGCCACTCTGGGAGTGTCTTCAACCGTCTTATGCAGTTGAAGATAAGGGATGAAATATGCCCTGGTCTCCTGCAATGCCCTCAGGCTTGCTAGGATTAGGAAATTCCAGCCTGGCAACTGGTTGTCTGCTCTGGAACCTGGTTTCCTGTTAAGATGTTTATCAATGACAATGCGTGCCCAGTGGGACATGGAACCTCATCAGTAATTCTAATTTTGCCCTGGGCTTGTGATCTTGTTCCGCGATTTGCCTTGTGATCTTTTATTGCCCTAGGAAGCATGTGATCTCTGTGACCCACTCCCTATTTGTACCCTCCTCCCCTTTCAAAATCCCTAATAAAAACTTGCTGGTTTTGTGGCTCAGGTGGGCATCACGGAACCTACCAATATGTGATGTCTACCCTGGCAGCCCAGCTGTAAAATTTCTCTCTTTGTGCTCTTTCTCTTTATTTCTCAGACCGGCCGACACTTAGGGAAAATAGAAAAGAACCTATGTTGAAATATTGGGGGCTGGTTCCTCCAATATATTTACATTCACTCAACAAACATATAGGCTCCTAAGTGTTATATTCTCAGTGCCACAATCACTTGCAAATCATAAGTTACTTTATAGCTGGCAAAAGATTTTGATATGGTTTGGCTGTGTGTCCCCACCCAAATCTCACCTTAAATTGTAGTTCCCACAATCCCCATGTGTCATGGAAGGGACCCGATGGGAGGTAATTGAATCAGGGGGACAGTTACCCTCATGCTGTTCTCATGATAGTGAGTGAGTTCTCATGAGATCTGATGGTTTTATAAGGGGCTTTTCCCTCTTTTGCTTGGCACATCTCCTTTCTGCCATCATGTGAAGAAGGACGTGTTTGCTTCCCCATCCACCACGATTGTAAGTTTCCTGCAGCCTCAGCAGCCATGCGGAACTGTGAGTCAATTATACCTCTTTCCTTTATAAATTACCCAGTCTCAGGCAGTTCTTCATAGCAGCATGAGAATGGACTAATACATATTTCATACAAAAATAAACTATTTTGGAGGAAAAATTATCCATTTGAAAGACAATCTGATATAAATTACTAGTGAATTAATACAGTAAGGGATACAATGGCATTATAATTTCTAAGGGTGAAGGTCTATGACAACAGCCATGGTTTTTCACAGTACCAAGGCTTGGGGCATGTGTACAAGTTAAAGATGATGTGTTTCTCCACGTGGCAGTTGGCCTTTCTGCTAAGAAAAATTTCCCTTATGAAATTAACTTTTAAACTTTGGTTTCATTGACATTATAACTCACCAAATTAAAATATCCCAAATAATTATCAAGATAAAAGCTCCAGAGATAATATCTACTGAAATGACATTAATAAAATGTGTATTGTCCACATGCAAAGGGCATTTAAATTTTTCAGTTCTATACATTGACTCTTATTAGCACTCAAATATTAAAATCTTCTATAATTCAAAGAGATTTTAATATAGTATAAATACATCAAATACAATACAATTAAAATATGCTTTTTTATAATCACTGTGAAAGGCTTGGTAATGCAATGGCAAGAGAAGGTGCATACAGTGATTTTATAATCAAATGACTATTTTCCTAAGGCAATTGAGATTTAAAAGTAATTATAAACTGCCAGCAATGGCAGAAACCCTATTTTCTTCTATGAAAAATTAAATTCAATATATTATAAAACACTTCTCTTCATATGTTCTTCATTCATTAAAATACAGAGAACTATCACTATGATTTTAAAGTGTCTGCTTGATAAATCAGGATAATTAACCTAAATAAATAATTTCTCATTAATTACAAAGGTAAAATTTGACAACTCAGAGAAATGCTATTATACTCTAGATGGCATCTTAAATAAGGGACCATATCTTTGACGGTGTTGAAAATTAAGTCTAAAATGCAGTGGGATGGGCTAAGAATGTTAAACAAAGATAAAAAATAAACTGCTGGATTTTGTGGTAGTATAGTATTTACTACTTATGCTTTACTGAAATTTCTTACAGTTTATAACTAATGACAAGGAGAAGAGAACATAGATTCATATTCATTATTGGGAAAGAAACAAGTATCCCTATTATATTGAAGCACGACTATATGGCTCCAAAAATCAGTTATCTGGCCAATTTAGTTAACAACTAAATATTTCAATGAAAAAGCAGTCATTATTTGTGAGAATCTGGTATGAAATTGGCTAAGAAATGTAGTTGGATGATTTTCATCTTTGTATTTATACTTGGATGGCTCTCGCGCTAGGTCACTGGAGCTTCAGTGCCTGGCCTTTCTTCTTTAGCTCTTTTTCCCCTATTGTAGCTTGGTACCAAGGGTTTCCTTTTTTTCTTTTGACCCTGGCAGGAATTTAGAATATTTTGAGTGATGTTTTATTTTCGTTGTACGTTTTGTTTATCCACTTGTAGCAGGAAAGAGATCTCCATTAGTATATTCTTCTATGGTGAAGAAACAGCAGATCTTAACTCACTTTGTACCATTGTCAGCTTGTCTTAGCCTAGGTTCTGCCAAGAAAATAAAGGTGATCTATTTGAGAAAGTGATTCCAAGAAAAAGGAAGTGATCACAAGAAAAGGGAAGGGATCAAAAGAAAGGCGAAGAGTGAAACGAGGAGAGAAGAAAGTCCAAGGGTGAGTAACCAAGCCACCCAGCCTTGTGGGCAATTAGGACCTGACCCTGCTAGGAACCTTGTGAAGAGCCCTGTGAAGAGCTAGGTCCTCCTCGAAATTATCCACCCAAAAGGAGAAAGAGGAGAGACTTTAGATATCCATCTGTTCCTACACCGTATTTGGCATGGGTGGCTTCATGGGGTGTTCATCCCCTTGCACTTTTAAGCTTATGCCTGAGTCAGATTGAGCAGCTCCTTGCAGGCAATCCACACAGTGGCAGCAGACAAGCCCTGAGTAGAGAGCAAGGATACCTGATGCAGCTGTGGTGATGTAATGGCAAGTCACATCTGCTTGCAGCAGCTTGTCTCAAGAATTGCTGTAGTAAAGGGAGGCTAAGAGGATGGGAGGCAGGGTGCAAGAGAGGTTTATGTATTACTTCTTGGAAGAAAAATATCTTACTGCAGTTTAATTTTCTTTGAAACGAGTGAAATCTTTTTTGTTAAACTACATTTTGTTAAAGAACAGAAAAATCACAAAAAAAGTGAATGCAGTCACTATCCTCCAACTTCTCTTACCTGATCAACTTTTCAGAGCAAAAACATAGATATTTCTTTCACCAGTGAGACCCTTTGAATGCTTTTACTTCTCCCTCTTCCCTAAGCATTATCTGCTCCAATGATTTTGCTTATACAGTTATGCTTTTAATTGTAGACTATTTTTTAAAACTATGCCTTTTCTCCAAGAATCCTAATTAAACACTATAATGACACTATCAAATAATCAACCCTTATCCTTTATTATCAGTTTATATTTAATTATGTGTAGAAAATTATATATGTGATGCATGTGAATGTGTCTGTGCATTTTAGACTTCCTGTTAGCCATTTAATTGGCTACTGATGGAAAAGATTAGCAGGTAAGTAAACTGTTGCTTTAAAAAATCCATGAATATAAAAATGCCCAGGTAAATTTTGAGGATCTGTAATTAAATTGGAGAAGACAAAGCAGCTATGCTAGGTCTTACAAATTATGTGGCATGAAGTCCATAGTGATGATCATTCATGGATCTATCAAAACTAATTCAATTTAATTCTCAAATATCATTGCTGCAATGTTAAATTTATGACTAATGTATGACACAAGAACACCAAGCATGCATCATGTCTAAGAGCTATTTATTCCTGAGTTAAATAAGCAAATATAAATGGATAAGTTATCATTTTCAAAAGAAAAGCCATTAGTTTTTGCTAAACCCCATTTTATGTACTTTTGCGGATAGCATTTTTACGGTAAAGCTAAAATTATGTTACTGTCTTTGAATGGTTTAATACAACAAAATTAAGCTAAAGCAAAGTCTTTATTATATGGACATTTAAATCTCACAAAGATATGAAAAGTAATTTAATGAATTATTCACTTTCATCGTAGTGCATTCTGATCACCTCCTATTCACTCCATTGTTAATGAGGGAATCCCCTGGACTAAATAGTACAAGATGGCCAAATGGATGACACCCATCACTGGCCCAGTGAAACTGACAGCAGTTTATGAGTCACAGATACTCACAGTCTAGGACATCCCATGCCATGCAAGGCTACACGGGGTTTTTACTTGGTAATAGAGTGAACAGGGATATTGGAGACAGGCTTTATAGTAATAGGAGGATGAGGTGTCTGTCTTCTGGTTCCTGCAGGAGAATGTGATTGGTTTGTTAGAATAATTCCCCAGAATGACAGTTAGGTTGAGAGCCAGGTGGAGTGCAACTCATCTGACTAATAGAGGAACTAGCCAGGTAGGGGTGCTTTCCTGCTGAGGGGTGGGGTAAGAGGGTCAGGACACATATTTGGCAAGAGCAGGGGAGCTTGTAAGATTTACGGATCTTGTGAGTCTCAAAAATGTCAAAGCAGCACTTGAAATTTTAGACCTTACCATGCAATGTGATTAATATCATTTTAAAGGATAGGCCTTTCAACATGGAGTCATTGAAACTAGATATTTAAAAGACAGACTTATAATAGCCATATTTTTATTGACTGCAATGATTCTTAATGGGAAATATTTAAGCTTGATAGAATAGGTAGTTATAAAATGAAATTCAAGTGTTAGCTGCTGTGGTACCAAGATACTAAAATATAGATTTATATTTGGATTTACAAACACAAATGCTACTATGGGAAACTTCAGCTGTTGATACAATAAATCCTCTAATCATACTATACAGTATTTTTCTCAATTTTTGTTTGCTCTAATAAAGCTATCTTGCTTTCTACCTGCCTACCTCCAGGAATCATGATATTAAAAAAAATAGAAAGCAAAGCTTAATGAAAAATAGGTAATATGTACAATAGATGGCAATTATTTAGCTTTGCTAATTGTAATCACAAAAAGTCACTTGGAAAAACAAATTCAAAATTATATATATAAGAAGAACCTTATTAAAATTATGCAAAATCTTAGTATCCAGAGAGAATGACATGAGTATATTTTGCAGAACATTACATTTGTTCTAGTTTTTTGCTGTAATAAAAATATGAACCCTTTAATATCCTTGTTGATATATCCACATAAGTTGAAATATATATTACTGTTTTAAAACAGATAGATATGTTTACCTGTGTATAGATATATGAAAACGAGGGATTTTACTTAAATACAATAAAATAACATATCCCAGCTTCTGTGATGTGTTCATATAAAAGTGGCCGAAGATAACATAGAACTAAGGTTAAACTCAAGTAACAGAATTAGTTCCACTAACTTTTGCTTTATTTTTCTGCTGAGATTATCTTTTAGAAAGATTCATGAAGCCTTACTAAAGCTCAGACTAGAAGCAGTGTGGAAGAGGTAAAGTGAAACAGATTTATATGATGAAATCTGATTTATAGAGCTCATACCTGCCATCCAAGTAGAAAATGTAAATGCTCTATGTTGGAAATGGGAGAATATTTTAATTCCGAATTCCCTGAAGGCATTAATTTTTCACTTTTATTATTCTTTGGATTAACATTCAGATTTGAGTTGTTCCCATTTGCTTTGATATACTCAAAACATTGTCTAAATAAATAAATGTATTACATATGTTGATATATTGTTGGTGATATATATTTATTATACTTGTTTTCTAATCATCTTTCACAAGCTTTAAATTTTATCATATTCTCTATGTAGCAATAAAGCCATTTCCATTGCAAACTTATAACAATAATGGATAGCAACCTGCAGGGGATACATTTCTGAGAAATTTATTTCCCCTCATATTGCTCAGCCACCCAAGGAATGAATTTGTTTCCATGACAGATAAGGACTACACCAATCATTTTTAAAATGGTCTTGGGGCACCACAAATCAATAACAGAAAAAGAAAATGCAAGATAATATTTCTTTTCATTAGGTTGACAGATGGCATTCCAGATTTATGCATCAAAATTGTCTCTTTAATAGTTATTAAATAACCTTAATCATACGTCTTGGCTACGTGGGTTCTGTTTTACATTGAATAATCAAGGCCCAATTCTATTTGGTGACAATGTGGTTAATTTACAGAAGCATAATAAGATGATATCAAATCTAAAAGACACAAGATAATTACCACAAGGCATAATATTCTACACTGAAATCTAAATCAGCCACGATGATATAACTTTAAATTAATTTTAGTAGAAGATACTTCTGCAACATCAATGCATTCCATAGGAATGTTTGTTGTTGTTTTGTTTTTTAAACTCTCACTTGAGCAATATGTACTAATAATGGTGTTCTACAAAATTGTTATAGGAAAGGACATACATTCCATAGCCTATATTAAATTCAGATATGTTGAATTTCTTCTCTTACAAAAATATACCTTTAAAAGTAATTTGAGACAAACTGAAATGGTAACATTCTAAAAAGGTATTTTTCCTATGATTGCTCTCATTTTTCCCTGAGTGTTATAAATGCCTAAATCACATATTATAAATGGAAAAAATGATTCTTTTAGAGAAATTCCATAAAGATTTCTTTAGAAAACTGATTTTAATGTTTTACGTATATGAAAGTTGTTTATATCCTTTTAGCACTCAGATATCAAACTGAAATATATTTTGAAGTGCTATTTTTGCAAAAATTACCAATGGCTTTGTTGAAAATTGCAATATTTATGAAATTAAGTGAAGAAAAAATTTCCCATTTGATGTAAAGCTCCATTTGATTGTCTGAATTCTTCATCCTTCATTAAGTACACATCATATATATACCAGAAAATTGAAAATGTTTATTAATTCAAGTTCTATGGATAATTAATGGACATATTCCAGGATCCTCAATAGGTCAAGGGAAAAACAAATGAAGTGGATAGGTGAAAGTAAATATTGGCAGTTCCCTCCCTAACTGATCTTATCTTGGAATTTAAGGGGCCAGATGATTCCTTTAACAGATGGGGGACAATCTTCTGAGGTAACCAATGTCTCTTTAAATATTTACTTTTCTTCATCATCAGGGGTGACAAATCTAAGTGAATGACTTAAAAATTTAGTTTAAGTATATTATGCCTCACAAATTGTAATTCAATCAAATATAAAGCATTGTATTTAGCCATTACATACCAATAAGAATGACTAAAATAAAAAGGTTGAAAACATCAAAAATTACCGACGGCTTTGTTGAAAAGTGCAAAATTTATGTAATTAAGTGAAGAAAAAAATTCCTATTTGATGTAAAACTCCATTTGATTGCCTGAATTTTTCACCCTTCATTAGGTACATACCATGTATATATATACCAGTGTCTTGAACATGTCTATTAATTTGAGTTATATGGATAATTAATGGACTGAAAAATGTACAGATTCAATCCATTCCTTAACAAAATCCAACTTTTATTTTTGCAAAGATGAAAAATATAATCCTAATATCCTTAAGAAATTGCAAAGGAACTCAGATACCCAAAATAATCTTTAAAAAAAAGAACAAAACTGGAGGACTTACACTTCCTGATTTTAAAACTTATCATAAAGCTACAGTAACAAAAACAATGAGATACTAAGTCATATAGGTTAGAGAATAGAATTGAGAGTCCAATAATACACCCATCATAATCCATGGTCAATTGATTTTTGACATGGCACCAAAACTATTCAATGGGGAAAAATAGCCTTTTCAACAAATTCTGGGAATACTGGATATCCACATATAAAATTATTAAGCTGGACACCTATCTTATGCCATTCACAAAAATTAACACAAAATGGATAAAAGCCCTAAATATGAGTCAAAACTATACAACTTTTTAGTAAAAATAAATATAGATCAATCTTCATAGCCTTGGATTTTGCAATACATACTGAGATACGGCACCAAATATACAACCACCAAAAGAAAAAATAGATAATTTGAACTTCATTCAAGTTAAAATTTTTTGTATCTCAAAAGACACTATTAAAAAAACCAAGTGAAAAAAACCTCACAAAATACGAGAAAATATTTGCAAATGTTATTTCTGATAAGGGTGTAGTATTTAGGCTATTCAAAGCATGCTTACAGTTCAACAACACAAAGACAAAGAAGCCAATTTAAAAGCAAACAAATGATTTCAGCACTCATTTCTTCAAAGAAGGTAGACAAATAGCCATGAACAATGAAATGCTAAATATCACTAGTTATTAGGGAAATGAAAAATTTTAAAAATGAGATATCACTTCACACACACTATAACTTTTCAAAGAGTATTGGTGAGAATGTGGAGAAATTGGAGTTCTCATACATTGCTGATGGGAGTGTAAAATGAGTACAACTGCTTTGGAAAATAGTCTGGCATTTCCTCAAAAAGTTAAATATAAAATTACCATATGACCTAGAAATTTTACTCTTAACCACTACCAAGAACTGAAAATACGTGTTCCAAAAAAAATTAAACATAAATGTTCATAGAAGGATTATTCACGGTAGCCCCAAAGTGGAAACTGTCCAAATGCCCATCAACTGATAAATGGATAAAAAATGTGGTATATCGATACAATGGAATATTATTCAATCATAAAAAGGAATGATGTACTGATACAGCCACAATGTGGACAAATCTGGAAAACATTATGCTAAGTGAAAGAAACCAGATACAAAGGTCACATATTTTATTATTCATATTATATAAAATATCCATAATAAGCAAATTCATAGAGATAGAAAGTAGCTTAGTGATTTCCAGAGGCTGTGATTAGGAGGGAATGGGAAATGACTGCTTAACTGGTATGAGGTTTCTTTTTGAGGAGATGGAAATATTCTGGGATGAGAGAGTGGTGATGGTTGCACAACATTGTGAATGCACTAACCCACTGATGTATATTTTTAAATGGTTAAAATGGTAAACTTTATGTTATAAAAATTTTACTTCATTAAAAGAATATAGAGAGGGAAGTAGTGATAATATAACAAGCACGGGTGGACCAAAACACATGATATTGTATAAAGGAGGCTTGACCTATAAAAGTACATATTACATAATCCATTCATATGAAGTTCTAGCGTAGGTAAAACAAACCTATAGTGAAGAACAACTTATATGAAGCGATAGAGAATTTTCTAGGCTGGTGAAATTTTTCTTTATCTTGAGGAAGGTGTGGATTATGCAGTTTATGCATTTGTCAAAATCTGAACAATGTGATTAAAAATTATACATTCTATTGACAATCAGTTCTGTTATAACACTTGTTTTGAAACCATAAATTCATTCCAACCTGACTAATATATTAATCAGAATGGAATTTTGTGTTTGCTTGTGCAGGATTTGGCCCATGAAAAAAAACTAGCTGCATGCCAAAAATTTCACCAAGTTTAAATGAGTTAAATAATGCACAAACATACATTTCAAACATCTAGCAATTATTTCAGTTCATTATGTGTGTTGTAAGCCATTCCCATGCTCATCTAGTGTTACAACTTTCTGTCCAATTTCAAATAACTCACTATACTGGATAGAATAGTGTCCCTTCAAAATTGATGCCCATTCAGAACCGATAAATATGAACTTATTTGGAAATAGGGTCTTTGCCAATGCAATCAAGTTAAACTGAGGTCATACTAGATTAGAGTGAGCCTTAAAATAAATGTGACTGGTGTCGTCATAAAAGGGAGATTTGGACCCAAAGACACAGAGGCATAGGGGAGAAGGCCATGTGAAGACAGAGGCAGACATTAGAGTGATGCGTCTACAAGCCAAGAAACTCCAAGGATTACCAGCAAGCACCAGAAGCTAGACGAGACAAGGAAGAATTCTTCCCAAGAAACTTCAGAAGAAGCAGCAACTGTCAACACCTTGAATTCAGACTTCTAACCTCCCAAAGCATAAGAGAATCAATTTCTGTTGTTTTAAACCACCCAGTTGGTATTAATTTGTCATAGCAACCCCAGAAAACTAATAGACCCACCTTCCACCACTTCACAATAACTTGTAAGCTAAACCCTTCGGAAGCACACTTCCACAAGCAAATGTTAGGTCTTTTAAAAATTAAAGCATCATATTTATTGTAGCATTTATTTTTATCGTGTCCATTTAATACATGTAAAATTTTGCTACCATTTATCTAGGTTCATATCATTTTTTATGTCACTGATATATGACATTGTATATCGTTCCACTCAATCCAGTTTTCCTATAAGCACTGTGTTTTGTTGGGCAATTCTCCATGGCACAGTAATTTGGGGAGCACATATATAACATTATAGCAGAACTGACCATATATAAATGTTACCTCAATAAAAATAAGTATACAATTCTTTAGGTATCATTTAGAGCTCTAAATTTATGTAATAAAAATGCCTGAAATCAGTAATCTATGTTTCAAAAAGTTAAAAAAGATTATTTTTAACATCTTTATTGATTTATAATTTCTACACCATGAAATTCATCCATTGTAAGTGTCCAATTCAGTGAATTTTTTTAAATGTATAGTTTTGCAACTATCATGATACTCCAGTTCTCAAACATCATAATCACTCCAAAAGTTTGCTTATGTATCTTTGCTTTTTCTTGACATTTCATATAAACAGAATCATAAAATATATACTGCTTTGTGCCTGGCTTCTTTAGCCTAATGGTTTTGAGGTTCATCCCTGTATAGCATGTATTAGTAAATCTGTTCCTTTTTATTGCTGAGTAGTAATCCCTTCTATGGAAATACAAATTTTGCTCATCCATTTGCCAGTTAGTCAACATCTGCACTCTTTCCAGTGTTGGAATACATTACGAATAATGTTTCATGCTTCAAATCTTAATTGGCAAGTCTTTGTGTGGGCATATGATTCAATTTCCTTTCTGTAAACATAGAAATGGAATTACTGGGTCACATGTAAGTGTATGTTTCACTTTTAGGAAATTGCCAAATTGTTTTCCAAAACAACTCTGACATTTTACATTCCCATAAACAATGTATAATCTTTTTAGTCTTTCTACATCCTTGTAAACGCTTAGTAGTTTCTTCTTTTGATTAAAGCCATTATAACGAGTGTCTAATGGTATCTGATTGTGGTTTCAATTTTCATAACTATAATTTCCCTAATGACTAATCAATATGAGCATATTTAGTAACATAGCTATTAACCATTTGTATATCTTCATGGATGAATTGTCTCTTTATATCTTTAGTCCCTTTTTAAAAAATCCTTTGTTCATTTTCTTGTCATTTAGTTGTAAGAGTTCTTTATATATCCTGGATATTCTGTATACAAGCTCTTTGTCAAATAGATATTGAAAATATTTTCTCCTAGTCTTGAAGAGCAAAAGATTTTAATTTTTAATGTTGATGAAGTTCAAGTTATCAGTATTTCTTTTTGTGAACATTTTGGCTACATATGTAGGAACTCCTTGCCGAACCAAAGTTTTCAGAAGTTCTGTGGTACTAGATTTTATATGTAAGTCTATGATCTATTGATCTATTTTGCGTTAATTTGTGTTATGGTGTAAGGTAAGGGTCTAAGTACTCCCAAGTGTCTTGTGTGTGTGTGTGTGTGTGTGTGTGTGTGTGTGTGTGAATATACATATATATATATACATATATATATACAGAAATTCAGTTGTTCCAGAACTGCTTGTTGAAAATGTATTCTTTTCCAAATTGATTTGTCTTGACTCATTTCTTAAAAATCAGTTGACATAAATATAAGGATTTCTGAACATTCAATTCTATTCCATTTATCAATATCAGAAGAAAATAAACTTTTATAAAAGGGCCAGATAGGTAACATTTTAGGCTTTTGTGGGCCATGTGATCTCTATTACAACTACTCAAATCTGTCATTGCAGTGTAAAGCAGCAGATAAAATGTAAATAAATGGGCATAACTGGGTTCCAATATGATTTTCATTATTAAAAAAAAAGAGGTCAGACATATTTGGCCCACAGACATTAGTTTGTTGACCCATCAGTCTATCTGATTCTTCTTATACCAATGTCTTCATTGCTTTAGCTTAGTTTTGAAATTGGGTAGTGTAAGCCTCAAATTTTGTTCTTCCTTTTGAAAGCTCCTTTGGCTATTCCAGCTCTTTGAATATGTATATAAATTTTCCAATCATGTCAATTTCTGCTGAAAAGCTTACCAAGACTTTGATAGGAATTGCTTAGAATTCATTGATAAATGGGAAGTATTGTCATTAAAATATACCAATGAATATGCATAACAATCAATGAAAATGCTTTGCCTCTCATTTTAGTTAGATCTTCTTTAATTACTCTCAAGTGATTTATAGTTTTCAGTATGAAAGTCTAGAACCTCTTCTGTTGCATTTATTAATCAGCATATTATTCTTTTTGATGCTATTGTAAATGGGATGGCTTAATTTCATTTTCTGAAAATACATTGCTAGTATATAGAAACACAATGATTTTATAAATTGATCTTGTGCCCTACAAATATGCTAAACTTGTTTATTAATTTTAATAATGTTGGATTTCTTGTGAAATCCAAATGTACATGCAAAAATATGCCATCTATGAATCAAGATAATTTTATCTCTTCATTTTCAACTTGGATGCATTTATGCCTTCTTCTGCCCCTGCGTCCCATGTAATGTTAAATAAAAATGGTATAAAGGTACATTCTTGCCTTGGTTCTCGTCTTAGAGAAAAAAAAAATCAGTCTTTCACTAACATATGTAACATTAGATATCATGTTAGCTCATAATTTTATATAGATATCCTTTAGGAGGTTGAGGAAGTTCCCCTTAAAACCTAGTTTCTTGAGAGTTTTTTTAATGAATAGGTGCTAGATTTTGCCAGAAACCATTCCATGCCTTTTGAATGACCATGTAGTACTCATCCTTCACTCTATTAACATGGAATATTTTGTTAATTTTTTTATGTTAAACTAACTTTGCATTCTTGAGATTAGTCCTACTTGGTCATAATGTATAATTATTTATATATTTTGCAGGACTAGGCTCGCTAACAGTACTTTGTTGGGAAATATTTTCCTCAATTTTCTTGGTCATTCTAGTTAAAGGTTTATCAATGTTAATATTTCAAAGAACCAAGTTTTAGCTTCACTGATATTGCTCTTTTCATTTTCTATTTCATTGATTTCCACTCAGATCTTTTATTTTTAATTTTCTGAGATACTTTTTAAATTTTGAGACGCTTTTTAAACCATCACACATGTTGGAATTCAGTGGCACGAGCACGGCTCATTGCAGTCTCCACCTCCCAGGCTGAAGTGGTCTTTCCTTTTTAGCCTCCTGAGTAGCTTGGTCCACAGCCACATGCCACCACACATGACTAATTTTTTTAATTTTTTGTAAAGACAGTCTTGCTATGTTGCCCAGGTTGGTCTTGACCTCCTGGGCTCAACCAATCCTCCTGCCTCAGTCTTAAAGTCTTGAGCCACCATAATCAGCCTCTGTTCTGATCTTTATTACTTTCTGTTTGTTTGGGGCTTTTCTTAAATTTCATATGGTAGAAACAGATGATTGAGATATGTCCTTGTTGCTTATATTTCCATTAAAGCTATAAATTTCTGTAAGCACTGTCAGCTATCTCTCTCATATATTTAGATGTGTTTTTATTTTTATTCCATTCAAAATATTTTCAAATTTTTCTTGTGACTTCTTCTTTGACCCATGAGTTATTTATATATCTGTAGTTTAATTTTCAAGTTTGTGTGCATTTGATTAATTAAAATCTGAGTCACCTCTACTCTCTACACCTTCTTTCTCACTTCCTAAAAACTCTGGCAATCTAGATCCCATCTCTTTGATGCAACTAAAATTCCTCTCAACAAGATTGACAAAGATCTCCCGTTTTCCAAATCTCATACACATTAGTTCATCATCATGTTGCTTGATAATTTGGAAACTTTTTAGGGCTTTCTTCTTTTCATGACTCTTTCAATATCAAAACAGCCAATTTAATAACACTGCCATCTCACAGATTTCCTCCTCTCTTCATTTGCTTCTCATGATTATCACTTGTGGCACATTTTTCTTTGCCTGTCATTTAAATGAGGATGTTCTTCATGCTGCTAATTGTTAATGCAAATTAGTGGCTTTCTGCCTAAGAAGGTAAATTAGAGAAGCTAACTTGAGGATAGTCCTAATATAGGTTTTTACTGTGGTTCAAGAGAAGTGCTATGAAAAGCATTTGTATAAGAAGTATTCTTCACCCTAATTCAAATTTATTCAGTGACATTAACATACTACTTGTTTTAGTTATGCAGACCCACACACACACACACACACACACATACACACACACACATATATATATGCTTTTTACCTCACTGAAATGCTAGAACATTTCCAAGCTGCTTGCAAATTATTTTTTAAAGCTTCTGAAGATGTTACATAAACTCCAATAAATGAAAATGTTATTGAAGCCATAGCTCAAGAAAATTTTAAATCTGTAACGTTGTTATATTACTAGTAATTTGATAATGTTCACAGTGATGAAGTCAACACCTAGTTTCAAATTTATAGGCGTTTACACTAAAGTACTTAACTTTATAAATATTTTGATTCATATCAGACACCAACAAACATACAAATATTTTCTTAGTATGGGTCGCCCTGAAGTGTGATAATGAATCATCCTTACCTTGGGTTATTGAAAACTAACACATCCTAACTAAAGTAATTTACTAAAAAAGTTGCAATGTCATCTCTTTCTCATTTTTCAAACCCTCATTATTGGCTAGATATGTTTCCAGGCCTACATGGATAAAGACATATTCTCAATGTCATATCCTTTTATTATTGAGAGATACTTCTTCATTGAGTTATTGAAGGAGAAGGCAAGTATTGTGGTTTCATAATCTTGGAAATAGAAGGAGCCTAGAGCTCACCAAAAGAGTCAAAGTAGCATCCTGGTTAGCAACATTGGCTTTGCAGCCAGATGGAATGGGTTTCAGGTCTACCTCTGCTACTTAATACTGTGTGAAATTGGGCAAAGTATTTAATCTAGGTGTGCTCAGTTTTCTCATCTGTAGAGTGGGGTTAGTAATAACACCTATACCATAAGCTTGTTAACATTAAACGAGTGTGTGTGTATGTATGTATGTTTTATAACAGTACTCATCACATATTAAACAACCACCAAATATTAGCTATAATTATTATCTACTTCAACCCTTAGCTCATACATGAGCCCATGTCACTCAGTTCAAATGAAATCATTTCATTAGGGAGATCTCTCCAGATCATGCAGAACTGTGGATGGACAGTTACATTGAGAAGAATTATCTTCAGCGAATTCCTTTGGCATAGTTGTCATCACTGCACTCATGATTAGTATGTGATGGTTCCATATCTGTTTCAGGGTCATCAGATATTTTACACCAGGTTCATGAACAAAGAATCATGGAGTTAGGGTAACAAGAGTTTATAAAAAGAATAGAAGAAATTGTTTTATTCATCAGTACTCCTCCATGAAGTATATTACAGCAGCCAAAAAAGTGAAAAGGGAAGATTGTATTGGCTAATATCAAACACATTTTGATTCTCACTGAAATTTGTATTTTCTTTGTTGAAATGATAGGGATAGTGTACATACATGTTTTCCTTTCATAATTCATTCCAATTAGCAATTATTCAAGACTCAATCAGTAGGGACCATATTCAATTAAATATTCAACAGAGTGCATTGTTGTGTTTCAAAAAAGATTAAATTTTTGAATGCCATAATTTTTAAAAATGTAAATCAATTTCTTTCCAGAAAAAATAAGAATAAAATCCACTAGATTCTTTAAATCTCACTATTGAAATATAAATCCATATATATAACAAAGAAAAACTGTATATATTGTCTATTCCTTAGAGTTACATCATCTCTCCAAATCTATTACTTTGTTTTATGTTTCTTTTCATAAGTACAACTGCTACTCCTAAAAGAGGAGGTATTATTTTATTTTGGTTTTGGTAAAACCAAAAATACATTATATAAAAATGAAAATAAGCTACCTATATTATATCTACTTGCTCCTGCTTGCTACTGTTGCTGTACGCATTTAACATTCTCCTAAAGTAATATATTCTTTTATAAAGTCATGAAACATATGAGTTATTTTTGGTTAACCAATGTAGTCTTCCCAGTTGAATTCCACATAGTAAAACCAACAAACACTTTCTGGTTTAGAATAGTGATATTTTGAACGTGTTTTATAAAATAGCAATTAACACTTCTAATTCTCAAACATTAAAACAATATTAGTATGTGTTTTTGTTTCACCAGAATATAATTTCTTTATCTAAATTGCCCCAATACAGTTTTACATTGGTTGTTTTTTAAAGACTAGAATAAAAACTTGATTATATGTGCTCTGTTCAAATAAAAAAAAATCTATGAAAGACTTAAAATAAAAGATATCCATTCTGATAAGGAGTAAGCTGACCATTTGTCACCCATTCCCCATTATAGACTACAACAAGAAGCTATCCTGAAAAGAATGTAATTTATACTAGGCTAAAAATAAAAATGTACTGCCAAACATAGTCAGCAAAACACAATTTAAAATATGTACTTTTTTGCATTTTGCATCTATGCTTGAATAATTATGCCACAAGCTAAAAAGTGTTTGTGATTCTCTTTAACAGTGTAATTACATGAACTGTCTAATTTTTTCTTTTTCTTTTTTCCTTTTTTTTTTTTAGATGGAGTCTTGCTGTGTCACCAGGCCGGAGTGCAGTGGTGTGATCTTGGCTCACTGCAACCTCTGCCTCCTGGGTTTAAGCAATTCCCCTGCTTCAGCCTCCTGAGTAGCTGGGACTACAGACGCGCCCAGCTAATTTGTTCTACTTTAGTAGAGACAGGGTTTCACCATGTTGGCCACGATGGTCTCAATCTCCTGACCTCGTGATCCACCCACCTCGGCCTCTCAAAGTGCTGGGATTACAGGCATGAGCCACCGTGCCTGGCCAACTGTCTATTTCTTTTAGGTAACTTAGAATCCAAACAATTAACAAGAGAAGGAAAACAAAGATAAGCCATTACTTTCAGTACCCATACTTTCTAACATATAACTGCTGTGATCAATGTTTCCTTCCTTTCACCTTACCTTGACATTCTTCAGCTTGCAGGAACCTGTTGTTGTTATGTGCACTTACTTTGTTACTAATCAAGGAAGACAAAAACAATGTTAACAGGATGCTTCTATCATGCTCTTTCTAGAAGTCCAGGTATAGGCTTGGTATATTTTTTAGTTTTAAAGAGCTTCCTAAATGCACTAGGGACTCAAACTTTCCCTCCAGGAATGTCTGTAGGATCCACCATATTGCTTTTCCTACTATTTACTCTGTAGAGTCCAAGAGTTTTGTTAATTTTGATGGTTCATTTGTCATGCTTCTTTATCATCCTTCTCTGGGAAAACAACTTCAATCTTTGGAATCCAGTTAAAGCACTACGGTTCTTAGGAAAGTATGTCTGACCCTCTTACAATCACCCCTGACTCCCCTGAATTCTTCTGAACCCTTTTAGCAACATTTGCATCACCCATTTTACAAAATCATATGTAACATCTTTTGCAATTTTATACATCTATATGTAGTCTCCCTAAGGCCTTATATTCACCAGGGTACCTCGCATGCCTGCCCTTAATAGATGCTTAGTGATACTAGAATCCTTGCTTTTGACTGATGTTTGCATCTCTCACTGTGGAATTTGTTCTTGCAAGCTGTGCCTCATAAAATATGACACTTTGCTTAAAATATGGCAGGTTGGCCAATATTATATGCTGAGACTCAAAGGGATTCAACTTAAACCAATCTCCCAAAAACATCATTGTCTTTGATTGCCCTTAAGAAAAGAATTCAGTGTTTCATCATGTGTAAATTTGAACATCCAAAAGTAGGCCTCTTGAAAAAGCCATGTGTGTTCATCACATGGCAGAATTGGACTGTTACACTGAGGTGACAGTGCAGCAATATTTGTCAACAAATATAACAAATACTGTCTCAGTAACCAAGATGTAATGCTGTAAGGAGAGGATGCAGAAAAATCTAATATAAGTGGTCTCTGCAAATCAATGGATCAAGAACATGCAATGCTACATTCTTAGATGTGTTCCTCTGTGTATTTCTTGCCCTTCTAAACCAGCTGTTTTTTCTGGTGAAGATCTTCCATGATATGCAAGAAATGCTTAACTATTTTAATGTTTTAATATAGCATTTCTCAGAAAATTATTTTCATTTCAAAAGGGAGAATTTAGTCCAAGCAACAGACAACTAAAGTTAGGTGTTGTTTTATCCATTGTAATCTGTAAGAGAAAGTACTCATTGACCGTAACTATGAACATTAAAACTAAATTTTGTAGATAAGTACCTACTCTGCTTTCAGGTGGTAGAAACCCACTCAAGAGATCCCTGCTTGATTTAATTTTATCTCCTATCATGCAGACTTCCATTGTCCTTCCCTTGAATCACGCAGTCACTTCCAGTAT
Organism: Homo sapiens; assembly: GCF_000001405.40. Classification (NCBI taxonomy): domain Eukaryota; kingdom Metazoa; phylum Chordata; class Mammalia; order Primates; family Hominidae; genus Homo; species Homo sapiens. The sequence continues at coordinate 109,164,220 of NC_000007.14, read as the reverse complement.
ATCTCCCTGCTTCTATTCTTGCCTTTCTCCACTCGATCTTTTTTAAAAAATTAGATCATTTAAAAAAATTAGACCACAGTTTTAATTATGCTAAGCACTACCTCCACAACAGCAACAACGTATGGTGTTTCCACTGTGCTTAAAATAAAATGTAAATTTTTTATGCCCTATGAGCACTTTCAAGATCTGACCCCTGCATTTCTGACATTGTCCCAGTCTTACTAACCCCTTTATTTAACTCCATTGGCCTTTTCTCTGTCTTTGGTCAAACCCAAGTCATCCCACCTTTGGTCCTTTACACTTGCTCTTTTGGGTGCCTGGAAAAGTCAACCCAAATGTTACTTCTTTGGAGAAATCTTAGTCTCTCTATCTAAAGACTTCCCACCCCCGATCCAGTCACTTCCCCACATCACTCCCTTTTGCTGTCTCCATTGCAGATAGAAATATTTAAAATGTGCTTAGTGTTTAATTTTGGCTTCCCCTCTTTAGATAGAATCTCCTTGATCTATTCTCTCAGGAGAACCTAGAGCAGCACCTAGGCACTTAGTGTATATTGGCGAATGAAACATGACTAAGAGCAAAAGCAACACAGCTTCTCAGTGCTCAGTGACATAATTCACGAAGAGAAGAACAAGGCTCTGAATTTAAAACAAGGACAAAGAGAGGAAAAATTAATTTATCCTGGGGAGCTAAGGAGACTGCTGACATTCTTCCAAAATGTAGGAACTTCTGTTAGTACTTGTCCCCTACTCATTGAAGCAGAAAATGCCAATGAAAAAATCTCAGACAATAGGATAGTTAAGTAAATAGAATAGAACAAATTGAATATTAAATGTTAAGATAGCTTCAGTTTTTATTCTTCAATGTAAAAGAAATAATGCCTGAGTATAATAGGTGATTTCTTTTACTTTAAAAAATTTAAATGCATTATGAATAAGCATGTACCTGTTATTTTAATTAAATACAAATTAGCTATAATGTGCATTAGTATATCATAAAATTTAACCTCCAACTAGGAATAACCCACCTTCAAATACGCAGAGTTGATGGAGGCTTGACAAGTGAATTGGTAACCTTTAGTATTAAATCGTCACTTGCCCTGTATTCCCCTGCCTTTAATGAATTTATATTTATTGTACCCCAATAAGACAGCTGAGTCTCTGACTGCATTTCTTCCTCTTTGTCCTAGACAAGCCCCTATTGTTATTCCCTCACAGATGTGTCACCCCTGTCTATTTGCCTGTGACTAAACCCATGTAATCTCATTGGCCTCCTAAAACCCTTTCATCTAACCTACTCGTCGAGATTCTTCTTCTCCTTCAAATGAATCCCCAGGTTAATCTTCAGGTGGGCTGAGTAATCAATGCTTCAGGTAAAGCCTATTTCCTTTTCATCTTGATCTTATGTATGAGGATTTTTCAGCTGCTGAATTCAAGATGGCCAGAAAAGTAATTTATTTTGGTGCCACATTTTCCTCCTTTGCTTAATTTAGAAATAATTTCACTGCTGCAAACAGATCTTGCATATTTGTGAGCTTGGGCAGGTTAAGTGGTCACCTATTATCTCTATAATGAAGTCCATTGTACTTTTGAGAAAATAGAATTCTTTCATGGAGCATGAAACACATAACTTTCAACATCCTAAAAAATGTGTAGTGTAAGTGAAGGTATTTCCATTGCATATTTTATCTTTGTTTTAAAAGGAGTTTATGCATTTATTAGTTGGGAGAGATTCTAAATTTAATGAATGCAAAAGCGTTGTTCAAGTTTGTTGTAAAAATGACAACTCCATTGACCTTTCCATATTCTGTCACAAGTGGGAGTGATAGATTGACAGATGGTCCTGCACTGAATACTGCGAAAAACAATACCAGGACTTTTTGTGTGTATTTACCATATAGAGAATTGAGTTGCTTAAGAAACATTCAAAACAGCCCTAGAAAATAAAGGCTTTAAACTTTCCATCTGTAACTATTTTTAAAGGGAAAAAATGAGTCACTGATATGATCTGAACACAGTATTATTCTAGAATCAACTCATATGCATTATTTTCTCAATACAAAAAGAGTAAACAATCACACATCCCTGTTTGTCTCAAGTGTTGCTTTACTCTAATGCTAATCAAAATGGTAGGAACAATTTCTGTGTTTTACAATGCTTCATCAAAAGAGCACTTTATAAAATAATGAGCTGTAGAATGCACATCATCCCTTCAAGAAGGTAAATAAAACTAACATTATTGTTTTTATTGTTACTAATCATTAGTATTGTTATTCTTAACAATCATTACTGTGGTTGCTTTTATTTTACTTTTCAGAAAGAAATATTGAAAAGGAGCCAGCCACACAACAGAAAGTGGTGTACATCAGAATCTTTAAGAGCTCTTTATTAGGATGCTCTCAAGGATGATGGTGGGAGGCGGAGTAGAAAAGAAAGAGGAAAGGCAGAGAGGTGTGGAAGGAGAGAGAAAAACAGAGGCTACCAGTTAGAGAAACAAATCACATGTGTCAAGAAAAAGAAGAGAGATCATTTTAAGTTTATGGGTAAAAGGCACAGGGAAGATACAATTTTAACATATTTTCCTTCTACAACCATTGTCTCTTCTAGAATAAAGCCTGAAAGTCTAGAGTTTGTCATGTCTAGCAAAAAAAAAACGAACCTGATTGGCATGAAGAAGTATGTGCTACTACCATTCAATGCAACTGTTAAGTTCTTAAAAATTGTATTAGTGATAGGTTCCAAACTACTTCAATTATCAGCCTAATGAAATACCACTCTTTCCATGTATCAGTCCTAAAATTTCAGTATTATTTTTTATACAACCTAGATTTTTAAAGAAGAGCATGAGCTTTCGAACAAGAATAGAAAAGGATGGTGCATAATGTGATAGCCAAGAAACAGGAGAAATAAAAGTAATGCCTGGGGAGAGAAGACTCAGGAGGCCAGACATATTTCAGCATGATGAAAGAGTGCTCTGAAGAACCGTAGGCCACTTGAGATTTAGTATTCATTGAAAAGACAGTGCCCCCAAGAAGAGAACCATAGTTAGGTTTTATCTATTTCATGTTTTTATCAAGCATGGAGGGGTTCTACAGTACAGGAAGAAAGTCTATGGGAGAAATCAATCCCCTTACTTTACGTAATATTCACACATACATAGCTGCCCCTCCCTCCAGAAGTTTCTTAGATTGCCCCATTTCTCTGAACTTACAAACGAGAACAATGTAAATGCCAGAAACAGTATTCTTTACATATAATAGTATATTCAGCAAATGTTTGTTAAATATCTGAATATCTACTCACTGCCAGACACTGAAGATAGAAAGATGACTACAATGTCACAGAATGTAAAATCTAAGACTGAGAAGTAAGGCAACATTAACAACTCAGCGTGCGACATGAGAGCTGTGTGCAGGGCACTGCAGGGGCACAGGAGATAAATGCAACTCACGCTAGGAAACCATGGAAGATTTCCTGGAGAAGACACTGCATGAGCTGATGCTTAAAGAATTGGTAAAAGTTCTTTTGGTAGAGAAAAGGAGATTAGAATGTCTAGACAGCAGGAACAGGATGCACAAGGACATTGAAGTGCAAACAGCGTGATGCAGTTGGAAAATACAAGTCTCTATGTATGTTTTATATGGGGGAGTGCCAGGAGTTGAGACAAGGGCAACTGGCTATGAGGCTGAATTAAGATGTGGAAATTTGCTGAAAATTTTTTAAAATAAATTTTGAGTTATAATTTATGTACAATAAAGTGCGTTCATTTAAAAAGTGTAATTCAATGAGTTTTGACAGGCAAATAAAACTGTATAAACATCACTATAATGAATATCAGAACATTCCTATCACTGTCTCAAATTTCTTCAAGGTCTCTTTGTAATCTATTCCCCTATCCCAATCCAGCCCCAGGCAACCAATAGTCTATTCTTGTCTCTGTAGATTAGTGTTGTCTGTGTGTGTCAAACAAGTGGTGTCCCAGTTTGATGCTAATACAAATAAAGCTACCATAAACATTTAGGAACAAGCTTTGTGTAGACATATGTTTTCATTTCTTTTGGGAAAATACCTAGGAGTGGAATTATTTGGCCTATATGTTACATGCATGTTTAATATTTCAAGAGTTTGCAAGTTTTCCAAGGTGGTTATATGATTTCATATTTGCATCAGCCATGTATGATTGTTCCAATTTCTCTGCAACATCAACAGCAATTGGTATTATCAGTTTTCTAATAGGTGTGTAGTGCTATCTCGTGGTTTTAATTAGCATTTCACTGATGACTAATGATGTTGAGCATCTCTTCATGTACTTTTTGTTTATTCACACAAGTGCAGCTTTTTTGGTGGGTTGTCATTTTAAATATTATATCTAATTTTTCTTGGGTAAGGAAGTGTTTATCTTGTTACTGATATAGGAGTTTTGCATATATGCTGGATATAAGATCTTTGTCAGATATATTATTGTGAATATTTTCTTGCATTCTGCATCTCAAGTTTTCATTTTCTTGATATTATCTTTGAAAGAATTAAAGTTTTTTTAATTTTGATAACATCCAGTTTATTCTATTTTTTTATTTTATGATTCATGTTTTTGTTCTCTAAGAATATTAAACCATGGGAGAGTTAATATAACTTGGGACAAAAGACTAAATGTGTATTTTTTGTTTGTTCCGTGTACATGTGAACTGCGTGTCCTCCTTTTTCATCACTGGAATAGAAAATAATGCATATCATAATCCTTGAGTCATATTAATTTGATCTAGCAACAGATACCATGTCTAACATAGCAGGCATGATCAGAACCACTTGGATAAGTTTGTATTGAAGTCTACAGTCAATCTCCAGAATCCACCTGGTTTCTTCAGGAGCCAAAGCAATTATTTAAATGGACCTACAATAGGTAATACAATCTGCTATGCTTTATTTTGAAAAATTAATAAAACTTTATTGTAACACCTAATGGAAGACTTCAATTAATGGAAAAACATTGTGTGTTCCTGGGTAGAAGGACTAGAAATATAATATCATAGTTAATTAGATGGACTACAGAGGCAAACACCTCTTTGAATCCCAGCTCTTCTGCTGATTAACTTCTTGAACTTGAACCAGGATTCATGGAAATACAGGAAGACAGAGCATACCATCAGGCCTCACAAAGGCAGAAGGAAGATTTTTCAGGATCCAATACAGCTGTGGCCACCAGATCATCTAGAGCAGTGCTTCCCAAACTTTAAGGTGAGATTCACCTGGGAATCTTGTGAAAATGTAGATTCTGATTCATTAAGTCTGAGAATTGGCCTAAGATTCTTCATTTCCCACAATCTCATGGTGATACCAATGCTGCTGGTCTATAGACCCCACTTTGAGTAGAAAGGATCTAAGTTTCTTCAGCTGAGAGGTTACTGATCCCTCTTCTAGCGCTCTGCTGACATTGTGGTTGTTTCTCTATGTGTCTGTAGTTTCTATCCCATTTCCAATTACTACAAATTACACAAGAAAAAAATGATTGTATTTATTTATCTCAAGGCAGTAGGAATATAAGCATCTTTTAGAATACTCTTTTATACCTTGGAGATGTTCAACAATGAGCTAGCACTACTCACATAATCAAAAAAAAATATTTTCTGCTATTTGGAACTAATAACATTACTACTTTGGCTGCCTTAAATGCAATACTGACCAAACAAAAACCCCTCAGAGACCCACAGAACTGGAGAGAAAATGCCGTTTTGAGAAGCAAAGAATAAAACACAGAGCAGTAAAGAATATATCCTGTGGACGCAGCCAACATCTTTGGAAAGAATTACTGGATTCTAAGCGGCCAACAAATTGCATTCTAACAAGAAGAGCCTTGCTCTTCATGGACTGAGGATACTTCTAATATTCTTGTATGTCAGTGAGTCCAAATCTGCAATGCAGCTATGTGAACTAACTGGAAGGGCTAGGGAGAGCTTTGTCACTCATGTTCCTCTAGTCTGCAACTGTGTTCTTCTTTAAACAAGTTTGCAGTGTCTCCTCTGCCTGCCAGACATGGTTCATTGTCATCTGAACACAGTTAAAAGGAGAAAGAGAAGTTTCCCTTAGCTAGAACTAGCCTCATGGGTAACTAAAAGGCCTAATAAAATATTTCTGCATATTTGCACTAATTATCAGCACACGGTTTAATCAACCCAAGATGGTATATTTTGCTGGGCTTTTCTGTTGTGCACTAACGTAACTTTGTCAGAGGAATAAGTGGCAAACACAATGTAGTGTGGGTTTAAACCAACATACAGCTCTCTCCTTCTGTGCAGAGCTCCAGGGTTTGACTGAACACTGCTTCATCAAATGGTCCAAAGACCTTACTGGGCTTCTCAGTAGTTTCGAGCTGAAGGGTGATTCCACTTTCACTGGATTTCTGCCTTTGTTGCAGTAAAAGAAAAGACGCTCCTCAGTCTTCCCCTTCGCATGTCATTAACCTATATAGCAGCTGCCTGAAAAGCATTAGATATGATAGGGCTCTCTTTGGATTTATCGGCTGGGAAATTAGCTGATCCTGCCTCATATTGATTCTCACCTGCCACCCCTCAGTTGACCTCAGGTACAAATTGCACTTGTCCGGAGATTAACCCTAAAATTATCTGCCCATGTTTCAGTGGGGAGGACAAGCCTCGATTCTATCCCGTAATAGAGTTCTGCCAGCCCAATCCTGTTTTCTTGGTGGGAATTCTCAGGACTCGCGTATGCTACTGTTAGCATTTTATGAGCTCTGAAGGTTTCAGACAGGTAGGGAACCACACTTTATCAATTCAGCAAGGAAGGGTTTATAATGTGTGGTATAGGCATTATCATATTGTGTCACTTGAGCCAATTCATAAGTATAGATATTTATAGTTTATCTATATAAATAGTTTTTGGTGCTGATTTGTCTTGCTAGCATTCCAACTTTATCTCTGAAAACCTTCAAACACTATCTGTACCTCTTTGATGTAATAAAGACTTTCCATGGTGGCTTCAGGATGTTTACTTCCTTTTTCAATGCATTGTCACAGTGGTTCAAAAAATCAGAATTCTGAAAAGGAGGAAAATCTGTGTAACTAGGAAAAATGGAGAAAAAAGACGCCCACTAGTGGAAAAACAGAAGAGTATATGCAGAATAATAGAAATGTCTAAGGGGTAGTTTTTAAAATGTTCACTGAAGGTATATGATATAAACTTCTTTTGCTATCTTTTCCGTAAAATCTTCAGTAAAATGTATGGTACTAACAATTTTGCGTGAGTGAATATTTGAGTGTTTGAAGATGTGCTGTGTTCCATGTTCTGGTAGATGTAAACAAAACATGGAGACAGAACTCCTGGGCACAGGAGCTATGAGAGGAGGACACTGGGTGTATTTGTCTAGGTGGTGTACTCTTTGGGGAAGTACTACTCACTTTCTAGTAGAAGTCAAAATAGTGATGTACTCAATCTGTTCAACCATCTGTGGTGGCCCTAAATTAACAATCAGCTGATATGTGGATTATGCTTTTTTAAATTGATATGTATATAATCTATTTTATATATATATATATATTTTCAGATTACATGTGATAATTTGATATATTCATATAATCCAGTTAGGATAATTAGGATATTCATCACCTTAAATAGTTATTTTTCATTTTTGCTAGTTATATTCTAATCATTCTCTTCTAGCTATTTTGAAATGTACAACCAATTAATGTTAATTATAGTTACCCTACTGATCTATCAAACACCAGGTCTTATTTCTTCTATATGAGTGTATAGATACACATTAATCAACCTTTCTTCATCCACATCTCTTTCCTACCCTTCCTGGTGTTTGGTAACCACTAATTTACAAGATGCAACTATATGCTGCCTACAAGAAATCCACCTTACCTTAAAGACACACATAGGCAGGCCACAGTGGCTCATGCCTGCAACCCCAGCACATTGGGAGGCTGAGGCAGGTGGATCACTTGAGGTCAGGAGTTCAAGACCAGCCTGACCAACATGGCAAAACCTGTCTCTACTAAAAATATAAAAATTGATCAGGCGTGGTGGTACATGCCTGTAGTCCCAGCTACTTGGAGGCTGAGACATGAGAATCACTTGAACCAGGGAGGTGAAGGTTGCAGTGAGCTGAGATCACACCATTGCACTCCAGCCTGGGTGACAGAGTGAGACTCCATCTCTTAAAAAAAAAAAAAATACACACATAAACCAAAAAGTGAAAGGACAGAAAAAGATGTTCCATGTGAGTGAAAACCAAATAAATAGGCTTAACTCCATACATGAGATAAAATGACTACAAGACTAAGACTGTAAGAAGAGACAAAGAAGGTTACTATATAATGATAAAGAGGTCAATATAGCCAGCGGATATAACAATTATAAACATCTATGCACTCAACACCAGAGCTCCCAAGCATATAAAGCAAACATCACTAGATCTAAAGGGAGGAATAGACTGCAATACAATATAGTAGGCGACTTCAACACTCCACTCTCAGTAATAGACAGATCATTAGGCAGAAAATCAACAAAGCAACCTCTGAGTTAAACTACATACTAGACCAAATAGGCCTAACTGACATTTACTGAGCATTTCATGTTAACTGCTGCAGAATACAAATTCTTTTCATCGGCACATGGAATATTCTCCAAAACAGACTACATTTTAGCGACAAAATAAGTCTCATCAAATTTTAAAGAGTAGATATTATATCAAGTATCTTTTCTGACCACAATGAAATAAAGCTAAAAAATCAATAACTAGAGGAACCCCAGAAATTACTCCAACACAAGGAATAAACAACATGCTCCTGAACAACCAATGGGCTAATGAAGAAACTAAGGGAATTAACAATTTTTCTGAAACAAATGAAAATAGATAGCTGGGCGCAGTGATGCATGACTGATGACTGTAGTCCCAGCCACTCAGTCCCAGCTTAAGGCGAGAGGATCACTTAAGTCCAAGGTTTCAAGGTTACAATGAGCTATGGTCATATCACAGCACTCCAGCCTGGGGGACAGAGTGAAAACCTACACACACATGTGTGTACACACACACACACATATATATACTTTTTAAAGTTACACACATAAATATACTTTTTAAAGTTATCAAATAACTATCAAATAAAGTTATCAAATAACTGTTATCAAATAAGGTTATCAAAAAACTGTGAAGAAACTGTGAAGAAAAAAAGACTAGATGAACTAAAATTACAGAGAATGAATAGTCCCAATTAGGTAAATTGATTGAGGTTGCTGTCTATTAGGAAATTTGCTGAGTCAGAGTCTGAGATGAGGTTCAGACATTACCTAGGCAGAGGAATTCTACTGAGGGAAGGAGAAACCAGTAGAAATGTTCATGGGCAGGCCAATCGGTTTGACAGATTGGAACATGATGGAGTATCAAACAAATGGCTGTTTTCTCTCATACAACATTTGTTGAGAACTCGGCTAGCATGGAAGGTTTGGTGCTGAGCTGATAAGGCAGAGTGAAATCTCCTGCAATCTCTCAGTACCTGGGAGACAGATTGCCAAAGGGAGTGGTCTGCAATAAATACATGTCAGATTTCACTTCGGAGATTACTGATATTAAGAGTTGGGCTGAATCTGACAAAGTTGCACTTACCCATGACCCGGATTAAATCCAAATGGATTGAGGTCATCAACTTTAATCTTCTCTGCCTGACAGAAAAACAGGAAAAGCTTTCTGGCAGAAAACATCTAACTCAGTATATACAGTTACTGTATATGGCCAGTATACAATAAAAATGAGGAGACATATGAAGAGAAAGGAAAATGTGACTAATAATCAAGAGAAAAAAGCAAACAATAGAAGCAGAAACAAAGATGATCCAATTGTTTAAGTTCACAGATAAGAACTTTAAATAATTAGGATTATTTTTTAAACAATAGAGGAAAAGATGGAAAGTAGATGAAAAGATGGAGAATTTCAACAGAGAACTGGAATTTGAAAGGAGACACAAATGGACGTCTGGAACACAACTCTGAATGGGTTTAACAGCAAATCGGATGACACAGCAGGAGACAGAATTAGTGAATTCAAGGATAGGTCAATAGAAAATATCCAAATTGACTCACACATACTTGCAAAAAATGGAAAAGAATGGAATATAACAGAGATGTGTAATTGGTTCTAGCAGCAGAGGATAAAGGTAATGGGCAGAAGCAATATTTGAAAATATAATAGCTGAAAACTTTCCAATCTGATGAATGACTCCATCTCCAGATTCAAGGAGTTCAGCAAACCCTAAGTGGGACAAATACAAAGAAAGCCACACCTCAGTTTTTCATGTAGTTAGATCACTAAAAATCAAAGGTAAAGATAAAAACCTTAACAGTAGGATAGAGAAAATTGACATTGTATTTAAAAGGGCAACATAAGAATAATGTCTGATTTTTCTTTCTTTCTTTCTTTCCTTTTTTTTTTTTTTTTTTTGAGATGGAGTTTTATTTTTTTGCCTAGGCTGCAGTGCAATGGCACAATCTCTGCTCACTGCAACCTCCGTCCCCCTTCGGGTTGAAGTGATTCTCCTGCCTCAGCCTCCCAAGTAGCTGGGATTACAGGGATGCACCACCCACCCAGCTAATTTTTTTGTATTTGGTAGAGACAGGGTTTCACCATGTTAGGCTGGTCTCGAACTCCCGACTTCAAATGATCCACCCGCCTCGGCTTCCCAAAGTGCTGGGATTACAGGTGTCAGCCACTGCACCCAGCACGTCTGATTTTTCAATAGAAACTGTGGAAGCCAGAACACATGGAATGGCATGTTTAAAAAGTTGAAAAACAGAAGAAACATTTGCAGTCCTAGAATTATATAACCGGTAAAAATATATCTAAAAGGAAGGCAAAATAAAGATGTTTTCAGACAAACAAAAACTGAACAATTTATCTTCAGCACAGTGAAGGGAGTTTTTCGGGTTGAAGAAAAATGATTCTACAAAGAATCGCATAAGTGTAAAAACAAATGAAGGACACTTGCAAGGGTAAATGTGTGAGTACAATAAATATGAAGAAAATTGATTGTTTTAGGCAATCACCATGTCTTGTAGGGTCTAGAATATACACACAAGGAAAATATATAACAACAGTAACCCAAATGGCAGGACAGGTAAATGGAACTGAATTGTTGAAAGGCTCTAGCGTTGTTCAGGAAGTGATAAATATACCAATTTAAGTTAGATTACAATAAATCAGCGATACCTATTGTAATCTCTAGGGTAGCCACTAAAACAGTAACGTAAAAAGATATAATTAAAAAACTAGCAGAGACGATAAAATTGAAAAACATAAATATTTACAATTATCATAAGATGAAAAAGTAGTAATAAAGAAATAAAGAATAATTGGAGCAAATAGAAAACAAATAACAAGATGTAAGCTTAAACCTAACTATATGAGTAATTACATTAGATGTAACTAGACAATATATACTGCATTCCAACTAAAAAGCTGTGTGTGTTTGTGTGCTGGCCTGATGGCACATGCTGTGGTCCTGGCTATTTGAGAGGCTGAGGTGGGGGGATTGTTTGAGCCCAGGAGTTTTGATACCTGCCTGGGCAACGCAGTGAATCCCCCGGTCTCAAAAAAAACAAACAAAAAAAAAAAACAAAAAAAAAAAAACAAAGACTTTAGGTGTACAGAAGAGAAAAAATAGAAGACTGAATTTGAAAAATTAAAAACCCAAAACCCAGCTATGTGCTGTTTGTAATATACTTTAAATATTAATATGCAGACTTTTTGAAAGTAAAAGAATGGAAAATAATATACCATGCAAAAACTGACAAAAATAAAGCTGGCTTTACAACATAAAAATCAGGAAATTATGTGGAAGTATCTACAAAAGCTAAACATATATATATCCTTGGATCTTGCAATTTCACTCATAGCTACATATTCAAGAAAAATGAGTGTATACGTCCATCCACCAAAAGACACATACAAGAAAGTTCTTAGCAGATTTATTTATAATAACAAAGCTTGAGAAATACTCAAATGTCCATTATCATGAGAATGAATACATTGTGATATATTTATATAATAAAATATTCAAGGCAATAAAATAATGATTGATATCTGTAACAATATAGATGTATTTAATAAACATTATGTTGAGTAAATGAAGCTAGACACGCACACACACACACACACACACACACACACATGAAAACAAATACAACATACCAAGATCTATGGGATACAGCAATGACAGTACAAATGTGAAGTTTATAGCAATAACCACCTACATTAAAAAAAAACAGAAAGGCTTCAAATAAACTATAACAGTGCTCCTCAAGAAAATGGAAAAGCAAAACAAACCAAATTAGTAGAATGAAATAAATAATAAAGATTAGAGCAGAAATAAATGAAATTGAATCTAAAAAATACTAAAGATCAATGAAATAAAAAGTTGATTTTTGGAAAAAAATTATTTAGCTGAACTAAGAAAAAAAGAGAGAAGACCCAAGTAAATAAAATCAGAAACAAAAAAGGGGACATAACAAGTGAGACCATAGGAACACAAAGAGTCATTAAAAACTATTACGAATAATTATAGCCAACAAATTGGAAAACCTAGAAGAAATAAACTCCCAGAGACATAAAATCTACCAAGATTAAAACATGAAGAAAAGAAAACCTCAACAAACCAATAATGAGTGACGAGATCAAAGCCATAATAAAGTCTCCCATCAAACAAAGCCCAGGACCTGATGGATTCACTGCTGAATTCCACCAAATTCAAAGAAAAACAAACACCAATTCTGCTCAAAATGTTCCAAAAAAAATGAAGAGGGAGAAATGCTGTCAAATTCTTTCTATGAGGCTAACATTACCCTGAAAATAAGACTAAACAAGGTTACAACAACAAAAAATAAAGACTACAGGCATCAATATCACTGATTAACATAGATGCAAAAATTATCAACAAAATACTAGCAAACTGCATTCAACAATATCATTCACCACGATTAAGTGGGATTCATACTAAGGATGCAAGGCTGGCTCCATATGCACAAATCAGTAAACATGGTGCATCACAGTAATGGAACCAAGAACAAAAAAACATAGGATCATTTCAACAGATGCTGAAAACTTATTCAATAAGATTCAACATATTAATGACAAAAACCTTCAACAGACTGAGTATAGAAGGAACATACCTCAAAATCATAAGGGCCATATATGACAAACCCACAGCTAACATCATACTAAATGAAAAATATTTGAAAGAGTTTTCTCTAAGATCTGGAATAAGACAGCATCATCACTTTTATTCAACATAATACTAAAAGTTTGGACCAGAGCAAACAGGCAAGAGAAAGATATAAAGCCCAACAAAATTGGAAAGGAAGAAGCCAAATTAACCTTGTACACAGGCAACATGATCTTTTTTTTTTTTGAGATGGAGTTTCACTCTTGTTGCCCAGGCTGGAGTGCAAAGGCATGATCTTGGCTCACTACAACCTCTGCCTCTGAAGTTCAAGTGATTCTCCTGTCTCAGCCTCCCAAGTAGCTGGGATTACAGACATGCACCACCATGCCTGGCTAATTTTGTATGTTTTTTTTTTTAGTAGAGACAGGGTTTCTCCATGTTGGTCAGGCTGGTCTCGAACTCCCAACCTCAGGTGATCCAACCACCTTGGCCTCCCAAAGTGCTGGGATTACAGGTGTGAGCCACCACGCCCAGCCACATGATCTTATATGTAGAAAAAATTAAAAACTCCACCAAAAAAAAAATCAGAATGGATAAACTTATTCAGTAAAAGTGCAGGATACAGAATTAACATACAAAAGTCAATAGCATTTATTTACATCAACAACCAAAAATCTGAAAAGGAAATCAAGAATGTAATCCTATTTAAAACAGCTACAAAGAATATAAAATAGGGAATCAACTTAACCAAAGATGTGATGTTCTCATTTTAAAAAAACTATAAAAAACTGCTGAAAAAAATACAAGAGGACATACAAAAAGTGGAAGAATATCTTATATTCATGGATTGGAAGAATTAATATTGTTAAAATTAAAATACTACCCAAAGCAATATGTAAATTCAGTGAACTGTCTAACCAAAATACCAATGACATTCTTCACAGAAATGAAAAAAAAAGTCCTAAAATTTATATGGAACCATTAAAGACTCTAAGTAGACAAAGCAATCGTAAGAAAAAAAATAATAACTGAAGGCATGACACTACCTGACTTCAAAATATACTACAAAGCTATAGTAAACAAATCAGTCTAACGTGTTAAAAAGAGACACAGACCAATGCAATAGAATAGAGGACCTAGATGTAAATCAACATATTTACAACATTTTTTACTAAGACACCAAGAACATATAATGAAGAAAGGGAAGTTGTTTCAATAAATGGTGCTGACAAAACTGAATTACCATTTGAAAAAGAGTTACACAGCACCCGTATCTCTCACCACATATAAAAATCAAATCAAAATGCACTTAAGACTTAAGTCTAAGACCTGAAACTATGAAACTACTAGAAAAAGCTTGAAGAAACACACCAGGATATTGGTCTAGGCAAATATTTTTTCTGGAAGACCTTAAAAGCACAAGCAACAGAAACAAAAATAGACAGATGGGATTATGTCAAGCTAAAAAGCTTCTCAAAGAAAACAATCAACAAGGTGAAGACATAACCTTTTGAACATGAGAAAATATTTGCAAACTATCAATCTGACAAGGGATTAATAACCAGATATATAAGGAACTCAATTCAATAGGAAAAACACAATCTAATTTAAAAATAGACAAATATCTGAATAGACATTTCTCAAAAGACATGCAAATGGCCAACAAGCATATGAAAAAATACTCAACATCACTAATCATTGGATAAATGCAAATCAAAATCACGTGAGATATCATCCCACACCAGTTAGAATGAATTTTATCAAAAAGACATGAATAACAGATGCTGGTGAGAATGAGGAAAAAGGGGAACTCTTGTTCACTGTTAGTAGAAATGTAAATTAGTAGAGCCAGTATAGAAAACAGTATGCAAGTTCTTCAAAAAACTGAAAATAGAACTGCCATATAACCCAGTAATTCTACCACTGGGTATATATCCAAAAGAAAAGATACCAATATGTCATAGAGATACCTGCACTCCCATGTTTTTTTCAGCGCTATTCACAATAGCCAAAGTATGGAATCAACCTAAGTGTCCATCATTGGATGAATGGATAAGGAAAATGTGGTATATATACACAATGAAATATTATTCAGCCATAAAAAAGAATAAAATCCCATCATTTGCCACAACATGGATGGAAGAGGTTCATTATGTTAAGTGAAATGAGCCAAGCAT
Source organism: Homo sapiens (assembly GCF_000001405.40). Classification (NCBI taxonomy): domain Eukaryota; kingdom Metazoa; phylum Chordata; class Mammalia; order Primates; family Hominidae; genus Homo; species Homo sapiens. The sequence continues at coordinate 109,148,872 of NC_000007.14, read as the reverse complement.
AGAAAGACAAATACTGCATGTTCTCACTCATATGTGAGATCTAAAAAAGCATGTAGCTCATGAAGATAGATAGATTGGTGGTTACCAGCTATGGTTTGAATGTGTCTCCTCTCCAAAATTCGTGCTGAAACATATCCATTGCAGTGTTATTAAGAGGTTGGGCCTTTGGGGGAAGTGATTAAGTCATAAATGGATTAGTGCCTTATAAAAAGGCTAGAGAGAACTAGCATAGCCACTTCTCAATTTTTTTTTTTTTTTTTTTTTTTTTTTGCTTTTCATCTTATCTGCCAATCAGGAAACATCCACAAGGAGGTAGCAATATCGCACTATCTTGCAAGCAGAGACCAGGACTTCACCAAACACCAAACGTGCCAGTGCCTTGATATTGGATTTCCAGTCTCTAAAGTCATGAGAAATAAATTTCTGTTCTTTATAAATTACTCAGTTTTAGGTATTTTGCTATAGCAGCACAAACAGATTAAAATGCCAGCCCTGCATCCTTGAGATTCTACATCCCCACTAATCTCTGCCATCACCTCCCTAACACACATACCACCAGGATGGGATATTGCATTTTATTTGTCCCTTAGTCAATGGAAAGAGGACAACCCTCTCCACTATGGTTGTCATTTCCACTTAAGTCAAGGACTGATAGTAGAAGTTGTTCCAACTGCCAATGTTGTTAATCTCATTTATGCATTCAGTGACCACTGGCTGGGTATATGGACCTAGTAGACCAACTGTAAGCCAAATTTGGGCCAAAATTTCATTTATTACTTGGTCCTCAGAGCTTTCTACTTTAATATAGGTCAATGCCACTCTTCTTGTCCTCAAATATCAATGTCAACTCAAATCCTGTATCTAATAATCCTCAAAATGTCTGGATATTCATTCTTCCCCTATGTATACTCACCCAAGTAAATAGCCATGGGTCTTTTGAGGCAAATATATATTTGTTATGGTTTTGCAGGCTTCCTCCTGCAGACACTCCATCTCTTTAGTCAATGATTTTTGGGTCTGAAAACTGCCTCACGTATTTGGGTAAAAAAATCATGGCTTTTTACTGGGAAAACCACCGTGAGTTCATCTATTCTTGCTTTCTCTTGCACAATTTAACAATATTTAACAAGAATATTTAACATTACCCTTATTAGCTGCCTACCCTATTTTATCCATAGGAATACCATGTTCCACAAACCCCACAATTTTTGGGGGGTTAAATCTCACTATTCCTACCTTGCCAGTCACTGCATTAGCTGAGAAGTCCTAGCTTCTGGCAGATAAACACCTGGCTTCTGCTTCTTTGAGGTCTCATCATACCCTTTGCTATTAATAAGCAAAGAGGCTCTGAAACAACCTCCCTTGCAGTCAGCCCTGACCTACAGAAAAGAGGCATCACTAATCTCCTTGATGATGCTGGCAACTCTCTTACCATCACATTCCTGGTGGCCTTGGTAAATAGTGTGTCTTCCAGACTGTCCAGCAGACATAATCATGTGAAGAACCTAACTGTCTTGTATACATAATCCTCTGGTGAGTATTCTGGTTTCACATAATAACATTATACCATTTGAAAAAGAGTTACACAGCACCCATATCTCTCACCATATATAAAAATCAAATCAAAATGCACTTAAGACTTAAGTCTTTGATCTGAAACTATGAAACTACTAGAAAAAGCTTGAAGAAACACAACAGGATATTGGTTTAGGCAAATATTTTTTCTGGAAGACCTTAAAAGCACAGGCAACAGAAACAAAAATAGACAGATGGGATTATGTCAAGCTAAAAAGCTTCTCAAAGAAAATAATCAACAAGGTGAAGACATAAACCTTTGAACATGAGAAAATATTTGCAAACTATCCATCTGACAAGGGATTAATAACCAGATATATAAGGAACTCAAACAATTCAATAGGAAAAACACACTTTCATGAACCTTTTAAACCCTTCCAGCCATCATCTGCCACAGCAATTCATACATGACACCTCTGTTCTGTGTAGGCCATCATGTTCTTCAGTCTTCTAGAAGCCACTCTAGGGAAGAGTTCGCACCATAACCTGGCCTACTTCTCGTGGTATTAAAATCCTAAATTCCATGAGCATGCTCCAAGCCAATAAGCTATTCCTTATGAAGTGCTATGTTCTGGCTCTCCTGATCAAGCAATCTCCAAGTCTAGCCTCAGGGGTATTCACCTAGCTCCTGTTGATACACTCTGGTTAATTCTCCAAAATTCTTTGGAGGCAAGGAGAAGATAATCTCTTTTCTATCTTACCAGATTTACATGCCTGGCTTTTTTATGCTGTAATTAACTCTAGGAATGAGGAGAGAAGAAGATAGATAATGAAAGATTTTCCTTTTGCCTTGCAAGGGAAGGCCTCTGCAGTGTCTTTCTAAACGGGAAGAGTACTAGCTCTTTATGGGGGAGAAATGGGCATCTGGTAAGCTCTGAGGATTCAAAGAACTTTATGGAGCCAGTATCTTTAAGGACCTTCATCCAGTGGTCCCTATTCTATCTGTCCTGTTCCCGGGTTTACCCATCCGAGGTCTGACCTTGTCATAACAAACACTTCAGTTGAGCATTCAATCATTTTTGCAGCAGGCAACTCTGATTTTAAATCCTGACTTGGTCTTCAGTTATTCGTACTTCCCTCTGGCAAGAGATAAACACCTTTTGTAAGCTTCTGAAGAAGCTCAATAACCTTTGTATTAAGTTTTTAATTGATTGTTAACTGCCCTAAGCTTTTCAATATACTTCTGTCGGGCTTCGATGCAATTTACTAACAACCAACCAATTCCATTAGCTCACTCTCCCCTTGTCCCTTTCAAAGATTTGAATCATTACATCAGCATCATATCCCCCTCCAAGGGAATTTTGTCCAAAAATATTTTCCTTGTGAAAGTTTAAGAAATTACGTTGCCATTGTGTGCCATGGATAATTTCTGTCCTACATAGCATCTAGATGGGGGTACTCATTGTCAATCAGGCAGAGAGAACCATTTATTTTTCTGGCTGCTTTCTCAAAACAATCTTTATACCAACTCTATCAGGCAGGTTCTCCAGGATGCAGACAGAATTAGAAGTACAACAGGTTTGCAATGGCTGTAATCTCCAGTGCAGGGTTGGAAAAAAAAAAATAGAATGAAAACCCTTACTATGTTCCTGATTTTAGGGGGATACTGTACAGTATTTCACCAATAAGTATGCTAGTTATAAGCTTTTCTTAAATGTCCTTTATCAATTTAATAACTCTTGATAGTTTTCTGATAATTTTTATAATGAACAGACATTTATTTAAAAAAAAACGCTTGTTCTACATGGATTGTAAGGATCATATGATTTTTGTACTTTATTCTGTTTCCATGATTGATTGATTTTTTAATATTAAGCCAACCTTGCATTTCTATGATAAACCGCAGCTGGTCACTTGGTTTCACTTTAGGTATTTCTGGATTCTATTTGAAAATATTTTATAAACTTTTGTTTATGAGAAATACTGGTCTGCAGGATTTATTTTTGCAATATATTTGGTTTTGTTATCAGTAATGATGGCTTCATAAAAAGTTTGGAAAAATTTGTTCACCTTTTTATTTTTTGAAGCATTTGTTTGATAGCACACTTAAATGTTTTGTAGAATTCACCACCTTCTGGAAATTCAGAATGTTGAATAGATTTAGTACTATTTAACTCACATTTCTTAAGTTTTGTTGGTGTTTCAAGAAATTTAACCACTTAGTATAATTTGTTGGAAGTGTTTTCATGCTGTTGTTAATATTCCTATTTAAGTTCAAATTTCATCTTAATTTCTTCTTAAACTCAAAGTACTTATTTCCGCTTAATGACTATAGAACATGTAGTAATAACCTATAAATTGGGTTCTCTCTTCTTTTTGAATTTTTAATTCATGGGTTATCAATTTTGTTGATCTTTTTAAAGAATTCACTTTGGCTTTATTAAACTTCTGTATTATTTGCCTGTTTTCTAGTTTACTGAGTTTTTTATTTCAAATTTTATTTTAGATATTGGGGTATATGTGCAGGTTTGTTACATGAAAATACTGCATGATGCTGAGGTTTGGGGTAAAGATCCCATCACCCAAGTAGTGAGAATAACATTTGATAGGTAGTTTTTCAACCCACACCCCCCTCCCCCACCTTGGCAGTGTCAAATTGTTTTTGTCTATGTGTGTCCATATTTACATCTATATGTGCCCCCACTTAAAAGTGAGAAAGTGAGGTATTTGGTTTTATGTTCCTGCATCTTGTTCTTTTTTATGGGCGTGTAGTATTCCATGGCATGTATGTACCATATTTTCTTTATATGATCTACCACTGATGGCAACTGTGTTGATTCCATGACTTTACTATTGTGACTAAAGCAGTAATAAACATATGAGTGCACGTGTATTTTTGGTAGAATAATTTATTTTCCTTTGGGTACATACCCAGTAATGGGATTACTAAGTTGAATGGTAGCTCTATTTTAAGTTCACTGAGAAATCTCCAGACTGCTTTCCAAAGAGGCTGTTGGCTAAATCCCCAAAAGCAACTTCAACTAACACAAAAATAGACAAATGGGACCTAATTAAAGTAAAGAGCTTCTGCACAGCAAAAGAAACTACAACAGAAGGTAAAGCAAGATGGTGAAATAGAAAGCTGCAGTCATTCCCCCTGCAAGGACACCAAGTTAACAACTATCTACAAAAATATAAAATAAAATAAACTTTTGTAACAACCAAAAATCAGGTGAGCACTCACAGTACCTGGTTTTAACTTCATATCTTGAAAGAGAATGAAGAGATAGAAAAACTAGTCCTAAATCACTGATGCCATCTCTCCCCCTCTTCCAGCAGTGGCAACATGGTTTGGAGAGTATCTCTAGGTGCTGTGGAAGAAAGAACACAGCACTTGTAAGGAAGTGAATTCAGTGCTGTTCTGTTAGAGCAGAAAGGAAAACCAGACCAAACTCAGCTGATGCCCACTGACAGAGGGAGCATTTCAACCAGCCCTTAGCCAGAGAGGAACCACCAATCCTGGGGGTCTGAACTTGAGTACCCACAAACCTCATTATCTAGAGCCAAAGTGCTTTTGGTCTCTAAGTAAACTTGAAAGGCAGACTATGCCATAAGGACTGCAACTTGTAGGCAAGTCCTAGGGCTAAACTCCTAGGTGAGTCCTAGGGTGAAGACAGTGGACTGTGGGGGCATACCACATACTGAGACACCAGCTGGGGCATGGTATTACCTCTCCTCTAACCCCAGGCAGCGCAGCTCATGGCTTCAAAAGAAACCCCTTCCTCCCGCTTGAGGAGAGGAGAGGGAAAAGTTGGGAGGACATTGTCTTGCACCTTGAATACCAGCTCAGCCACAGTAGGATAGGGCACTGGTCAGAGTCAAGAGGGACCCACTCCAGGCCCTAGCTCCCAGACAAAATTTCTAGACAATCCTGGGCCAGAAGGGAACCCACTGACTTGAAGGATATGACCCAGTTCTGCTAGCATTCATCACCTGCTAATTGAAAAGCCCTTGGGCCCTGAATAACCAGCAGCAATACCCAGATACCACATCAAGGACCCAGGTCAGCCTCTGAGACTTGCTAGCTTCAGATGAGACTCAGCATATTACCAGATGTGATGACTATGGAGCAAAGCTCCTTCTGCTTTAATAAAGCTGAGGGAAAAGGAAAGAGGATTTTGTCTTGCACCTTAGGTACCAAGACCACCACAGGGGGTTAGAGCACCAAATAGGCTCTTGGGGTCCCCATTTACAGGACTTGATTCCTGAACAGCATTTCTGGACCTGCCCTGGGCCTGAGGGGAGCCCACTGCCTTGAATGAATGGTGAGTCCCAGGCCAGTCAACATTTACCACAAGCTGACTTAAGACACCTTGGGCCTTAAGGGAATATCGGTGGCAGTCCAGCAGTATTCCTCATGGCCAGGGGCGGTAGTGGCTACTAGGCGAGGCTCCTCTTCTTTTGGAAAGTGGAAGGAAGAGTGAGAAGGACTGCATCTTGTGGTGTGAGTGTCCGCTCAGCTGCAATACAATAGAATACCAGATAGACTTCTAAAGTTTGTGATTCTAGCTCTGACCCCTGAAGGTACTTCTGGGCCCACCCAGGGCCCAGGGGAACTCGCTGCTTTGAAGGGAAAGACACAGGCCCAGCTGGCTTTTCCAACTGCTGTTGTAGAGCCCCAGGGCCTTGAGTGAACAAAAGCACTAGCCAGGGAGTGGTTACAGTGGGCCTTTTGCAAGACCCAGCACTGTGCTGGTTTCAGGTCTGACCCAGTGCAGTAATGGTGGTGGTGGCCACAGGGGTGCTTGTGTCACTCCACTTCCAGTTTTAGGTGGCCCAGAACAGAGACAGAGACTCTGTATGTTTGGGAGAAAGCAAGGGAAAAGAACAAGAGTATCTCCCCTCCACAGGATTCTCCCATATCTTGTCCAAGACTATCAAGGCAGTACCCTCTATAAGTCTTCAAGAACCATAGTGTTACTGGGCCTGAGGTGCCCCCTAAAGCAGATACAACTTAGATCACATGCCCAGGTTTTTTTCAAATAACTAGAAAGCCTTTCCAAGAAGGATGGCTACAAATAATCCCAGACAGTGAAGACTGCATTGAGAAAACTCAAATTCAAGATAACGCAGAGAATGAATTCAGAATTCTATCAAATAAGTTTAACAACAAAATTGAAATTATGGAAAATAACCAAGCAGAAATTCTGGAGTTGAAAAATGCAGTTGGTGTAGTGAAGAATGGATCACAGTCCTTTAATAGAAGAATTGATCAAGCAGAAGAAAGAATTAGTGACCTTGAAGATAGGCTATTTGAAAATACACAGAGGAGACAAAAGAAAAAGAATAAAAAACAATGAAGCATGCCTACAGAATATAGAAAATAGCCTCAAAAGAGCAAATCTGATTGTTATTTACCTTAAAGAGAAGGTAGAGAAAGAGATAGAAGTAGAAAGTTTATTCAAAGGAATAATAACAGAGAAAGAAGGATGACTACAAATAATCCCAGTGAATACTACAATACCTAACTCTTCAATGCCCAGACACTCAAGAACATCTACTAGCATCAACACCATCCAGGAAAATTTAACCTCACCAAATGAGCTAAATAAGTCACCAGGGACCAATACTGGAGAAACAGAGATATGTGACCTTTCAGACAGTGAATTCAAAATAGCTGCATTGAGAAAACTCAAAGAAATTCAAGATAACACAGAGACGGAATTCAGAATTCTATCAAATAAATTTAACAAGAAATTGAAACAATGAACAACAACCAAGCAGAAATTCTGGAGCTGAAAAATGCAATTGACATACTGAAGAATGGATCATGGTCCTTTAATAGCAGAATGGATCAAGCAGAAGAATTAGTGAACTTGAAGTCAGTCTATTTGAAAATATACAGTCAGAGGAGACAAAAGAAAAAGAATAAAAAACAATGAAGCATGGCTACAGAATCTAGAAAATAGCTTCAAAAGAGCAAATCTGAGAGTTATTGGCCTTAAAGAGGAGGTAGAGAAAGAGATAGAGGTAGAAAGTTTATTCAAAGGGATAATAACAGAGAACTTCTCAAACCTAGAGAAAGATATCAATATCCAAATACAAGAAGGTTATAGAATACCAAGCATATTTAACCCAAAGAATACTACCTCAAGGCATTAAATAATCAAATTCCCAAAGGTCAAGGATAAAGAAAGGATCCTAAGAGCAGCAAGAGAAAAGAAACAAATAACATGCAATGGAGCTCCAGTACATCTGGCAGCAGACTTTTCAGTTGAAATCTTACAGGTCAGGAGAGAGTGGCATTACATATTAAAGTGCTGAACAAAAACAAACAAACAAAAAAAAAAAAAAACTTTTACCTTGGAATAGTATATCTGGTGAAACTATCCTTCAAACATGAAGGAGAAATAAAGACTCCCAGAAAAACAAAAGCTGAGGAATTTCATCAATACAAGACCCATCCTATAAGAAATGTTAAAGGAAATACATCAACTAGAAAGAAAAGGAAATTAATGAGCAAGAAATACTCACCCAAAGGTACAAACTAACTGGTAACAGTAAATACACAGAAAAACACAGAATATTATAACACTGTAACTGTTCTGTGTAAACTACTCTTACCTAAGTGGAAAGACTAAACAATGAACCAATTAAAAATAAGAACTACAACAACTTTTCAAGACATAGTCAGCACAATAGTATATGAATATATGAACAAAAACAACAAAAACTGAAAAAGTATGGGCATGAAGTTAAGGTGCATTTTTTATTAGTTTTTCCTTTTGCTTATTTGTTTGGTGATGCAAATAATGTTAAGTTGTTATCAGATGAAACTAATGGGTTATAAGATAGTATTTGCAAGCCTTGTGATAACTTCAAACCAAAAAACATACAATTAATACACAAAAAATAAAAATTAAGAAATGAAATCATATCACCAGAGAAAATTATCTTCAATAGAAAAAAAAGAGAAATAAGCGAAAGAAAAAAGGGAACACCACAAAAGAACCAGAAAACAAATAACAAAATGGTAGGAATAAGTCTTTATTTATCAATAATAACATTGAATGTGAATGGACTAAACTCTTCAATCAAAAGACATAGAGTGGCTGAAGAGATTAAAAAAACACACAAAACCCATTGATCTGTCACCTACAAGAAACACACTTCAGATATAAAGACACACATAGAATGAAAATAAAGGGATGGAAAAAGATATTCCATGCAATGGAAACCAAAAAAGAGCAGGATTCACTATACTTATATCAGAGAAAATAAAGTTCAAGACAAAAACTCTAGAGACAAAGAAGGTCATTATAGTCAATTCAGTAAGAGGGTATAACAATTTTAAATATACACGCATCCAACACAAGAGCACTCAAATATATAAAGGGAATATTATTAGAGCAGAAGAGAGAGATGGGCCCCAATACAATGAAAGCTGGAAACTTCAGCACTTCACTTTCAGCACTGGATACATCTTCCAGACAGAAAATTAACAATGAAACATCAGACTTAATCTGTACTACAGACCAAATGGATGTCATAGATATCTACAGAACATTTCATCCAAAAGCTGAAGAATGCACATTTTTTTTTTCTCAGCAGAAAAATTATTCTCAAAGATAGATCATATGTATGGTCACAAAGCAAAGCAAGTCTTTTTTTTTTTTTTTTTTTTTTGAGACGAAGTCTCGCTCTGTCGCCCAGGCTGGAGTGCAGTGGCGCGATCTCCACTCACTGCAACCCCCACCTCCCGGGCTCATGCCATTCTCCTGCCTCAGCCTCCCAAGTAGCTGGGACTGCAGACGCTCGCCACCATGCCTGGCTAATTTTTTTGTATTTTTAGTAGAGACGGGGTTTCACCGTGTTAGCCAGGATGGTCTCTATCTCCTGACCTGGTGATCCGCCTGCCTCCCAAAGTGCTGGGATTACAGGCATGAGCCACTGCGCCTGGCCAAAACAAGTCTTAAAACTTTCAAAAAAATTAAAATATCAAGCATCTTCTCCGACCACAGTAGAATAAAACTAGAAATTAATAAGAGGAATTTAGAAAATTATACAAATACATGGAAATTAAGCAATATTCTCCAGAATGACCAGTGGGTTAATGAAGAAATTAATAAGGAAATTAAAAAATTTCTCGAAACAACTGATAATGGAAACACGACATACCAAAACCTAAGGAATACAGCAAAAGCAGTAACCAGAGGGAAGGTGATAGCTATAAGTGTCTACATCAAAAAAGAGAAAAAAACTTCAAATAAACAATCTAATGATGCATCTTAAAGAACTAGAAAAGCAAGGGCAAACTGAACCCAAATCTAATAGAAGAAAAGAAATAATAAAGATCAGAGCAGAAATAAATACAAATAAAATGAAAAAATTACAAAATATCAATGAAATACAAAATATCAACAAAATACAAAGTTGGTTTTTTAAAAAGTTGAACGAAATTGACAAACCTTTAGCCAGACTACGAAAAAAGAGAGAAGAGGCAAATAAATAAAATTAGAAATGAAAAAAGTGACATTACAACTGATACTGCAGAAATTTGAAGTATCATTACTGGCTACTATGAGCAACTATATGGCAATAAATTGGAAAATCTAGAAGAAATTGACAAATTTCTAAATACATACAGCCTACCAAGATGGAACCAGGAAAAAATCCAAAACCTGAACAGACCAATAACAAGTAACATGATCAAAGCCATAATAAAATGTCTTCCAGTAAAGAAAAGCCCAGGACCTGATGGCTTCACTGCTGAATTCTACCAAACACTTAAAGAAGAACTGATACCAATCCTACTCAAATTATTTTGAAAAACAGAGAAGAGAATCCTTCCTAACTCATCCTATAAGGGTAATATTACCCTGATATCAAAACCAGACAAGGACACATCAAGAAAAGAAAACTACCTGCCAATATATCTGATGAGTATTGATGTAAAAATCCTCAACAGAACACTAGCAAACCAAATTCAACAATACATTAGAAAGATCATTCATCAGGACCAAGTGGGATTTATCCCTGGGATTAAAGGATGGTTCATCATATGCAAATCAATCAGTGTGATATATCATATCAAAAGAATTAAGGATAAGAACCATGTGATCATTTTAACCGATGCTGAAAAAGCATTTAATATTATTCAACATCCCTTCATGATAAAAATTCTTCAAAAACTGGGGACAGAAGGAACATACCTCAATATCATAAAAAGCATACAGGTAAGACCCACAGCTAGTATCATACTGAATGAGGAAAAACTGAAAGTCTCTCCTTTTATATCAGCAACACAACAAGGATGCCCACTGCCACCACTGTTATTCAAGATTGTACGAAAGTCCTAGCTCGAGGGGTCAGACAAGAGAAACATATAAAGGGCATCCAAATTGGAAAGGAAAAAGTCAAACTGTCCTTGTTTCCTGGTGACTTAATCTTATATTTGGAAAAACCTAAAGACCCCACAAGAAAACTATTAGAAATTATAAATTCAGTAAAGTTGGATACAAAAGCAACATACAAAATTCAATAGCATTTCTATATGACAAAAGTGAACCATGTGAAACAGAAATTTAAAAAGTAATCTGATTTACAATAGCCAAAGATAAAATCAAATACCTAGGAATTAACCAAAGAAGTGAAAGATCACTATAATAAAAACTATAAAACTCTGAGAAAGGAAAGTGAGGCAGACAGCAAAAATTGGAAAGATATGCCATGTTCATGGATTGGAAGAATCAGTATTATTAAAATATCCATACTACCCAAAGCAATCTAGGGATTCAAAGCAATCCCTATCAAAGTACCAACGACATTCTTTACAGAAATAGAAAAAACAATCCTAAAATTTATATGGAACCACAAAGACCCAGAACAGCCAAAGCTGTCCTAAGCAAAAATAAAAATAACTAGAGGAATCACGTTATCTGACTTCAACTTCTGCTACAAAGCTATGGTAACCAAAACAGCATGGTACTGGCATAAAAACAGACACAAACAAATTGAACAGAATAGAGAACCCAGAAATAAGTCCACACACCTAAAGTGAAGTAATTTTTGACAAGGGTGCTAAAAACACACATTGGGGAAAGACAGTCTCTTCAATAAATGGTGCTGGGAAAATTTGATATCCATATGCAAAAGAACGAAATTAGATACCAATCTCTCACCATGTACAAAAATCAAATCAAAATAAAGATTTAAATCTAACACCTTGAATTACGCAACTACTACAAGAAAACATTGAGGGAAATCTCCAGGACATAGATCTGGGCAAAGATTTGTTGAGCAATACCTAACAAGCACAGGCAACCAAAGCAAAGATGGGCAAATGGAATCACATTAAGTTAAAAAGCTTCTGCACAGAAAAGGACGCAATTAACAAAGTAAAGAGACAACTCACATAATGGGAGAAAATATTTTCAAACTACCCCTCTGACAAGAGATTAATAGCCAGAACATATAAGAAGCTCAAACTCTATAGGAAAAATATTTAATAATCCAATCAAAAAATGGGCAATAGATTTGAATAGACATTTCTCCAAAGAAGACATATAAATGGCAATGAGCCATATGAAAAAGTGCTCAACATCATTGATCATCAGAGAAATGCAAATCAAAACTATAATGAGGTAGCATCTCACCCCAGTTAAAATGGCTTATATCCAAAAGACAGGCAATAACAATGCTGGTGGGGATGAGGAGAAAAGGGAAACCGTGTACACTGTTGATGAAAATGTATTATAATAAACTATGGAGAACAGTTTGGAGTTTCCTCAAAAAACTAAAAGTAGAGCTACCACATCATCTAGCAATCCTACTGCTGGGTATATACCCAAAAGAAAAAGGAAATCAGTATATCTAAGAGATATCTACACTCCCATGTTTGTTGCAGCACTGTTTGCAGTAGCTAAGACTTGGAAGCAACCTAAGTGTCCATCAGCAGATGAAAGGATGAAGGAAATGTGGTACATATACACAATGGCATACTATTCAGCCATAAAAAAGAATGAGATCCAGTCATTTTTAATAACATAGATGTAACCGGAGATCATTACGTTAAGTAAAATTAGCCAAGCATAGAAAGACAAACATCACATGCTCTCATTTACTTTTGGAACCTAAAAATCAAAACAATTGAACTCATGGAAATAGAGAGTATATAAAGTTTACTGGAGGCTGGGAAGGGTAGTGGGGAAATCAGGGGGAGGTGGAGATGGTTAATGTGTACCAAAAAAAAAAAACAATGAATTTTTACAGCACAATAGGGTGACTGTAGTCAATAACTTAATTCTATATTTTAAAATAAATTATGTAATTGGATTGTTTGTAACTCAAAGGATAAATGCTTGAGAGGATGGTTACCCCATTCTCCGTGATGTACTTATTTCACATTACATGCCTGTATCAAAACATCTCATGTTCCCCATAAATATATGCTATATATCTTTTGTGTTCCCACCAAAATTTTTAAATAATTTTTAAAAATTAAAAATAAGCTATCAACAGAGTAAACAGACTACCTACAGAATGGAAGAAGATATTGCAAAACTATGCGTTTGATGCTATGCAGAATCTAAAGGGAACATAAACAAATCAACAAGCAAAAAATAAACAACACCATTAAAAATGGCAAATGACATGAACATTTTTCAAAATAAGACATACGAATTGCCTACAAACATACAAATGCTCAACATAACTCATCATTAGAGAAATGCAAATCAAAAAATCAAAACCACAATAAGATACCATCTCACGCCAGTCAGAATGACTATTATTAAAAAGTCAAAAAATAACAGATGCTGGTGAGGCTGTAGTGAAAAGAAAACACTTACATACTATAAGTGGGAATGTAAATCAGTCCAGCTTATTGAGCTTTACTACAGTTTTTACAAGTCAGGCTTTCTTATTACACTGGATTGCTCTTTCTTATTACACTGGATTGCTCTTTCTTATTCTGCCTTTATAGTGTGGATTTTCAGGTCACTGATTTGATACATTTCCTTATTTCAAATTAACACATTTAAAACTATAAACTTTCCTCTAAGTGCTACTTTTACTTTATCACATAGATTTTGATAAGTTGTATTTTTCTCTCTCTATATATAAATTCTTAAAATATACTATTAAATTTCCCAATCATTGAAGTTTTCTTAAACAACTTTTTGCTATCGATTCCCAATTTTATTTTAATCTAAGAATATACTCTGTGTCATTTCAATCTTTTGAAGTATAATTTAACACTATTTTTTGTGCCAGGATAGGGCACTTGTTGTAATATATGCATTTGAAACCAGGTATAAACTGGGTATTTAAGTATCATATTCTAAAACTTTTAATTAGTTTAAGGTGCTTGTTCAGAAACTTTACCTTCATTGATTCTCTTTTTATTGTATAATCATTTACCAAGAGATTGATGTTAAAATCTCCCATTGTGCTTGTCAAATTTTCTGTTTCTCTGTCAATTTTTGCTTTTTTTTTTTTTTCAGGTTCAACACGTTCTTGCAGGTTAGGAACAAACAAATTTATTATTGCTTTGTTTTCTTTTGTGTTGATCCTTTCATCATTTGAAAATGCTCTTCTTTATCTTTGATAACATCCTTTGTCTTGAAGTCTACTTGTCTGATATTAACATAGCCATTGTGGCCTTCTTATGCTTGCTGATTATGTCTTTCTCCATTCATTTACTTCCAATCTATCTGGAATTTTCTACTTAAATTGCATCTTTAGAAAAGCGTTAAGTGTCAACTTTTAAAATCCATTCTTGTAATCTGTTTTTGTATTTTACATAATTTCAACTTTTATTTTAGATTCAAGGGTACATATGAAGGTTTGTTATCTGGATACATTGCATGATGCTGAGATATGGGGTAAAATTGGCCCCATCAACCAGGTACTAAGCATAATACCCAATAGGTAGTTTTTCAACTCTTGTCTGCCTCCTACTTTCCCTTCTCCAGTAGTCCCTAGTTCCCATTTGTTGCTATTTTTATGTACATGAGTACCTAATGTTTAGCTGCCACTTATAAGTGAAAACATGTGGCATTTGGTTTTCTCTTCCTGCTTAAATTAGCTTAGGATGATGGCCTGCAGCTATATCCATGTTGCGCAAAGGACATGATTTTATTTTTTATGGCTCCGTAGTATTCCACAGTGTGTATGTACCACATTTTCTTTATTCAGTCCACTGTTAGGGCACCTGAGTTGATTCCATGTCTTTGCTGTTGTAAATACCACTGCGAAAACATACGAGTTCATGTGTCTTTTTGGTAGGATGATTTATTTTCCTTTAGGTATATACGCAATCATGGGATTGCTGGGTCAAATTTTAGCTCTGTTTTAAATTTTTTGAGAAATCGTCAAAATGCTTTCCACAGTGGCGGAACTAATTTACATTTCTACCAATAGTGTTTAGGCATTCCCTTTTCTCTGAAGCCTTGCCAGTATGTTTTGTTTTTTTACTTTTTAATAGTCATTCTAAATAGTGTAGGATGGTATCTCACTGTGGTTTTCATGTGCATTTCTCTGGTGATGGCTGGTGATGTTGAACATTTTTTGATGTTTCTCGGCCACTTGTATGTCTTCTTTTGAGAAGTATCTATTCATGTATTTTGCCCACTTTTTAATGAGGTTGTTTTTCACTTATTGATTTGCTTAGGTTCACTATAAATTCTGGATATTAGACCTTTGTCATATGCAGTTTGCAACTACTTTCTCCCACTCTATAGGTTACCTTTATTTCTGCTTGTGGATGGAGCAGAGGGTCCCACTGCACCACAATCTATGCCCAGAAAGGGTGGGGAAGCTCAGGCTGCTGTTCCAGCCAAGAAATTGCTCTCAATGCCTGGAGCTCTGCCTTGAGTGAACTGGAAGGGGTCCACTGCAGGATCTCAGGGGAACAGGATAGGGCACCCAGCTGTGATATGCACAGACCAGTTCCACATTGCCAAGCTGGTTCTGGCTGCAAATCTTTTTGCCTCAGGAGAAATCACAGCTGTAGCAACTCTCCTCCCACTTCAGGCCTGTGATGGGGGAAGGAACAATTACAGCACCTACAACTGAGGTGCTTTCCATAATTCTGGCTGTGGAGGGCCCTACCCTGCCCTGGAGCAAGCACTCCAATCTTTTGCCTGAGACTAAAATGCCTGCATGTCCATAGTGCCAGGTCACCAAAGAATGATTGACTTTGTATGCACCCAAATTAAAAATGCCATCCTTCTCTCAATCTTGGGTCTGGGAAACTGCATGGAGCTTTTTCTAATGTCTTTCCCTCTCAGCATCTCCCAGCCTCTTCCCAAGTTAGTGCCAGGGCATGAGAGAAACAAAGTGCTCTCCCTAACCCTGGGTTGCTCAGATCCCCAGTGTACAGGTGAGTCAAAGAGGGAGGGTCTTTGCCCCTGTTACATACTGGGGCTTCACTCACTTCTATCAGCTGGACACCATCATGGGGACTGTTTGCCCACATTCTCCTCCCCAGCATCTGGGGTGTCCTTCACAATGCTGCTGGATTCCCATTTTCCTTTTTGAAGCAGGGCTCACAGAGTTTATCTTTATGCACTATTTTGCTATTTCCAAGTGGCTGAGGCCCACTCAAGTCTCCAATCTTCCATCTTGGAGGCAAAAACATCTATCTTTAAATCGAAGGCTTTAGTCCATTAAGATTTATTTTAGTTGTTGATATGACTGCATTTAGGTCTATCATTTTATTATTTAACTTTGTTCTTGCTAAGTTATTTACATTGATCCCCATTTTGCCTACAATTCTTTTAATTATTTCAAAATTCCTTTTTAATTTTTTTGTTAGCTTTTAAGCTACATTTATTTGTATTAATTTGTGGTTGTTCTAGAAACAAAAATTTGCATATTTAAATTTGTATATACTATGTAGAGTTACTACCAGACCAGTTCATGTAAAATTAAGAAGCCTTGTTTAACCATGTAACAATTTACTCTCCTATATGCTATGTTAGGGTTGTTATATGTATCCACCTGTTTATATTATAAACTCCAGAAGACATTACTATATGGTTTTTGTTTTAAACAGTCAGATTTATTAAACAGAATCTTTAAAAAATTATATTTTATGTTACTGAAATATTCACTTTTTCTCAAGGTCTTCAGTCAATTCTAAAAGTCTAAGTTTCTTTCTGGAATCAGTCTCCCTCAGCAGGAAGGAAGGAAGCACTTCCTTAGCATTCTTACAGTACCAATTGGCTGTCAGATAATTTCCTTCGCTCTCCTTTATCTGAAAATGTATTCTTACAGAATATTTTACCAGAGTAAGTACTATACATGGATAAGTTGATCACAGATGTTATTCCACTATTGTTTGATTGCCATGGTTTCTGATAAATCCAGAGTCATTTTAACTATTGTTCCTCTGTGTGTACATTGTTATTTTTCTCTTCGGCTACTTCCAAGATTTCATTTTTATCCTTAGTTAACAAGAGTTTGACTATGATGTTCCTATGTGAAGTTATCTTGTAATTTACCCTGTTTGGGGTTTTCTGAGCTTCTTGAAAGTGTTGTAAATGCACATCATTTAAGAACTTTAGGAAATTTCACTATTTAAATATTTTTTTGGGATTCATTCTTTTTCTCTTTTTATTCTACATTGTGGTTGCCTATATTTTAAATTTGTTGAAATTTTTCCAAGTCTGTGAAATTCTGTTCTATTTTTTAAAATATATTCTCTCTCATCTTTAGTTTTTTTAAATCCACTGACTCTATCATATTTATTGTGTTTCTAAACCTATGCACTATTTTATATTTCAGGTATTTTTCAGATCCCCTGATACTTTCTTTTCATCTATAAAGATTTTTTTCTTTAATTACTATTTGTGCCCACTTATAACAGCTACTTTAAAACAAAAAAATCAAAACTATGGAACAGCTAGGAGTTGATCTCAGCTGATGTTTTTTTGCCTTGAAAATGACTCACGTTTTTCCCAGCTTTTCATATTTCAAGCTAAAAAAAAAAAAAAGGATTTGGTTCTATATATTGCACAATATATGTGTAGAGTGTCTAGTTTTGTTATATTGTTCTGAATAATGTTATTTTTATTTTGGCAGAAAATGCAGGCAATTAACTTGATTACACCAAACTCTAATTCTATTTCCCTTGCAGCAAGTGACAATTCAAATCTCAATCCTTTCATTTTTAACATCTTTGAGTCTGTTGTTTCAAGTGCAGTTCTCAGTCAGCCAGGCATTTGGTTAAAGTTCCCACACATACCTCAGCTTCCATTTTCTGGATCATTCCATTCTGGGACGAACTCCTCTCTTTCCTCCAGCTGTCGTTGCCACAGGCTCTGTCTCTTGATGCTTCTGGATATAAAGCCAGCAGGTTTTCTACAGAAGTGTCAATTGTCATACACCAAGAAATGAGGCTACAACCACAAGTCAGGAGGCTTATTATTTACCACTTACTTTTTCCAAGTTTTTATCCCCTTCAAAATCTGTCTGCCTTGGGTCATGCTCCAGAGCCTTCAAGCACTTGTTTTGTTTTGCTTTCTTTCTCCAAAGATTATCCTTACCTATGAAAAGTTTCAGTGTACTGCAACCTTATTCCTTCATAGTTAAAATGGAATTTTGACTGTAGGGTTTTAGGCAGTAGTGTAATATAATGAAATTTGCATTTCATCACATCATTGCAGAGCCTTGTTTCTCAGAGTGTGGCCCACAGGACAGCAGCTTCTGAAATTTTTTAGAAATGCTGAAACTTGGCCAGGCACAGTAGCTCATGTCTGTAATCTCAGCAATTTGGAAGGCAAGTTAGAAAGATTGCTTGAGGCCAAGAGTTAGAGACCAGCCTGGGCAACATAAAGAGACCCCATCTCTACAAAAATATGCATATTTAATTAGCCAGGTGTGGTGGTACACAACTGCAGTTCCAGCCACTCAGGAGGCTGATGTAGGAGGATCCCTTGAGCCTAGGAGTTCGAGGTTACAATGAGCTATAATTGTGCCACAGCACTCCATCCTGGGTGACAGAGTAACACGCTGTCTCTAAAAAATTTAAAAAATAAAGGAATGCTGAAACTTTTTAGAAAGGCTGAAACTCAGCCCCTCTAAAGACCTACTAAATCAGCCGGGTGCGGTGGCTCAGGCCTGTAATCTCAGCACTTTGGGAGGCCGAGGTGGGCAGATCACGAGGTCAGGAGATTGAGAACATCCTGGCTAACACGGTGAAACCCCGTCTCTACTAAAAATACAAAAAATTAGCCAGGCGTGGTGGCAAGTGCCTGTAGTCCCAGCCACTCAGGAGGCTGAGGCAGGAGAATGGTGTGAACCTGGGAGGTGGAGCTTGCAGTGAGCCAAGCCAAGATGGAGCCACTGCACTCCAGCCTGGGTGACAGAGAGAGACTCCGTCTCAGAAAAAGAACCCTACTAAATCAAAATCTGCACTTTAACAAGTTTCTCAGCCAATTTATCTCCACATTAAGGTTTGAGAAACACTACTGTAGAGGATGACTTGCAGTGGTTTAAAGAGACAAGTAAACCAATTAGAAAATTACTTTTGTGATCCAAATGAGAAATGATAAAGATCTGGGCCGAGATCTGTCCTTCTTTGAGCAAAGGTATTAACAGACCAGTAAGATCTGCAGAGGCAAAAGGGGAACTTTATTTTCTAAAGGCAACTTGGAGACTGGGGAGATGCAGCTTTCAGTGCAACACTAAGTGATGTCTGAGGAAGGTTTAGGGAGCGGAAGTTTAAAAAGGCAAAAAGCATAGGACGCGGGGAGCAATCAGGTGCAGGGTTCAATGGAATGGTCTTTAAGTCAGACATTGCAAGTCTTTCTTTACTGGCTGGCATCAAATGGTCTGCTGGTGGCCACTTGGGAGAATAGCTAGCTGATGTCTATCTCTGCACAGACAACAGGAACTGGTTTGGCTTGACTGCAGAAAGGGAGGTCCTGTGACACTTTTACATCTTTCTGAAAATATAAAGTACAAGACCACTCCTTCACTCTGCTATTGTTAAAGGAGTTATTAAGAAATTATTTTAGGCAGATAGAGGGAAAGGGGGTCCTTGGGGTCCTTGGGAAGTTTTCATTTCTTTTAAAGCAGCTCTAGAAATGTTTGTTGACTAGCAGGAAAGCACCAGCTCTTAGAGCTTGGCTGGCAAGCTTTGATATGCAAATGTTGGCCATTAGAAACGGGGTCCACCTAAACATGGTGATTCCTGCCATCTTCTTCTTGCCCTTGCCCCCACATGTGCCTAGCAACATGACATGGCAACCCCGCATATCCCCATGTGTGTAGAACATCATGGTGCCCTGCACTTGCATATTAAAAGGCTAGGGTGGGAGGGCGAGTTTTTTCGTGGGCTTCATGAATGACACACCTGGTCAAACCAGTCCCCTGGGCCCTATGGAAACCAGACACCGCCTCCTAGAGCATCCCAATATAAGCAGCCACTTTTCCACACCACACAGGTTTTCTCTTTGTTCAAATCCCCCCTCCCTCTGTCTCTGTACGGGGGAGCTGTTTTCTTCTTCCTTCCTTCTTTCTTTCTTGCCCATTAAACTTTTCTCTCCTTAAAACTACTCCACATGTGTCTGTACTGTTAATCCCATCCATGTGAGATCAAGAACCCTGGTGTCCCTCCAGTCATCGGAGGCATATTACTATGGCTACCAGGTTCTGTTTTAACTTTAAGCACCTCAGTTGGCCATAGGGAGTTCATTTTGTCTGTTGACCAGGGGCATACATTAACAAAGGAAATAAGTTTTCTTTAAGATACTAATGTTATAGGACCTGGTAAATAATTGGGTAAGGAGGTAGGAAGAGTCTAGAAGGACTTTGAGTTTCCGTTTTAACCAATAATAAATTTCATGGAGATAGGGATTACAAGAGAGGGGATATATATTTTACATCAACAGGCTGAGTTTAAAGTGTCCACGGAATATCCAGGTGGAGATGTAAAGTATGTAAATAAATGGGCCCAAACTGTGGATTGGGTACCCAAACTGTAGATGAGCTATTCATAACTACATTCAGCCTTGCCTTTCTCAATTATAAAGGAGAAAAATCTTAATAATCTTATAGCCCACATTGAAGTTACAGGTGGCCATATAGACAGTTTATCAGAGACATATCTGAATATGTGCTTGGTGAGATTTCTAGTGAAGATTCTGTTTCCTAATAAAAAGAGACAGATTTCCTCCTTTTTCTCTCTTTCTGGATCACGGATGCAATGCCAAGAGATGCAACAGCCATTGTGTGACTAGGAAGCAATAAGCATTATTGACAAAAACAATGTAATAATTCTGGAGCAGAAAGGCAGCTGGAACTCTGGGATATTAATGACTAGACGGACTCCTGCAAAAGCCACTGGCTGCCTACCTCTGGAATTAATAGTTAACATGTGTGGAAAAAATATGCCCTATTTCTTTCAGCTACTGTTTGTCAAATTTTCTGTTAGTTACAGCTGACACTTTCCTAATTGATATAGGGTATACCTAAAGAACAACTCTAGAAAGAGGGCTTGGCAGGAGACAGATCAGCTGGGTAGTTATAGCAGTTGAAGCCTTGGGTTTGAATAAGATCACCAAGAGAGAATATTATAGAGTAAAATAAAAAGAGGGCGAGGAATCAAGTGTTGTATAATATTCTCATGTCAGAGAAACTGGTAGGAGAAAGGAGCAACTGAAGAAAGGCATACAACCATAAAGAGAGAGACTGAAAAGAGAAAATTATGTCCTAGAAATCAAGAGAAAACGTGTCAGGGTTCAAATGCTACAAAGAAGTAGAACTAACCACTGCAGGAGACCAGAATATGCCAGCCCAAAATATGTCTTTTTAGCACAAGGATTATTTTGAGAAACAGCAGACACAGGAGAAGTTCTAAACACAGAGTAGAACATACCCTTTTGTAAAAAAAAAGAAAAAGAAAAAGAAAAAGAAAAAAAATGCATCTATAAAGAAAATCTCCTTTCAATAGTGTCTCCCTCTCTGTACCAGGAAAAGAAGGATGACTAAATCCCAAGAGATTCATCAATAGGGAAGGCAGGGACTTAAATCTGCATAACAAATCTTATTCTTGTTTACCATATTTTTCCTGGTCGCCTCCTTACAACTGAACTTCCTCATATCTTTTTTCTTTGTTTCAGTTGAAGATGCTATATAAACCAGAGTTTTAGGCTAACCTTTTGAGAATTACTCATTCCCTGAGTATCTCCCATGTGTTTATGAGATATAGATGTTAATAAGCTTGTTTACTTTTCCCTTATTTATCTGTTTTCTGTTACAGGAGTCCCAGCTGAAAATTTAGAAGTGTAGAAGTAAAATTATTTTTTCTTCCCCTACACCATGCACAGAAAATTATTCACTAGATTTGGGATATTTGGTGATGTTTGATAAAGCATGTTAGTGGAACAGGAATCAGGTTCTAACAAATCTGTCTGTGAACAATCTGTTTCACATCCACACACTGGGCCATATGCACAACCCCATCAAGTGTGCCTTTCACAGCATGCTGTTAGTCCCAGAGTGGATGATGAAAAGGGATGTTGATGAATCATTGCTCCACATAAAAATACAATTCGAAGTGCAGGCTTTATTGATAGAAGGACAGTAGGATCTTTCTTACTATAAAAGACAGCTTACTTTATATCCCTTAAAAATAAAAATAAAGCTTAAGTTTAGACATACCTACCAAGTGGGCAACAGGGCAGACTTTCCTGACCCTTTCACATTTAAAAGAACAGCAAGATTCCAAGGATCATTGTCTGCCTAGTTCCCGGCAGCTGTGACACAGGCCCCAAGTGTGCTTTGAAGATGACAAGCACTTGAGTCAGTCATGTAGGTGCAGGAAGGGAGAAAAAAAAGATAAAGTGAAATAAAGGAAATATAGTAAAGAAAAGAACTTACTGATAATTCCTATCTTCTTCCTGACAGTAATCAGTAATATATGGAAATATTAGCATAAGGAACATTTAAAGATAAATTCTATACAAAAAGTTACAACAAAGAACCACAGATGTAAAAATTGATTAAAAAGGAGACAGACCAGACTTCAATGCCCAACTTAGCACTGTGGGGTCTTCATAGCAGTGGGAAACGTTCCTTTTTTCTTTTTATTGCCATGGAATTGATAAGAACAACTTGAAAAGGCCCGTAGGAATTTAAAAGTCTTTCTTTCTTTCTTCTTTTCTTTTTGAGAATTATTTTAACCTTAAGAAGATGTATGAAAAACCCACAAGGTAATTAGGGAAAGTGAAAAGATGGTTATGAACAATTAAAATCCTTTCTGTTTCATTAGGTTTTTATGGTTAAATGTTGTCACTGATTAAATGTGAGGCTGAGACATTGAATATGTCTCCCAAAGACCACATATATCAAAATACAGATCAAAGGAAAAAAGCGAGTCAAGAGAACCCACAGAAGAAGCTTGTTAACAACATAAAATGAATAAAAGGCTCACACTACATACGTGGGGTTATGTATTCTTTACCTTTTGCAAAAACATTCCTCACCAATGTAAACATGCTACAGATGAACAGGGCTAGCTACATAATGTGAGGTCAAGTACAAAATGGCATGTGGGGCCTCTTGTTCAAAAGGCAGGAAAAAAGCCATGCTATTAAAATTACTAAATTAGATATTTTTTTTCCTTTCTTCTACAGTCTCTCACTCGACTTATCACGGTGTTTATTATTTGCCATTTAACAGCATTCTAAATTTTTAAAAGTTAAAATTTTAAATAACTTGTATGAATCTTACCATTCTTCTTTATATTACACAATGTTCATTTTAAATAAAAATGAGTGCATTTTACTTATATGTAGCATCACCAAATTACACAATTTGTATTCCTTATCTTGTATATGTATATGTACATCAATCTTACCAGAATGGTGGAATGATTCCACAAAACTAATGTTGGGCTCAGAATGTGATACCCCAAAATAAGGCACCTTAGCATAATAAGTATTTTAACATGAAGAAAATTAAGAAAACTACAGAAGATAGATGGTCTCTCTGATCTTCTCAATCCCCCTTTCTCCCTAAAAGCAGGCCCTAAAACCTAGGAAGGTAACTCTCTGACCTCCTCCCCTCCTTCTCCCCTAAACGCCTTCATGTAGCAGGCATCCTGCCCTAAACATGGAGAACGAGAATGTCACAGAGACACAGAAAAGAATCTGAACAAACAGGACTTGCTGAATTCCCAACCTATTATCATCAGAGCATAACCGTTTGTGTCTAATCACATTGCTTCATAGCTAGATTCTTTAATCAGACTTAGCACAAAGTATACACAGATTTCCCTGTTTCTTTTGATCTTCATTTCCTTTTAAAGGCTATCTCTCATGTCATGTAACATTTATTTATTTATTAATTAATAGGCTTTTCTCCTGTCTCTCATTGTCAGTTTTATTTTTAGGCCCAGCCAGAATGCTGAGAACTTCCTGCTATAAATTAAGCTGATTCTTTTAATTTTACTGCTTTTTAAAAATTAGGTGAAAACAAATCATGTTGGTAAATGTAATTTTGATAAAATAAATATAACATAAAATTTACTGTTTTAACCATGTGTAAGTATACAATTCAGTGGTATTGGGTACATTCATATTGCTGTGCAATCATCACCATCTTCATTTCACTTCTTGATGTACACACATTCTAGCAACACTCTCTACCTGAGTGATGAGTAAGGAAGAACTGAAAATGAAATAATCTAGTTGCTCTGTATTTCCTTTTATGTCAATATTTTCAATGTAAGTGGTTAGCTAATGCAAGGAAGTAACACAAATAAGAGCATGATAGGGTTCCTTGGCTGTGTTTTGAGAATGCCATCATTGCCTTCTTTCTGGATTAAAAGCAAGTTTTGGCTCAAAAGAAAAGTGTGGCCTCTAGGGAAGTCAGTCATAGACATAACATTCCATCTCCCAGTGGCTTTGAGTATTACTGAACTCCCATATGTCATATTTCACTAGACTTCTGTGCTATGTGCAAATAAGGCAGTAAGGAACTGTGGACATCCATGTTACACATATTGCGTACATCTCTGGTGATCCATTTTCCCACTGGAGTTCACTTACAAAATACAAATTAAAAGAATTGTTGAGAATTTCAAGATGGTGATAGCAGAGCATTGAACCAGGCGTGACACCTGAGAGCAAGGCCCCTGTGACTGCACAAGTCGTAGGCTTAGGAGGCCAGAGCTGCAGACAAGGGAGAATGAAAGCAACACAAAGTTCTTGCACTTATAGAGCACTTTATAGTCTACAAAACACATTCTTACCCTTTACCTCTGAACTGACATTAGTTTTGTCTGCTGGTGAGCAGGCACTATTCGTTAAAGAACTGGAGAAATGCCTAACTAGCCCAAGTTCCATGGCTGACCACGTGCCTAATGTGGACTAGAAGCCAAGCATTGCATTCACTAGTTCGGTCCTCAGCTCACACTTCCTTTCTTTCCACTGTGAGAAGAGCCATCAGACTGCAGAGGAAGAGACCGCATTTGTCTGCCCTTTAGGTGAGTTTTCTGTGTAATCCTTGACACAGCAAAAAGCCACTGAATTATTGTAATATGTTGGTGCCAAGGTTGAAGGAAATGTATGATCAGGGTCAAAAAGAGGGATTCAGGGAAGCCTCCCTGAAGGACGTAGGCTCTGAGGAAGGATTTGAAGTGAATATTGAGTAGAGGCAAAGTCTGTGTGAAAATGTCCTCTTCAAGAAAAGCAAGGGAGAATGAGCAAAGAAATCAGTCTGGGAAGCCCATGTTGTATGCCTATGTGAAGAGTATCAGCTGAAGAAGCCATGTTTGGTGAAAATTTCTTTAATTCAATCTGACAACCAATCTGCATAAAGTTGTTTCTTTCTTAAGAAAGGTACTGTAGGTAAAGCAGCGATCTCTTCCTGTGGTCTTTTGTCCTAATAACCAAACACCCCAATAGATAAAATTAACACAGGCAAGTGTGTGTGTGTTTAACATATTTCTAAACTCTTAGTTCTTTTTGGTTGGCTTTTAATAAAATAATTTAACAAAATGGAAACAAGTATACACTACAAATTCACTGAAAATACTAAAGTAGATGATCTATCAATTAGATAAATATTTAAGTACTCCAGGGATACATATCTAATTTTCTCACTAATGTTGCATGTTAAAATCATTTTTCATCAGTTATTACTTGGCCTAACTTTACTTTCTGTCACCCAGCTGGAATAGAATACCCCTTTTTATTTTTAGAGACAGGGTCTCACTCTGTCACCCAGGCTGGTGTGCAGTGACACAGTCATAGCCCACTGCAGTGTCAAACTCCTGTCATCACCCATTTTTAACTCATCAACCATCTTCTTGATTGCTCAGTGTTTCTTACACTTGGCTTTTCTACAGAAGTTGGAACCAAGTTTGCATCCAAAGCCATTTTGCAGGGGCTTTCATTTGAGGCCACTCTTACAAGAAGGCAAGACTGCTGCACACTAACTGACGAAAACTGCTCTCATTCAAGAGTCCCAGAATTTTGTATCATCTGCACATAACTGCCAACATCTCATTCACTCACTCACTCACTCACTTGGAAAGAAAATCTACAACATTAACATAAGCAACACGAAACCTCTGTGGATTGAGTTATCTTTGGATGAAAAGAAAATCATAGCCGCTTCATTGCCTACTCTACATTTTTCCTTTTGTCCTTCTGATATTTTTCTGAAAAAATTGATTTCATTCGCTACCCCTACTCACTGATATTAGAAATATAGCAACATTTGTTGCCCAAACATAAGATTTTAAAAGCCCTAGTAATAGAAAATAAACTAGTGAAGAAATTTCTTCATCTGGTGACCTGTCTCACAAGGAGAAATTATCTGAGTGGACAGAGAGTAATGTAAACCAGTGCAGAACCCATTGATGAAGTGAGTGTTAGATATAAATGCCTTGGGGCTATCAGCTTTATTCATCCCTTCATCCCCACAACCCAACACACTGTCTGGGAAATGGTAGAAAGAACGCATGTCAGTTTTAATATTTTAGTCAAAAATTTACATTCTTCAGTGTTTGACTCTGAAAATGTAATGTTGGAAATGATTAGGTAAATTAATCCAGAGTTGAAGACAGAGAAAGAAAAGTTCATTCTTTGTTACTGCTGTTAGTGGGAATTTAAGCATGACACAATGTTTTTGGCAGCTCTCTTTTTAAGAAGGCAAATGACTGGATTGCAGAGGAGCTAAAAATATGCAAATTCTTCACCTGCTTGAACCACTCAAGCAGGTAGCCTAGCCGGGTGATCCATTCTTCACCAGCACATCCGTGGAATGCTGGAAGCAAAACTGCCTCCTCTGCCCAGTTATGCCCCATTTTTTTTGATACTTAGTAATGCAGCTCATGTCTGTTTATAGCTACACAACTATAAATAATATGGTCTCCCTCAGGCGTACTGTGAACAATAAGAAGTTTTCAAGAATAATAATACTAAAAGTCGATGAACTATATTAATACAGTATAAATACAAAGTTGTTGCCTGGCAATTTCACTGTACAGCATTCACTGAAAATTCTTAACTAGGAGAGATTTTTATCTTACCCCCAGGGAGTCTCCTTTATCTTTCCCTGAACATCTAGATTTAAATGAATGAAGGCAATCTTATAAAAATCCTAAGAAAAAGACATAATCTTTCACCTCCAAAGGGGGAAAATTAAAAGAAACAAAATTTGTTAATAATAGCCCACTGACAATTTTTACTAACATGGCAGTAATCTCAGCCCCAGAGGAGAGATTCACCATGTCTAGAGCAATGCTTTACAAAATGTGTCCAAAGCACACTGCAAAATGTAGATTCTTATTGTTCAAGAAAAATAAAAATAAAGGCCACGTTTCAGATATATTCCAAAGCCAAATCCCATAAACTCATAAGCAAAACTTAAGTCATCTCGATTTCCCCAAAACACTATCTCTAATCATAAACACAGACATAAGCTTTATATCCTTGTCAGCCTGATTCAGTGAAATTAAACTGGTCATCTCTAGACAAATTAGTTTAAATGCTTTATTTGCCCTAAAAAAGAACATTAATGTATAACAACCTAGCACAAGAGTGGGAGGAGGGAGGGGATCAGGAAAAATAACTAATGGGTACTAGGCTTAATACCTGGGTGATGAAATAATTTGTACAACAAATCTCCATGACACAAGTTTATCTACATAACAAATCTGCACTGGTACCCCTGGAGTTAAAACAAAAGTTAAGAAAAAAGACACTTCAAAATTCTGTACTTTTGATATTTACTAAAGAATACGGCATTGAATTTTCTGTTAAACTACTCATCTCAAAAGCTCAATTACAGAATTTTAGTGGAGTATTAGCTAAAGGATGTTCACTTTATCTCTCCCCACAGATATTCTAAAATTATCCTTGTAGTCCTTGTTGTCAACCCAGATTACAAGGCAGTAATTATACTTGACCTGTGCCATCTTAGCCCCTAATAGAACAACTGAACTACTTTTACAACTAGACTTTCCGTATAGAGCGTCAGCTGCAAGCTTTCTCTGAAATGTTTATTGCAGGCATACGTTCAGTACATCACAATGTTTGCTTTATGAAGACCCCTGGTTTGCTACCAAGGAAAAAGTAGCTCGTCCTTAACCATCGTATTTTCTCTCTTAGCTTTGGCTATCTGGAAGCTAAGAGCCAAATTTATGGCACAGTAGTAAGCATGAAGTATCTAATATCACAAATTTCATAATAAGTTTTAATTCTGACATTATTTCCCCTCTTTAATTTTTTTTCACCTGTTTCCTTCACTTACTTTAATTCTCATCTTGCATTTCATATTTTACACCTGAGGTTTCTTGAATTATTTTTGGACCAATGAAGGAAATAAGTAAATTTTTATTATACAAATGACTGAGATTTATAAATTCATAACCACTTGAAATCCACCAAATATAATTTTATTGTACAAATTTTATATTTTGACCTCCTATACAAAACCTACACTATACAAATTTAACATTTAACATTACATAATTTTTATTGTACAAATTTTATATTTTGACCTCCTATACAAAACCTACACTATACAAATTTAACATTTAACATTACATAATTTTTATTGTACAAATTTTATATTTTGACCTCCTATACAAAACCTACACTATATAAATTTAACATTTAATGTTACATATTTAATATTATTGAAAAAGAAGTCAGTAAAAAATTAAAAGAAACATGCATTTTTCAGTAAGTATTTAGAATCATGCAGAGCCAGAAAAAAACACATTTCTAGGCATAGGCAGATAAGAACTTTCCACAGCACCTCTTTTTTGTTAACAGTAGCAGGCGTGTCTGGCTTGCCTGGGTCCAGAGTTTCTATCTCAAATTGCATGAATGAGAGAACCACAATAAAACCCGAGAATGGTTTAGGAACTTAGGCTCAGCTTTTGCTTCACGTTTCTTCTGATAAAAGTGTTTCTAAAAGTATAATCTTTAATGCCAAGAAGTCAATTAACTTAAAAAATTGCCAACTCTGCCAATAACCAGTAATATGAAAGCAACCCTTTTGCATTGGGGGTGAATAAATTATATGAACAAACACACTCTGCTAAATCCAGCTCTGAGAGAAAGTTGTTTCTCTGTGGTAAGGCTCTTTGTAATGAGAAATTGAAACAGCAAAAGGCATCTGAGTAATCATGTGAAGTTTTCCATGTGGCTTTCAGTTTAGAAGACAATTTTGTTTTATCCAAAAGCACAAAAATCTAGAGAGACCTATCTGACCCCAGTGTTTCAGGGAACAATGATGGCCTCTCCCTACATAAACCCTTCTTCTGATGAGATGAGAATTATACAAAATTAGACAGGTAAAATACAAATGATGATCAAGATATGCACATTGTTGCCAAATTCTCATACAGGTATAAGTTTGTAATACAGTCATGAAGCACTTAGCTTCGGGCACACATTTTGAGAAATTCATTAGGTGATTGTGTTGTTGTATGACCATCATAAAGTGTACATACACAAATCTAGATGGTATAGCCTACTATACACCTCCACGACATGGTATAACCCCATTCTAAGCTACAAACCTTAGCATGTGGCTTTACCGGATACTGCAGGCAGTTGTAACACAATGGTAAGTATTTGTGTATCTAAACATAGAGAAGTTACAGCAAAAATATGGTGTTATTACTTGATGGGATTATCGTTATGTATGTGAACCATTGTTGACTAAAATGCCATTATGCGTCACATGACTGTGTGGATATTGCAAATACAGAGATTGAAAATTCCGTGCCATTTCTATATTAATTCTGATGCTGGGTACCACCAGACCACGTAGGAGACAGAGAGAGGTAATTACATTGTTGAAATTTTTGAGTCTCTCTGTGATCTAGAACAGTGGTCAACAGCTGTAGGTCGTATCTGGTCTGTCTCCTGTTTATGTAAAAAAGCAGTTTTATTGGGACATAACCACCATACCATCCTCTATGTCTTATCCTTTGCCACAGAAATGATGAATTGCAAAACCAATTTTGTTTTTTTTTTTTTTTTTTTTTTGGACGGAGTCTCGCTCTGTTGCCCAAGCTGGAGCACAGTGGTGCAATCTTGGCTCACTGCAAGCTCTGCCTCCCAGGTTCACACCAATCTCCCGCCTCAGCCTCCCAAGTAGCTGGGACTACAGGCACCTGCCACCACGCCTGGTTAATTTTTTTGTAGTTTTAGTAGAGACGGGGTTTCACCTTGTTAGCCAGGGTGGTCTCGATCTCCTGACCTCGTGATCTGCCCGCCTCGGCCTCCCAAAGTGCTGGGATTACAGGCGTAAGCCACCGCGCCCAGCCAGCAAAACCTAAAATATTTTCTAACTGGCCCTTTACAGTAAACATTTAAAGACATCTGAGCTAAACTGTGGTCATGTTTTTATGAATTTCTGTATAACCCACCTTTTGAAATACATCCTTTAATAATTCTCTCAGAAGCTGTTTACAGGAGGGAAAACAGTTCTTTTTTGTATCCATGGCAATACCTTAATTTTGGTGTTAAATTTATTTGGCATTTTATATAAGATAATATTTCCTTGTCTTCTAGTACTTGGCACTGCTGATGAAAAAAGTCTGCTGTAATTCTAATCACTGTGTAAAATTTGTCTTTCCTTCCTACTCACACATAAAATTTCACTTTTCTTGATATCTGCTAGTTTCAGGATAATGTTTTGGTGTGGATTTATTATCTATTCTGATGCATGAACATGCATTTCAATCTTTACAGGCTTTTTTTAAAAAAAATTGCAGCCATTATTTTTTGAAGTATTGATATTTTATTTCCTTTAGTCCTGTTCCTTGATTATATGTGTCTGTTGCATTCTGGTACTGTTATTCTATAATATCTTCTCTAGTCCTTAACTTCTCCTTTATATTTTGACTTTATCTCAGTATCTCACTATGTTAGATTGAAGGTACCTCACAATCATTTTTTGATTCTTTGGATTCCCTCAACTCTGTACAGATTAAAGTTTAGCTAGAATATTGAGTTTTTATTTCAATATATTTTTCATTTCTACAACTTATTAATTTTTCATATATATTTTTTCTTCCTTTTTGCTTTTGGTTATTTTTATAAATGTAATTTCTATTATTAAACCTCTGAATTTAACAATGAAATGTTTCTAATTAATTTTTAGATTGTTCTTTATTTTTATTTTGTATGAATGAATTATTTCCTCATTAGCTAATTCAGTAGCAATCTTCCTTGGCTTGACTTATAAGCTTTGGAAGATTGGTTTGTAGGCTCATCTTAAGCAATTTTATTGTTGTTGTTGCTTTTGTTATTGCTGTTGCAGTTTTTCTTCTCTTCTACATACCCATTCTTGTTTTGGTACTACCCTGACCCATAACGTCTGTCCCATGCAGAAGTAGGTCTAACACCGGCACCTTGAAGCTCCTATCCCTTGGTGAGCTCGGGGATATTTATCTTCCCATTGGACAGGTAAGTACTAATAATAATGACCATAAGTCTTATTACCTTTTTTCCTATTTCTGTAAGTATTGAAGTACATAAAAGCCATATTGCAGGCAATTAACAATCACAACTTTCCTTCCAAATGTTTTAAGAACCTGGTTTTATGCCATGTTCCTAGCTCCACCCCCTTCTTGGCTTCAAATACACTTGAACACTGTCACCCCATAGTTTATACACTTGAACACTGACACCCCATAGTTTATACACTTGAACACTGTCACCCCATAGAAGATAAACTTTTCCCATTTCCAGATTCAGACTTCTGCTTTGATGCTTCATGTTTCCCTTCCGTTTCTAATCTAGAGAAATAACTATTTTTGAGCATTGATATATCTTTTTATTTCCATTTTTAATGTTTGATCTATTACTGCCACATTTTTGTTGCAAAAACATTAGAGGAATTTGAAGCACACACTTTATTTTACTATG
Organism: Homo sapiens; assembly: GCF_000001405.40. NCBI lineage: Eukaryota > Metazoa > Chordata > Mammalia > Primates > Hominidae > Homo > Homo sapiens. The sequence goes on along the minus strand of NC_000007.14, from coordinate 109,116,947 downwards.
TCATTTTGAGAAGACAGAAGAGTGAACACTGAAATTAGAGAATTACACTAGTGAAAGTACAGAGTCTAGAGTAGAAGACATGTGAAGTACAGTAATTAATTTTAGCTAAAGCCTTTTATGATCAGTTAATGATATATCTTTATTTGATTTATAAATGGCAGGATAGATTAAGGTTAATAAACTATTCATTTCATAAAGGAGATTTGATTGTTTTAAACTCATCATCTCTCTTAGAATGTCCACACATTTTACTAAGTGATGGTAGTTGCGATGGTGGATTCTAATGACATTTGTTTATTCTAGTCTGGTGCCCTAATTAAATCAACCTTGTAATCAAACATACCATGTGACTGGATAGAATTATTTAACCTTTCAAAGCTTCAGTTTTCTTTTCCATTAAATAAAGATGTTTATAGCATAGGCTTTAACTGAGTAATTCCATCCATTATTAGGATCATATCCCTATGGAAATCATCTAAGCAAAACAGCCTCATATAATTTAGAAAGAAAAATATTAGAAATAATCCAAATATCCAATAATTAAGAATCAATTTTGCTATAAAATATCACACTATAATATTTAGTAATCAATCTGATAAATTCATGGATATTGACTAAGAAGTTGGTAAACTTACATAGGTAAACACTAAAAATAAAATTATAATGAAAAAAGGCATGAAAAGGTGTTTAATTTCATTAGATTTTAGGGACATCAAATTTAAACCACATTATGATATCTACCAGAAAGACTAAACTGGGAAACACAGATAATACCAGGTGTTGGTAAGACTCTGGAATTCTCTGACATGCTAGAGGAAGTGTAAATTGCATAACCGTTTTGAAAAACCATTTGCTGGTGTCTCCTGAAGCTGAACATATTTAGACTTTATGACCCAGAATTTCCACTCCTTGGCTTATGACCAAAATACCTGTATATATTTACCAAAAGATATGTACTAAAATCTTTATAGATGTACTATGTCTAATAGCTCAATACTGTAAGATATCTCAATGCCCAAACACAGTAGACTAAAGAAACCATGACATATATCACACAGAGGAATATTACACAGGAATGAGAATAAACGATCTGTAACTAGTCATAATAACATGAGTAAACCTCACAAGTAAAATGAAGGAAGGCAGACAAAAAAAAAAAAAAAAAGCACCGGCCATAGAATTTCATTTCTATCAAGTACAAAAATCAACCACTGGGGTTAAAAGTCAGAATAGCAGTTATCCTTGTTGGGGGATTAGTGACTAGAAGGAGCACAAAAGAGGCTTTCCAGGATGCTACCAATGTTCCAGTCACTGATTACACAGATGAATGTAGTTTCAGAAAACTTAGGTTGTATATTTATGTCATACGTTATAAAATGTTAGATGACAATGAAAATTGTATATATATGATAGAGCTTTACAAGCTTAATGGTTGTTCAAACTCCACTCCTATTTTTCCTCAGGATCCATGAAGATACTTCAAGGCTAGTTCTTGCTTCCGATTAATTATAGGTTTGATTTGCTCTTGTTCTCTCAGTACACTGTTTTCCCACACTCATAGGTATATAATAAGAATAATTTTATTTCTAAAAGAGCAATCAATTATATAACTATAAAAATTATTTTTAAATTCCTGAATCAATAGAATAGACTTGCAAAGAGATTATAAAAGTTACATCTACAGAAAACTTTAAAAATTGAATAGCATTTGACATTCATGTCACATTCTCCTCCTTACATCTTTCCAGCCCTTGATTTTGAGCCTGGTCATAGCATCCTTCCATAGGTTTTAACTTTCCTTATAAAACTGGGTCCAGGCAAGAGAAGTAGGAGCCTCATGATATTACTCAACAGCCCAATGTCACCAATTCATTGATTAGAGTATACTGACAACTGGGACCCTGTCTCATTTGCAAGTACCCCGCTTGGATTCCCAGCCTTCCAACTTCAAAAGTTACCACTCTTCCATAGCAAACAAATATCTGCAGGCTAGAATTTCTGCCAGTTATCTGCTCCAGCAGACAGTTTTCCATTATAATTAAAATTGCTAAGAGCACTATTGCATTAATCATTTCTTTTCTCTGACGTATCTTTTGGTTTTGCACATCCAGATAGTCTCAAAGTCAGACGTTCCAACTGAACCATTGAATTTGGCCTACAATCTCACAAATTGCATCCAATTTTGTCTGATATTCTGAAGCATTCTACTACTATACCTGTTTTTCCTAAAAGCCTTGTGTGATGGTTAACATTGAGTGTCAATTTGATTGGATTGAAGGATGCAAAGTATCGATCCTGGGTGTGTCTGTGAGGGTGTTGCCAAAGGAGATTAACATTTGAGTCAGTGGACTGAGAAAGGCAGACCCACCCTCAATCTGGGTGGGCACAACCTAATAAGCTGCCGACATGGCCAGAATAAAAGCAGGCAGAAGAACTTTTAAAGATTATACTGGTTTAGTCTTCTGGCCTACATCTTTCTCCTGTGCTGGATGCTTCCTGCCCTTGAACATCGGACTCCAAGTTCTTCAGCTTTGGTGCTTGGACTGGCTTCCTTGCACCTCAGCTTGCAGAAGGCCTATTGCAGGACCTCAACTTGTGATCGTGTGAGTCAATACTCCTTAATAAACTCCCCTTTATATACACATCTATCCTATTAGTGCTGTCCCTCTAGAGAACCCTGAGTAATATACCTAGTTTAAAAGCAAACAAACAAGCCATCAAAGAAATATCTGCAAGAACTGCCAACCGGTTTCCTGGCCAGAATGTGCTATACTATCTGAACCTAAGTGAACACCCTCAGTGATGTGCCCTAAGCCTATGGAGTCCTTATGACCTTTGTTCCTAAGCTCAGGAAGAAGATTTTAAAACGCCATTTATAAATTCATAAACCAGAGATCCAAAAAGATACACTAATGTTCAGCCAATCTCAGCCTTCATCAGCCAGAAAGATTCTGTTAGCTGAATCTGCTTGCTCCTCAAATCTTTAAGATTCCAAACCAAAAATCAACTGATTTAATATGACTTCAGGTTCTTCTTCAAATCAGAGTTTAGGCTGTCTGTTAGGCACAGATTTAGATTCTAACTGGTCCTTAGAATATACAAACACTAGCCATTTATTTATCATCAAACCTATCAAATTCGTAACATTAGAAGTGTGACAAATTTTCAGTCCTGGTCTGATTTGAGCCCTAGTTTATATAAAATTCCTGTTTTGAAAGGTCTTGTTCATGGTAAGAAGTCATGCTCCCATGTTCCATTTCTATAATCACTGCAGATATAAGTAATTGATTATGACACACTTACAATGTTTGGGTGTAGTTTCACAATATATCCTCATAGAGTCATTCAAGTAGCTACCACTAATCAGTAAGAGTCTTTATGAGAGATAAAATATGCTGAAACTCAGGCTTACACCCTGCACAAGTTTCAGTTTAATGCATTATAGCCTACTTTAACTCAAAAACATAGTGGAAAGTTTGGCTTATACAGAAATTAATTAATTACATACATACGATCTGTTTTCTAATTTTTCATGTTTCTAATTCCTAACATTGCCATAGCTCATATCGCATATGTATTTATTGAGTTCTATTTAACTACTTCACTGAGCTCTTCCTTAGTTTATGATTTACTTCTTGCCTCTTTGGCATCCTATCACATGTGATAGGGCTATGCAAGGTGTTAGTATTCTGGAGACAGGAGATCAATTCTGCTTGGTCAACTCCCTTCTGAGGACATTTGGCTACACCAGCAACTGGCAATATATTATGTGATTCATTCTATCTGGTACTTTCTTTTATCTTATACTACCTAAAATTTTTTTTATAATTTTCTGTGTCACTGTTATTTCTCTCTATCCACTGATTCCTGCTTATGCAAGTGTTTAAAAAATTATTCTTTATAGACAGAAATAAATATAAGAAACAATATTCACACAAGTCCACATCTCCTCCTATTTTTCAAATTAATAAACAATTATATCCTCTTGTGTTCACTCTTCTTTCACAAGGCCACTTAGTGAAATTCCATTTTAACATTATTTTTCATCCATGTAATTATTAATACTATTTTACTAGCCATGAGTATTTTATTTGCACTAATTTCCTTCTCAACAAAATTCCTTTGTTGTTACTGATTTAGGTATTCAGTAAGTAGTTCCTGAGCTAAGTAACTGCTTGAGGGTAATTCCAAATCTTATCCTAGAAAAAATATTTCTCTTGGATTAAAAAAAAAAATGTAACAAAAACTGGACACCAGCAAGAAGCTCATTCTTTGATTATATCAGTTTTTAACTGTGACAAGGAATCAAACTACTCCTCTAAGATTTGTACTTCTTCCTAGAAGCCAGTAGAGGTGACAGTGAACGAATAGTACATGATAGTAGGAGCACAGCATTGTCCATTTTCTTCTCATTACCTAACAGGCTCTGATAGGTCAGAAGGAAATGAAGATCTGTGAAAGTTGGCTGTGACCACAGGCACAGCTCAAACATTTTGGTGTCCAGGAACTATCTCTTTAACAAGGTAGAATGGGCTCTAGAAAAGTCTCTGGCTTCTGCTGCCTACAAATTGATGCTTTGAAATGCAAATTCAAACTTAACTCCCAACGCAGAGACTGTCAGTCAAAAGACACTGTTGATAGCCTTTAGGTGGCTAAACTAATCTCATGCCAAGACAGAAAAATAAATTTTGAAGTAATTTGCAAAGTAAAATGTGAAATATAACTTTGAAGGACCCAGAATGATGACCTTTATTAATTTGCCATATGGACTCAAAATTCTGCAACACCATTCTCTATAGTAAGCCTTGCAGTTGCAGGCCCAGAATAATTTTCAGTGCAGAGTCACTGATAAAGTTAATATTTCCTACAGTTTGAGGCATCATAGATAGGCTTTCCAATTATTTTTAGTTTCAATTAGATTGGTGAATTTCTCAGTGGCTCATCTAAGTCTAATCATATAATTATGTTTCATTTAATTGAAAATGACTAGCTAAAAATGTCTGGATATTTTTTAAAAAGTAAACCTCAGGTGATGAGAGTTTTCTCAAATTCACTTTCTCAATATTCCAAACTAAACTTCCAATGTCATTATTCACTGGATCACAGACCTTGGATCAGACTAGACAAAATACTGGGGTAGAGTAATTATAATGCAGAGAAAAGCAGAGTGTGACTTACGGAGTAGAGCTTAGTGGTTACAAATTTTAGCATTCAATTTCCAGCCCTAATAAGAAATTAATTTTAGCATTGCTAAGGCTCAGCATCTGCAAAATATAAATCATAATGATACTTCAACCTTTGTTGGATATGGTTGATGAATGCTTGGTCTCCGTTGCAACATCCTTCTTTTGGGCCTTCCTCCTCTAGACACACTGAAAAATGAAAACAGTATTTCCCATACTCTCTTAGAGCTAGAATTCTGCCTTCAAGATATGTTTCACCAATTATTTGTATCTCTGCAAGTTTGAAAGTGAAAATGAGGCACAGACTACCTTCTTGTTGCTTTTTGGCTATGGAAAACAAGAGCATAAAGATGTGGATTTTGTTTTTCTCTCCAGTCATATTCCAGTATTCAGCCCCAGTTTATGATGGTCAAGAGTTCACTGCGGAGGGACCGCAGCCAGACTATGCATTCCAGTCTCCAGGCATCAGCTTCACGTGAGTTGATAGTGCAGTTGCTCCATCAGTGGCTTGCTGATGCTGGTTTCCCAACCTGTTGGTTAGGCTACAACTATGCCACCTCATAGTCCTTGAACTTTAACTTGTACATTTAATAGTGGTCTTTGATTTTGGCAGAAGTAGTAGCTACCCTAGTGGGGCAGTTATGTCATGCTTGGGAGACCATTCCTGTAAGCTCACCCTAAAGTCCATTCATCAAGCCTATCAATTGAATTCCTAGTCCCTAATTAGGGAATTCCTAATTCCCTATGTTCAGTCTCCTTTTTATTATTGAGGTAAAATGTATAGACAGTGAAACACAGATCTTAAGTATAAAATTCGATGTTTTGATAAAATTATTAATGATTAACTATACCTCCATCAAGTACAAAACATTCTTGTCACCACATCACCACAGAAATTTCCTTCATGGCCCTTTCCAATCCATTTCTACATTCTGCAGGCCACCTCTTCTGAGCTCTACAACCACAGACCAGTTTTGCCTCTCTAGGAAATCATATAAATAGGTTCAGGCAGTATGTGTATTTTTGCTTCTGGGTTTTTTTGATCAAAATAATTTTGAGATGCATCCATGTTGCAGTGTGTGTAGTTCATTCATTTTTCATTGCTATATTAATGGAATATAGTATTCCACTGATGAACTTTTTTTCAGTTTGGGAATATTACTAATAAAACAGTTATAAACATTCTTGGTAAGAATTTTTTCTGTGGACATGTTTCCTCCCCTAAGTAAATACCTAGGAGTACGATTTCTATGTCAAAGGTGATATTTATGTTTAACTATAAGGAGCCACCAAATAGTTTTCTAAACTGATTTTAGCACTTTACACTTCTACCAGCAATGTATGAGAGTTCCATTTCTTCCACATTCTTATCAATCTATTTAAATTTTGCTATTCTAATGAACATAAAGTGGTAGCTACTCCAGGTTTTAATTTTCATTTACCTGATGAGTAATGATATTGAGCATCTTTCATGTGCTTTCTTGTCATTCTTGTGTCTTTTTTTGTGAACTGCCAAGTCTTCTGCCATTTTGTTTTATTGGGTTGTTTGTCCATATTGAGGTATAATTAACATGAAAAAATGCACCTGTCTCATATATTTTTTGATGACTTTTGGCCTATGCATCTGCCTGTGTGAACTAATTCACTTAAAATATAGAGTATTTTCATCTTTACAGAAATTTTCCTTCTTCTCCTTTCACTAAATCCACACTCGCTCAAAACCAAAAACTTTCTAACACAATTAATTTCAAGATTTGCTGGTCTTGGACTTTATACAAATGGTATTTTAAATACTATTTTGTGCCTGACTTCTTTCACATGATTAATCCATGTTGAAATTCATCAGTGTTGCTCCCTATATCAGTAGATATAGAGGTTGTTCTCTATGTATTTTTTCATTTAATCCTGACAAGTGTTACTTTGTTTAACACAGTAAGTTTATCCATTCTTTCGTAAATGGACTTTGAGTTGTTTCAACTAGTGAGCTATTATAAATAAAGCTAATATAAGCTTTCTTGTGCAATTCTTTTGTAGACATGTTTTCATTTCTCTTGGGTCAACACCAAGGAGTAAAATTGCAGGGTCATTGGGTAGATTATATTTAATGTTATAAGAAATGGCCAAACAATTTTCCAAACTAGTTGAGCCATTTTGCACTGTCACCACCAATGTAGGAGAGCTCCATTTCTCCAAATTGATGAAAACATTTAGTGTTGTCAGTCTTTTCAATTTTACCCACTCTTGTGGAACAGTATATCAGTGCAGTTTTGAGTTTTCATTTGCTTATTGACTACTCTTATATATTTTTATAACATGGCTGTTTAGATTGTCAATTTTTAAATTGGGTTGTTAATCTTTTTATTGTTATTAGTAGGTCTCCATATACTGTCTTAAAGTCTTTCTTAAATATATGTGTTATAAATGTATTTTTCCCAGACTATAGCTTTCTATTAGAGTTTTGTTTTAATCAGAAATTATCATGTTTACAAAAGACCACTTTATCACTGTTTTTCTTTTATGATAAGTTTATGTTCTGACCAAGTAAACATTTCCTACCCCAAAGTCTTGAAGATATTCGCTGTGGTTTTTTTTCTTTTAAATACTTTATTGTTCTAGGTTTTATTTCATGTCCATGATTAATCTCAAATTAATTTTTTTGGACAGAGTAAGATAGGTTTTAAGATCTAATTTTTTCATACATACAACCAGCTGTTTCAGCACCATTTATTTGTTAAAGTTTCCCAACAAGTGGCCTTGGTGGCTCGTTAAAAAACCAACTGCTCATTTGTGTGGGGGTCAATTTCTGGACTATTTGGTTTGTCTGATGTATTTGTGTCTCCATTGCACCCATATCACGGTCTTTTGATTACTATAGCTTTGTAGTAAATGTTGAAATCAGGTAGTGAAATCCTCCAAGTTTATTCTTTGTCAACATTGTTGTGGTTGTTCTAGATTGTATTTTTTTTTTAATTTTAGAAATAGCTTAACTATTTTTTTCAAAAGAGCCCACTTGAATTTGGTGTGGATTACACTGCATCTCTTAATAATTTAGAGTGTTTTTTAATTCCTTCTTGCAAATTCATTTTATGCTTCTATCTGGCACCCTTTCCCTTCATCCTGAGTATCTTCTTTTAGCATGCATTGTAGTGCAAGCCTGCTCTCGCAAGTTTTGACGCTCTTAAATATTTTTATTCACAGTCATATTGAAGGATATTTGTCTAGGAAAAGAATTCTAGGTTGGTATGATTTTTTTCTTTCAGCAATTAAAAAATTTTGTCCTATTTCTTTCTCATCTCTGTTGTTTCTGCTGCATGAGCAGTAGTTACATTCATGTTACCTTGTGTATAATATGTCTTTCTATATGGGTTTATATCTGCTCTGTGTCATTGACTATAATATGCCAATGTGGGGATTTTGATTTATTTATTCTGCTTTTAAATTTTTACTTACCTCTTTGGAAATACAGGTTGAGGTCTTTCATCAATTTTGGAAAGTTCTCATCTAGTAGTTTTTCAAATATTTCCTTTGATCCATCCATTTTCTCTCTTCTCTCCTCATCCCTTTTGGGATTTATTTTACACCAGAGGATATCAACCAGGTGCAATTTTGTCCCCCAAGAGACATTTAACAATGTCTAGACACATATTTAGTTGTCAAGACTAGAAGGCAGATTGCTACTAGCATCTAGTGGATAGAGGTTAGGGATGCTGCCAGCCATCTTACAATGCACAGGATATCCCCAACAACAAATAATTATCTGACCCAAAATGTCAATAGTGCCAAGGTTTAGAAACCCTGTGTTTGACCATGCAATATTGTTGCATAGGTCTCAGATATTTTGTTTTGTTTTCATTTAACTTTGTCTTCTGTTTTTCAGTTTTGATACTTTCTATTAAATTGTCTTCAATTTTTTTAATCTCTTTCTCTGCAATATTCAGTCTGTTATTAAGCCCATGAGAAAAGTCTTTATTTTTGATATTTTTCACTTCCAGTATTTTAATTGTATATTACTAGCATCTACGTCTGTGCTAAAATTCACCATTTCTTTCTCACTTGGCTACCATTTTCACTACGAACTTTACCATTTTATCATAATTGTTTAATGTGTCTTTCTTACAATTCTAACATATGGGCTATCTCTAGGTCTGTTCTACTGACTGTTTTATGTCTTGGCCATAGGTCACGTTTTCTTGCTTCTTTATGTCTTTAGTATTATTATTATTTATATCATAGAGATTTTGTATAACACAATAGACAGTGATATCATTAATATCTCTCTTCAGGAATTAGCACCTTCTTCTCCTAGGTTACCAGATTGTGGGCTGAGTCAATCAAATCTATAGTCAAACAGTTTTGGCACATGGCAAATTTAGTTTGATTGAGTTTACTTCTGGTTTTAACCATTTTGAGGGTAACATGAATCTATTCCTGGCATTAAGGCCTGTGATGTGAAGTTTGTAAGTGATCCCTCAGTACACACAAGAGATTGGTTCCAGGCCCTCTGCATAAACCAAAATTTGTACACACTCAAACCTACAGGCAACCCTGCAGAACTGACACATATGAAAAGTCAGCACTCCATATATGCAGGTTTCACATTCCAGAACATCCTATAATACACACCCCAACAACATTTGGTTGAAAACAACCTGCATGTAATTAGACCCACACAGTTCAAATCTGCGTTAAGGATCACCTGTAAGTTGCTAGCTTTCAGAACAGAGCTTTCAGTACTTCCCCTGCTTCACAGCCTGGCTTTCAGGTTTTTAGATGGCTGAAAGTATTCTTTGCTTTCCGATAACACCTCCTTTCTGGATTTGAGGGTTTTCTTTTAGCCTTGCTGCCCAGTGTGATAATGAGTAGAGGTAGTGACAATGTGTTTACTCACTTGCTCATTCTTGATCCTGGAGGGAAGGTGTTCACTGTGTCATCAGTATGATATTAACTGCAGGTTTGCTGCAGAAATGCTTTAACAGAGTGAGAAAGTTTTCTTCTACTCCAAAGGGTCTTGGATATTTTATCATAAGGAGTGTTGTCTTTTGTCAAATGGATAGTCTGAATTTTTAAAAGATGATTGCTTTTCTGCTTTACTCTATTTAAGAACATTACATTGACTCTTTGGATTTTAATATTTTGAATTTACATAGAGCAAAAGTCACTTTTTATTGTAAACTTCTATGAATTTTTACATCTGTATGGATTATCATTACCAGAACTAGAGAGAAGATACACAAAATATTCTACAGTTCAAATAATTATCTCATTTATTGCATTTTATTCTGAACCTCCTCCCAGCCTAACTTCTGGCAATGACTAATCTGTTCTGTCTTCTCATATATCACCTTTTCTAAAATGTCAAATAAATGGAATTATACAATATGTAACATTTTAATATTGGGTTTTTTAATCTAGCCTAATGCGTTTGTGATTTATCCATGCTGTTGTAAACAGCAATGGTTTGTTCCATTTTATTACGTAGTAGTATTCCATTAGATTGATTTGTTAATAACAAACTAATCTTAAACCCTTAAATTAAAACCTACCTGGGTCATAGTATAATTTTGCTATATTTTGTTATATATTTCTATATTTACTTGCCATGTTTAGTTAACAAATGTTGTGGCTGTGTTTATGAGGCATATTGTTCTACACATTTCTTTTTTTGCAATGGCATTGTTACCAGGTTTGGATATCACTGACATCCTCGATGTATAAAACAAATGAGGAAGATATCTGTCCTCTTCTATTTTCTGAAAGAATTTGTGCAATACTGTTATTGCTTCACTTGTATTAAATATTGGAATATTTGTATTACATTCATCAAATATTTGTTAGAATATGCCAATGACCCAGAATTATTTGCATGAAAACTTTAAAGTACAAAATTAATGATTCTAATTAACATATGGTGGTTAAAATTTTTGTACTTCTTGATTAGTTTTAGTATGCGTGATTGTTAAAGATTTGTTCATTTCACACAAGCTGTAAAATTTATAGTTGTTTATAATATTTCTCTTTTAAATGTACATACACTCTGTAGATATCCCTATTTCATTACTAATATTGGTAATTTGTATTTTATTTTAGTCTTATTAAAGTTTACCAATTATGTTAACCTATTCAAAGAAACAATTTTGACTTTTTTCTATTATTTGTTCACTTCCTATTTACTTTCTCTTTTGTTATTATTTTTTCTTTATTTTTCTTATTTTGTCTGCTTAGTTTGTTTATTTTAAATTTTTCTTTTTTAAATGTAATATAAATAATATAAGAGAAAAAGAGTGATAGATTGCATTTTTGCTATTACTCAGTTCTCAGTGTTTTCCATTTTCTTTTTTAATATTGACATTAGTCCATTGATGGTTTAGAATTGTGTCATTTTTTCCCTCAAATATTATGAGAGTTATACATATCTTATTTGTACTGATTATATAATTTAATTGGATTATAGCAAGGCAACATACCCTGAATGATTTTAATCTTTTTAAAAATATTGTGATCTATTTAATGGCAAATTAAATGCCTCTTAAACAGCATTGATCTGTTTGGTGAGCATTTCTTGTTCAGTTGTTGGCTATAATTTCTCTAAATATTAATTAAGCCAAGTTGGCTGTTATCATTGGTCATATTTTTTATATACTTACTAATCTTTTTGCCTATTTGTTTTATCAATTACTGAGAGAGAAGTGTTAAAAATCTTCAATTATTATGATCACTCTATTTCTCCCATTGGTTCTGCCAGTTTTTGCTTCATGTATTTTGAAGTCCTGTTTTTTTTTGAGACAGAGTATCGCTCTGTCACCCATGCTGGAGTGCGGTGGTGCGATCTCAGCTCACTGCAAGCTCCGCCTCCCGGCTTCACGCCATTCTCCTGCCTCAACCTCCTGAGTAGCTGGGACTACAGGCACCTGCCACCACTCCTGGCTAATTTTTGTATTTTTAGTAGAGACGGGGTTTCACCGTGTTAGCCAGGATGGTCTCGATCTCTTGACCTCGTGATCCTCCCGCCTCGGCCTCCCAAAGTGCTGGGATTACAGGCGTGAGCCACCACGCCCGGCCTTGAAATCCTGTTATTAAGTACATTTGCATTCTGTCTTCTTCATAAAATGATCCTTTTATCATAATGAAATATTTTTTATCCCTAACAATATTCATTGTTTGAAAGTCTATTCCATCTGACATGACTATACATGCATCAGCTTTATTATGTTTATTCTTAACATTGGCATATAATTTGTCATCCTACTACTTTCAATCTATTTTGTCTTTATATTTAATGTGCATCTACTTTAGATAGCACAAAGCTTGATCATGCTTTTGTTACTCATTCTGACAACCTCTGACTTCTAATTGCAGTGTTACTTTATTTAAATTGAAAATAAATATAGATGTGGTTGAACTATTTCTAATATGTTGCTGTTTGTCTTCTATTTATGCCATGTTTTCAGTTCTCTTTTCTTCCTTTCCTTCCCTCTTTAGTGTTATTCAGACTATGGTTAGTATTTCATTTATTTCTTCTGTTTAAGCTTTAGATGTGTGGATATTAGTATTTACTGAGAAAAGGAAAACAGGAATATGGAATGGGAAAGTGTGAAGGTGAACCCTGTGTTGTTGAATTCCAGTAAGAGGTATCAGTATGGACTAATGATTGCTAAGAAATATACTTCCAAACTATTTAGTTGAAAGGCTTAGAAGAAATATCATCTAAACAATTAGTATACATAATATAATGCCTAGATTTTGGTTTTTAAATATCACTTCCAACTAAAAGATAATCGGTTTGGCACTGGGAAAATAAAAAGTAAGCCTGACACAGTTTGTTGTATTAGAAAGCAAAGATGTGTTCAGATACAAAGGGGGCACATTGAAAAGATGCAGGAGATTACCTCAAAAGACTTTCACTCTTGAAATTTAGAGCAAATAAAACATCAGAAAATACTGATAATGGCATATAACACATTGACTAAGAAAATTAAAAGGATCAATATGGCTAGAGAGATAGTTTTAGGAAAGGGGGAGAGGCTGTGAGAGAGTGAGAGATCTTCCCTATAGAACAAAAGAACTTTTAAAAAAGTCATTATTTTGCAATATAATAATTTTGTAAATTTTATTCAAAAGTGCCAAAATTAGATCTAAAGGAATATGATACATTCATATTTGGTGATTCCCCTGACTGTATCTAAATAGAACAATTAGAGAGCCAGTAAAAATACAATATAAAAGATCTAAACAACACCATGAACCAACTTGACTAACTGCAAATTATAGAACATAGCAACAACTGAACAATACACGTCAATTTTAAGTGCACATGGAATATTCACAGACTATATGCTCAGCCAGAAAGTAAATTTTTATAATTATCAAATAATGCTATTAAATTAGATTCAGTAGCAATAAGATATCCAGGAAAATCTCAAAATGTCCATACCAAACACTTCTAAATAACACTTGGATCAAAGAACAAACTACAGCAAAAATTAGAAAATATTTTGAACTAAATAATAAAAATACAATATATCTAAATGTATGTAGCGCAGGAAAAGTTGTGAATACAGGGAATTGCATAACTTTAAATGCTTATATTAAAAAAGAAAGGTGTAATATATAGAACTAAGCTTCTGCATTAAGAAGCTAGAAAAAAACTGAACGAATTAATCCCAAAAAAGTAGAAGAAAGAAATAATCAAGATAAAAACAAAAATGAAATACAAATAGATATAAAATATTTCCATGAAATAGACATCAGGCAAATTACCATAGAAAAAAATACCAAAAATGGGTAATTTGGGAGAAAAATAAAATGTATTAACCTCTAACAGGACTGATCAATTAAAAGAAGCAAACACACAATTACAAATATTAGGAATAGAAAGTGAGCTATCTACAAAGATCTAATAGATATCAAAAGGAAAATATGGGAATATTATAAACTTGCTGCCATTAGTGTAGTTGCAATGGCTAGATTTCTTGGGAAAAAAAAATAACTGATTAAAACTGATACAGGAAGAATAAAACAAAATCAAAATGTCACTATCTTGGTTAAAGAAATTTATTTTTCAGTTAAAATTCTTCCCAGGAAGCAATTCAAAGTCTACAAAATTTCACTAGTGAATTCTATCAGAGATTTAAGGAAGAAATAATACCAATTGTAGACGTACTCTTGGAGGAAAAAAATAAGAAAGGAACATTTCCCATCTAATTTTATAAGGCAACATAACCGTGATATGAAAACCGGTCAAACACATAACAAAAAAAGAACATCATTGAAAAAGAGAAGCTAGAATTTTCATCAAAATAACTTCACTTGAATTCAGGAACATATAATAAAAGTAATACATCACGATTAAGTTGATTTACTCCAGAAATGCAACATTAGTTTAATATTTGAAAATTAAACAACATAATTGCACATATTAACAGAACAAAGAAAAAAATCATATGATCATTTCAATGAATGCCAAAAAAATTATTGAATTCAACACCCATTCATGCTAAAAACTCTTAGCAAACTATAAATAGAGAACTAAAAAATCCTAAATCTGATATTGGGCATCTAAGTTAAAATAACAACAAAAATTAATACCTAACATCATACTAAATTGGAAAATATTCTATACTTTCCTTGTAAGAATAGGAACAAGACAAGAGTATCCACTGGCATCATTGCTATTCAACATATTTTGGACACCCTTCCTGGTGCAATATTTGAAAGAGCATGGTATAACTATCTATATCGAAGACCAGATATTTCCTTTTACTTCATGTTTTCTTAAAGGCAAAATCATGTAGGCATAATTTACATAACATTTTTTGTGGAAAATAATAAATTTACAAAACAACTACTAGAATTAATAAATTATAAGCTTGCAGTATTCAAATTATGTGGTAGGCAGTCTTTATCATGGCCACCCCACACCCTGGCACTCAGGCCTTTGTGTAATCTCTTCCCTTTGAGTGTGGCTGTATTAGTGAATTATTTCTAAAATAAAATGACCATGTATTAAATTCCTAATACCCGTAGTAATAAATTACCACAAATTTAGTAGCTTTGAACAACCCAAATTTATTTTCATAGAGCTCTGAAATTTAAAAGTCCAAAAGGCATTTCAATGTGCAAAAATCAAGGTGTTAGCGGGCTGCATTCCTTCTGTCTGGAGGCTCCAGGCAGAATCACTTCCCTTGCCTTTTCCAGCCTCTAGAGGATGTCTGCATTCCCTGACTTGTGATCCCTTCCTGCATCTTCAAAGTCATCAGTGTATCAAATTTCTCTCTGACTCTTCTGTTGGGGCACCTCTCCATCTCTGATTACTGGGGAACACCCAGATAATCCTCTTAAGGTTCTTAACTTAATCACAACTACAAAATCCCCTTTGCTACATAAGATAACATATTTACAGGTTCCAGGGATTAGGATGTGGATTTCTTTTGGCATGGGAACAAGGCTTGTGTTATTGTGCCTACCACAAGTGGCTAAAATAATGACTTTTTATTTTTGAGATTGGGTTACAAAGAAACTCTGGCTTTCACCAGGGTTCCCTCTCACATTGCATCACTTGCTTATTCTAAGGGAAGCCCTCGGTTCTATTGTGAGCTATCCTGTGGGAAGGCCCATAGCAAGGAATTGATGCCAGCAACCAATAACCAGCAAGGACCTGTGGCCAGTCTACAGCCATGTAAGTGGACCTAAAAGTGGACACCCTGGCCCCACCATCCAATCATAAGATGACTGCAGCCTTGGCCAACGCCTTGATTGCAGCTGTATGAAAGACCCTGAGTCCAGGTATCTAGCTAGGCTTCACGTGAATCCCCATATAGAAAAGGTGGAGTAAATGTGTTGTTTTAAGGGGCTAAATTTGAATAAAATTGGTTATGCAGCAATAGATAACTAATGCAAAATCAATATGCTGAAGTTTATTTCTGATTCTAGAAGCAAATAATTGGACACATAAATTTTAAAATTCAATTTACTACAATTTCAAAAATATTTAGATTTAAATATTAAAAGTATATATAAGAACTCTACACTAAGTACTATTTGAGTATCAAAATAATGATAGTAACAGGTTATAATCCAGTGAATGAAATAGAATCTACACTGATGCAGAAAAACATATTAGTTATGTAATGATGCAGGATATAGGATTACTCAGACACTTGTTAAAAACAATAAGGAAGACTTTATTCAAGAAGAAACTACCGCAATGGGGTTTTGCAGTAGGGAAGAGAGATTGGCCTTAATTCCAAAAACAATAAGGAAATATAGGAATTTATAGACAAGAAGCCAGGTTGGTAGAGGGGCCAGTGGAGGGAAAAATTAAGAGAGTGGGATAATTCTTTGCTGAAATGACCTAACAGAATTCTGAAGGCAGGCCAAGGTGATCAGATATTGCCTGAGAGATAGTGGGGGTTAAGGAATTTGGTCAGATAGCAAAGGTAATCAGATAGCGAGAGTGAGGGATTCTGGTTAAACTGACATAGCAGAACTTTTGCTAAAAATGGACAATGCAAAGATGAACACAGAAGCCCACAAGTCAGGACCTAGTTGAGAAGAACAGAGTTCAGAGAAGCCTGATGAAAGTTTGGTCATGGAGAGAATCTTTGTCAATCACCAAAGAGAAAACATTAATTTTACAGTGGAGAGACCTGTTAAACAATACCCTAAATAAATAATTATGTTAGCATTATCAATATTGGGGGCTAACAAACACCATACACACTCTGAAATGGTTTAGGAGTACAGGATAAAGAGATAAAAAAATGAATAACAAAACAGTTGGGGAAAATGTTAACAACTGGTGAATCATAATAAAATGTACACAGGAGTTCTTTATAAGGTTCTTGCCATTTTCTATAAGTTTTAGATTATATGCAAATAAAATATTCCTTTAAAACATGGTAAACTTCAAGCCTTTTTCTTTAAATCTCAGAGAAAGCCTCTTGGGGACTTGGTTCGAGTCATGTGCCTAACCTTAGGGGTAGGATATCTGATCTACACAAGAAGTGCATTTGACGGACCAAAAGCAGGGGAGGAGTGTTGTTCCGGGGCACCTGAAAACCTGCTATTTGTGTGTTCTGAATATGACCCCTTGAGTCTATTGCCCTTAGTCCTAACATTCACAGGTAAGCCAAGACTGAGCAATTCGGTCTGTTCCCAGTCATTGAAAATTATTTCATTTTGTCCCAGGTTCCTGCATTTGGTAGGTGAACAAGACATCATACCTGATTCTGCCTACAAATAAGATCCCTCCCCTTCCCTGACATGACCACAAAGCTGTGACTCCTCCAATGCCAGCCAGAGGAGCTCCTGGATACCAAGCTTAATGTTAGTTGAGAACATAAGTATTTGATATGGTGAGCATGGCTGTAGATACAGTCTTGAACTTTTTGCTTCCTTATAACTACATCTCTCAGGCATGGACCTAAGTAAATAAAGAACAGGACATTTTCTACCAAGGTCAAAACATTTCAGTATGATGGTTAAGTCACTAGCAGCATGAACAACTAACTACCTTATAAAAAAAAAAAAATCAACTCACACTCAAAGAAAAAAGGAGAAAATGAAAAGAAAAAGCATCTCACTTCTTCCAAAAAGTATTCAATTCTTATTGTGTAAGAACAAAGTACTTTTAACAGACTCAGAGATAAGCAAAAAAAAAAAAAAGTTAATGATTCAAAATATTTGTCTAAATTTATGACTTAATTTATGCTTTCTATTCATGTGTTATTACACACTTTAATGAAAAATTAATATTTTAAACATATATAAAATGTGCACTTTCTCATATGAAAGCTTCATCGCTAGACTTAAAATTTCTAAAAATTTACAGATTATAAAACATATTTATAGCTTGAAATAAATATGCTGTTTATAAAGGTAAGCCATGTTTAACTGAAATATGTTGAAAAAACATTAAATTTCTTTTGCTGTGCAGAAGCTCTTTAGTTTAATTAGATCCCATTTGTCAATTTTGGCTTTTGTTGCCATTGCTTTTCGTGTTTTAGACATGAAGTACTTGCCCATGCCTATGTCCTGAATGGTATTGCCTAGGTTTTCTTCTAGGGTTTTTATGGTTTTAGGTCTAACGTTAAAGTCTTTAATCCATCTTGAATTAATTTTTGTATAAGGTGTAAGGAAGGGATCCAGTTTCAGCTTTCTACAGATGGCTAGCCAGTTTTCCCAGCACCATTTATTAAATAGGGAATCCTTTCCCCACTGCTTGTTTTTCTCAGGTTTGTCAAAGATCAGATAGTTGTAGATATGCAGCGTTATTTCTTTTCTTTTTTTTTTTTTACTTTTTTTTTTTATTAATTCTGCCCCAAACACTGTTTTTCTTTTTCTTTTTTTTTTTTTTGAATTATGCTTCTTTTTTTTTTTTTTTTTTAATTTTTTTTTTTTATTATACTCTAAGTTTTAGGGTACATGTGCACATTGTGCAGGTTAGTTACATATGTATACATGTGCCATGCTGGTGCGCTGCACCCACTAATGTGTCATCTAGCATTAGGTATATCTCCCAATGCTATCCCTCCCCCCTCCCCCGACCCCACCACAGTCCCCAGAGTGTGATATTCCCCTTCCTGTGTCCATGTGATCTCATTGTTCAATTCCCACCTATGAGTGAGAATATGCGGTGTTTGGTTTTTTGTTCTTGCGATAGTTTACTGAGAATGATGGTTTCCAATTTCATCCATGTCCCTACAAAGGACATGAACTCATCATTTTTTATGGCTGCATAGTATTCCATGGTGTATATGTGCCACATTTTCTTAATCCAGTCTATCATTGTTGGACATTTGGGTTGGTTCCAAGTCTTTGCTATTGTGAATAGTGCCGCAATAAACATACGTGTGCATGTGTCTTTATAGCAGCATGATTTATGGTCCTTTGGGTATATACCCAGTAATGGGATGGCTGGGTCAAATGGTATTTCTAGTTCTAGATCCCTGAGGAATCACCACACTGACTTCCACAATGGTTGAACTAGTTTACAGTCCCACCAACAGTGTAAAAGTGTTCCTATTTCTCCACATCCTCTCCAGCACCTGTTGTTTCCTGACTTTTTAATGATTGCCATTCTAACTGGTGTGAGATGGTATCTCATTGTGGTTTTGATTTGCATTTCCCTGATGGCCAGTGATGATGAGCATTTCTTCATGTGTTTTTTGGCTGCATAAATGTCTTCTTTTGAGAAGTGTCTGTTCATGTCCTTCGCCCACTTTTTGATGAGGTTGTTTGTTTTTTTCTTGTAAATTTGTTTGAGTTCATTGTAGATTCTGGATATTAGCCCTTTGTCAGATGAGTAGGTTGCGAAAATTTTCTCCCATGTTGTAGGTTGCCTGTTCACTCTGATGGTAGTTTCTTTTGCTGTGCAGAAGCTCTTTAGTTTAATTAGATCCCATTTGTCAATTTTGGCTTTTGTTGCCATTGCTTTTGGTGTTTTGGACATGAAGTCCTTGCCCACGCCTATGTCCTGAATGGTAATGCCTAGGTTTTCTTCTAGGGTTTTTATGGTTTTAGGTCTAACGTTTAAATCTTTAATCCATCTTGAATTGATTTTTGTATAAGGTGTAAGGAAGGGATCCAGTTTCAGCTTTCTACATATGGCTAGCCAGTTTTCCCAGCACCATTTGTTAAATAGGGAATCCTTTCCCCATTGCTTGTTTTTCTCAGGTTTGTCAAAGATCAGATAGTTGTAGATATGTGGCATTATTTCTGAGGGCTCTGTTCTGTTCCATTGATCTATATCTCTGTTTTGGTACCAGTACCATGCTGTTTTGGTTACTGTAGCCTTGTAGTATAGTTTGAAGTCAGGTAGTGTGATGCCTCCAGCTTTGTTCTTTTGGCTTAGGATTGACTTGGCGATGCGGGCTCTTTTTTGGTTCCATATGAACTTTAAAGTAGTTTTTTCCAATTCTGTGAAGAAAATCATTGGTAGCTTGATGGGGATGGCATTGAATCTGTAAATTACCTTGGGCAGTATGGCCATTTTCACGATATTGATTCTTCCTACCCATGAGCATAGAAGTTGAATCTCTGAATAGACCAATAACAGGCTCTGAAATTGTGGCAATAATCAATAGTTTACCAACCAAAAAGAGTCCAGGACCAGATGGATTCACAGCCGAATTCTACCAGAGGTACAAGGAGGAACTGGTACCATTCCTTGTGAAACTATTCCAATCAATAGAAAAAGAGGGAATCCTCCCTAACTCATTTTATGAGGC
Source organism: Homo sapiens (assembly GCF_000001405.40). Lineage (NCBI taxonomy): Eukaryota > Metazoa > Chordata > Mammalia > Primates > Hominidae > Homo > Homo sapiens. The sequence continues at coordinate 109,096,537 of NC_000007.14, read as the reverse complement.
CAGCATCATTCTGATACCAAAGCCGGGCAGAGACACAACCAAAAAAGAGAATTTTAGACCAATATCCTTGATGAACATTGATGCAAAAATCCTCAATAAAATACTGGCAAACCGAATCCAGCAGCACATCAAAAAGCTTATCCACCATGATCAAGTGGGCTTCATCCCTGGGATGCAAGGCTGGTTCAATATACGCAAATCAATAAATGTAATCCAGCATATAAACAGAGCCAATGACAAAAACCACATGATTATCTCAATAGATGCAGAAAAAGCCTTTGACAAAATTCAACAACCCTTCATGCTAAAAACTCTCAAGAAATTAGGTATTGATGGGACGTATTTCAAAATAATAAGAGCTATCTATGACAAACCCACAGCCAATATCATACTGAATGGGCAAAAACTGGAAGCATTCCCTTTGAAAACTGGCACAAGACAGGGATGCCCTCTCTCACCGCTCCTATTCAACATAGTGTTGGAAGTTCTGGCCAGGGCAATCAGGCAGGAGAAGGAAATAAAGGGTATTCAATTAGGAAAAGAGGAAGTCAAATTGTCCCTGTTTGCAGACGACATGATTGTTTATCTAGAAAACCCCATCGTCTCAGCCCAAAATCTCCTTAAGCTGATAAGCAACTTCAGCAAAGTCTCAGGATACAAAATCAATGTACAAAAATCACAAGCATTCTTATACACCAACAACAGACAAACAGAGAGCCAAATCATGAGTGAACTCCCATTCACAATTGCTTCAAAGAGAATAAAATACCTAGGAATCCAACTTACAAGGGATGTGAAGGACCTCTTCAAGGAGAACTACAAACCACTGCTCAAGGAAATAAAAGAGGACACAAACAAATGCAGCGTTATTTCTGAGGGCTCTGTTCTGTTCCATTAATCTATATCTCTGTTTTGGTACCAGTACCATGTTGTTTTTGAACAGGCAACCTACAAAACTGGAGAAAATTTTCACAACCTACTCATTTGACAAAGGTCTAATATCCAGAATCTACAATGAACTCAAACAAATTTACAAGAAAAAAACAAACAACCCCATCAAAAACTGGGCGAAGGACATGAACAGACACTTCTCAAAAGAAGACATTTATGCAGCCAAAAAACACATGAAAAAATGCTCACCATCACTGGCCATCAGAGAAATGCAAATCAAAACCACAATGAGATACCATCTCACACCAGTTAGAATGGCAATCATTAACAAGTCAGGAAACAACAGGTGCTGGAGAGGATGTAGAGAAATAGGAACACTTTTACACTGTTGGTGGGACTGTAAACTAGTTCAACCATTGTGGAAGTCAGTGTGGCGATTCCTCAGGGATCTAGAACTAGAAATACCATTTGACCCAGCCATCCCATTACTGGGCATATACCCAAAGGACTATAAATCATGCTGCTATAAAGACACATGCACACGTATGTTTATTGCGGCACTATTCACAATAGCAAAGACTTGGAACCAACCCAAATGTCCAACAATGATAGACTGGATTAAGAAAATGTGGCACATATACACCATGGAATACTATGCAGCCATAAAAAATGATGAGTTCATGTCCTTTGTAGGGACATGGATGAAATTGGAAATCATCATTCTCAGTAAACTATTGCAAGAACAAAAAACCAAACACCACATATTCTCACTCATAGGTGGGAATTGAACAATGAGAACATATGGACACAGGAAGGGGAACATCACACTCTGGGGACTGTTGTGGGGTGGGGGGAGGGGGGAGGGATAACTTTAGGAGATATACCTAATGCTAAATGATGAGTTAATGGGTGCAGCACACAAGCATGGCACATGTATACATATGTAACTAACCTGCACATTGTGCACATGTACCCTAAAACTTAAAGTATAATAATAATAAAATTAAAAAATTAAAGAGATACCGTCTCACACCAGTTAGAATGGTGATCATTAAAAAGTCAGGAAACAACAGGTGCTGGAGAGGATGTGGAGAAATAGGAACACTTTTACACTGTTGGTTGGACTGTAAACTAGTTCGACCATTGTGGAAGACAGTGTGGCAATTCCTCAGATTAAAAAAAAAAAAAAGAATCTCATTAAGACAAATGATCAGGTTTCTTATTTTATGCATTTCTTATTTTTAAATGTAAGTATAAGTAACATAAATTTTCTCATAGAGAATGCATTAGTTGCATCCCAGCTTCAGCTGCAAAATTTAATTTTGTTACATTAAAATTTCAGTTTAATTGAAAAAAAAGAAAAAACATTAAATTTCTTTCACAATCTTTTGCAATTTTTAAAATTTGTATGAAATTTTAACTTATGAAAAAGCTGAAATAATACCACGAAGAATTGCTGAATTATCTTTACCAAGATTTGGCAATTGCTTATATTGTATCACATTTACTTTATCACTCTGCCTCCTCCCTAGAATGTAAGCTCCATGAGGACAAGAACTTTGCTGTTTTTTTTTTTTTCACTGCTCTATCCCAGCTTTTAGAATAGTCTTTGGCACATAAAAGACCTTCAATAACACCTGTTGAATTAATTAAATAATTATACATTCTATAAAAGAAGAGGCTGCCTGACAGTAGAGCTATAAGTAAGTATAGGAAATAAACTCAGTCAATATGGTCACGTTTAAACAAGACCCACTTTAACAAGTCAACAAAGCCCATCAGTATTTTTGAGGGTCCTTAATTTCAGCATTAATTTAGGACCTAAAGCTTCACTTTCCCTTTATACTACGAGTTAGCAAACATAGGTGTATACAGAATGGAGGGGATGGCTCTCTCTGTGAATATTTCCAAAGGGCATCCTTCTGTAACATGGGCAAACAACTCTGAATCCATACACACACACACACACACACACACACACACACATACATATACATATATGCATACATATGTATATATGTGTATACACATATACATATATGCATACATATGTATATATGTGTATACACATATACATATATACATATATACATATATACGTATATATATACACACATATATACATATATACGTATATATACACACACATATATACATATATATACACACACATACATATATATGTATATATACATATATACGTATGCATATATACATATATGACATATTTACATGTCATATATACATACTGCTTAACTGTCAGTGAACATCACCTGAGCAGCTTCAATTCTCAAAACTTTATTTAATACATTTTCTAACAAGTGTACATTCTACAAACAATCTTAACATACATCTTCCACATCACTCTATAATTCTCTATTGTATTTTATATAAGAGGGAAACCTTCAGTGAAATTATGATAAACGCAAGTTCTAGGAGAGTACGGATTTTGTCTGTGTGCATTCATTAATGTGTCTCCAAATCTTCGAACAGTGCCTGGCACATAGTCAGTCTTTAATAAATACTTTGAAATAAACAAAGCAAGAGCTCAGAGTACATTTTGGAACTAGGATTTGTCATAGTTATCCGACTCAAATTAGTAGCATTTTCACTAACTCAGAGAGTTTCCATAAACCTTCTGCATGCTGCCCTATTTCCTAGATCCATTTTATTGAAATGATACTAGCTTTTGCACCTCTATCTCACACAAAATGGCGTTTTATCTATGGACTTTTCACCCCCTTCTAGCTACACTAAGTAGATGTGTGCTTGTTTACAGCTACCAATACTGAGAGAAAGCATTAAAACAGAATAGCACAACCCATTAGTATGACTTTCCTAACTCTGAAAACATCTGGTCTCTGTCAACCAATCTTATTAGTCTGCCCTTCTCTGAGTTAACAGCATCTTCAGTCTTTAATGTCCTGTACACCTACCTAGAGCTAATGCAACTGGCAGCCTACTTGGCTGAATTCTCTATTTTCTCATTTATTCATTTGTTCACACAGCCTGTATTTTTTTTTTTTTTTTGCAAGTACACTGAGATTGACAGAGTGAGATGTTGTGGCAAAAGCTGTGATTACAATCCATTCCCTTATCGAATGTAGGGAAACAATTAGAAATAATTAAATTTTTTATTTTCATCAGCTGTATATGGGAACTGAAGAATGCAGTGAGGTTCCACTAGGGGGACTGAAACATCTCAGATAGACTACAGGATTGCACAGAAAAGACATCACCAAAGATGTTCAATTCACTTTATTGAGTACTGCCCAAAGGTTAGAGAATTCTAGCTGAAGTAAGATTGCCACACAGAGCAAGAGCAGATATAACAGTTTGAGACCTGCTCCATTTCTTACTTCCCCCACAGAAGCCTTTAGTAAAGATAGGTGATAGTCATCGTGGCTAAGCCCAAATATTCTGGTCCTATTCTTTGTGGCACATGATAACATTGTACTTCTGGGGAATAACTAAGTGTGTATATCACCTTCTACTCTTCACCCTACCATGATGATAGAGTGTCCGTCAGCCTAAGCTCCTAACTGAAGAAACAGAGCAGAGACCGCAGCCAAATCACAAAGGACATGTAGCATGAACAAGAATAAGCCATTGTTGTTTGAATAAATTCTTGGGATTTTTTGTTAGTGCAACCTAACCCAAGACTGTCCTGACCAATACAAGGCAGGAAGCTGCTAGCATCCTGAGGTCTTTCCAGAACCAAAATTAATATTGTGCTGTGATATAGCATTTTAAATAAAAGGAGACGACATCACTATTTAGATTTACATTAGCAATCTGCATTAATCTGCTAGAGAAAGTAGACATTCAGCAGTTAGGTGATCCCAAACCATTTATCTTCTTCAAATTATCCAGAATCCCTTAATGTTCATTTTCACAGAGGCGTAGTCTGGTCTGTTCTGGTCAAGGACAGTGCCAGAAAAGGTCATGAAGACTCCCCTGAGGAAGTGAATACAATTCTAACGTAGTAGGAAATTCACTTGTTTCACCAAGATAACAATTGCCCTTTACACCTATGCACAACCCCCTATATAGTAGGATTTTAACAAATAACTGTTGGTTCAATTTATTAGATCATCTGATTTTACTAACCCATAGCAAATTATAATTAAGGTGAATCATAAGTATATAGGAACATTAAATAACAGTTTTTCAAAGAGCTAAACATGTAAGTAATAAAATACTAGACACTGGTCAATGGACTTAAGTAATTAACCACATCAGTAATTAGATGTCCCTCGTGAGGTGAAACTAATTACTGAATTTTGTGATCTATTATATCACAACAGGGTATAATTCCTGCTTATATGGTGCTTTCCTGTATCACTGACATAATTTAACTTTCTAATGACCTTTTCTTTCAGATTTGATTAATTCCATATCAAGGCATTAGCTCATGCAGTGAGCCTTAATGCCATGGTGGATATTATAATTACCTAGCACAATCAAGGTCTATAAGCACTCAGAATTGCAATAGAAAATGTCATCATCTGAAAGTGCTTTGGCATTGGGAGACAGATTTAGGGCAAAATTACCTAGTATCCATGCAGCAATCTAATACCTAGGTATCAGAGGGTATTAAAATGTGCTTATACTCTCCAACAACTTCAAACTATTCAGTTATTAGTAACCATAATCAAATGTAAACAACTTGATTCCTTTTCAAAAAAATTTGTTTTTTATTCTTTCTATTTATGCATTGGTTTCTAGCTTTTGGCTTCTTCCCCAGTATCCACTGGTCATATGTTACCTCCAGGGATGCTCTAGGCTGATGAAAACTCAGGGATGCAGAGTTGCCAAACACTTTAAGAATTCATCGATCTATTATTGGAAAAATTAACAGTGCTTAAAAAGGTGTTGGAAATTTGCAAAGAAGCTCAAAGCAGGAAAATATCTAGCAATTTATAATGGAAATTATCTCCAAGGGAAAATGTAATGCATATTGTTTTTCAGGCAGTATATGGAAAAGTTTATTTTCAAGGAGCATAAACCAGGCCCAGAATAGTAAATCTCTTCAAGCAAAATACTCTCTCAACTGTCTACCTCTTCAGTAAATTATATATTACTTTAACATCTTAGGGTTCACAAATTATTTTCACATCTGATTCTCACAACAGTTCTGAGAAGTGCATAGATAGTACCATTTCACAGAGTAGGCTACTGAGGCCAGAGTGTAGAAAAAGTGACTTAACTAAGGTCTTTAGTAAATATCAGTGTCATTGTGGTATGGTTAAAAAAGCTTAGACTTTGACTAGAATACCTGAGACCCCATCCCAACTAAATTCTCTCGTTTGCTTGTCATTGGTACTGTTGCCAATCTCTTCTGAGCCTCATTTTCTATACCTACTTCAAGGAGTTGTTACAGGATTAAAAAAGATAATAAAAAGAAAATTTTAATTATTGTCATTAATATGTTGACAAATACAAACAACTGGTTCTCCAAAAATAGTATGCATGTATATATATACCTAAATTTATTATAAACTTTATAAAGGATACATAGCATACAGTAAGTAACAATAAAAGATATATGCACATTATAATTTCTACATGAACAATTGATTCTAATAGAATAATTCTATTAATTTTTTTTTCTAAACTCTTATCTTGGTAACAAAATTATGATTGCAATTCAACTGGGATTTGATAAAATTGCATCCCAATCCACAATTTCTTTTTTAATTTCCAAATTTTAAGTTCAGGGGTATATGTGCAGGTTTCTTACACAGATAAATGTAGGCCATGGTGGTTTGCTGCACAGATCATCCCATCACCTAGTTATTAAGCCCAGCATTCATTACCTATTCTTCCTGAGGCTCTCCCTCTTCCCACCCCGATCCTCCATCATGCCCCAGTGTGCCCATGTGTTCCCCACAATGTGCTCATGTGTTCTCATCATTCAGCTCCCAGTTATTAATGAGTGTGTGTGGTATTTGGTTTTCCATTCCTGCTTTAGTTTGCTGAGGATAACAGCTTCCAACTCCACGCATGTCACTGCAAAGACCATGATCTCATTCCTTTTTATGGCTACATGGTATTTCATGGTGTATATGTACCACATTTTTTATCCAATCTATCACTGATGGGCATTTAGGTTGATTCTATGTGATGGTTAATAATGAGTGTCAACATGATTAGACTGAAGGATGCAAAGTATTGTTCCTGGGTGTGTCTGTAAGGGTGTTGCCAGAGGATATTAATACTTGAGGCAGTGGACTGGGAGAGGCAGACCCACCCTCAGTCTGGGGGTGCATAATCTCATCAGCTGCCAGCCCAGTAGAATAAAGCAGGCAGAAGAATGCAGAAGGACTAGACTGGCTGAATCTTCCAGCCTTCATCTCTTTCCCGTTCTAGATGCTTCCTGCCATCGATCATTGGATTCCAAGTTCTTCAGCTTTTGGACTCTTGGACTTACACCACGGTTTGCCAGGGGCTCTCAGGCCTTTGGCCATAGAGTGAAGGCTGCACTCTCAGCTTCCCTACTTTTGAGGTTTTGGGACTCGGTCTGGCCTCCTTGCTCCTCAGCTTGCAGATGGCCTATCGTAGGACTTCACCTTGTGATCATGTGAGTCAATATTCTTTAATAAACTTCCTTTCATATATACATCTATCCCATTAGTCCTGTCCCTCTACAAAATTCTAATACACAGTTTCTTTGCTATTGTGAATAGTGCTACAAGAAATATATGTGTGCATGTATCTTTATAATAGAATGATTTATATTCTTTGAGTATATACCCAGTAATGAGATTGCTGGGTCTAATAGTATTTCTGCCTCTAGGTCTTTGAGGAATTGCCACACTGTCTTTCAAAATGGTTGAACTAATTTACACTCCCACCAACAGCATAAAAGTGTTCCTTTTTCTCCACAACCTTGTCAGTATTTTTTTTTTTGACTTTTAATAATAGCCATCTGACTGGTGTGGGATGGTATCTCATGGTGGTTTTATTATTATTATTATACTTTAAGTTCTAGGGTACATGTGAACAACGTGAAGGTTTGTTACATAGGTATACATGTGCTATGTTGGTTTGCTGCACCCATTAACTTGTCATTTACATTAGATATTTCTCCTAATGTTATCCCTTCCCCAGCCCCCCATCCCTTGACGGGCCCCAGTGTGTGTGGTTCCCTGCCCTGTGTCCAAGTGTTCTCATTGTTCAGTTCCCCGCTATGAGTGAGAACATGTGGTGTTTGGTTTTCTGTCCTTGTGATAGTTTGCTGAGAATGATGGCTTCTAGCTTCATTCATGTCCCTGCAAAGGACATGAACTCATCCTTTTTTATAGCTGCATAGTATTCCATGGTGTATATGTGCCACATTTTCTTAATCCAGTCTATCATTGGTGGACATTTGGGTTGTTGTCTTCGTCATGAAATCTTTGCCTATATCCTGAATGGTATTGCCTAGGTTTTCTTCTAGGGTTTTTATAGTTTTGGGTTTTACATCTAAGTCTTTAATTCACCTTCAGTTGATTTTTGTATATGATGTAAGGAAGGGGTCCAGTTTCTAATTTTCTACATACGGCTAGTTTTCTCAGCACCATTTATTAAATAAGGAATCCTTTCAATATTGCTTCTGTTTTTGTCACGTTTATCAAAGAGCACATGGTTGTAGGTGTGTAGTCTTATCTCTGGGCTCTCTATTCTGCTCCATTGGTCTACGTGTCTGTTCTTGTACAAGTACCAGGCTGTTTTGGTTACTATAGCCTTGGAGTAGAGTTTGAAGTAGGGTAGTGTGATGCCTCCAACTTTGTTCTTTTTGCTTAGGATTGCCTTGGCTATCCAGGCTCTATTTTGGCTTCACATGAATTTTAAAATAGGTTTTCTGATTCTGTGAAGAAGGTCAATGGTAGTTTAATGGGAATAGCATTGAATCTATAAATTACTTTGGGCAATATGGCCATTTTCACAATACTGATTCTTGCTATCCATGGACATGGAATGTTTTTCCATTTGTTTGTGTCATCTCTGATTTGAGCAGTGGTTTGTAGTTCTTGAAGACGTTCTTCACTTCCCTTGTTAGCTCTATTCTTAGATATTTTATTCTTTTTGTGGCAATTGTGAATGGGAGTTCATTCATAATTTGGCTTTTGGCTTGCCTGTTTTTGGTGTATAGGAATGCTAGGAATTCTTGCTCATTGATTTTGTAGCCTGAGACTTTGCTGAAGTTACTTATTTGCTTGAGAAGCTTTTGAGCTGAGATGAAGTAGTTTTCTAAAGATAGGACCATGTCATCTGCAAACAAAGATAATTTGACTTCCTCTCTTCCTATTTGAGTACGCTTTATTTTTTCTCTTGCCTGATCGCCCTGGCAAGACCTTCCAATACTATGTTGAACAGGAGTGGTGAGAGGGAGCATCCTCATCTTGTGCCAGTTTTCAAGTGGAATGCTTCCAGCTTTTGCCCATTCAGTATGATATTGGCTGTGGGTTTGTCTTATATGGCTCTTTCTACCTTTGGTATGTTCCTTCAATACTAGATTATTTTTTAAAAATATACAGAATCTTTAATATATATGAAGAGGTATATTTAATTTTTAAATAAGTGAAATAATATACACTGTTGAGCAATTTTTTTCTCTGAATCTTTCAATGGTAACAAATATAGATCTAGTTTAAACTCTTTTATAACTGTTTTATGGATGAACCAAAGTTTATTTAACCAAACTATTATTGATAAACATTTAGGATCTTAATGTTTTGATACTATAAACATAATGTAGTGAGCATCCTTCTGAACATTTCCTTTGAATACATTTCTAGAAGAAATGGCTTCCTTATGGGTGTACCAGTTTTTATTCTTAATAATGCTTGAGAGTTCCTGATTATCTTATTATACTTTAAGTTCTGGGAGACATGTGCAGAAGGTGCAGGTTTGTTACATATTTATACATGTGCCATGGTGGTTTGCTGCACCCATCAACCTGTCATCTACATTAGGTATTTCTCCTAATGTTATCCCTCCCCTTGCCCCCCAGCCCGTGACAGGCCCCAGTGTGTGATGTTTCCCTTCCTGTGCTGATATGTTCTCATTGTCAACTCCCACTTATGAAAGAGAACATACAGTGTTTGGTTTTCTGTTCCTGTGTTAGTTTGCTGAGAATGATGGTTTCCAGGTTTATCCATGTCCCTGCAAAGGGCATGAACTCATCCTTTCTTATGGCTGCATAGTATTCCATGGTGTATATGTGCCACATTTTCTTTACCCAGTCTACCATTGATGGGCATTAGGTTGGTTCCAAGTCTTTGCTATTGTGAATGGTGCTGCAATAAACATACGTGTGAATGGTGCTGCTATAAACATACATGTGCATGTGTCTTTAGGGTAGAATGATTTATAATCCTTTGGGTATATACCCAGTAATGGGATTGCTAGGTCAAATGGTATTTCTGGTTCTAGATCCTCAAGGAATCGCCACACTTCTACCACAATGGTTGAACTAATTTACACTCCCACCAACAGTGTAAAAGCTTTTCTATTTCTCCACATCCTCAACAGCATCTGTTTTTTCCTGAATTTTTAATGATCACCATTCTAACTGGCATGAGATGGTATCTCATTGTGGTTTTTATTTGCATTTCTCTAACGACCAGTGATGATGAGCTTTGTTTCATATGTTTGTTGGCCACATAGGTGTCTTCTTTTGAAAAGTGTCTGTTCATATCCTTCACCCACTTGTTGTTGAGGCTGTTTTTTCTTGTAAATTTAAGTTCCTTGTAGATACTGGATATTAGCCCTTTGTCAGATGGATAGATTGTAAAAATTTTCTCCTATTCTGTAGGTTGCCTATTCACTCTGATGATAGTTTCTTTTGCTGTGCAGAAGCTCTTTAATTAGATCCCATTTGTCAATTTTGGCTTTTGTTGCCATTGGTTTTGGTGTTTTAGTCATGAAGGCTTTGCCCATGCCTATGTCCTGAATGGTGTTGCCTAGGTTTTCTTCTAGGGTTTTTATGGTTTTAGGTCTTACATTTAAATCTTTAATCCATCCTGAGTTAATTTTTGTATAAGGTGTAAGGAAGGGGTCTAGTTTCAGTTTTCTGTATATGACTATCCAGTTTTCCCAAGACTATTAAATAAGAAATCTTTTCCCCATTGCTTGTGTTTGTCAAAGATCAGATGATTGTAGATGTGTGGCATTATTCCTTAGGCCTCTGTTCTGTTCCCTTGGTCTATATATATGTCTGTTTTGATACCAGTGCCATGCTGTTTTGGTTATTGTAGCCTTGTAGTATAGTTTGAAGTCAGGTAGCATGCCTCCAGCTTTGTTCTTTTTGCTTAGGATTGTCTTGGGTATACGGGCTCTTTTTTGATGCCATATGAAATTTAAAGTAGTTTTTTCTAATTCTGTGAAGAAAGTCAATGGTAGCTTGATAGGAATAGCATTGAATCTATGAATTACTTTGGGCAGTATAGCCATTTTCATGATATTGACTCTTCCTATCCATGAGCATGGAATGTTTTGCTTGTCTGTAAAGGATTTTATTTCTTCTTCACTTATGAAGCTTAGTTTGGCTGGATATGAAATTCTGGGTTGAAAATTATTTTCTTTAAGAATGTTGAATATTGGCCCCCACTCTCTTCTGGCTTGTAGAGTTTCTGCAGAGAGATCCGCTGTTAGTCTGGAGGGCTTCCCTTTGTGGGTAACCCGACCTTTCTCTCTGACTGTCCTTAACATGTCTTCCTTCATTTCAACCTTGGTGAATCTGGTGATTATGTGTCTAGCAGTTGCTCTTCTTGAGGAGTATCTTTGTGGTGTTCTCTGTATTTCCTGAGTTTGAATGTTGGCCTGTCTTGCTAGTTTGGAGAAGTTCTCCTGGATGATATCCTGAAGTGTGTTTTCCATCTTGGTTCCATTCTCCCCGTCACTTTCAGGTACACCAATCAAACCTAGATTTAGTCTTCTCACATAGTCCCATATTTCTTGGAGGCTTTGTTCATTCCTTTTCATTCTTTCTCTAATATTGTGTTCACACTTTATTTCATTAAGTTGATCTTCAATCTCTGACATCCTTTCTTCTGCTTGATTGATTTGGCTATTGATACTTGTGTATGTTTCACAAAGTTCTCCTGCTGTGTTTTTCAGCTCCATCAGGTCACTTATGTTCTTCTCTAAACTGGTTATTCTTGTTAGCAATTCCTCTAACCTTTTTTCAAGGTTCTTAGCTTCCTTGCATTGGGTTAGAACATGGTAACATAGCTCGGAGGAATTTGTTATTACCCATCTTCTGAAGCCTATTTCTGTCAATTTGTCAAACCCATTCTCCATCCAGTTTTATTCTCTTGCAGGCAAGTAGTTGTGATCCTTTGGAGGAGGAATTTTGGTTTTTGGAATTTTCAGCATTTTTACGCGGTTTTTCCTCATCCTCATGGATTTATCTACCTACGGTCTTTGATGTTGGTAACCTTTGGATGGGGTTTCTGAGTGGACATCCTTTTTGTTGATGTTGATGCTATTCCTCTGTTAGTTTTCCTTCTAACAGTCAGGCCCCTCTGCTGCAGGTCTGCTGGAGTTTGCTGGGGGTCTACTCCAGACCCTGTTTACCTGTGTATCACCAGCAGAGGCTGCAGAAGAGCAACAATTGCTGCCTGCTTCTTCCTCTGAAAGCTTCATCCCAGAGGGGCACCCGCCAGATACCAGCCAGAGCTCTCCTGTATGAGGCGTCTGTATACCCCTGCTGAGAGGTGTCTCCCAGTCAGGGTGCATGGGTGTCAGGGACCCACTTAAGGAGGCACAGTCTGTCCCTTAGCAGAGCTTGAGCCTTGTGCTGGGAGATCCACTGCTCTCTTCAGAGCCGGCAGGCAGCAATGTTTAAGTTTGCTGAAGGTGCACCCACAGCCGCCCCTTTACCCAGATGCTTTGTCCCAGGGAGATGGTAGTTTTATCTACAAGCCCCTGTCTGGGGCTGCTGCCTTTCTTTCAGAGATGCCCTTCCCATAAAGGAGGAATCTAGAGAGGCAGTCTGGCTACAGTGGCTTTGCAGCACTGTGGTGGGCTCCACCCAGTTTGAACCTCCTGACAGCTTTGTTTACACTCAGCTTGAAATGCAGAAATCACCTACCTTCTGCATTGGTCTCCCTGGGAGCTGCAGACTGGAGCTGTTCCTATTTGGCCATTTTCCCCAGGACCCCAGTAGTATATTATTGAAAGTTTTTAAGATGAAGGGATGTTGAATTCTATCAAAGGCCTTTTCTGCATCTATTGGGATAATCATATGGTTTTTGTCTTTAGGTCTATTTATGTGATGAATCACATTTATTGATTTTCATTGTTGAACCAGCCTTGCATCCCAGGCATGAAGCCTATCTGACTGTGGTGGATAAGCATTTTGATGTGCTACAGGATTTGGTTTGCCGCATTTCGTTGAGTATTTTGTTGAGGATTTTTGCATCAATATTCAGCAAGATATTGGTCTGAAGCAATCAAATTAGAACTCAAGATTAAGAAATTCACTCAAAACCACACAACTACATGAAAATTGCACAACATGCTCCTGAATGACTCATGGGTAAATAAAGAAATTAAGGCAGAAATCAAGATGTTCTTTGACACTAACGTGAACAAACATACAATGTACCAGCATCTGTGGGATGCAGCCAAAGCCGTGCTTAGAGGGAATTTTATAGTGCTAAATGCCCATATCAAAAATCTAGAATGATCCCAGTTTAACAACATCACATCACAATTAAAAGAACTAGAGAACTAAGCAAACAAACCCCAAAGCTAGCAGAAGACAAGAAATAACCAAGATTAGAGATGAAATGAAAGAGATAGAGACACGACTATTCCTTCAAAAAAATCAATGAATCCAGGAGCTGTTTTTTGAAAAAATTAGTAAAATAGACTGCTAGCTAGACTAACAAAGAAGAAAAGAGAGCAGTCAAATAAATACGATCAGATATAAGGAGAAATATCACAACTGACACCACAGAAATACAAGCAATCATCAGAGAATACTATAAACCTTCCATGTACATAAACTAGAACATCCAGAAGAAATGGGTAAATTCCTGAATACTTACACCCTCCCAAGACTGAACCAGGAAGAAATCAAATCCCTGAATAGACCAATAATAAGTTCTGAAATTGAGGCACTAATAAATAGCCTACCAACCAAAAATAAACAAATAAATAAATAAAGGCCCAGGACCAGATTTAAAGCTGAATTCTACCAGAAGTACAAAGAAGAGCTGGCACCATTCCTACTAAAACTGTTCCAAAAAATTAAAAAGGAAGGACTCCTCCCTAACTCATTCTATGAGGCCAGCATCATCCTGATACCAAAACCTGGCAGAGATACCAGAATTTCTTTCCTCAATAAATACATCATTGATACATCTGATATGTAACATGAGTGCTGGTTGATATTTGTGTTTAGTTTAACAAGTTAGGAGGAAAGATATACAACTAAGATGTGTGTCAGACCTTCACTTGATTACTATTAATTTCAATGCCATTTTTTGGTTGAATTGGATAATAGTTTTCAAATGATGGAGGAGTGTTTTCTCAATTTTATACCATACACAGTGTAACTGCATGACATATGTTAAACTTTAATCTGCATTATGAATGTTTCTTAAGATTCAACAAAACAATAAATCAAGACAAAGACCTGATTTATAGCATTTGCTAACCATGGCTAATTTCAAGCTACCAATATGACATCACTGAACCCAGAGTTAAGATGTGCACTAGCACACTTAACTAGAATTTACATCATTCCCGTCTAATAGATGTAAACACTCTCCTCAACAGCATAGAGAATGAAATATAGAAAATCAATATGAAAATAATAAGCTTTGAGTATTTATTGGCTTTTTAAAAATATATTTTAAGTGTAGATTTATATAACTTGATTTTCAATAAAGGATGATTTTAACAACTGGCTTGAAAATTTAACAATGGGCTCTCTAACATGAGCTAGTACTAGCTAACTACAGCACAGCACTGGAACCCACCATGTATTAGATGATCGATAAATATTTTATTTTCTTCCTTTTCATCTTTTTCTTGTTGTTTCTTTTGAATCTTGTTTACCTTATACCTATTCTTCTTACAGCATTATAGCAATTAAAGGTACTATCCAGCCCAACTCAGCATTTCTGTCTGTGGTATCAAGGGGCTTTTTTGGGAGGGGCCATGATAGCTCTTCTTAAGTCAGCTTCAAAAACTTCCAAATATGCCTAAGTTTCCCTTAACAGCCATTATGCAGTTCACATATAAATTTAGCTGAGACTTTTCGAATCCATTTTTATAATCTGCCGGTTCTGGGGAGAATCACAAAAAACAAACCAAAATGCTACTTTTTGTTCTCCTTAAAGCCAGACTAACAGAAGCAGCAGCATCCATTAGCATCCTTTCTGTTTTCAGAACTCTCACTCTTTAGGGATTCCTCTATCCTAAGAATCCATTGCTGACAAAACTAGCAAGAATTATGATGTGAGGCAATGTGACTATTAGCAGAAGTTCAAACCTTCCTCAGGACACTGGTCTCACTATGTAGAAAAGCTTCCTCCTGAGACTACAGAGTGATACTTATGGCACCATTGCTATTCCCCCCTCCTCACACCTCTTCTTCCTCAGAGTTGAGGGAACCTCACTTAGTTCCTACTACCAGGTTTAAGAAAGCTTACTAGTGCCATCACGTAGAATGTAATGTCTATTGGCCATAATTTTCTTGATTACCCCAAAGCCAAGTGGGAATAAGCCGTGATTAAAAACAGGACCATTTTTATCTATGAATCACTTTACAGTTCTGATAAAATACGCATCTACCTAGTATTGCTTTACTTCTTTCTTTCTCCTCTAAGTTTTCTTTGCTTACAAAATATTATATAAGCAGCTTTTTTGCTTAACTTATACAAAATCCACTTCTTGTTTTTTCTCCAGATCAATAACATTCGTGTATTTGTTCGCAAGTTACATGCTTTGCAATCCCAAAATAAATAGAAGCTTGTTCCCAGCCTTAGGGAAACAAGAGGAAGTTATCTTCTTCCTTTTCTGTCCTTTTTCTCTGTCCCCAGATAAATAATGGCCTTGAGAAGTTCTGGAAATCTTGCTCAAACTGCTCTTCTCCACATAGTCTTTCTCACATTGGCTTCTGGGGCACCAAAGTTTTCCTGCTTCATGGGATACTAATCAGAGAAGCTAATTGTCTGTGTTACTTGGTGATTCACTTTGCTATATTTCCATGCCAGAAAAGCCTTCTCAAAATATCCTGCTTCACTTTTAATGCTAGGTGTTCTTAGCAATAAGGTCTGTACTACACCTCAGAATCTACAATTCCAGTATTTTAGAATTTATTAAACAAGGGGGCTGGGCAAGGTAGCTCACACCTGTAATCCCAGAGCTTTGAGAGGCCAAGGCAAGAGGATTGCTTGAGGCCAGGAGTTAGAGACCAGCCTGGGCAACATAGCAAGACCTCATCTCTAAAATAAATAAATATATAAATAAATAAATAAATAAATAAGCAAGCAAGCCAGCCTTTTGAGGTGGTGTGCACCTGTGGTCCTAGCTACTCAAGAGGCTGAGGCAAAAGGATCCCTTAAACCCAGAAGTTTGAGGCTGCAATGAGCTATGACTGATCGTGCCACCACACTCCAGCCTGGACAACAGAGCCAGACCATGTCTCAAAAAAAGAAAAAAAAGTTATTAAGTTGATTCTTATTGCTGCTGCTCTCTATGCTCTTCATTTCATCCACATTCATTTTCAATTACTATTGATGAAGCTTTAAGGATAAATTTAAAAATAAGTTGATATGAACTGCCCGCCACTTCTTATTGGAATATCATTAGATTCAGTTTTATATCATAACATAACCTCATGACTAGGTACCAGTGTCGATTCTTCTGCATAGTGGTTTAATGACCTCAGACTTGTCACAACATTTAGTGTCATCTGGAAAGTGGAGATAAATAATACATCCCTACTTACCTAATTAAATGATTGGGAGGATCGGTTTTAAAATATATGGAAACAGTATTTGTAGAAGAAAGGATACAATGCAAACAAAACATGTTGTTGTGATTTTATTTATAACTCATCAATCTAACATAATTACACATAGTTTTCCAGAGGGAGACACACTGAGGTTTTAATGAGGGAACACTGTTATCCTAAGAAGTCTGGTCAAGACACAACAGGGTATCCAGGAATACTCACATCTTACTGAGACCCAGCCACTCACTTTGAGGGGCCCCTGAAAGAGAAGACATGTGGATAAAAGGAGGTAAAGTGGGCAAGCTGATGCTATTGCTATCTGGGGCTATAACTTCAAACCCCAGAGTGGAACTCTGCTGTGCTAGATTTCTGGAAGTAAATCTTTTTTTGCCTAGAGAGGAAAATTTGGTTCTGAAAATGGACCTGGCATAACTGTGGAGAATTGTACAGTCCAGAAGATTCAGTGGACACAATTTGCTATGATTCCTTCTGACCACTGCTTTTGTCAAACTGTCTGATAGCTCTTAAAACCCCACAGCGCAGTTACTACAAACACAATCTACTTAGTCATTAATCTAAATAATTGTGCTGAAATATGTTTTGAGACCTGAAGAACCTGTATTTAAAGGGCAATAGAAGAAAAATTCTTCTGTAATACAAGTGGGAAATAAACTCTTTTAAAGTATTATAAGTATTATTTTGGAGAAGAGAAGTTTTAAAGTACCTCTTAAATTTTCTCATTATTATTCTCCAAGTCTCTAAGTTTGACCCAGTCTGTGTCTTGAAGTAGAAAATGTCAAAATGGATAGAGAGGATTTTTTAATATCCAAATAAGTGTCAATTTCCTTAACTAGGTGCGGTATTCCCACTGCCTGAGTAGGTGCCCCAGTGACCTCATCTTTGGAAGTCATAAAACCCAGTAAGGAGACAAACAGATAAAAGAGGCATCTTTTATCAACATGTAGCCATTAGCAAGTAATGATGATTTAAGAAATATTAACAATAAGGGATTATTAACTATACATTTCATGACAGGTGAGTTTAAAATTTTTATTCTTAAGTATATTGCAGGGTTTAAAATGTGCCTTTAGAGTTACAATAAAACCTAGGTTCCCCCTGCCCCTCTTTGCAGCTGCAATATCATTTCAATTCTCCTCATTCAGTCTCATTCTTAGGAGTTTTGAAAAAATGGCACTTGGAAAGAAACTACAGAGAAGGGTGATCTTAATATACATACACAACAAAGATAAAAAGGATAATCCTTAAGTAGAAAGCATCATTGTAAGAAATGCTCAAATGGGATCTCTCTCACTTATAAATAAACAGCTTCAAGGGGATTTGCACCATCAACACAAGCACTTCAATTAGATTGTATGAAATATCGTATCTTTTCTGAATTGACATTTAGAATCAAGTCTTCACCCTTAACCCCCCATGGGCCCCCAAAGATATCCAAAGTGGCCACAT
Source organism: Homo sapiens (assembly GCF_000001405.40). Lineage (NCBI taxonomy): Eukaryota > Metazoa > Chordata > Mammalia > Primates > Hominidae > Homo > Homo sapiens. Next base: position 109,078,218 of record NC_000007.14, on the reverse strand, counting down.
TTTCCAACACCCCAAATTCATTTCTGGTGAGAATTTTTATTTATTGAGTCAGTAGACATTTGTGACCTATATAACCACACTAAGGTAACTCCCTTATTTAGGTCCTTGAACCTTTGATTCCAATTCTATCCAATTAATTGTAGTAGAGATTGATTAGTAATGCAGCACCAGAAAACTTTCTTTTTCGAGACAGTGTCCCTCTGTCATCCAGGCTGGAATCCAGTGGTATAATCATATTCACTGCAGCCTCCAACTCCTGGACTCAAGCAATCCTCCTGCCTTGGCCTCCCGAAGTACTAGGATTACAGGCATGAACCAATGCACCCAGCCCAAAATGTTTATTATATGTAATATTTCTAACACATTATAGTTGTACAGGTATCATACACATTTTATACATTCTATTTTCTATAACATATATCCAATTATATAAAATGTTATAGGGCCTAACCTTACTATGTACTATGCAGATAAAACACAATTATTGATCTTTTACAGAAGACATGGAATACCATGATCACAGTTGCAGCACTCTCATAGTGCTTATTGACAAACCTGACTTCACAACACCCTTTTTAGCTCATTTATCAAGGATTTTGTTTTATTTGAATTTGTAATACTTAAGCTTATCATAGTTTTTAGGATTGTTAGGTGCCTACTAGATATACAATGACTGCATGAGAAAAGTTTTTATTGTAAAGATATGGGGGACAATTGGATCTACAAAATAAGATGCTTCCCACAAGAGGATAAGTATAATCTGGAGAAAAATAGTATCTGTTGTTGGAAGTGGGGAAGCATGTACCAGATGCAAAACAATTCTTATCTTAAAAGATTGGACTGTAAACTGTACATTTGTTCCATTGGTAGGTAATATGTGAATGAGTATAGTCTGCTTAATCAAAGTATTTCTGGATCCAAAATAAATCATGTTGTAGAATTTAATCATTGAAGTAAAATTGATAAAAACCTATGACATTAAGTTTCCTTTAGTATTGAGAAAAGCTCACCCTCAAAATGTGAAAAATCAGAAAGCCAAAAGAGAGGATAGTAAACCTTCTCTGTAGTGAAAATAAAGGCTTTGAGCACTGTAATAATTCAGAATACCTATGTTAATTATAATGCAGATTAAAACACTTTGAACTTTCTTCAGTGAGGAAGCCTGATCTAGCAACTTTGGGAATTACCTCATTGACAATGCAAGCTTTGGGCTGTTTTTTTTGGGGGGGCGGGGGGAATTCTAGTGATCCAGGTGCCAGTACATGAGAAGGGGGTTTCTGGGGGATAGAAGTCACAGCAGGGGAAATAAGCAGTTCAGCCTCCCATAAGGAAAGGGGTGAGATATGCTCCTTCCCTACTGCCTTAAGCCCTACGAAAAGCTATTCTCTACCAACATTAGAGCACTTATGTGTACATTTCAGTAGCAGTTCCAGTACCTGGGAGCAAATGGCAGAACATTATTTCACTCCTCAGAACAGAATGTAGCAATTTAAACAGCAGGAGTTCAAGTGTTTTATCAACAGCAGGCTACCATCTATGCTAAAAAAGAAGAAAGAAAAGAAAAGAAGTAAATCTTCAAAAACAAAACCCGTTAAGGAATGTAGGATGAATGCCTATTCAACTGTACATTTGGAGTAGAAAATGTATCACAGCATGCAACAAGATGGCAGTCATTCAGAATGGCAGTGAAATTGTCTTTTTGCCTTTCTGAGATTCCAAATATGCCCTAGGCTTTATTCTTCCTCCTGCATAGGATATCAGAATACATTGTTTAGAAAATAACTGTTTCACTTGGGTTGCCTACTCTGAACCTTGTGATTGTACCATTGGTCATCATCCAGGAGAATTACAGTGACTCATTTCTCAATGTCACCAAGCCACAAACCAACATAAATTGTCATAAGAGCACCAGATTGACCAATTCTCAGTATAAGCTCTACTGTCACTGCTGAATTTAGATACTGTTCTTGAGTAAGTTTCTGCATTCCAGGAAAACTCAGAGTTCACATAGCCATTCCTATTTTTACAAAAAGATGGAATAGAATAATAAAATGTACAGAACAGATCTAGGAACTCTGTTTAAGGCTCAGGTTAGTGCTCAGTACCATCTCAGGTATTGCAACAGTTGTAAATAACTCTAGAGGTTCCAGTTGATTTCATAATACTGTGTTAAAATCTACTATGACCACTCATTCTAATACTTTAATGTCATCCTATATATTGATTTATTATTTTATAAATGTCTGTGCCTTCCACAAATGCACCAGAATTCAAGATAATTTGGGTTCTAGACAAGATCTAACTCCTTTTAGGAATTCATTGTCTATTTGAAATCCAAGATATTGGTACTAAACATACTAAGAAGGTTCAGGACATGTTAAACAATGCGAGAACTGTCGGTAGACTGGACAAAGTCAAGATCCAGATGAATGGTTAAGTAAATAAATGCCACAAGTTTATCATTAGAAAAAGAGGTAGGATGAGGTGGAACGAGAAATGGATCTTGAAAAATAGTTAATATTTAGATGGATAGGGGTGAAAAAATAAGGCATTCTCAATATGGGCCAAATGAAAATGAGAACCTAGGTTGTGTGGGACCATGTAGGTGACAAAGCTGATTATAGCTAGTGGTATATAAAAAGATGTTCTTAAAAATTAGGGTTTGAAAAGTCAATTGGATTTACATCGTAAAGTGATTTGAATTTCAGTTTAAGGTATACATGTAATGTTATTAACTTGTATCCTAGCTTGGTCTAAAATGATTTGAGGCCGGGCACAGTGGCTCATGCCTCTAATCCCAGCACTTTGGGAGGCCACGGTGGGCAAATCACTAGAGGTCAGGAGTTTGAGAGAAGCCTGGCCAACATAGTGAAACTCCATCTCTACTAAAAATACAAAAATTAGCCAAGTGTGGTGGCACACGCTTGTAATCCCAGCTACTCAGGAGGCTGAGGCAGGAGAATTGCTTGAACTCGGGAGGTGGAGGTTGCAGTGAGCCAAGATTGTGCCACTGCCCTCCAGCCTGGGCGACAGAGCAAGACTCCATCTCAAAAAATAAAATAAAATAATAAAATGATTTGGGGTAGCTTACAAAGATGAAGCTAACCAAGAAAAATAACCTAGTTTACATTTTAGGAAAAAAATGGTTCAAAATAGAAATTAAGATTTAACATACCTGAGATGTACCTAGGAAAGAAGTTAATGTATAAGAATGATACTATAACTTGTTATATATTCTTTAAAGTGATAGAAAAAATTAAGTTTTAAGATTTATGGCAACTCATACCAAAAGAGAAAAAGAAGTAACAAGTTAAGGATAATGAGGCACAAACAAATCAAATACTCAGGAAATTCAAAACTGATATTAAGACCAAAGACCTCAAAAAATATGATAAACAACATCCTCAACAACACAGGAATAAAGTTGACAGAACGGTTTTTTAGAACATCCCTAACATAGGCCAGCAGTAGCATATCAATGCACAAAAAAGTAGTCTTGGGGGAATGACACTGTGCTGGTGTTTCTTGCGTTGATTATCTGGTTTACCCAAGAATATAAGGTTAAAAGTTTTGAACTTTGTCCTATAGACTAGTAGGAGCCATAACAGATTTTTTAAATGTAACACTCACATATTTAAAAGCAGACACCTGATATAACACTTTCTCCAGACTTCCTCTTTTTACATTGTGAAATATTTTATTTACTCCAATGTATCCAATTTTTATCATTTCAATGCATGATCAATGTAAAAATATTATTGAATATTTTTACTTTTTTGGTACCGAATCTTTGAAATCTGCTGGGAATTTTATACTTACAGACATCTCAACTTGAACTGGCCACATTTTAAGCTGTGTTTTGTTAGGGATAGGGAAATGGAAATGAAAAAAGAAAGGTATATAGATGCACTGTCTAGTACTCTAGCCAGACTTCCTTTTTGTAGCAAATCTACAAGACCTTTGGAATGATTTCGTCTGTCGGTATGTGGGTATTACCAATACAATTTTTCCTTTAACCTTTACTTCATAAAAGATACAGCTTGCTCTCAAGAATAGTGTATTTTTCTCCATGAGTTGCCAACCAGACCTTGAAGCAACATGAGTTTGAAGGTAAACACAGTGTTGCAGAAACCATCCATCAGAACTTGGAAAGCTTTAACCTGGAAAGATAGACATCTGGTTGTCAAGGGGACTATTTGCTTCTAAGTTTTTGATGGAGTTTGGCCTTTACTTCATATCTCATGCATAATTGGAAGCTCTGCCTGGTAGAAATGGTAGTCCTTTCTGAAGAAGGTGCTATGGCAGGGAGATAAATAGGTCATGAATTAATAATCTTGTTCGGCGGAACTTTCGTGACACTTGCCAACAGTACACACAAAGAAAGCATTTCTCAGTCCTTTGCTTTCATGACTGGTGAATTAACTCATATTTTACAAAAGAAGTGCTCCATACTGTGATCATTTCCATCTCCTGACATCTGCTTCATGCTTATCTTTGTCAGCTTAAGAAATGCTACTTGTCAGTGATAAGTGAATGAGGGTATATAAAAATGTAAAAATGCTACTTTACATTAGGAAGAAGGAAACAGCCTTAGCAGAAATTGACAAAAGTCATCAAATATAAATTCTAACTTTTACCTTGAAATTGACAACTTAAAATATCTCCCACAGGGTTTGTTGGACAGCTTTAAAATGAATAGGAAATCAAATTTTCTTGAATTGTAATATATATTTCGGTAATTTTGTGTGAGTTTTTTCGAATAGTGTAAAACATTAGCTATTTTACAACGGTATATTTTATAGTTTATTTCTTTATATTATTCATTTTATATTTAAAGGCCTTTATATTTGTATATAAAAATTGTGAAAACATAAAACTTCTTTCAATATGATGAGTAATATTCCTTGGTAAATGTTAAATGTGGTTGCTTTTCTCAAAAAAAAAAAAAAAAAAAAACAGAAAAAATAGGCCAGGCATGGTGGCTCATGCCTGTAATCCCAGCACGTTGGGAAACTGAGGCAGGTAGATTGCCTGAGCCCAGAAAGTTGAGACCAGCCTGAACAACATAGCGAAATCTCATCTCTACCAAAGAAAACTACAAAAATTAGCCAGGTGTGGTAGTGTGTGCCTATAGTCTCAGCTACTTGGGAGGCTGGGGTGGGAGGATCACTTGAGCCCAGGAGGTGAAGGTTGCAGTGAGCCGAGACTGTGCCACTGTACTCCAGCCTGGGTGACAGAGTGAGATCCTGTCTCAAAAAAATAAAACTATATATATATATATGTGTGTAAAATATATATCAATATATAATTTCATAAAAAGGTCTAGTATAATGAATAACTTATGACATGTTATTTAGGGAAAAGTTATGTATGGTCCAAAGTGAAATATAGGAGTATATTTCAAATAGTTAAATCATTTCATAAATAACAGTGATACTTTTTACATTATAGTGTTACTATAACAGATTGTCTTTAAAACAACTTTCCTAAAAATACTAAATAAAACTGTGATTATGAAAATGGGTTATAAATAGTGTTACTATTACAGAATTTATGAAATTAACAGATGTTCCATTATTTTTAGCTACAATGTTCCTGGACACACTTAGGTTCATTTCCACACTTGCTATGCACCTTTGTACTTTTAATATAATGTATTAAAATCTTTAATAGAAACTATAATCATATACAAACATATTTGACTCAGATTCTTCTCTTGTTTAATTTTCTTTTTTACAGAATCACAGAAGTTTCAGCATTTACTATCTCTCAGTCCTACTAAAGCAATATTCTTTTTCTTCAATTGTGTGTGTGCGTGTGTATGTGTGTGTGTGTGTGCATGCATGTGTGTTTATATAGAAGTCAAGTTAAGGTATGGCAAATAGGTAATTTTTTAAATAGAAAAAATATTACTTTTATCAGAACCATCATAACTAGTAAAGAAAAACGCCTACCTGGTATTAACACACTGCTTCCTAAATACTTGGAAAAAAAAAACAGAGAAAGCAAGCCATGAAATTAAAGAGCTTTAGACTAATGTAAAGTCCAATGTGACCAAGAAAAGTAAACGGTAATGTACTAGTGCCCAACAGAAAACAGTTTGGTAAATCTATTATATTATTTTTATAATCCATATATATTCGTTTTTAAAAACCAGACATATTTTTTTATGTGAAAAATACTCTATGAGGAGTTGGGACCTAGAAGGTATATAACTCTGTAGGAGAATATATAACTCTGGAGAAATGTAGGTTTATTTTAAAGTTAATATAATTTCATACAGTTGGATATTGTACAGAATTAAAATTCAATTATATAAAAATTGCTTATATTATAAAATGAAAAGAACCTGTAAACACAATGCTATTTAATTTTGTTTATAAACACACACGCACATTATAAAGGTAAAGAAAAAAACTAAACAAACTTGTCACCGAATAGCTGGAGTAAGAGGAGGTTTGGTTTTTATCAAACTTACACCCTTCTGTATTCTCCATTTTTTTTCTATAATCAGTGAACATTAACTACTAATGAAAAATTTACATATTAACATAAAATACAAAATAACATAAAATACAAATTGTATTTTATGTTAATACAGTATTAACATAAAATACAAAAATCGAGAATTATTCCAAATAACTAACATCCAGGTGGAAAATGTATCCCTTCAACACTTATCTCTCTACACTTGGTACATTTAAACAAATCCATATCAATAATTATGCTAAAAATAAAAGAACAAGACTTATTATTCTGTATAAGATACCTACGCATGCTCTGCCCTCTCACTCACGTTGATGGCAACTATAAAAAATATCAGAATGCATGCAGTATCTATTTGAGGGTGCCCAAAAAATAAATATTAACAGACACATTATGTAAGAAGATGAGCATTTGAATAACTACCTGACATACATTGAGCTTACCATTTTTTTCTTAAGATTTTCTTCATTCGGCCCTGAATGCTACACAGTTTTAAAAGTGGGTGATGGAGAGGGGGTAATAAAAGCCTTAGTTACTTGGGAGCCTTTTCTAGCCAGAGGATGAAAAACAAGAGGCCTAAGAAAATAATGGAACCAGGGAGATTACAGACAGAGTGAAGGGCTCAAAAAAGAAACCCTACAAAGTTATTTATAAACTTATTACCAAGTTTTGCATGTGTACACCAGACCTTAATCAGCACATCAAAGGTCTTTTAAAATTAGACTGGAATTGGAACCACAGCCTACTATAGGTAAGTTGGAACCTGCAGTATAAACCTAACCATGTCTATTGACTGCTAAAACAAAAATCTCTAGGAAAATTTCAGCTATTGGGCGAAAAGACAACCAACAGACTCCAACAACAAAATCACACAGATGTTGAAAACATCTACAAAGACTTTAAAGCACCTATTATACAAATGCTGCAATAATCAAGAAACACTTGAAATAAACAGAAAAACAAATTCTTGGCTGGGCGTGGTGGCTCATGCCTATAATCCCAGCACTTTGGGAGGCCGAGGCAGGCAGATCACCTCTGGTAAGGAGTTCGAGATCATCCTGGCCAACATGGTGAAACACCATTTCTACTAAAAATACAAAAATTAGCTAAGCGTGGTGGCACATGCCTGTAGTCCCAGCTACTCGGGAGGCTGAGGCAGGAGAATTGCTTGAACCTGGGAGGTGGAGGTTGCAGTGAGCCAAGATCATGCCACTGTACTCCAGCCCAGGCCATAGAGCAAAAGTCCATCTCAAAAAAAAAAAAAAAAAACTCAAAGAAATACAAGATGTAAGAAACAAAATATAAAATAACAAAATAAAAATGTACTGGAGGTGCTCAGTAAACGAAGAGGACAGAGAAAAAGGCAGTGAACTTAAAAGATATATCAATGGAAGTTATCTGATATGATTGGATCTGTGTCCCCACCCAAATCTCAATTCGAATTGTCATCCCCAGGGTTGGAGGAGGAGCCTGGTGGGAGATGATTGGATCATGAGGGCAGATTTACCCCTTGCTGTTCTCATGATAGTGAGTTCTCACCAGATCTGGTTGTTTAAAAGTGTGTAGCACCCCGGCTACTCTCTTTTCCTCCTGCTCCAAACATGAAGGACATGCCTACTTCCCCTTTGCCTTCCCCCATGATTGCAAGTTTCCTGAGGTCTTTCCAGCCATATTTCCCATGCAGTCTGCAGAACTGTGAGCCAATTAAACCTCCTTTCTTTATAAATTACTCAGCCTCAGGTAGTTCTTTATAGCAATGCAAGAATGGACTAATACATTATCCCATCTGAACCACAGAGGAAAAATAAACATTAGATAAAAATGAACAGAAACTTACGAACTAACTGTGAAACATTAACAAAGGTCTAACATTTATGCCATTGGAGCCACAGAAGAATAGAAGGATGCAGAATGGAAAAAATATTTGATGAAATAACAGCTGAAAACTTCCTAAATATGGTAAAAAGACGTAACACTAGATATTCAAAAAGCTCAACAAACACCAAACAGGAAATATCCAAAGTAGACCATATCCAGATACATCATAATCAGATCCAGATACATCATAATCAGCCTGTTGAAAACTGAACAAAAAAGAAAAAATGTTCCAAATAGCTAGTAAAAAATATATTATCTGTATGGAAACAATGATTTAAATAGCAGATTTCTCATTAAAAAAACATGGAGACTAAAAGGAAGTAGCATAACATTTTTAAAATATTGAAAGAAATGCCAATCTATAATCTATATCCCACGATGTACATAGTTTTCAGAAATTAAGGTAAAGACTTCTAAAGAAAGAAAATTAAGAGAATTTTTGCCTGGAAACGAAAGGAGAGAGAGAGAGACAGAGAAAGAGAAAGAGAGAGAGAGAGAAGGAAGGAAGAAAGGAAAGAAAGAAAAGGAGAGAGAGAGAAAGAGAGAGAAAAAAAAGAAAGGAAGGAAGGGAGAGACGGAGGGAAGGAAGGAGGGAGGAAAAAAAGGGAAAGAAAGGGAAGGAAAGGGAAAAGGAAAGACATTTTAAAATAGAATGGACAAATGGGATATTCAAAAATGTTCAAATAAGCCACAGAAAGGAAGAAAATGGAACCAATACACACACAAAAACCATGCAGCTAACAATATACATAATAGTGAAAGATGTAATATTTGCCAACAAAGATGAGGAACAAGGAAAAGATGTCCTTTATCACCACTCCTACTCAACATTTTAATAGAAGTCCTAACCAGTACAATAAGACAAGAAAAAGAAGTTAAAGGCACACAGATTAGAAAGAAAGAAATGGATGACATTATTGTCTATGTAGAAATCCCATGGAATCTACAGAAAAGAAAACAATCTCCCAGAAAGAAACAGTCTCCCAGAACTAGTATATGAGTTTAATAAAGTCTCAGGATATAAGGTCAGCACTATAAAAATCAACCTTATTTCTATATACTTGCAATTTTAATTGCAATGTGCAATTAAAAACAAACTTAAAAATAATGCCATTTACAGTCTTAAAAATGATTAAACAGGCTTAATAGAAAATAGCTAAAAAAACTAGAAAAGATGAAAAATTTTCTATGAAGTTTCAAATTAGTAAAATTTGAATAGCTCAATTATAGAAAAAATTTATAAGTAATTAAAGACCAAAACTGAATGAGGGCCAATGGGAACAGGTCTAAATTGGAACATGTTTAAAATCCATTTTAAAACATTAAATTTAAGTTTATTTGAACACTTAGAAAAATGATGGAAATATCTCTAATTAATTTTAAAAGTCAGCATAATCTTAATTTTTAAACTTTACCAGGGTAGAACTAATGCAGAACTTTAGACTAATCACAGTTAAAAATATGGATGCATCAATTCTTAATCTGATAATAGCAGTATATCAAAAGAATGGTATATTAATACCATGAAGTATTAATTCAGAAATGTGAATTATAGTGGCCCCCAAAAAGATATTAGGCCTATGTCCTAATCCCCAAAATCTGTAAATACAACCTTAATTGGGAAAAGAGTCTTTGCAAACATGATTAAGTTAATGATCTCGAGATGAAATCATCCTGAATTATTCAGGAGGGCCCTAAGTCCAATGATATGTGTCCTTATAAGGAACACAAACAGGAGAAGACAGGCACAGAGGAGAAGGCCATGTAAAGACAGAGGCAGGGACTGGAGTGATACAACTATAGGAACTCTGACACCAGAAGTTAAAGGACCAAGTAATGATTCTCACCTAGTGTCTCCAGAGAGAACAGTCCTGCTGACACACTGATTTTAGATTTCTGGCCTCCAGAGCCATAAGAGGATAAGTTTCTGTTGACTGATTGATTGAGACACTGTCTCACTCTGTCACCCAGGCTGGAGTGCAGTGGTGCAATCACAACTCACTGCAGCCTTGACCTCCCCGGGCTCAGGTGATCCTCCCACCTTAGCCTCCTAAACAACTGAGACTACAGGCATGTGCCACCATGCCCAGCTAACTTTTATATTTTTTTGTACAGATAGGGTTTTGCCATGTTGCCCAGGCTGGTCTTGAACTCTTGGGCTCAAGGGATCCACCTGCCTCAGCCTTCCAAGGTGCTGGGATTACAGATGTGAGCCACTGCGTCCAGTCTTTTATTGTTTTAAACCACCCAGTGTTTGGTAATTTCTTGTTGCAGCCTCAGGAAACTAATGCAGAAGGATATTTCAAAACTACAAGATATACAATCATTTTTCTAAAAGTAACAAAGCAAAGTACCCTACCAAAATGCTAAAACATTTTTGTTATAAAATAAACAGTACCTAGATAGCAATATTTGTTATTATGATGATGATTTGAGAAGAAAGGAATTAACGGCAGCCCTGAAACCAATTGCCTCCCTAACTGGTAGTCCTGGCAAGAAGGAATGGCTTCAATCAAATATCTTGTTAAACATACCAAAGACCAAATCTCATGGTAAACTTACTGGTGGTACTCACTCATGAGAATAGAGCAACCTTATGCATTAAATATTGTCAGAAGAATATACCTGCTCTGCTTATATTACTTATTATAAGCAAACTTGAAATGTATGGTTTTATGGCAAGCATGACTCTCTAGAAAATGGAAGATAACCAATTTATCTGTGAATTAATGAGGTACAAAGAGGAGATGTTCTTTAACTGAAATGGCTCCCTTTTTTTCTAAGCAGCACATGTTGCTTAGGAAGAATCTTATTCATTAGTCCAAAACTAAAACGTTTCCTAATTCAAAGAGAAAGGCACTTTGGGGAGCTGTGTTTGACTCCTCAATTTCTCTGAGTAAAGAATGTTTCACTTTTGCCTGGTATTTGACGGACACATGTTTGAGTCACTGGCAAATTTGCTACTGGTAAGGTTTATGATTCATATGAGTCTGCTCAACGCAACCTTTGTGTTGTCAGATAATTGAACATTTACCTGGAAAGCCCAATGAGTTAATACAAGAAAACAAAGCATGAGATAAATTTTGGAAAAGAGAAAAAAACAAAAACCCAAAAGTGAAAAATTACTTGAATTAATACAATAATCTGTAATTAGAAAATATAAATGTATCAAGGAAGATTATTTTCCACCGTGTAAAAATAATAAAAAAAGGATTTAGGAAAAAATTTCAACTTTCAACAATTATATCAAATTCAACAATGGACACACAGAAAATCAACAAAGAAACATCAGACTGAGACCACATCGTAGACCAAATGGACCTAACAGACATTTACAGAGCATTTTATTCACTTGCTGCAGTACACATATTTTTCTCAACTGCACAGGGAGAATTCTCCAGGATTAATTATATGTTAGGCTACAAAGCTAGTCTTAACAAATTTATGATACAGGGATTGTATCAAATATCTTTTCTGCCTACAATTGCATAAAACCAGAAATCAACAAGAAAAACTTTAGAAACTTTACAAATACATAGAAATTAAACAATGTGCTCCTAAATAACCAATGGGTCAATGAAGAAATTAAAAGGAAAAATTTTAAATTCCTTGAGACAAACAAGAATGGAAACATATCATATCAAAACCTATGGAATATAGCAAAAGCACTCCTAAGAGAAAAGTGTACAGCAATACATTTCTATGTCAAAAAAAGATTTACAGTAACTAACTTAATGATGTACCTCAAGGAACCAGGAAAACAGTAATAAGCTAAACCCAAAATTGGTAGGAAGGAAGGAAATAATAAAACTTGGAGAAGAAATAAGCAAAACAGAGGCTAAAAATGCAATTCGAAACAATGAAATGAAGAGTTGGTTTTTTGAAAAGATAAACAAAATCAACAAACCTTTAGACTTAAAAAAGAGACAGACTTAAATAAAATCAGCGATGGAAAAGGAAACATTACAACTGATACCACAGTAATACAAGGAATCATAAGAAACTCTTAGGAACAACTATATGCCAACAAATTTGATGTCATAAAAGAAGGGGCTAATTCCTGGATACATACAACGACCTTTAAAGGCTTAACTATGAAGAAATAAAATAATTGAACAGACCAGTAACTAGAGAGAAAATTAAATAAATCATATAAAGCCTTCTATCAAAGAAAAGCCCAGGACTTGGTGACTTCACTGCTGAATTCTAACAAACATTTAAAGAAAAAAAAAAAACAATTATCCTCAAATTATTCTGGAAAATTAAAAAGGAGGGAATTGTTCCAAACTCATTTTATGAAGCCAGCATTATGTTGATTCCAAAACCAGACAAGAACACAACAATATAAAAAGAGAAAACTACAGGCCAATATCCCTAATGAAAATAGGTACAAAAATTCTCAACAAATTACTAGCAAACCAAATTCAACAAAACATTCAAAAGATCGTTCACTGTGATCAAGCAGGATTCATTCCAGGTATGCAATATCATGCTAGACAGAGAGCAAGACTTTGTTTTTTTCTTCATTTCACATTTAACTATGGTTTTGAAAAGCATATATGGACACTAAGTACTTGTCCTAGAAATAGAATGAGAGTCATCAGTCCAAGGAGCTTCCATTTCTTGAGGATAGTCAGGTAGTGTCCTTTACCCCTAACAGAAGCATTCATTGCTTTCTGTCTCCCCATCCCATGGCCTTAGGGAACATAAAATTCTCAATATCATATTCTACTTGCACAGAACTAGTGGTATTCCTTAAAAATGAGTATTCAGATTCTAAGTCAGAATAAATATATAGGATCTCAGCTATAACAAATTTTTGCATGAAACTTTAAAATGCAGAGAAGCCAATATTATGATGTCCATTACAATCTTATGGTTGAAGTAAATAGCATAGAAAAGGCTGTATTATGAATGATCAAAACCTATTACAGGATAATCATGGGCAGTAAGTCTTGGGATAATCTTGAAGGTAGGAGACTGTTTTTTTGGCTCAACCAAAGAAAAGCCACTCTTCTTAGCTAAATGTATGTATTATTCAGAGATACATATTCCAGAGAATCAGAGTCACTAGGAATGATTTAGAATAAGGTATTTATCATGGAGATTTCAACTTATACAATTGTAGGAACTGGTAAAACATTCTTGGTTCAGTTATTTCTTCTGTTTCTATTGCTGATTGTGGAGTCAGAGTGCAGGAGATGGATAAGGAAAGATTGACATGAAGTTAGAGAGATTAGGAACAACTGAAATCTGCAAAGTATAACCGAGAACCTGTATCTTTTTTTTTTTTTTTTTTTTTTTTTTTGAGACGAAGTCTCACTCTGTCACCCAGGCTGGAGTGCAGTGGTATGATCTTGGCTCACTGCAACCTCCGCTTCCCAGGTCCAAGTGATTCTCCTGCCTCAGCCTCCTGAGTAGCTGGGACTACAGTTGCATGCCACCTTGACTGGCTAATTTTTGTATTTTTAGTAGACATGGGGTTTTGCCATATTGGCCAGGCTGGTCTCGATCTCCTGACCACGTGATCTGCTCGCCTCAGCCTCCCAAAGTGCTGGGATTACAGGCATGAACTACCATGCCCGGCCTAACATGTATCTATTCTATGTTTGTCTCTCCTCATCAGTGCCATGGATGACATAAAAGAGAAGTTTGCACTTGTCATAGAGTCAAATAGCACCTGACCTAGGATTTAAGAAAACTAGGGAAAATATCTTATGGAAGCAACATAACCCTTAGGTCCAGCTGCCACCCAGATACTCAAAAACATGCATGAACTGCAAAAAGGTTGGCCTACATAAACCTTCAGTGAACAAACATGACTACTTTTTCACTCTACCTTCCAAATCTTACACAAATTGTTCTTGTAGTCAACCCTAATCAGAAACACACAGGGAAGGAAATTCTTGGGAACATTGTTCAGTTGAGCCGTTTTAACAAAATTTAAGGCCATCACAGTCCTTGTCACCATGTATCCATACACGACACTTTAAATCATACTCAAATTTCAAATAAAGATGAGCAAAGTCTTGCTTCTGCCCACCATACAGCTACTATACCATATACAATCAGACACACACACACACACACACACACACACACACACACACTAACCGCCACCCCCGCAACCTGCCCCCAAGAGGAAAAATATAACCGCTGCCCTGCAACCTGCCCCCTTCCTGCCCCGCAAGAGGAAAAATATACCTTATCCATCTTTGGGTAATGTTTATTCATTTTTCTAGCCGAGTCACAATCTGCCTTTGAAGTCATATAAATTCAAAACTGAGATAAAAAGTTAATATTATTGTAATGCTAGTTGACAGGAAAATGGGAGATGAGGAAGTAAAGATTTTTATCAATATTTATATGTTTATTTAAAATATGGAAAAATATAATAGTCATAACTATTATAGATCTTCTTTCTATAACCAACTCCATCATCATAGTATTAATAACCTTCTTCCACTAACCATTCCATACGTCCTTTGTCCTAAGCAAGCACCTCAGCAGGTTAAGGTTCCTTGCCTGGTGGGGTGACCCTAACCTTTATTCCTGAAAGGACTGTTTCATTAGTGGTACAATGTATATTGGGTTGCTGTACTTTTCCATGTACTTTGATAAAACTGCATGGAAATATGGAGAAAAGGAGCTCCTGCCTTTCAATTTCAAACATATTTCTCCTCAACCCCTGTATTGATTTTTTAATTGCTAAATTACATCAAAATGTAGCAGCTTAAAATAACAAGCTCTTAGTATCTTACATGGTTTCTGATTGTTAGAATCTGAGAGATGCTCATTTGGGTGTATCCTCCATTTCAGGGTCTCTTGTGAAGTTTCAGTGAAAATGGCTAAGGTCGCAATCATCCGAATGCTTCCCTGGGTGAGCCAGCAGAGAATAAAGGAGGGCATACAATAAGGAAGTCACAGTCCTTTTGAAGCCTAATTGTGGAAGTAACATCCGATACTTGCTGAATTACATCCATCAGAATGGAAAAAAGAATTCCACTCCACACTCAAAGAGCCAAATTACACAAGGGTACGAATACCAGGAAGTGGAATTTGTTGGGATAATTTTACAAGCTCACCACAACATTGTACAGATTTAGGCTAAACGAAGAATGTGACAGAAAATATATGTTCTACTACCAAAGGCATCTCTTTGCATTATTATAACTGATACTGTAACAATTGGAATTAGGTTTCATCTAATTAGTATTTTACATACTTAATGCCAATTTCTCTACATGATGTTCTCAAATCTATCTCCATTTAGAGATAAGGAGTATTAAAACAGTCATTAATGGGAAAATAGATTTTATTCTGTTACTTCCACCTGTAGTTTTATATACAATTTAAAAGTAAGGGTATCCTATATATTTTTAAATCTTATTTAATAATAAAAAATCATCTTACCTCTATCCTTTAAAAAGAATGTTAAGTCTGGGAAGGATTTTAGACAACAGTCCAATATTTGATTTGAAAAGTGAGGAAACTTAGGTCTAGAACTTTTACATGAGTTATTCAAAATTTCATGACCATTTGATTCTAAATCTGGGAAGTGACATGCTGGAGCTGACTTTCACAGATCTGCAAGGGTTAAGTGTCCTCATCTCTTCTGAACTCCGCTTTCGGTGACATCAGGTCATGATCGTGAAATCAGTGACAGTGGAATATTTATACCATGGAAATCCAGCAACATTAAAAATCAGCATTTTTTTCCAGGGAGCCAATTGTATGACATTCACCAGCACAACACAAGATTACGATTAGAATCCAGGCTTTCTGATCTCTCGCACTTCTCTGTCCACTTCACTGGTCACATACCTTTATCGTTAAGAACAAAGCTGGTAAACTAATTATCTTACATAAGGTTTTATCTTCCTCCACCTAACCTGGACTTTATACATATTTCTTCAGAGGTTATGTTTAGCCAAATGCACTGTTAATGAAATGTAGGTTTATATATCCATAGTAATTACTATGTCCTGGTAATCTTTGAAATAGATGGATGCCCATTTTCTCTATTTCAGAATGTTTGCCACAAGAAAGCAATTACCCCTATTTAATGCCTTGCTGTTTTGCCTATATTTTTAACACTGCTACATAGTATTGGCCATAATCATGGCTTTTCATGTGATCTGTATAACAATTAAATTTAAAAGCCTTATTTTTTCATGTTATGCATATTACAGCAAACTCTCATTTAACAAACTCTATCTCTTATAAGATCAACAAATACAAACAATATAAAACATAAATAAACCCAAAAAAAATTTAAAATACTTTATAGAAGTATTCATATTATTTGCTTTATCTTGCCCTAATTTTTATATTCTTATATTTTTACCTTTATTATTATCTTTGATTACCACATAATATCATATGTTATGTTCTAATTAGTAAAAGTAATAAAACAAATCTGTCATTCTGCAACCAGTAAAAATTGTGAGCTATGAAGTTTCAACTTTTTGATATTTGTTTTTTAAGCAAGAGTTTTAAAAAATTGTTTATATATAACATATAATTTTGGTGGATAATAACTAATTATCCTTTAAACTTATCTTACTGTAATTAATTATCACATGCTAGTTATCATCAGGATGCCTTCTTATAGCCACAGTAATTTATTTATCAAATTCAGAAGTACTCTGCTGGCTAAGTCTTCAAAATTTATCCAGAATCTGACTCTCTAACTATCTCTCACTACCTCCATAGCAACAAATCTGGCCTGGTCATCATTTCTTACGTAGATCATGCAACAGTCTTCTAACAGGTTTTCCTGTTTCTATTTTTGTTTTCCTACAATCAATTCTCCACATAGGAGCCAGAGTAATTTAAAAGGTGTAGGTCTGCTGAATCACCCAATGACTTCCCATCTCCTACAGACCAAAATCCCAACTCTTTGTAATGGCTTGCAAAGCCTACATAATTTGACCTGTGTCTGCTCCAACTTCCTTTCTCTCTTCTTTCCCTCTCTCTTCATCTGTTCCTGCCACACTGTCCTCCATGTTGTTCTTCCAAATACTGCAGTCAGGCTTGTACCTCAGGGACTTTGCATTAACTACTTCTCTCTGCTTAGAGTGCTGTTCTTCCTAGCACTTCCATGGCCCACTTTACTTAAATGTTGTATGCTTAGTGAGGTCAATGCTGACCACCATGTTTAAAAATGCCACTAATCTCTGGCTTTTTGCTCTCACTTATCTAGAATATTTATAATTTACTAACAATGTAATTTAACTATTTATTATGTTAGTGTTTATCATTTGTCACCCCCAGCCATATTTGAACATATATATAAAGTCTTAAATTAATATTTTTGAAGAAAAGAGGAAAGAAAACAATAAAGAAAGGAACAAAAAACTGTGAACCCAAAAGAGAATAGTAAAATGTAAGAAAAAAGTCATGAACATAAAAAAATTGATAAACATGTTGGTAAATTTATTTAACTACAGACTATAAAAATAAATCAGTAATTATAATTAGTAGGAACAGATGTGCCTAACAAACCTGATAATAACAAAATAACTGAAAGAGATTAGTGTTTTTGTAATTACATCCTTTTGCATTATTATGCAATATGATGGACATATTAATTAGCTTTAGATATTTTTAAGACAAGATTTAAAATATAAAGGAATCACTAAAGAAAATAATACACTAAAATACTAAACATATACTTCCACACAATCTGCTATGCAAAGAAAATTTATAATACAAGTTATGATTATAACTGCATGACAATAAAAACAATAAAGGTTAAAACATCTCTAAAAACAGGAAATATTTACACCATAATATACATATAAATAAGACTAAAAATTAACAAGCCAAGCGTTCAAATCAATAAGTTAGAGACAAAACAAAAGAAAAAACTCAAAGAAAAAGGAGACTATCATGGTAAGAGCAGAAACTTTTTTTTTTTTTTTAAGGAAGAATAGAAAAAATCAATCCAGTTTTTTGGAAGATGGCTGACTAGATGTGGCTAGGAGAGACCATGACATTGGAAAGACTGGCATACTCTGAGCAGATCTTCACAGGGAAGGCACTGAGAGCAGATGGAGAGAAGACACAGATGCTGGGCTGAAGAGGGAGAAAGTTGGGAACCCTGCATGAGGCTACTCTGCACTGGGACTCATTCCTGCCCCTGAACGACTCCTGGGGATGGCTGAGTTGAGCAGACAAAGAATGACCAGCTCTCACCATGGACCTCTGGAATCCTGGCAACAGGAGACCCCATGACTCCCATGGACAATTGAGCCGGCAGGGAGAGGCTTAGACAGATGGCAGATACAGAACTCCAGCCAGTATGGAGCCCAGAGAGTTTAGTGGAGTAGTGTCTGTAGAGGAGCAGGGCCAGGGATGCCCACCCATCTAGGCTAGCCTTGCTCCCCTAGGAGACTTTAACCTTAGGGAAAATGTTGCACCTCAACAGTGCTGGGCAATCTTGCCTATGAGATGGGGCTGGTTTGACCTGAGTGCCCTCCTGTCTGCTGGCTTCTCCTGGGGCCCCAGCCTGGCCATGCCTGCTTGCAGGATGCTCACTGAGGCTCATCCTAGGGGCCGCATCATAGCTCCTACACTGGCAGAGACCATGCCTCACCATCAGAGAGCTCCAGCAGAGCAGTCCTAGCCAATGTGCACATCTTGTCCATGCCCTCCCCCAACCACAGTGGCCCCCATGTCTCTTTCCCAGCATGCACTTGCCCACAGACACCCCACACTATGCTTTGCCAGTGTGTGTCTATGTATGGGTGGACCTTGACTCCCTCTCTGCTGGTGCACATGCAGAGTGGATCCAAGTGCTAAGGGAATTCATTAAAACCAGATCTGCCTTACAAGAGGTCCTGAAGGGAATGCTAAATATGGAAAGGAAAGACCATTACTGGCCACTACAAAAACACACTTTACTACAAAGACCAGTGACACTATACAGCCACCACACAAACAATCTGCATAATAACCAGCTAACAACATGATGACAGGTTCAAATCCTCACATATCAACATTAACTTTGAATGCAAATGGGACAAATACTCCAAGTAAAAGGCACAGATTGGCAAGTTTGATTTAAAAAGGCAAAAGCCAATGGTATGCTGCCCTTAAGACACCCCATCTCACATGCAGTGACACACATAGGCTCAAAGTAAAGGGATGGAGAAAAATCTACCAAGTAAAAGGAAAACAAACCAAAAAAAGCAGGAGTTGCTTTTCTAATTTCAGACAAAACAGACTTTAAATCAATAAAGATCAAAAAATACAAAAAAAAAGCATTACATAATGGTAAAGGGTTTAATTCAACAAGAAGACCTAATTATCTTCTTGTTGAGATATATATATATCCAACACAGGAGTACTCAGATTAATAAAGAAAGTTCTTAGAGACCTACAAAGAAATGTAGATAATTTAGTACCTAAATATATATGCACCCAACACAGGAGTAACCAGATTAATAAAAAAAATTCTTAGAGACCTACAAAGAAACTTAAATAATCACATAATAATAGATTTCAACTCGCCACTGACAGTATTAGACAGATCATCAAGGCAAAAAACTAACAAAGATATTTGGGACCTGAACTTAACACTTGATCAAGTAGACCTAATAGATATCTACAGAAATCTCAACCCCAAAATAACAGAATATATAATCTTCTCATCTGTACTCGCCACATACTCTAAAATCAACCACATGATCGGGCATAAAACAATCCTCAGCATATTTAAACAAACTGAAATGATACCAACCATATTCTCAGACCGCAGTGCAATAAAAATAGAAATCAGTGTTAAGAAAATTGCTCAAAACCATACAATTACATGGAAATTAAGCGATCTGCTCCAGAATGACTTCTGGATAGATAACGAAATTAAAGGAGAAATCAAGAAATTCTTTGAAACTAATTAAACAAAATACAACATGCCAGAATCTTTGGGATACAGCCAAAGCGTTTAAGAGGCAAGTATATATCACTAAATGCCCACATCAAAAAGTTAGGAAGATCTCAAATTAACAACCTAACATCACAACTTAGGGGAACTAGAGAAACAATAGCACACCAACCTCAAAGCTAGCAGAAGACAAGAAACAAAATCAGAGCTGAAGTGAAGAAAACCGAGACACAGAAAATCATACAAAAGACTGATGAATCCAGGAGCCCGTTATTTTAAAGAATTAATAAGATAGATAAACCACTAGCTAAATTAATTAAGGAAAAAAGCAAGAAGATCCAAATAAACACAATCATAAATGGCAAAGGGGATATTACCTATCTACCCAAAGGAAAAGAAGTCATATCAAAAGACACCTGCAAGCATATGTTTACTGCAGCACAATTCACAATTACAAAGATATGGAACCAATCTAAGTTCCCATCAACCAGCCGGTGGATAAAGAAAATGTATATATACACCATGGTATACTACTCAGCCATAACAAATGAATTAAATAATGTCATCTGCAGCAACTTGGATGGAGCTTGAGGCATTATCTTAAGTGAACTAACTCAGGAATGGAAAACCAAATACTATATGTTCTCACTTATAATTAGGAGCTAAGCTATGGGTATTCAAATGCATACAAAGTGGTATAATGGACACTGGAGACTCAGAAGGAGAGAGGGTAAGACAGAGGTGAGAGGTTAAAAAATAAAATATTGGGTACAATATACACTACTTGGGTGATGAGTGCACTAAAATCTCAGACTTAACCGCTATATAATTCATCTATGTAACCAAAAACCACCTGTACCCCCAAAGCTATTGAGATTTTTACAAAAAAAATAGAGACTAATGAAAGCAAAAAGCTTTAAAAGTAATAAAAGATACAGAAGGCAAAACTGATCAACAAAATTAAAGAGAGATTCTGTTTGTTTTGGAAGGTTGAAGGGGACATAACTACAAATAGATATGTTAAAACATTGAAGAAAATGCTATAAAATTATCAAATAAATTAAAATGTATATTAAAATAACTTTTAACAAATTGTTATTAAGGTGGACTCAAGAATAAATAGAAAGGCAGAAGTGTAACCATTAAAAAATTCAGTCAACATCACAATTCTCTCAAAGGATGAGACTGTGAAAGAATTAAAGAATACCACTAACTTTACATGAACTTTTTCATGGAGTAAAGAAAATATTCCCAAATATATTACATATGGCCAGGATAGCCTAACTGCCAACATTGAATAAAGGTAATCTGAGGAAAAAATAAGCCTACTTATTCATAAGCATAAATGCAAAATCTTAATTAAAATTTTTAACTAGTATAAAAAATACATCAACAAACATATTTTATACTTAAAAGCAAGGGTGGTCTAATATATGGTATCCAAAAATCTATTAGTATAACTCATCACATGAATAACAATTAAATCTACACATTTATATCAATGGATGAAGAAGGATCTATAACATTGACTATATATTCATGTTTTTAAAAAGTAATTCTTATCAAACTGAGACTAGACCAAACTGTGCAAGATTTTCAGTGCAGAAAGGATGAAGATGGAAAATCTTCCCCCTGAAAAAAACCACTATGTGACTTGACAAAATTGTTAAAACAAACATTTCTATTTTTGGATATAAAACGAAGGCAAAGAACAACTCAAGAAGCATTAGTTCATGAAAAATTCTTAAATGTAATTTAAGAAATGTGGGAATCTGGTATTCTTGCCTGGGATGTCTCCTTTCCGTCTCCCTCCAGAAAATGACAAAAGTTGATGAAAATAAATTGAATATATAAATCTATGAGAACATAACTAAACTCAAAATAAATAACAAAATAAACAGGCTAAAAAGCTTGTCAATATTGGAAGTAAACATAACGCTGCGTACTACTCAGTGAATTGGCAATGAAAGGAACATAATTCATCTTTAAACCTGCTTCTCTTGTACAAACTACATTTCAGGGTATCCAAATGACCTGAGCTGATGTGTCCCTTGCCACCAAAATTATAATTACGGAAGTTTTCAACTATAAAATGTTATAGGAGTACACCTAAAGCCATATCACTGCACTTATTTTCACAAACTGTTAATGTTTTGCCACATTTACTCTATAGAAATAAGTGATGGAGATAGATAGAAATGATGAGGCTAACAAATCTTTATGATAACATGAAAATAATAGAAAGAGATTGTTTTTATGATTATGTCCTTTCGCATTATGATGAGAGAGAGAGAGAGAGACAGAGACAGAGACGGAGAAGATATTTACCATATCCTCAGCCCCTGGCCACATCGCTGCCTGTAGGGGAAAGTGATATTTATTTTTAAAAATCCAAAGCAAATATAAGAAAATTTTGACATCAATTAAACCTAGGTATTGATATGCATGTGTTATATCATTCTTATGCTTTTTAACAAGTTATATAAAACTTTCAATCATTTTTAAAGTTTTAAAATATGGTTTATTTTCTGCCTCTTTTTTCCCACCTGCCACAAGAACCAGCTCTCTTTACCCAAATACTCACTTTACCAAAATACTCACTTATTTTAACTTTTTCCCATTTTTTAAAAATGCTTTTCTCCTCTGTCTCATTCTCTTTATATGTGTGTGTGTGTATATATATATATATAATATCAACACATATATAGATACATATATGTATATATGTGTGTCTCTGCATTTATATTTTCTGAACCATTTGTAGATTTTTATATATAACTTTATATACATTTAATAGCATATATATTATACATATTTACATATTAAAATGGCCCTTTATTCTTACTATTTCCAATAATATGAATATTTATTTTCTCACATAACCACAGTGAAGTTATCAAAATCAGTAAATTTAACAGTGATAAAGTATTATTATTTAATTTACCATTTATATTCCAATTTTGTTAATTGACCCACTAATTTTCTTTTAGAATTTTTTTCTTCTCAATTACAATATCCAGTGTGGGGTTAGATATTACATTCATTTGTCATACATGTTTATCCTTCAATTTTAGACCTTTCTACAGCCTTTGTCTTTCATGGCACTGATATTTTTAAAAAATATCTCCTCATTAAAAAATAAAATGTACCACATTTTGATGTGTTTTCTAATTAGATTTAGGTTTCCTCCTAATTAGATTTAGGTTATACATTCTCAGCCAGAATACTGTACAGGTGATGTGGTATCTGCCTCAATGGAGAAACATCATATCTATCTCTTCCTCATTGAACATATTAATTTTGATCACCTAATCAAGTTGTTTCTGATGTATCCATTGTATAATTACACTTGCCCCCCCCCCCCCACAACTCTTGTAGCTAATAAGGAGTCTACTGTGGGCACTGCTTCCATTTTTATTAGTCTGGAACTTAGAATTCTATTGTAAGCAAGAGCTTTCCATTCTCTTCAACTATTTACTTATTGGTTTACCTATTTATTATCAGTAGGGACTATTAAATATCTATTTATCCTATTTTTCAAATGTATTACTGTGCTTCAGTATTTTAATGCTTAAGTTCTCCTAAATTTAGTCAGGGGGAGCTCCTTCAAACATGTTCCTGAGTCTTTGTTACATGCCCTCAACATTTATTGAGCACTTTCTAACTTTCTGTCATAACAAAATGTTCCAGCCTCATCTCATTTATGCCCTATCCCAGCTATACTATTAGTCACCTCTTTGAGGACCTCGAATTCCTTTTGTGGAGACTTTTATTAACTATAAGTCTTTAAATTATCTGTTTTAAGGTATCAGAGAGCTACTGATTTAACCAAGTCTTAAAGAGACAAGATCTTAATAAATAGGAAAACTGTGATAAGGTAAACTAACATTCTGTGTCTGCTTTTTAGCTTTGCTATATTTGCTAATTCTAGATACTGGGAAAGAATCTGAGAGTTCAGCAAATGAAAGGGTAAGAAGGAAAATACTTAGAATCAGAGAAACCAAGAGAGCATTTGCAGTTTCACAAACATGGAAAACGAACATGAGAAACTTGAGAGACCAAGATTTTAGTGAGATCCAAAATTAAGCATTGCCTTAGGACTGTTTTCCCCTAAATATGTATAAGTATGCAATCATAGCACCTGCAAGACTACACTCTAGGAACATGGAATTAACCAAAGGTAGAGAAACACTTAGCAAGCTTGTAACACAGTCTTAAGTCAGCTTAACCCAAGATTGGTTAATATTGTAAACTCCAATTTTTATCTAACAAAAGGAATGATAAACCCTCTCTAGAGAAAGAAAACAGCACTCAGAGCCTCTACACCTTTCCATACAAAGGTATTGATATTTAATATAAAATTACCAGGCATGCCATGAGCAAGAACCACATGATAAAAGCCCAAGAGAAAATATAAACAACACATAACCCAGGAGCAATCCAAATAAAAATTGTAAGATAACCATGACTAAGGAGTTCTAGGAAATAAATGGAACACTGGAGGAAAAACATAGAAAAATGGATGTATTCACAAGAACATTAACTCTACCTATAATGAATAAAATAGAAATGCTATAAATAAGAAGTAACTGAAATTTAAAACTTAATATAAAGGATTAAAATCATAATAGACAGGGGAAAGGGATTAATGAGCTAGAATATGGAACAGAAAATATCTAATTAAGGAGAAAAAAAAGGAAAATGTAGTAAAGAATCTAAGAAACATATGTGAGACCATGTAATGATCTAATTGAAGTTCCAGAGAGGAGAGACACAATGAGGAATAACTAATACTCAAGTAATAAATAGCTGTGAATTTTCCAAAAGCAATTAAAGAATTCAATCCAGAAATCCAAATGAAACCCCAAGCAGGATAATTTAGGATCATCTGAGAAGATGCAGGTGAGGCTGAAAAGAAGAAATAGAAAAAGAAAAAATTCAAATAGAGAAAAAGATATCTTAACTTGAAAGGAAATCATCAGGATTTTCAGGTGATATATCCACATAAGCAGTTAAAGACAGTTGGCAATTGAAATAACAACCAAAAATACAAAGTCAAAATTAGACACTCATTAAAATAAATATACATTTTCCACTTTTAACAGAATGAAGTAAGGTGGAACAGCTTTACTATACTGATTTAAACTAGAAAGCTAGAAAAAATATTCAAAACAACTGACACTTTAGACAACAGGGAATACAGAATAATGGTCCCTAAGAGAAGGGAAAACATGAGGTAGATGCTATGATTGCCACAGTTCACCAGCTTGAGAGACTATCCAAGACTGAGGGAAGGAAGGGCAAGTCCAAAAAGGTAACTACGATTAATAGGAAAGTGTGCTGAAGAAAAGGGAAGAGCTTAGAGAAAGAGGTCCAGAAATCATCAGAGAGGCCCTCTTGAATCTTCAGCTGAGTATTCATCTACACATATATGTGGGCAAACTCTAAAACCAGGGAGAAAAAAGCCATACCACATGCACACACACAGAGACACACACGCACACGCAAAAGAGTAGTCAGAACAATTCCTGGGGTTCACGCAGCACTGAAAATATTTTGTGTTCCCACCAACTAAGGTAAAAAGAATTCTAATGAAATAAGAAATAAGGTAAAGAGGCCAGGAGCCGTGGCCAACATGGTGAAACCTCGTCTCTACTAAAAATACAAAACTTAGCTGGGCATGGTGGCAGGCACCTGTAATCCCAGCTACTCAGGAGGCTGAGGCAGGAGAATCATTTGAACAGGGAGACGGAGGTTGTAGGGAGCCGAGATCGTACCAGCACACTCCACACTCCAGCCGAGGGGGCAGAGGGAGACTCTGTCTCAAAAAAAAAAAAAAGGAAGGTAAAGCACTGGGAAGAATCTTGACTAAAGTGTAGTGCCAATTAGCCCTAGGATAAAAGCTGTTCTGAACACTCCCTAAGAAAACTTAAAAGCAAGTCATAAAAGAATCAAACCATTTACAAGTAACTTAACTCTAACTGACAACAAAACTCAAAAATATCTAAAGTAATACAATGAAAGCTAGCATGCAAAAGTACAAAATTCACAATATCGGCCATCCAATAAAAAATTATAATGCAAGCAATTAAATCAGGAAAATATGACTAAAACCAATAGATACAAACAGACCAGAAGTGACATACATGGTAAAATTAGCAGTTAGTAATGTTAATAATGTTAGAGTTCTTATACCTAAATTTCAAATGCTTAAGAAGGTAAAAGAAAAAAAATATGATGGGAAGAAAAATGAAAGAATGAAAAAGACCCAAGTCAAACGTCTGGAGATGGAAAAATACAACATTTAGAAGGAAAATACTCTGGATGGGATTAACAGCCAATTACACACCGCAGAAGAAAAAAATTAGTGAACTTGAAGACATAGCAAGAAAACTATTCGAAATGAAACAGAGAGATAAAAGACCAAGAAAAATAAAAGATCATCACTGTTCATTAATAGCTATTTTATTAAAAAACTTCAAAATACATAAAGCAAAAGTTGATAGAGCTAAAAGACATATCAATAAAGAAGATTTAAAGATTCCAAATAAGAACATAAGGAAATACTTAATATCATTAGGCATTAAAGAAGAAAAGTTAAAAGTATAATGAGATATCACTGTACATTCATTAAATTGCTAAAATTTAAAGACATTGACAATACCAAGTGTTTACAAGAATGCAAAATTAGGATTTTCTTATATTGCTTATTGCATCTACTTTGGAAAGTTGACAGCTTTTAATAATTCTCATTTAACTTAACAATTCCACAATTAGTATATTCCATACAGAAATGAAAACATACATCCACACATATAAATGTTTATGGCCACTTTATTCATAATATTTTAAATCTGGAAAAACCCAAATGCTCATGAAGAGATCAATTAATAAATATGTGATGTGTTCATGCATTGGAATATAAATTAGCAATCAAGAAAAACTACCGGTTCAAGCAAAATGAATCTCAAAATCATTATAATGAGTGAAATAAATCAGCCAAGAAGAATATATGCTATATGATTCCATTTATATGAAACTCCAGAAAAGAAACAAATTTGAATCTATTGTTACAAAAAAGCAAAACAATGGTTTCTTGGAGGTGGGAATGAAGGGAGGAGATTGCCTGACAAGGAGCACCAAGGAAGTCTTTCTGGATCATGAAAATATGCTTTATCTTGATTACAGCTCTGGTTGCACACAGTCACACACACACAAGTAATTTCTGAAAACTTATCAAATTATACTTCAAATACAGGTACACTTAAGCATACATAAATGATTCTACTGTGTTAATTTAAATAAAAAAAGAGATAAAGAGAAAAGTGGAAAGAATGAACAAAGGAACAAAAGAAAGAGAAAAGAGAAGGATGGAAGGAAGAAGAGAGGAAGGAAGCAAGGAAGAAAGAAAGGAAAGTAGGACAGAAAGAAAAAGAAAACCAAATCGAAATCTAGAACTAAAATAAAATAGTTTAAATAAAAAATTCACTGGATGCACTTAACAGCAAATAGGTGACCACAGACGAAAGCAACAATGAACTTGAAGACAGGTCAACAGAAACTATCCATGCTGAAACTTTGTGGGGAAAGAATGTGTATTAATCCATTTTCATGCTTCTATAAAGAACTGCCCGAGGCTAGGTAATTTATAAAGGAAAGAGGTTTAATTGGCTCACAATTCAGCATGGCTGGGGAAGCCTCAAGAAACTTACAATCATGGTGGAACGTGAAGAGGAAGCAAGGCACCTTCTTCACAGGGCATGTTCTTTGCAAGGCAGCAGGAGGGAGAAGTGCTGAGCAAAGGGGGAAGAGTCCCTTACAAAAGCATCAGATCTTAGGAGAACTCACCCACTATCATGAAAACAGCATGGGGGAAACTTCCCCCATGGTTCAATTACCTCCACCTGTTCTCTCCCTTGACATGTGGGGATTATGAGGATTACAATTCAAGATGAGATCTGGGTGGGGACACAAAGTCTAACCATATCAGAATAAAAACTCCCATTTCTCCTGCTTTAAAACTGGTCAGAGAACTTCAATTGCAATAGAATGAAAATATAACTCCCTAATCCTGATCTATGAGTTTCTTATGGCCCAAGCCCTTTTTCTACCTCTTAGGCTATTCTCTTCTTGATCACCAGGCTCCACCCTCACTGGCTTTCTTTCACCTCCTAGAAAATGCCAAGCTCCTCCTTATCACAGAGGCTCTGTACTTGAGTTTTGTTTTTGGTTTTTTTTTCCCAACAAGGATCTTATTTCCAATGTTCACATGGCCAAGCTCAATAACTGCCTTCTTGATAACCTTATTTAAAATAGACTACTGTCTTCCAGATGCATCCTTTTATATCACTACATTATTATTTGACGTGTTTGTTCGCATGTGTGTTGTATATCTCACCCAACTAGAATTTAAGTTTTTTGAGGCTAGGGACCCTGTCTTTCTTATTTACAATGCTTAGAACAGTGTCTGGGACATATAAAACCTGCATAAACAGTAACTAATGTGTAAGTAAATGAGAGAATGAATTCTGCTGGGTAAGGGAGATGCATCTAGGAGCAAAGGAGACCTAATTCCTTTGTTCATAGGCTTACATTGTAGTGGAGAAAGCAGACAAATAAGCCAATTATTGAAATGCATGATGATTAGAGCAATTGCTGGGGAGTAGAGCATATCTCTAGGGCCACAGGTTGGCCAGATAATCTGGACTGGAGGTTAGGGAGAGGTACAGGTAATCAGGCAAGCTCACTTGAGGGATTTCCAAACTGAGATCTAAAAGATAAGAAAGAATTACCCTTGCAAAGGAGAATGGAGACACAGCAGAGGAATTAGAGACAGTGGAGACTCTGTGGGAGACTATACAAGTTCAAGGAACTAAAAGAAGTTCTGTGAAGCTGAACTCCACAGAGCAAGGAAGAGAGTAGTCAGAAATGAGGCTGGTGAGGAAAGTGGAGGCAAACTTATATAAACTTTCCTAATGTCTTAAATCAGAAGGAGGCAGGTGCAAAGGGTATATGGGAGTTACTGGAGAGCAGGCTTAATTGAGAAAGTAAGGCACACAGACATGAAAAAGGAATAAGTCTAAGGCACAGGTAGAAGTCTGTTTTAAGTACCGCTTAGCAATAAGGGGAAGTAACTGAATGGCCTCCATTTATCAAGTAGAGAGAGAGTGACTTCCTAAGATGTGAAGTAGTAGAATTTCCCCCTTCAACTCATTTTGCTTTAACTAAAAAAAAAAAAAAAAAAAAAAAAAAAAAAAGTAGTTTGAAACCAGGCTGCTTAAATGGACAATCACAATGCATTTGATGATACTCAACAGTAAAGTCTTAATGTTTGTAATTTACCAAACAAATGATACATTTAGCAATATGATATTCAATGGTTTCCAAGTATAGATTATACAATTTTCATACAGGATACATGAAATTATTCTTTTATTTAATAAACTGTAACATTTTGTTGTTTGTTTTTTAAATGCAATTCACATAGCATAAAATCCATCATTTTAAATTGGGTATTAGTACATTCACTATGTGTGCAACCACTGTCACTATCTAAGCCTAGAACATTTCCATCAACCCCCAAAAATCCTGTACCTATTAGCACTTAGTCCCAATTTCCCACTCCCCTTATCCCCTAATAGATAGACTTGAACATTCAAATAGATAGACTTGAACAAATCCAACTCCTATTGGAAAATAAAAGAAGTGTTTCCTTCACTGTTTTCAACTTCTAGTTAACTTTAAATAGTAATCAACATGTAAAGTTTTCCATTGAAAAGGACAGTTTATTTCTCAAATTTTTCTTCTCTTGGTAGTAGTATAATTAGCATTTTTAATAGTCACATTTTTAGATTCAGTTCTTGAAGAGTCAGTTGAATATAAATTCATAATGCCAACTCGTACCATGCTGCATTTTTGAGATTGTAGAAATGTATATGCACTTGTATAGCATATGTTATTGAATTTAGTCAACATAATTTAGATGTATTGAATAATTATGACAGTATGCAAACCTCTTTAAATTGGCTAATGTATAATCAGCATTCATACTGCTTCAGCATAATCTAGTCTATTGCTTCTGTCAGGCAAAGAATTTGAGGTTCCTTCTATGGAGTATCCCAGTCTCCATCTAGAACACCAACATTTTGGGCCTTAGACAAGAATCACCTTCTCCAGGAAATCTCACCCGATCACTCTCACACATAGACCTTCCTTCCCTTTTTGGAATTCTTTTTCAGCACTTATTCATTTTAGACACCTAATGAAACATTGTGTTACAGTTTAATTGTGCTAGCAAAAGCAATGAAATGGTAAAATTTTTTTAACCTAACATCTTTTACATTCAAATGAATTTTAGTGCTGGAGCTTCTGCAGAAGCAATGCACTCATTTCAGTGACACTGCTATTACTCAAATCATTTTGTTAACTCCTGTTTCGCAACTACCATGAGTGGCACATTACAAATCATCTAGGCCAATCCCTATAGTGGACTAAATAAAGTCTTATCTGGTGAGGACTCACATTGCCCCCTCAAAATTGCTTTACTTCCTGATCTTGTCCTTAACCTTATCTGTCAACCTTGACAATGGCTCTTAATTTAGAGTCTAATTGTTAGCTCTTTGAGAAAAAAAAGGGATCCTTCCTTCATGGAGAAGTTGGGTGTATAAGCATTTATTTATGAGAATGGTTCAAAATATGCTATACACTAAGGGAATTATAATACAGATCTAAGACATGTATCTCTCTTATTAAGAGTTCCTGAACTAATTGGAAAGGCACACCATAAAAGACCCATTTAAAAATAATATGCCCTATTTTTAGGAAATGTATACAACTTTAAATGTGTATAAATTTTAGTAAATGCATATAAATAGTAAATGTATATAAATGTATATACATGTACTGTTAAAGTAAATTAGAATGAAGGCCTGATGAGTTCTTCAGCAGACAACGCCAGTTAAGCCTCATAAGTCACCTCAACCTTTGATTTGTAAACATAAGCAAAACTTAACTTGAGCTATTTCTTATAAATGCCTATATTCTTAAAAAGGAAAACTTAAACTCAACCAATCTGAGATAGCCAACAAACTTCTATTTATATAATTAGACTTTTCAAAGGAATAGACCAAATAAGGCAAGTATATATTTGGAACCAGTCAAATATTTTATATATTCACCCTATAAAAGCCTCCTCCTTGCATTTCCCCTCATTTAGAGCTACCCAATTCATGAATTGCTATATGTGCAAATAAATTTTTAAAAATTGTATTGTGCCTCAGTTTACTTTGTAACAATATTAAATAGGTAAATATATATATATATGGTTGGTAGGCATCAGTGCTAGAAAATCAGGAATAAAAGATAAAATCAAAGACTTATCTACTATGGGATGTAGAAAGGTGCTTTATGACACAAAACTTCAGAAATTACAAGATATAAACTAAAAATGAAAGTCAAGAAAAATGAAAGATTATTGGAAAATGTGGGTTACTATATCTCCTGTATTGTCCAAGGAAACCAGATACTGTTATATCATATAGTAGCAGGAAATTAATCTTCTTCAGTGTTCTTTACTTTTTGATGACTGAAAAAAAAAAACTTATATGTTAAAAAAACCTACAATCATGATACTATCTATACATACATGCTAAATGACTCCAAGTAATCAAATGACACTTTTTATCTCTTCTTAAATTTTAAATCTCATAAGTACAAGGAGTATATTTTCTCAATCACAAATAGATGTTCAACAATATTTGATGAAGGAATTTTATGAAGGGGTGATTAGACTCATTGATCCTAATCCTTAGCTTAATAAATTGGCCAATGCAAATGATACTATAGCCTGAATGTGAAAGACAGAGAGGTCAGTTAGGACAACAGAAGAGTTGACACTAATGTAGAGCTTTTAATTAGCATGTGAGAAAAAGTGATAGATGTTCTGCCTGTCCAAGGGCCAGAGATAGAAACTGTACAACTAGTTGGGACTCTTTATTTCTTCAAAGACTCAAGATATCTAGGCCTGGGAACCACTCCATCTGAATTGCATAGAACCACAGAGAACATAAGTAACAAATAATATAGAAGCAATGTTTGTATGTATATTAATTCACAAAGGTTTAGCTTAGTATGTCTAATACAGAGTAAAGATAATGTGGGCTGCTTGGGAGTCTGGAGACATAGCCTGAAGCAGTGCTATATAAACATAAAATTTCTTTGAAAACATTCTTTAAAACTCATGCAAATTTGACAGTGTAGTTTATTTCATATTTATGCTTGTTTTAATGACCATAAGGAGTATTTGTTTCCTGCCGGATCTTGAGTGTCTATCACTAGGCCCAGCACCTAATAAGCAATCAAAAACTACCTGTTGAATGAATGCCAAATTGCTTTATTTTCCAATTAGATAAGCAATATACCTTAATTTAAAAAAAAAATTTCACTGATAATGCACAGTATGTTATTTTAATGAATCTGTCAACTTTGGAAAATTAGCTTGAATTGAATCTTGATTGACATCTCCCATACAATTTTGCCTGTTTGTCTCAGAGCCATATTTTATAAGACTTCTTTCTTACCAAAAAAGAAACAATCAGCAACTCTTCCCCTTTATATGATCTTTGGTGCTTATTCTGATGGAAGACCCTCAGACATACACTTAGAAAAGACAATGCAAAGTTTAGGGGGTTTTCCTAATGGAAATTTTAATAAATGCATCTTCTTATTGAAATCTCTAGGCAATGGTTGTCAGGTTCTGGGCTGAAAGTGTTTCCGTTCCACTGGTCAGGCCATATTACTCTCTTGGGGAAAAATTTAAACAAAGGTCTTTTTAGTTAAAGAAAAAATGAAAAACCTACTGTTGATGTTCTTTACTCTTAATGCTCTCATTTTCCTTCCATGTAAATAGACTAAAAATCGTAAATGACTCATTTTATCAATAATTAACTTCTCATCTAAGTCTCAAACATCATTTTCACAGTAGCCATTTTGTTGTATGCAGTCAGATCATTCAATTTTTGCCTTACAGTTAATTGATTGTAAGTATTCAGCCTTGAAAAAAAAATCACTATGTAAGCAAATATTTGTAACACACTCTTCAATAAAGTTGGCAATGAATTAATTCATGTGGACAGATTCTTGCCCTTTATTATAGTGCCTTTTTCCTCATTAAAGGAAAATAGATATTAAGACTTTGAAAATACATAAACAGTTTCATTCATGGTCATAGTTATGCAAGAATCTGAGTTACTTCCTATTTGACATCTGACCAAATTTTTTCATTTTAAAATTATTTTATTTTGCGCTAATGACAACTGTATATATTATATATTTATGGAGTATAATGTGGTGTTTTAATATATGTTTTTAAAGAAACCCTCTTAATAGTATTTACCATTTTGCTACCTTAATAAACAAACCGCTACAATGAGATTGCCTTGTGATTTTCTTCCTGATTTATGATGGATAAAGAAGAGGGTGCAAGTACATTTCAAGGCACCATGTTTTGTCTGTCGTGATTTGGCTCCATCTGTGCACATATCTTTTAGAAACACTTTTTGCTCATCAGGAATGCTTTATAAAAATCACACATTTGTTGCTGAAATGTGTTCACAAGTTTTGTTGTTTTTTATCATTAATCATGGTGAACTTACTTAACATGTCTTCACAAACATATTTGAAGATGTTTAACTGATCTGAAGCAGGCTTTTTTTTTTCAGTAAATTGTGTGGCTCTTCATATCCTTCATTCTTTCCATTAGCTCGCTTCCTGTACTTCATATACTTTATTCTCCCCTGTACCAGCTCCTTGATAAACAGAAAATGTAATGTCATTCAGAAAATGTATTGAGAAGTGTTATAGAATCAACACCTATGAAAGGAGAGGGAGGAAAACAAGATTGCAGAGCAGGAAATGTTGAAATAAAATGCAGTCTCAACAATAACTAGACTTCTTGGGAGGCCGAGGCGGGCAGATCACGAGGTCAGGAGATCCAGACCAACCGGGCTAACACGGTGAAACCCCATCTCTACTAAAAATACAAAAAATTAGCTGGGTGTGGTGGCAGGCTCCTGTAGTCCCAGCTACTCAGGAGGCTGAGGCAGGAGAATGGCATGAATCCGGGTGGTGGAGTTTGCAGTGAGCTGAGATCGCACCACTGAACTCCAGCCTGGGTGTTAGAGCGAGATTCCATCTCAAAAAAAAAAAAAAAAAAAAAAAAAAAACAGTGACTAAATGACTAGACTTCTTGTACATGAGTCTGAAGACTGGTCACTTCCGTATTTTTGTTCTGGTGCATTATCTCTTCCTGTTTACGTTGCCCTAGTCTTAAAAGCATCCTTTTTTTTTTTTTTAATCTTTAAGTTCTGGGATACATGTGCAGAATGTGCAGGTTTGTTACATAGGTAAGCATGTGCCATGTTGGTTTGCTGCACCCATCAACCTGTCATCTACATTGGGTATTTCTTCTAATGCTATCCCTCCCCCAGCCTACCACCCTGACAGGTCCTGGTGTGTGATGTTCCCCTCTGTGTCCATGTGTTCTCATTGTTCAACTCCCACCTGTGAGTGAGAACATGAGGTGTTCGGTTTTCTGTTCCTGTGTTAGTTTGCTGAGAATGATGGTTTCCAGCTTCATCCATGTCCCAGCAGAGGACATGAACTCATCCTTTTTTATGGCTGCATAGTATTCCATGGTGTATACATGCTACATTTTCTTTATCCAGTCTATCATTGATGGGCATTAGGGTTGGTTCCAAGTCTTTGATATTGTGAACAGTGCTGCAATAAACATAAGTGTGCATGTGTCTTTATAGTAGAATGATTGATAATCCCTTGGGTATACACCCAGTAATGGGATTGCTGGGTCAAATAGTAATTCTGGTTCTAGATCCTTGAGGAATCGCCACACTGTCTTCCACAATGGTTGAAGTAATTTACACTCCCACCAACAGTGTAAAAGTGTTCCTATTTCTCTACATTCTCTCCAGCATCTGTTGTTTCCTGACTTTTTAATGATCGCCATTCTAACTGGCATGAGATGGTATCTCATTGTGGTTTTGATTTGCATTTCTCTAATGACCAGTGATGATGAGCTTTTTTTCATATGTTTATTGGCCACTTAAATGACTTCTTTTGAGAAGTGTCTGTTCATATCCTTTGTCCACTTTTTGATGGGGTTGTTTTTTTCTTGTAAATTCATTTAAGTTCTTTATCAATTCTGGATATTAGCCCTTTGTCAGATGGATAGATTGCAAAAATTTTCTCCCATTCTGTAGGTTACCTGTTCACTCTGATGATAGGTTCTTTTGCTGAGCAGAAGCTCTTTAGTTTAATTAGATCCCATTTGTCAATTTTGGCTTTTGTTGCCATTGCTTTTGGTGCTTGTCATGAAGTCTGCACATGCCTATGTCCTGAATGGTATTGCCTAGGTTTTCTTCCAGGTTTTTTATGGTTTTAGGTCTAACATGTAAGTCTTTAATCCATCTTGAATTAATTTTTGTATAAGGTGTAAGGAAGGGATCCAGTTTCAGTTTTCCGCATATGGCTAGCCAGTTTTCCCAACATTTATTAAAGAGGGAATCCTTTCCCCATTGCTTGTTTTTGTCAGGTCTGTTAGATTAGATGGTTGTAGATGTATGGCATTATTCCTTAAGCCTCTGTTCTGTTCCATTGGTCTATATGTCTGTTTTGGTACCAGTACCATGCTGTTTTGGTTACCGTAGCCTTGTAGTATAGTTTGAAGTCAGGTAGCATGATGCCTCCAGCTTTCTTCTTTTTGCTTAGGATTGGTTGGCTATATGGGCTCTTTTTGGCTCCATATGAATTTTTAAGTAGTTTTTTCTAATTCTACGAAGAAAATCAATGGTACCTTGATGGATATAGCACTGAAACTGTAAATTACTTTTGGCAGTATGGCCATGTTCACAATATTGATTCTTCCTACCCATGAGCATTGAACATTTTTCCATTTGTTTGTGTCCTCTCTTACCTTCTTGAGCAGTGGTTTGTAATTCTCCTTGAAGATGTCCTTCACATCCCTTGTAAGTTGGATTTCTAGGTATTTTATTCTCTTTGTAGCAATTATAGATGGGAGTTCACTCATGATTTGGCCCTCTGTTTATATAGGAATGCTCATGATTTTTGCACATTGATTTTGTATCCTGAGACTTTGCTGAAGTTGCTTATCAGCTTAAGGAGATTTTGGGCTGAGACGATGGGGTTTTCTAAATATACAATCATGTCATCTGCAAATAGAGACAATTTGACTTCCTCTCTTCCTATTTGAATACTCTTTATTTCTTTCTCTTGCCTGATTGCCCTGGCCAGAACTTCCAGTACTATGTTGAATAGGAGTGGTGAGAGAGGTCATCCCTGTCTTGTGCCGATTTTCAAAGGGAATGCTTCCAGCTTTTGTCCATTCACTATGATATTGGCTGTGGATTTGTCATAAATAGCTCTTATTATTTTAAGATACGTTCCATCAATACCTAGTTTATAGAGAGTTTTTAGCATGAAGGGGTGTTGAATTTTGTCAAAGGCCTTTTCTGCATCTATTGAGATAATCGTGTGGTTTTTGTTATTGGTTCTGTTCGTGTTGACTGTTTACGTTTATTGATTTGCATATGTTGAACCAGCCTTGCATCCCAAGGATAAAGCCGACTTGATGGTAGTGGATAAGCTTTTTGATGTGCTGCTAGATTCGATTTGCCAGTATTTTATTGAGGATTTATGCATCAATGTTCATTAGGGGTCTCAGCCTGAAATTTTCTTTTTTTTGTGTGTCTCTGCCAGGTTTTGGTATCAGGATGAAGCATTAGGTTTTTTCATAACACAAAACTACTATAATTTTTCAATCACTGCTTATACTTTAAAAGTTTCCATGCTCCAGGCTTTTGAGACAAAATAGACATTCACCAAAATAGAAAAGTTATATTCTTATAATTTCACCTGTGAATATACTACATGATGAATATTCTAAGAAAATAAAACTTCGATGTTTTCCAAATCTTTGAAAAAAAAATCTCCAATTAGAAAGGTAATTTTCTTGTAGCTGTGCACATATTTGTTCACAGGTGTGTCCATATTCTCCAATTTGAAGATCCCAGTAGAAAAAAGATGCCCCAGGAGACATGGAAGAGCTATGCCAGAGGCATTCAAGTCATATTTTACTAAAAGCCAAGTTGCCCATCTCCTGACCTGATAAAGTATATTTCTGTGTTCTCTTTTCATCTTTCTATCCATAGCTGACTACCTGGATACAATTTATGCCATGGTACCTCTTTTTTTTTTGAGATGGAGTCTCACTCTGTCGCCCAGGTTGGAGTGCAGTGGTGTGATCTCACCTCACTGCAAGCTCTGCTTCCTGGGTTCACGCCATTTTCCTGCCTCAGCCTCCTGAGTAGCTGGGACTACAGGTGCCCGCCACTGCGCCCGGCTAATTTTTTGTATTTTTAGTAGAGACTGCGTTTCACCGTGGTCTCAATCTCCTGACCTCGTGATCCGCCTGCCTTGGCCTCCCAAAGTGCTGGGATTACAGGCGTGAGCCACCGTGCCCGGCCTGCCATGGTACCTCTTAAAACTCTAGAAAAATAGCGTTTACTCTCTTCAGGAAAGCTTGCTTCAGCATTTCCTGCTGCTGTAGATGAGGGTTTATAGGGGAAAAGAGGAAAAGACTATGTTCCCAGGACTTAATTCCTGGAAACATGTTAGTCTTCATGTGATGACTGGGAAATTTAAGAGCACTCCAGCTCTTTCTGAGACATGTCCCCATGTCTCCTGCTTTTCCATCCCTCCACTCCACCATCCACTTATACTACCTAGGTGGCATGAATGGATTATCCCAAAACATTTTGACTATGGGCTCAATATGCCATCAAGGAAACAACTACCAGAAAAAAACAAGCACAGGAGTTGTGCTCACTTTTGAAAAACATGGCATCTGATGGGAATGATTTTAAAATATTAATAGCTTGAGTACTTCAACTTTATTAATCAATATATAATGGGACAAATCTTAGCACAAAAACCTGACTCAGAAAGCCAAAGAAAAGTAGAGTGAGACTATGTTGCAGGTTAGGATACATATCCTTGGGAAACATATCCTTGGATAGAGATTGGCATTTAGAAAAGGTATTGAGAAGTGTTCTAGAATCAGCACCTGTGGAAGGGGAAGGATGAAAAGCAAGATTGGACAGCAGGAAAAGTTGGAATAAAATATAGTCTCAACAATGGTCAAAGTCCACAGGGAATTCTAAAGGTGGGAGGTTCCTTCCAATTTGTTGCAGATTGTGGTGAGAAAGCCAAGCCCTTATATCCTCAAATTGATCAGTCATTGGAAGTTGGCTACCCCTAAAAAAGGAGTGGTAGGAGTGTGACTTTGGGATATGCAGCGTTTTCCAACCAAGAGCAGTTTCCAAAGAAGGATGACACGTAAGGGTTTCAAGCAATTAGACTAACAAGCTCTTCTGTGCTGAACAGAGATCTGGGCAGCATATCACAACATTCCCTAATGATGATCATTTTTCTCTCCAAGCCATGAAGCTCCCATTGACACCCTCGAATAGACATAAAGTAGACATTTCTCAAGGGAAAAGGAGATGAAAATTTGCCCAAGCTAAAATAGCAGAAATTTCAAACTCAAGTTTGGAGTAAATATTTTTAAAATATTATATATTAGTATATGTGCCCTTACTTTTTTGTTTAATATCCATTTTACTTTTAAAGGATTAAACATTATAATAATTGATTCAATATACCGAAACTCTTCCATGTGTTAAGCACCATGCTAGAGGCATGCATGTAATCCTGCAACAAATTTAAGGGTTACATAATGCCACACACATTGTATAGATTAAGAAAGTAAGGCTTGGGCAGGGTGCAGTGGCTCATGCCTGTATTCCCAGCACTATAGGAGGCTGAGGTGGGTGGATTGCTTGAGTACTGGAGTTCAAGACCAGCCTGGACAACATAGCAAAACCCCGTCTCTACTAAAAATACAAAATACTAGCCAGGTGTGGTGGTGCATGCCTGTAATCCCAGCTACTCGGGAGGCTGAGGTGAGAGAATCACCTGAGCCCAGGAGGTCAAGGCTTCAGTGAGCCAAGATTGCACCATTGCACTCCAGCCTAGCAATCAGAGTGAGACCTTGTCTCAAAAAAAAAAAAAAAAAAAAAAAGAAAGTAAGGTTCAGAGAAGTTAAATACGTTATCCTTGGTCACACAGCTAATAGACCGCTAAGTTTAAATGTACATATGTCCGACTCCAAAGCCTGTGTGCTTTCTACTATTTTGCACTATTTCTTAGGTTAACCAGAAACTATATTTAAGATACAGCTTTACAATTTATCAACTCTAAAATTCTGGGGCATTTGTTCATTCCATTCAAAAAAGCAGAGTCAACAATGCTCTTGATCTTAGTAACTCAGAAATGAATCTAGTACTTTTGATCAATTTTCACAGGTATAAAAAGGGAATTAAAAATGCATGCCTTACCTATATAAATAGCTTATGATGATCAAATGTGATAAAGCATACTTAAGTGACTTAAAAACTGTAAAGTACTAGAAATAACATCTTAATTGTTAAGGTTCACAATAACAGCATCTGGCAAATAGACTCAACATGGTAAGGTTTGAAAAAGCATATGCCCTAATGTGCATGCTCATCTAATGTTTAGCTATGACCTTCACTTTCAGGCCTAAAAAAAGTTAATAATTAGTAATATTAATGTTAATTTTTAAAAAAGAAAGGAAGTCCACATTTCTATTTTAATGGAAGAAAATGATGTATAAAATAAAAATAATAATTCTATTAGTTACAGTCACCATACGAAAGTATAAATTGCTTTGTGAAACATATATAAGATTTTGCACGGGGGAAAATCTGGCACTGAATGTTTGGAAACAGTCTAGTTCTTGAATTGTACCGTTTTCTAATTCTTCTATACATTCTTTTATATATAGTAATAGTCAAATGGGGAGGAGGGTATAGGGTAAACTCTGGCTGAGCAGTTATCCAATAACCCTGCAAATACAGGGTTGCTTGGGAGAGGCTGATTTGGAGAATGTGGCTTAAGCCAAGACTCAACTGAGGCTTATTTTTCCCATGGGCCAGCAAGGCAAAAAATCTGTTTACTCAATAAACATCATAGAAAAGGGTATGAACACAAATAAAATAATGGCAATTTGATTCATCGGAAACAAGGAGGATATGGTAAAAAGACCATGACACATGCAGGCACTAGCTTTTAAAGCAGAGCCATCCCCACAAGTAAAACACAACCTAATAAAAATAGCAACTCTACCAAAATGAAGAACTATCCAGTGGGTGAAGAGGGAGGCTAAAAGCAATAAAGTAAATGCTCTGTATTCTCTGAAAATAGAAAATGGTAATATGCTCTAAAAATATGCCTGTCACATACATATACCTTCAATTTCCCTCACCTACACACACTCTTCCTAATATGAAGCTTTTTCCAATGAATTATTTAGTAAATAGATAAATAATTTTTATGTTAAAGAAAAAAGTACCTAAGGGAGATATAAAACAAATGGATAGTAAAATTCAATGTGATGCCAAACATACCCAAATTTATCTACAGATTCAATACAGTCCGAATCAAGATTTTTAAAATTTTTGTCAACTTAAAAAACATATTCTGAAATATACATAGAAAACCAAATGGTCAAAATAGCCAAAATGAAGAAAGACATGCTCAATTAGCTATAGGAATTAAGACAATATGGCTATTGGCACAGCAATAGAAAAATAAACCAATGTAACAGGATACAGTGTCCAGAAATAAATCCATGAAAATGTAAATATTTGTTAAATGTAGCATTGCAGATTATTGGGGAAAGAACCATTTTTTTAAATATATTAGGTTATTTTTTATACATATGGCAAAAACTATTAGATCTCTACCTTATCCTATCCACACAAATTTTAGATAAATTACAGAACTAAATGCAAATAACAAAGCTATAAAGCCTTTAGAAAATAATACAAGTGAAAACTTTCATGACTATGTAGCAGGGAAAGAACTCTTAAATAGGACCAAAAAGGAAAAGCTAAACTTACTAATTTAAAAGTTAGAATTTCTGTTAAATACATCAAGAGAGATAAGAGAAACTGCAAAACTAAAAATATAGTTGCATTTTACTAAGAACTGGAATATATATATATTTATATATACACACATGTATGTATACATATCATAAATGTATGCTTTTTAAAATATAATCCTCTGTGTGTGTGTGTGTGTATGAGTGTGTGTGTGTGTGTGTCTAGGAATTAAAAATATATAGTGTCTAGGGACCCAATAGAAAATGGATAAAAGATCTTAATAAATACTTCAAAAAGAGGACATTTATAAAATATGCCTGACCTCACAAGTAATTAGGAAAATGGAAATGAAACCAATTTCAGTCATCTAATTGAAAAAATTTAGTTTAACAATTCAAACTCTCATAAGCTGCTAGTTTGAGTGTCATTTGGTACAATCACTTTGGAAAATCATTTAACAGTAATCATCAAGGTTGAAAATATGCATAGCCTATGACCCTGTGGTTCTCATCCTATGTATAATCATAGAGTAACTCTTGCACATGTGCACTAAAAGGCATGTAAAAGAGTGTTCATTCCTGTGTTCACTGTAATAGTTCCAAACTGGAAATAACCTAAATAGCCATAAAAAGTAGAATAGGAAAAGTATGGCATATAATAGAATGCTATACAACATTGAAAATGAACAAACAACTGCTAAAGACAATTAATATGTTAAATAAAACAAGTCACAAAAGTATATAGATAATATGATTTGGTTTATATGATGTTCAAAAATAGACAAAACCAAGTTTTCTTGTTTAGATATGCATACATAGGTGGTTAAACTACAAAGAAAAGAAAATGATTATTTCATTTAAAATATTGTATT
Source organism: Homo sapiens (assembly GCF_000001405.40). Classification (NCBI taxonomy): domain Eukaryota; kingdom Metazoa; phylum Chordata; class Mammalia; order Primates; family Hominidae; genus Homo; species Homo sapiens. Next base: position 109,036,031 of record NC_000007.14, on the reverse strand, counting down.
CAAGTTATATTTTAAAAATTAAAAAAAATTATCTAGTGGGAAGGTTTGTTCAGGAAGAGATATATATAGGATGGCTAATGTATTCTGTGTCTTAAGTCTTAGGGTGTTTCTATGCTGAGCCATTCACCAGGTAATTGCAAAACTTTAATTTTATTATCCTACCAACTAATATTAGTTGAGAAATAATATATGCAATGCACCAATTTGACTTTAGCTGATATGTTGAAAACAATCTATTTTTTTTTTACCACTCACAATACTAAATATTTTTCTAATTTTTTCTGTTTATTTTTTGAAGTTCGATCTGAATTATGTTTTCTATTAAAACGTTCAAGCTGTCAAAATTGAAAATATAGAAAGAAGGTAAACTTTAGGTCAACTGTAATTGCTTCATAGAAAAGGAGGTATTTGAGATACACTTGGAAAGGTAAGTGGAAATTTGATATCAGGGAAAGAGGGCTACATAGCAAGCACAGACATGTTCAATGATTGATAAATAGATGATCTTGACTATGAGGTTTATGTTTGAAAATAACTGAAGTCTAGAAAGTTCAAAAAGTTATTTCTGGACAGATTCCCACCTACGGACTCTACCATCCAGCCAAGCAAGACAACCCAGTCATTCTTCAAATCTCTGCTTACTGTCATCTCCTTAGGGAATCCTTTTCAATCTCTGTATTAGAACAACTTCAATGCTACAGCATATAGACATAATAACTCAAACACAATAAAAGTTTATTTCTTCCTCATCTAACACCACAATGTGGATGAAGAGTTTGTCAGACAGCCTGTCTTCACAATTATTCAGGACTATCCAAACTCTGTGACCTTCATCATGAGATTTCCACTGTAATTCTTTGGCTTACCTCTACCCCAGCAACTAGAAGGAAAAAGGTCATGGAGAGAAGGATGCTACATGGCAGAAGGACTTTGTGGACCTGAAAACAGATCACATCTACTTACATTGTAATGGCTGGACTTATTCACATGTGTCTATCTGTAAAAGAACTAAGAAATATAGCCTATATGCATATAGCATTTACTTATGTACAGAGGTAAACTTAGGTTTTGGTGAGCAGCTAGCAATTTCTTCCCTACACCACTAAAATGTAGTAACATCAAAAATTTGAAAGAGAAGAGAAATTTTTTATCAGACTAATTCTAAAGAAAGATTGCTTATATCACAATATTATTATGAGAGGAAATAGATTTAAAAACCAAATTCACTGTTATAGGTAAAGCAAATGACCAAATAACAATGATAGTCAATTAATTAAAAATGCAATTAAACCTAAATTTGTATGTCTATTAACATTAAAGATACATGAAATTAAAATTACTAGAACTGAGAGAATTACAAAGAGAAATTGCCAAATCATTAAGGGAGCTTTAATCATATTTCTTTCTATATTCAAAATTTGAAAGGCCAATGGAAAATGGAAAAATGATAAGGCTATAGAAGATTAGAACAAAACCATTGTCAATTTTGATCTAATAACCATATATACAACTCAGCACTTAATAATTACAATTTATTTTATAAAATGAACCATATTTGTTCACATAGCTATACATATGTAAAAAAAAAATCATTGATACACACCATTAAGGCCTAACAGGCCACAGTCCTAACAGGACTGATAGCAGTCCGTGGCCTGTTAGGAACTGGGCCACACAGCAGGAGGTGAGTGGCAGAGCAAGCAAAGCCTCATCTGTACTTGCAACTGCTCTCTATCTTCGTTCCTTGTGTTGCCGCCTGAGCTCCACCTCCTGTCAGGTCAGCAGTGGCATTAGATTTTCACAGGACCACAGACCCTATTGTGAACTGTGCATGTGAAGGATCTAGGTTACGTCCTCCTTATGAGAATCTAATGCCTGATGATCTGTCACTCTCTCCCAGCATCCCCAGATAAGACCATCTAGTTGCAAGAAAACAAGCTCAGGACTCCCACTGATTCTATATTATGGTGAATTATATAAATGTTTCATTATATATTACAATGTAATAATAGAAATAAAGTGCACAATAAATGTAATGTGCTTGAATTATCCCAAAACCATTGTGCAACTCCCCAGCCCCCCATGAAAAATTGTCCTCCATGAAACAGTTCCTGGTGCCACAAAGGTTGGGGACCACTGCTCTAAATGAATTATGTTCCAGTTCCTTTTGGTCCCTCTTAGTATCACAACCTGTCAGACACAAGTCAGGAATTTGTTAGCATTGTTGCAATCATCTCACTCTGTACCAATTTTCATCTTATTCACAGACCCCTATGGCTAATATGAGTAACACCATGTGTTGATGTTAGCATATAGTAGATTCAGGCACGCTGGCAGTCAGCTTTCTTCATAGCCAGTGTTCTCAGGAATTCCTTCTTCCTTTCTTTTTGGTTCTTTTCTCCTCTCAGAATATGTTTTTGCAAGTGGAGCCTTTTTTTTTATTTTGGAGAGAAGGTGACATGTCATTCACATGCTCACTTGTAGATTGTGGCTATATGACCTTCTGCCTACTATTTATTTCACACTTTATTTATTGAACACTCCTGGCCTTAAACATGCATTTTCTGAAAACTTCATAGTAGTTAGATAACATTAGGTGATATTTTGCATTACCAGTATGAGGCACTATTAGAAGGCCATATGATTTTTAGCATCCTCCCCTAATGGCACTGCTTACTAGAACTCCAGTTACAAATAGATAACTGAGAGTCCTACAGAAATGCAGCATCTTAACAAGCTCCTTCAGAAACTTGAGAAGCAAGGAAAATGTTTAATTGAGACTTTTTTCTTTAATTTTACTTTAAGGCATTAAAATTTCCTGGGTCAGTGATTGAAAAAATTAATACAAATGCTTTATAACATTACATAGCATCATGTCAAATATTACTCGTTCATGATTTCCTGTATGATTCAGCAAGGTGGTTCATGGCAAAAACAAACAAAAATGCATTTAAATATTACCCTAATAATGCATGTGTTTCTTGAAATTTAGCATTACAAACTTACTTATCAAACAAACGAAGTGATGCTTGCAATTAAATGTCAGTAGATTCAAAAAATAAATTCACTCAAACAACATGCTCTTTAGGAATGTGGCTTTCAAGTCTACCATAGATCTAATAATTCCCATCTTCCTCACCAGCTAGCGTATCAGCTACCCACTGGCAAAAGGATTCTGTGTAAGTACCAAGTAGGTCTTGTCCAAACCCAGAGGTGTGGGGGTTTATGTGTGAGTCTCTAATTTCAGAGCCATATACAAATAACTTTAATAATTTGCTATTTTAGGCCATCTGTCTATCTGTTCTGGAGTATATTAAAAGTCAAAAAATCAAATTTGATCAACAAAATACATTCATGTTTAAAAAGAAGTGTCCCCCTCCAAAACGGTGAAATAGTGTAAACTCAAATATTACCAAAACATTGTTGATTCATAAATAAGAATGTCATTTAATATTATACTTTACATGTCTTGGTTGAGGGAAATAATCAAAACCAATATTAGCATACATGTCTTAGTTCATTTTTACATTGCTGTAAAGGAATACCTGAAGCTGGGTAATTTATAAAGAAAAGAGCTTTATTTAGTTCACAGTTCCGCAGGTTTTACAAGAAGCACGGGCAGCTTCCACTCCTGGTGGAAGGCATAGAGAAACCAGGTTTTACAGAGATTACATGGTGTGAGAGGAGGAAAAGAGAGAGGAGAGGTTTCTGGCATTTTTTTTCTTTTTTAAAGAAAGAACAACCAGCACTTGTGGTATCTAATAGAATAAGAAGTTGCTCACCCCCAAGGGAGGGCATTAATCTGCCCACATGCCCCAAACACCTTTCATCAGGCCCCGTCTCCAACACTAAGGATCAAATTTCAGCATGAGGTTTAGAAAGGACAAATATTCAAATTGTAGCAGTACAACTGTGGCAGAATGCTTTTTCCACCACATCCCCTTCCTGCAGCATGACACCATTGTGGAAGACAGTGTGGCAATTCCTCAAGGATCTAGAGCCAGAAATACCATTTGACCCAACAATCCCATTACTAGGTATACACCCAAAGGATTATAATTCTACTATAAAGACATAAGCACATATATGTTTTTTGCAGCACTGTTTACAATATCAAAGACTTGGAACCAACCCAAATGCCCATCAGTGTTAGATGGGATTAAGAAAATGTGGCATGTATACACCAGGGAATACTATGCAGCCATAAAAAAGGATGAATTCATGTCCTTTGCAGGGACACGGGTGAAGCTGGAAACCATCATTATCAGCAAACATAGGAACAGAAAACCAAACATCATATGTTCTCACTCATAAGTGGGAGTTGGACAATGAGAACACATGGACACAGGAAGGGGAATGTCACACACTGGGGCCTGTCAGGGGTTTGGGGGTTAGGGGAGGGATAGCATTAGGAGAAATACCTAATGTAGATGATGGGTTGATGAGTGTAGCAAACCACCATGGCACGTGTATACCTATGTAACAAACCTGTACATTCTGCACATGTAAACCAGGACTTAAAGTATAATCATAAAAAAAATTTTTTAAAATAGGCAAATGGCCTGAATAGACATTCCTCAAAAGGAGACATACAAATGGCCAATAAGTATATGGAAAAATGCTCAACATCACTAATCACCAAGGAAATGCATATCAAAATCACAAAGAAATTTAATCTCACCCCATTTAGAATGGCTATCATCAAAAAGACAAAAAATAATAAATGCTGGCGAGGATGCAGAAAATAAGTAATGCTCATACACTGTTGATGGGAACGTAAAGTAGAACAGCCATTATGGAAAATAGTGCAAGCCTTCCTCAAAAACCTAGAAATAGAATGAACATATGATCCAGCAGTCCCACTGCCAGGTAGATATCCAAAAAATAGGAAGTCAGTATATAGAAGAGATATCTACACTTTCATGTTTATTATAGCCCTGTTCACAATAGCCAAGATATGGAATCAACCTAGGTGCCCATCAACAAATGAATGGATTTTAAAATATGATATATATGCACAATGAAATACTATTCAGCCACAAAAAGAATGCATTTCTGTCATTTGCAGCAACACAGATAAAACTGGAGGCCATCATGTTAAGTGAAATAAGCCATGCTTAGAAAAATATTTTATGTTCCCACTCATATGTGAGAGCTAAAAAATAGATTTCATGGAGACAGAGCATAGAACGGTAGTTACCAGAGCATAGGAAAGGAAGGGTGTGGGGATAGAGTTGGTTAATGGGTACCAAAAAACAAATAGAAAGTTAAGAACCAGTATTCAATAATACAGTAGGAAAATTATAGTTTAACAATAATTTATTGTATTCTTCAAATAGCTGGAAGAAAAGAATTATAATGTTCCCAATACAAAGAAAAGATAAATTTTTGAAGTGATGAATATCCCAATTACACTTACTTGATCATTACACATTTATACATGTATCAAAAAATCCCATATACCCCAACATATGTACAACAATAATATATCAATTTAAAAAAAAAGAAAGAATGTGGCAAATTATTTACCCCAGATCAGAATCAGTGACTTTGTACATAAAAAAGAACAGTGCTGGGCCATCTCCTAATTCCATATGTGTTTCCTACAACGGACACTGTCATTCTCCCTTTGAAATACTGAAAAATTATACAACTCCAATCTTTTCCTCTGCTCCTAAATTAGGCAAATACTGTATATAAATTTCACAATGGCATTTGTTTAGTCTCAGCTACTGTTAAGTCAAGATCGAATTTCTGAATACTATGATAATGTTTTCTTTTTCAGAAAACGAAGCAGTTACTTTAATTCATTCTAACATATTTTGAGTTTCATGCAGACTGATCTGAGTAAAATATGTGCATGTGATCTATAATGACAAAGTTATTCTATGAGGAGTCGTAAGACTCTTTCATTCAAAGCTTTGATACTGAGTTGGTCAAATGACCTTTAGCTTCACTTTCTTCTCCTGAAAACTAAAGAAATAGCATCTGCGTTGTCTAGAACTCTATGTTAATGTGAGATCAAATGAGGTAATGCATACCAAATGGATTTTAAAGTATGAAATTATTCACTAATGGAAAGGATTAAAGGGTAATGTAGATACTGCTCTACAGAAGATTTTTAAAACAATTTTTCATTTAATGAATATTTAGAGTATCTCCCACATGCCTGCCTTCTGTGGAGTCCTGAAAAAGGGGTGAACGTGTATGTAGGAAGGGATTGGATATGTAAAGCATCATACTCCCTTGGCTCAAAGAGCTTGTAATAATATGAGAATCAAGATATAAAACAATTAAAATCCAAAATAACAATTTAAAGCAGCATAGAATTAGATGGTAAGAAACAGGGGAGATCATTAGTGCTAAAAATAGGTCTTTGGAGAGAGGTCATAAAGTGCTGGAAAATTCAGGTCCCTCCAGGCCTTATAATCCCTTAACATTCCCTGATTCATTAATCTATTTTCAACTTTTAAAGTCTGTATATTTTAGAAAAGAAACGCTTGAATGTATGTTCATGATTCAACAACCTACACGGTACAATGTAAGAATTCCACACTGCTCTGTGACTACCACTTAATCTGGCAACCTCCAAATCCCATTTCTCTCCCCACTGAAAACCATAGTTAATGGTTTGATGGTGTGTATCCTAGAGTTTTTGTGTATTGATACACACACACACACACACACACACACACACACCCACTCAACTTGTAGCATCAAATTCCAAAACTTGCTTTGTTTAGTGTCTCAGCAAACCTTCTGTGATAATACATGTAACTTTAATATTTTTGAAAATGATACTTTGTATAAATATACCACATGCTATTTATTCTATTAGTAGGCATTTAGATGCTACAAATTCTCCAGTATTATAAGCCACACAGCACCACTATCTGGAAGCTCATAGGCGGTTTGATACATCACCAGCATGAGATGCCATATGACATCATGTCAGACTAAGGAACCCACTCTACATAAAGTAGGTTCATGGCCATGGAATCCACTGATTGTATTACCTATCATACCATGCAGAAAGTGGTGGCCCAAGAGAGCAGTGAAACAGTCTGCTGAACACACATTTGAAGGACTCTCTTGGAGGCAATACTCTGTGAAGATGGAGTCCCGTCCTTCCAGATGCAGTAAAGACCTTTATACAGAACTGTATCCTGGGTGGGAAGAGCACATGGGTCTTAGAACCAAGTGATTACCACCATGGAAAATTTGCTTCCTATCATTTTTAGTCTCAACTTTAGGCTCTGCAGTTGGATGTCTTGGTCCCTAAAGGAGATATACTCTGCCAAAGGACATACTGAGAGTCTCATTGAACTATAAGCTAGCTCTGCCCCTGGGCCCTTTGAATTTCTCATGTCTAGATACTAGGAAGCAGGCAAAGGAATCAACATCATGGCAGTCAGGAGGAGGTAGGGCTGCTGTTGCACAATGAGCTTCAGGGAAATATGCGTGATACCCAGGTGAATGCTTGGGGTGCCCCTTAGGACTCTCTTGCCCAATTGTGGTGGTCAATGAAAAAGTGCCGCAATATCAGACTGAGAAGAACAGGGTGACCAGAGGCTTAGACCTTTCGGGAATGAAAATCTGTGTCATGCCACCAGGTAAACCACCAGGCCCAGCAGTTACTAGGTGAAGATGAGGAGAACTGAGCATGGAGATTAGAGGAGGGAGGTAACGAGCATCAGTTCCAGCCTCCAAAACAGCTGCATTGCCAATAGCTCTAGTTATTCCCAATTTTCCCCAAAGAAGAAAGACTCACAGTGTTATGGAGCCTCTCAAGGGATAAGTTATAGTGGACATAAAGATTCACTTTCCAGATCCTTCTTCAAGGAAAGCCAGTTTTCCCCAACCACTGGGAATAGTCTGCATACAGACTCTAGCTGTTAACAGTCTGCCTCAGCTGCAGAGAGCCACTTTTTCCAATGGCACACCCTTCCTGGGGTGGCCGATATCTTATGATTGACTGTAGCAGTGATATTAAGGCCATTTTGTCTAGCATGTGACAGCTCTAATGAGCCACATTTGGCCTAGAGCGCTCCATGAAATTGATCAAGGCTTTTCTGAGCCTGCATCACAGCTCAACTTCTTCCTCTGCTCAATTCAGCTTCCATCTTCTTTTTTCCAAAGGTGTTAATCCCTAATAAATATTCTGCTTGCCAAAACAGAGTCTATTTCTAAAGAACCTAACTCAAGACATGTCTGTATCAGTCTGCTATTTCTGTGTAACAACCATGCACTCTCAGTGGCACAAAACAGGAATACTTATTTGCTTACATATCTGCAGGTTGACTGCAGGTTGGCTGAATTAGGCTGGGCTTGGCTGTGCCCAGCTTTATGTGTATATTGGGTAAGGTCTGATCCACACGTGTCATCTTTCTTATATCATCATGCTTTAGGGGAAAGAGCCTTTTCATGGTAATTTCAGAGATGTAAGGGCCAATCCCTCCATACAAGTACATTTAAGTCTTTCCTTATATTTGCTAATATTTATCTATTTAGCTAAACATGTCACATGGCTGAGCCCATAGTCAAGGGGCTGGAAAGTATATTCCCTTTTGGGTGGATAGATGTAAGACACTGAAGGGAGTGAATGTTTTTGAACAATAATTTAAAATCACAGTGTTCTTTTCTACTTCAGATTTCCCTTATTTATTGACATGTGCTTTGTAAGAGGTCTGTATATATTAAAACTTTTGTCTCAGATTTGTTGCAATATTTTCCCAATTTTTAAAGTTATAAATGTATACTTTATGTGGTCATATTTATATTTTGCACTCTAATTTTTTTCTTTTGTATTTATCCTTAGAAATCCCTTCTCTTTCCAGAAGTCAGAGAAGCAATCATTGCTTTCACCTCTGATACACTACTTAGTCCTTCCTTTCCTCTGTCCTCTGACTGAGCTTTATCTTGAATCCTCACTTCGTCTTTCCTAAAATGTTAATGTTATGGCAGGTTTTCTACACAATCTTCTTAACTTCTTACTCTAGGCCACTGTAGTTCACTGGGGGACATAAGTACTTAATACTTCTCCTTGAACACCTCTTTTTAACAATACAGATTCAGTAGTAAACATCAATGCTCTTATCCAAATTTTCCAATCCCTCCCCATCTTTCAAATGCATGGCATGGTAGTATTGAAAGTCACTGCTCCATTAAAGTTGGGACACTCTATGACTTGCTTTGATCAATAAAAGTAGAAATGACCATTGTGACTACTAGGTGGGAGATTAAAGAGCTAGCATACGTTTTGCCACCCTTTCTTCTGCCTCAGAATTCATGGATGCAAGGAGGTGAAGCCTCCATGAGACCCAGGACCCTGAGAGAAAATGGTGTGGAGCAGAGCCTTTGGCTGATTCCTGATGGATAAGGAGCCAGAGGATGAAATAAATCCACTGACAATTTTTTTAAGCATGGCATAATCGAACATGCCCTAACTGATATTGAGTTCAAACCTTCCTTTCCCACTCCCACTCTGGCACTAGAATATCCATAAATCTAAGTATATAGCATTTTTAAAACTCACCAGCTATTTCTGATGTTCCTACCACATCTACTTAAAAACCTCTTTTCTAAGTGTTTCTGAGCTTAATCCCCACAGTTTCTACCATAATCTGTTTGTTCATGCTCAATGTCCAAAATTACTATATTCAATTTTCCAATTTCTCTGGGGTGGATAGAGCTTTCCTGCCTTCTCCACCCACATTACAATTCAGGCTATACAACTTTCCAAAGCCCATCCCCCCACTTATGCTATGGATGGCAGCCACTCCTACTATATCAAAGACCCATTACTACAGATTTTTTCCTATCTCTTTATTTGGTTTTACCTTTAACAGCTCCCTCTCTCATGCATTTTTCTTTATTTTATACTAGGATCTCTCAATATTGAAAAGAATTCTCCATTGACCTTTTTTTTTAACTGCTAACATCTTTAAAGCCAAACTTCTAAAATGAGTTATTAATGAATGCACTCTCCATTTCTTCCTCCCATTTTCACCTCGATCACTCCAGTCCAGTTTCCACCTTCATCATTCTGTGGAAAAGACTCTCACAATAGTGTAAACCCTGGGGAAATTTTTTTTATCATCTTAATTGCAAATTCAGTGGCACCAAGCACTGCTGATCTCTCCATTCTTGAAGGGGACTCTCTTTAGCTTCAGTGACCCCAAACTCTCTTTCCTACTAACACTTTTAGGGGTTTCCCTGTCATTCTTTCTCAAGCTCATCTGGGTCTTCCCACTTTTGTTTAGAGACCGTTATCCAGATTTATGCATTAAGACTGGATTTAGCAATGAGTAAGAAGAAAACCCAAGTTGCAGTGCTTAAATAAAGTTCCCACAGATCAACCACATCCACTTCAGAACTCTCTAATTTCTAGGGTGTGATCTGCATCCTCATGGTCCAAGGTAGCATCTAGATTCCAGACTACAAGATGGAAGGAAGAGAGGAAAACAGCAAAAGGGAGTGCACCAGGTATTTCATAAAGTAGGCACACAGGTCCTTCTTAACATCTCATGCATCAAACCTAGTTTCAGAGGAGGTTGGGCAGTTACATACCCAGATAGTTTTTTTATATGAAAGAAAATGGAAGGAATATTGAGGGACAACTAGTAATCTCTGTCTAGGCCTCTTTTCTTCATTTGTTATATTATTTGTCAATGACTTCAATAATTCCATACACTCCTGTGACAAGCTTTGTGACTTTGGGTAAATTATGAAATGACTCTGTGCCTCAGTGTCTTCATCTGTAAAATGAGAATAATAAGTTCTATTTCAACCATGTATTTTTACATATAATGTGCTTACAAGAGTGCCTGGTATCTAGTAATCATTGAATAAATGTTAGCTACACAACTCTGAACTTAGATCTTCAGACCTGATTGTTCCCCCAAGTTTAGAGACGTATGATAAATTGTAGATCAACATCTCCACTAAGATACCTCAAAGGAATCTCAAGCTCACTCTGCTCAATACTGAATTCATAACATGGTCCCCAAATCTGGTTTCCCTCAACATTCTCTATCTTAGCAAATAACATGACTACTCCATTGTTAGTAATTACATACCTAGATAATTTTTAACATAGAAGACAAGGAAAGAAACTTGAGAGACTAGTAATCTCTGTCACTTCTCTAACAGTGAGAAATTTAACTCATTATCCACATAAGTTTTTTCATTTGCTCAACCTAGAATTCATAGAAAGTAGTCTCAGAATTGCTAATGCATACCACTGCCGAAAGCCAACCTGTAAACTAGAGGTCAATATTTCCTTGCAGATTTTTCAAAATGCATGATAAAGCATACAATTTGATGAGTTTTGACAAATACGTACACTTACGAAATAGGTGTATCCACCTCTGTTAAGATAACATTTTCATCATCCCAAAATGTTTCCTTATGCCCTTTCAAATCAATCCTCCTCCCCTACAGAATGATTCACTTTCTGCATATTTTTCACCATTGATTAGTTTTGTCTGTCTTAAAATGAAATCTCACTCAATACGTAGTACTTTGTATGTAGTTTCTTTTACTCAGAATATTATCTATGAGATTCTTCCATACCGTTGTCTGTCTCAGTAGTTTGCTTTCTTTTATTCCTGAAAAGCATTCCATCATCCTAAACATACTACAAATTTTTTGTTAGCTCTCTTACTGATGAACATTTAGGTTATTGCCAGTTTGGGGCAATTTTATTGTTGAATATTAAAAATGTCTCAAGTGTACAAGTTGTTTTTGTACATTTGGTTTAATTTCTCTTTGCTGAATATCAAGTCATAAAATTACTAAAATTACTGGTTTATAGAGAAGTTGAAAGTTGAAATTTATAAGAGCTGCAAAATTCCTTTCTAAAGTAGTAGTGCCATTTTTTATAGTCCCACAAATTAGAGTTGTATTGCTCTACATCCAAACCTACCTTTGGTGTTACCAATTTAGCCTGAAGTAGGAACACTCAAATGGTAGCTTAACTTGCATTTACTTGATTATTCATAATGTTGACTACTTTTTCATGTGCTTATTGACCATTCATATATTTTCCTTTGTGAAGTGTCTCTTCAAGACTTTTGCTCATTTTTCACTGGTTTGTTTTGAATTTTGGATTTCTCATGTTCTGTATATATTCACAATCCAAGTGCTTTATCACTATGTAATTTGGAAATATATACTCATATCTTTGGCTTGGATATCCATTTTCCTAGTGGTATCTTTCAATGAACAGAAGTGGTGATTTTGAGTTTATTTTATTATACTTTATGGTTATTTCTTTCTGTGTCCTAAGAAACTTTTGCCTACTCCCAAGGAGAAAAAAATATGTTCCTATGTCTTCATCTAGGATAACTTACTGTTTGAGATTTTACATTTACATTTATGACCTACCTTGAGTTACTTTTTCTATATATGGCTATTCAGCCATTATAATACCATTTATTAGATATACTTCTGTTACCTCTTTATCAAAATTACTTTTCCACCTTTACCAAAATCAATGGCAATATTAGTGTGGGTCTATTTCAGAACTCTCTGGCCTGTTCCTACTCTGTGTTTCTGTCTTTATGTCAAAACCACACTGCCTTGAATACTGTAGCTGTAGCAGTTCTTGAAATCCATGTAAATCTTTCATTTTTATTCTTTTTTTTTCAATATTTGTCTTTTTAGTCCTTTTGTTTTTCTAGGTAAATTTTAGAATTATATTGTCAAGTTATAAAAACTAAGTAAAATCAATTGAAAATTGTATTGCATTGAATCCATGTTATTGAGGGTGTGTGTGTGTGTATGTGTGTGTAAGAGAGAGAGATGGGTGCTCCAGGAATTATCATACACATCCATGACTCTTACAGTTCACTTAATGTATTACTTCATATTAGCTTTAAAAACTTTGCAACTATATATGTTTAACAGCTACCATCCTTTGTGCTACTACATTAATATTTATTATACATCATAAGCTCTATAATACAGTTCATATTTTTGGTTTAAATGGCCATATGTCTTTTAGAAAAATTGGGACAAGGAAATATATATTTACATATATGAGGCTTTTTATGATTCACATTTTAGTATTTACAGCCCTTTTCACTTTTTCCTATAGAATACGAGTTCCCATCTGAAGTCATTTTCCTTTAGTCTGAATAACTTTAACAAATTTTTTTCTTTTTTTCTTTTTTAAAAATCATAGAAGTCTTCCAGCAAACATTTCTTATAATGCAGCCTACTGGCAACACATTTCTGGTTTATTTTTCTGTAAATGTCTGAATTTTGCCTTCAGTTTTGAAAAAAAAAAATTCACAGGATGTGGAATTCTGAGTTGACAGGTTTTTTACTTTCTTTTATCCCTTTAAAGTTGTCATTCTGAGGCTAGAATGGTCCAATGGTCTGATTCATCTGTTCTTTCTGATCAGAAACCACCCATCTCGTCTATTACTATTGCTCTGGATGTAATACATGGTTTCGTTTAGCTGTTTTTATAAATTTTTCTCTTTGGCGTTCAGCAGTTTAACAGATTAAGTGTGCAGTAGAATGTTATCTGTAGGCACCATGTTATACATCAGATCTCTAGAACTGATTCATTTTGCACAACTGAAATTTTACACACATTAATTAGCAACTTGCCATTTCTCCTCCCTCAGCCTCTGGCAATCATCATTCAATTACTTGCTTCTATGAGTTTGATTATTTTGATACCTCATATAAGTAGACAGGTGACTGACTTGTTTCACTTAACATAATGTCACAAGGTTTATCTACGTTGTTGCATAGATAAGAATTTTCTTCTTTTTAAGGCTGAATAGTATGCTACTGGATGTATCTACCACGTGTTCTTTATACATTTATATACTGAACATTTTGATTGCTTCCACATCTTGGTTATTGTGAATAGTGCTGAAATGAACATGGGAGTGCAAATCTCTCTTCAAGATCCTGATTTCAATTATTTTGGATAAATATGTTGAAGTGGGGTTGCTATTAATAGATCATATGGTAGTTCCATTTTTAAATTTTTTTAGTAACTTTTGTACTGTTTTCCATAGCAGCTGCACTACTTTGCATTTCCACCAATACTATACAGGGATTCCAATTGTTCTACATCCTCAGCAACACTTGTCTTTTGTTTTTTCTGATAATAGTCATCCTAACGTGTGAGATAATATCTCATTGTGGTCTTGATTTGCATTTACCTGATGATTAGTGACATTGAGAATCTTTGCATATACTTTATGGTCATTTGTGTATCTCTTCTTTGGAGAAATGTCTATTCCAGTCTTTATCTCATTTTTAAGTGGTTTACTAGCAAGTCCACTGCTGATATGGCTTGGCTGTGTCCCCACCCAAATCTCAGCTTGAATTGTGGGAATAATAATCCCCACATGTCAAGGGTGTCAAGCGTGGGGCCAGGTGGAGATAATTGAATCATGGGGGCAGTTTCCCCCATACTATTCTCATGGTAGTTAATAAGTCTCATGAGATCTAGTGGTTTTATAAACAGGAGTTCCCCTGCACAAGCTTTCTTGCCTGTTGCCACGTAAGGTGTGACTTTGTTCCCCTTGCCTTCTGCTTTGATTGTTAGGCCTCCCCAGCCATGTGGAACTGTGAGTCCATTAAGCTTCTTTTTCTTTATAAATTACCTGGTCTTGGGTATGTCTTTATGAGCAGCATGAGAACAGACTAATACAACAGCTAACATCATACTCAATGGCGAACAACTAAAAGCTTTTCCACTAAGATCAGAGACAAGGCAAGGACGGACACTCTCATTATTTCTATTTAACATAGTACTGCAAGTCCTAGCCAGAACAATTAGGCAAGAAAAAGAAATTTTAAAATCCAATTCAAGATCTAATCTACATTAGAAAGAGGTAAAATTGTCCCTGTTTGCAGATGACATGATTTTACATATAGAAAAACCTAAAGCTTTCCCCAAAACTGCTAGAACTAATAAATTTAGTAAATTGCACAACACAAAATCAACATAGAAAAATCAGTTGCTTTTCTACACACTAATGACATGCTATCTAAAAAGGAAATTTAAAAACAATCTTATTTAGAATAGCATCAAAAATAAAATAGTTAGGCATGGCCTGAACTGGGGACTTTTTTTTTATATTTATCTTCCCATTTTCTACATCCTTTCCTTCCTCACTTTCCAGATACTCCAGCTTTTTTTTATCTTCATCTTACCACTCTAGTTAGATTGTGATTTTCTCCCTCAGTTGTAGCTGCCCCAAGATAATGCAGACTAAGGGAGGGCCCTCAAAATATTATCCCTAGAACATTTTACCTAGGGAAGTTTTCTTCTTTCAGTGGTCTACTCCCCTCCAGTCTCTGCCTCCTTCTGGTTGCTCTACAATGCCTTCCAGTGGTGGGTGGGTTTTTTCCTCCAGAGTTTATAATAATTATCTCTGGGAGAGATCATCTGGTACAAGTTCTTTCACCATTATCTGAAGAGGACTTGTCCACCTTAACCTGTACCAATTTCTCCCCTTTGTAGTCAACCAAAAGAGCCTGCTTTTAGCTTCTCAAACCCCTTCCTGCGTGAGACTCCTTACAATTATTCAATCGCCTTGGAATGCCTGCTCTGCATACCAACATTCACACACACACATGCACACACACGCACACATCTGGTGTATCTCCATGCACTCTTCAGACCTCAGGTGAATTATTTTATATATTGCAATGAAGCTTTCATTTACCTCTTGGCTCAGAACAGTTCTTCTTTTTATCCGCTTCCTGTTATCTGCTTAGAACAGGTCTTTCTGTTACCTGCTTCTAACTCTTCTGGTCATTTTACCTCATGCCTCTTATCACAGTTTATTATTTAGGCTTTCTGTCTGTGATTACTTTATTAATGTTTGAACTTAATTTAGAATTAACTTCCAATGATTTGTGCTCACAAATTTGTATGTAGATAAGACTTGCTTGTTTTACTCACAACTGCATGAGTAGTGCTGAGCAAGGGCCTGATACTTTAGTGTGTGCTCTCAAAATATTAATTAATTTATCCATTAATTAATAGCTCCTCACCTGTATTGCATCTTGACTATTTCTAATTAAATACCTCACTGGTACCTTAAACATCATATGCCTCAAACAGAATGCATTTTCTGTCTATCCCCACTTGTCCTCTTTTATTTCCAATAAAAATTAATTATAATCTTACATATGCAGGTGCCCTAGGTAGAAACTTCAAACCATTTTTAGAGGGTTTTTCTCCTCTCTAAGGAACACTTCTCACACATGTGCTTTCTTGGGACCTCTCAGTCAAAAATTCTATCACCTTCTTTTCATCCTCTAACTACCCCAGTTAATTAAGGGTCTTCTTTTTTGTGTATTACTTCTACAGGTTTCCACCGTATGTCACTAGTTTTAGTCCTCTTCCTAGCCACTTCGCCTTTACTATTCACCTTCACTCTCCCAAAAGACAGATATTCCTAAAACTTTCCATGCCCTCAATTAAAAATCTTTCCAGAGCTCTCATTTTTAATTAGAGGAAGTTCAAAAATCTTAACATAGCCTCCATTTTTTTCACCTAGCCCTACACTTATGGGGTAAGCTTACAAAATTACACACTAAAACTCAAGGAAGAACTCAGCTACTTTATATAACTGATCACACCTTTCCCACACCTCCAGCCTCTTGGGCTGTCCGCGCTCTGTGCTCTGTATTCTGACCCTAGGTCTCTGTCCAGCTACACATATTCTCAGATCCTCCACTCCCTATTCCTGGGCACTAAGAATTTACGGGGATCCTCTACACTCCATGTAGTGTTTGAGGAGCCTCACTATCTCCCTCAGCGTGTCAGTCTTGCCACCTCCTCCTGTCAAAGGTTCTCTACTCCTATGACATGATGTGGGAAGTGGTCCCAAGCCAAATATCAGGCTGCTCTCAGGGCCAGAATGATGAAGGCTAGCCTTTAAAGTAGGCCACAAACATGATGCTCTCAGAAAATTCCATACCAACCTGCAGGGTTTGCAGCCCTTTAACCTTCTAGATCAGTCCTGGATTGGGAGTGGATTAAATCTGGCAATTGATCTCCTTGCCTTTCTGTTTTTCCTTCTCCTTTCCCTGCTTCCTAGAAAAGGTGAAGGAGCCAGATTTCCACTTCCTTTTTCTTCTTCCAAAGCCAATGTTCATTTTGCCCACTTACTTGACAGAGAGAGTGAAGGTATATAAAATGTCTTAGCTATAATAATCTAAAAATATTAGCCCTATTACACCAACTGTATAGAGTTTTCATTTTCATTTCTAGCCATGTCTTCTTGTCACCACTTCTAGGCAGAATTAATTACTATCACATCTCCCAGAGTACCTTATTCATATTTTTTATTTGATTATTTAGCACATTGTAATTATAATTAGCTGCACGTTTGCCTTTTCCATTAGACTGTGTGACAACCTCAAGGACAGGGACTGAATCTTACTCATCTCTTTATTTCCCTAAAACCTACCAGAGGGCCTGACACAGAGTAAGTGCTTAGTGAAAGTCTCAGTTCAAAACATGAGCAAATCTTCTTAGAGCTGAAGCTACCTATGAAGAAACAATGACCAGAGAGAGTTGGGAAGACAAATTGTAATAGCTTATAGGGTTCCCTGATTTGGGTCCTAAATCCTATGACACACGTAAGTTTAATTTCAGAGACAGAAAGTTTTTGAAGATTTTTCAGTGAAAGATAATTGTATTTCCTCATATAAGTTATCAAGGCACTTTGATAGTGTAAAGCAATTTTTGGTAATGATTTCAAACATACTGATAAGTTTTTCTTAAATACTGTGCCTTTAACTATTATTTCACATGTCAGGGAGCATCCATCTCAGACTATGAGGAAGGAAATGCAGAATCATCTGCCTCTTGTCCCCATTAACTATGCACATCCACCTTGGGTCCATTATCCCAAGAAGATAATTTAGATAATTTTCTTCATTCAACTGGATTTTTGAATATATTCTATTAAAAAGGATTTTGGTCCTCTATAGAATAATTTTATAGATTAGTAGGAATACAAATTTCCATGATAAAAAACCAGGAAGGACATAGTTCAACAATATTATCACATATGGATAACATCATGAGTGTATCTATCATTTAATCATACAATGCCTGTGGTATCAGAGGTAAGTTCATGAAAATTTATAAGGAATTTCCAGCCCTTATGATATTACTAACATCAGAGCTTGCAAGAAAAATGATTGCACAAAATCAATGTGCAGAAATCACAAGCATTCCTATACACCAACAACAAACAAGCAAAGAGTCAAATCATGAATGAACTCCCAGCCACAACTGCCACAAAGAGAATAAAATACCTGGAGATACAGCTAGCAACGGAAGTGAAGGAAACTTTCAAAGAGAACTACAAACCACTGCTCAAGGAATTCAGAGGACACAAGCAAATAGAAAAACATTTCATAGTCATGGACAGGAAGAATCAGTATTGTGAAAATGGCCATACTTCCCAAAGCAATTTATAGATTCAATGCTACTCCTATTAAACTACCCTTGACATTCTTCACAGAATTAGAAAAAAAAATTAAATTCATATGAAACCAAAAAAGAGCTCATATAGCCAACACAATCCCAAGCAAAAAGAACAAAGCTGAAGGCATCATGCTGCCCCACTTCAAACTATACTCCAAGGCTACAGTAAACAACACAGCATGGTACTGGAACAAAAATAGGCACATACACCAATGGAACAGAATAGAGTACTCAAAAATAAAACCGCACATACACAACTGTCTGACCTTTGACAAGCCTGACAAAAACAAGCAATGGGGAAAGGATTCCCTATTTAATAACTTGTGCTGTGAGAACTGGCTAGCCATGTGCAGAAAATTGAAACTGGACCCCTTCCTTACACTTTATACAAAAATTAACTCTAGATGGATTCAAAATTTAAATGTAAAATCAAAAACTATAAAAATCCTAGAAGAAAACTTAGGCAATACCATTAAGGGCATAGGCATGGGCAAATATTTTATGATTAAATCACCAAAAGCTTCTGTACAGCAGAAGAAACTTCTCAGCACAAACAGACTATCTACAGGATGGGAGAAAATGTTTGCAATCTAACTGACAAAAGTCTAATATCCAGAATCTACAAGGAACTTAAGCAAATTAAAAAAAAAAAAACATTAAAAAGTGGGCAAAAGGCTGGGTGCAGTGGCTCATGCCTGTAATCCTAACACTTTGGCACTTTGGGAGGTCTAGGCAGGCGGATCACTTGAGGTCAAGAGTTCAAGACCAGCCGGCCCAACATGGAGAAACCTCGTCTCTACTAAAAATACAAAAATTGGCTGGGTGTAGTGGCACATGCTTGTAGTCCCAGCTACTCGGGAGGCTGAGGCAGGAGGACCACTTGAACCCAGGAGGTGGAGGTTGCAGTGAGCCAAGATCATGCCACTGCACTCCAGCCTGGGCAATAGAGTGAGACTGACTCAAAAACAAAATAAAAAAGGAAAAGGAAAAGCAGACAAAGGACTTGAACAGACATTTCCAAAAGAAGGTATACATGCAGCCAACAAACATGACAGAAAGCTCAACATCACTGATCATTAGAGGAATGCAAATTAAAAACATGAGATACCATCTCACACCAGTCAGAATGGTAATTATTAAAATGTCAAGAAACAACAGATACTGATGAAGTTGCAGAGAAATAGGAATGCTTTTACACTGTTGGTGGGAATGTAAAGTAGTTGAACCATTGTGGAAGACAGTGTGGTGATTACTCAAAGATTCAGACCCAGAAATACCATTTGACCCAGCAATCCCACTACTGGGTATATACTCAAAGGAATATAAATCATTATATTATAAAGATACATGCACATATATGTTCATTGCAGCACTATTTACAAGAGCAAAGACATGGAGTCAACCCAAATGCCCATTAATGGTAGACTGGGTAAAGAAAACGTGGTACATATATGCCACGGAATACTATGCAGCCATAAAAAGGAATGAGATCATGTCCTTTGCAGGGACATAGATGGAGCTGGAAGCCATTATCCTCAGCAAACTAACACAGGAATAGAAAAACAAACACCTTATGTTCTCACTTGTAAGTCAGAGCTTAACAATGAGAACACACGAACACAGGGAGGGGAACAACACACACTGAAGCCTGCTGGGGGAGGATGGTGGGGAAGAGCATCAGGAAGGGTAGGTAATGATGCTGGGTTTAATATGTAGGTGATGGGTTGATAGGTGCAGCAAACCACCATGACACAAGTTTACCTTTGTAACAGACCTGCATGTATAAACCGGAACTTTAAAAAAGAAAAAAGAAACTAGCAATGCTATGGATTCGAACAATCATTAGCAATGTTAATTACTAAATAAACAATCATGATCTAATTGAAATATACGGGAAAAAATAAAATAAAGTGATTCCATGAAAGAGTATTTAGATGTCAACTTTTACTAACTTTTTGTAAGTGTATTAACTTGTCATATAAAACAGATATACCAAAGAAATCAAGCCAAAAAGTAAAACAAAACACTATTTACTGAACAGAAGTCATCACTGTTAACATAATTCTTTATATCTCTTGAGTCCATGCATATATACAGATTCAAAGATATTAAAGATGAAAATGTAGAAAAACTGGTGTATGTCACAGATGCCATTCCAAGAAAAATATTAAATATAGTTTTCTTTCATTTTAAGGATGAAAAACACATAAAAGTAGAATTGCTGAACTTCAGGTAAATGTTTCTTCATCATACAAGATAATAAAGCCTCAAAAATCTTTCTAAAGAAGAAACATTATTATGAAAATCATTCAGAGTTTGGAGTCATTACATTTTTGTTTTTAACTCTAGTGTCTACTGACGCCATGTACTGTATTTTAAAATTAGAACATTTACACATTTAAATCTCCTTCCAGCTCCCATTTTTCATAATCTTTGAAAATGACATTATTGTCAACATCTATATTTCATCACCAGTTCTTACAACACTGCTTTTCTCTTTCTGGGTACTTTCTGGGTACTTTATTTTGATTTGTTATGTGTAGAGCTGTACTGCATTGAAAGTTAAACAATTTTGAAAGCCTTTTCTGTGTCTGTTGAGATGATCATGTGGTTTTGCTTTTAATTATGTTTTTCTGGTGAATCACATTTATTGATTCGCATATGTTGAACCAACCTTGCATCCCAAGCCTACTTGATCATGGTGAGTTAACTTTTTGATGTGCTGTTGGATTCGATTTGCTAGTATTTTATTGAGGATTTTTGTGTCTATGTTCATCAGGGATATGGGCCTGAAGTTTTCTTTTTTTATTGTCTCTGTCAGGTTTTGGTATCAGAATGATACTGGCTTCATAGAGTGAATTAGAGAGGATTCCTTCCTCCTCAATTATTTTGATATAATTTCAGTAGAATTAGTACTAGCTCTTTGTACATTTGGTAGAATGTGGCTATGAATACATCTAGTCCAGGATTTTTTCTTTCTTTTTGGTTGGTAGGATTTTATTACTAATTCAATTTCAGAACTTATTATTGGCCTGTTCAGGATTTCAAATTCTTCTGGGTTCAATCTTGGTTGTGTTTCCAGGAATTATCCATTTCTTTTAGGTTTTGTCATTTGTGTGCCTAGAGGTGTTCGCAACAGTCGGAGGATGTTTTTGTGTTTCTCTGGGGTCGGTTAACAACCTGCTCCTGAATGACTTTTAGGCGAAGAATAAAATTAAGGCAGAAATCAAAATACTCTTTGAAACTAATGAAAACAGAGACATGACATACCAGAATCTTTGGGACACAGTTAAAGCAATGTTTTTTTTGGTTCCATATGAACTTTAAAGTAGCTTTTTCCAATTCTGTGAAGAAAGGCATTGGTAGCTTGATGGGGATGGCACTGAATCTGCAAATTACCTTGGGCAGTATGGCTATTTTCACGATATTGATTCTTCCTACCCATGAGCATGGAATGTTCTTCCATTTGTTTGTATCCTCTTTTATTTCCTTGAGCAGTGATTTGTAGTTCTCCTTGAAGAGGTCCTTCACATCCCTTGTAAGTTGGATTCCCAGGTATTTTATTCTCTTTGAAGCAATTGTGAATGGGAGTTCACTCATGATTTGGCTCTCTGTTTGTCTGTTGTTGGTGTATAAGAATGCTTGTGATTTTTGTACACTGATTTTGTATCCTGAGACTTTGCTGAAGTTGCTTATCAGCTTAAGGAGATTTTGGGCTGAGACAATGGGGTTTTCTAGATATACAATCATGTCGTCTGCAAACAGGGACAATTTGACTTCCTCTTTTCCTAATTGAATACCCTTTATTTCCTTCTCCTGCCTAATTGCCCTGGCCAGAACTTCCAACACTATGTTGAATAGGAGTGGTGAGAGAGGGCATCCCTGTCTTGTGCCAGTTTTCAAAGGGAATGCTTCCAGTTTTTGCCCATTCAGTATGATATTGGCTGTGGGTTTGTCATAGATAGCTCTTATTATTTTGAAATATGTCCCATCAATACCTAATTTATTGAGAGTTTTTAGCGTGAAGGGTTGTTGAATTTTGTCAAAGGCCTTTTCTGCATCTTTTGAGATAATCATGTGGTTTTTGTCTTTGGCTCTGTTTATATGCTGGATTAGATTTATTGATTTGTGTATATTGAACCAGCCTTTCACCCCAGGGATGAAGCCCACTTGATCATGGTAGATAAGCTTTTTGATGTGCTGCTGGATTCGTTTTGCCAGTATTTTATTGAGGATTTTTGCATCAATGTTCATCAAGGATATTGGTCTAAAATTCTCTTTTTTTGTTGTGTCTCTGCATGGCTTTGGTATCAGAATGATGCTGGCCTCATAAAAAGAGTTAGGGAGGATTCCTTCTTTTTCTGTTGATTGGAATAGTTTCAGAAGGAATGGTACCGGTTCCTCCTTGTACCTCTGGTAGAATTCGGCTGTGAATCCATCTGCTCCTGGACTCTTTTTGGTTGGTAAGCTATTGATTATTGCCACAATTTTAGATCCTGTTATTGGTCTATTCAGAGATTCAACTTCTTCCTGGTTTAGTCTTGGGAGAGTGTATGTCTCCAGGAATTTATCCATTTCTTCTAGATTTTCTAGTTTATTTGCATAGAGGTGTTTGTAGTATTCTCTGATGGTAGTTTGTATTTCTGTGGGATCGGTGGTGATATCCCCTTTATCATTTTTTATTGCGTCTATTTGATTCTTCTCTCTTTTTTTCTTTATTAGTCTTGCTAGCGGTCTATCAATTTTGTTGATCCTTTCAAAAAACCAGCTGCTGGATTCATTAATTTTTTGAAGGGTTTTTTGTGTCTCTATTTCCTTCAGTTCTGCTCTGATTTTAGTTATTTCTTGCCTTCTGCTAGCTTTTGAATGTGTATGCTCTTGCTTTTCTAGTTCTTTTAATTGTGATGTTAGGGTGTCAATTTTGGGTCTTTCCTGCTTTCTCTTGTGGGCATTTAGTGCTATAAATTTCCCTCTACACACTGCTTTGAATGCATCCCAGAGATTCTGGTATGTTGTGTCTTTGTTCTTGCTGTTTTCAAAGAACATCTTTATTTCTGCCTTCATTTCGTTATGTACCCAGTAGTCATTCAGGAGCAGGTTGTTCAGTTTCCATGTAGTTGAGTGGTTTTGAGTGAGATTCTTAATCCTGAGTTCTAGCTTGATTGCACTGTGGTCTGAGAGATAGTTTGTTATAATTTCTGTTCTTTTACATTTGCTGAAGAGAGCTTTACTTCCAAGTATGTGGTCAATTTTGGAATAGGTGTGGTGTGGTGCTGAAAAAAATGTATATTCTGTTGATTTGGGGTGGAGAGTTCTGTAAATGTCTATTAGGTCCGCTTGGTGCAGCGCTGAGTTCAATTCCTGGGTATTCTTGTTAACTTTCTGTCTCGTTGATCTGTCTAATGTTGACAGTGGGTTGTTAAAGTCTCCCATTATTAATGTGTGGGAGTCTAAGTCTCTTTGTAGGTCACTCAGGACTTGCTTTATGAATCTTGGTGCTCCTGTATTGGGTGCATATATATTTAGGATAGTTAGCTCTTCTTGTTGAATTGATCCCTTTACCATTATGTAATGGCCTTCTTTGTCTCTTTTGATCTTTGTTGGTTTAAAGTCTGTTTTATCTGAGACTAGGATTGCAACCCCTGCCTTTTTTTGTTTTCCATTGGCTTGGTAGATCTTCCTCCATCCTTTTATTTTGAGCCTATGTGTGTCTCTGCACGTGAGATGGGTTTCCTGAATACAGCACACTGATGGGTCTTGAGTCTTAAAACCATAAAAGCCCTAGAAGAAAACCTAGGCATTACCATTCAGGACATAGGCATGGGCAAGGACTTCATGTCTAAAACACCAAAAGCAATGGTAACAAAAGATAAAATTGACAAATGGGATCTAATTAAACTAAAGAGCTTCTGCACAGCAAAAGAAACTACCATCAGAGTCAACAGGCAACCTACAAAATGGGAGAAAATTTTTGCAACCTACTCATCTGACAAAGGGCTAATATCCAGAATCTACAATGAACTCAAACAAATTTACAAGAAAAAAACAAAGAACCCCATCAAAAAGTGGGCGAAGGACATGAACAGACACTTCTCAAAAGAAGACATTTATGCAGCCAAAAAGCACATGAAAAAATGCTCATCATCACTGGCATCAGAGAAATGCAAATCAAAACCACAGTGAGATACCATCTCACACCAGTTAGAATGGCAATCATTAAAAAGTCAGGAAACAACAGGTGCTGGAGAGGATGTGGAGAAATAGGAACACTTTTACACTGTTGGTGGGACTGTAAACTAGTTCAACCATTGTGGAAGACAGTGTGGTGATTCCTCAGGGATCTAGAACTAGAAATACCATTTGACCCAGCCATCCCATCACTGGGTATATACCCAAAGGACTATAAATCATGCTGCTATAAAGACACATGCACATGTATGTTTATTGTGGCACTATTCACAATAGCAAAGACTTGGAACCAACCCAAATGTCCAACAGCAATAGACTGGATTAAGAAAATGTGGCACATATACACCATGGAATACTATACAGCCATAAAAAATGATGAGTTCGTGTCCTTTGTAGGGACATGGATGAAACTGGAAACCATCATTCTCAGCAAACTATCGCAAGGACAGAAAAACCAAACACCGCATGTTCTCACTCATAGGTGGGAATTGAACAATGAGAACACATGGACACAGGAAGGGGAATATCACACACTGGGGACTGTTGTGGGGTGGGGGGAGGGGGGAGGGATAGCATTGGGAGATATACCTAATGCTAGATGACGAGTTAGTGGGTGCAGCGCACCAGCATGGCACATGTGTACATATGTAACAAACCTGCACATTGTGCACATGTACCCTAAAACTTAAAGTATAATTAAAAAAAAAAAGCAATGTTAAGAGGAAAATTTAGAGCATTAAATGCCTGCATCAAGAAGTTAGGAGGATCTTAACTTCACAATCTAATGCTGCACCTAGAGGAACTAGAAAAACAAGAGCAAACCAACTCGAAAACTAGCAGAAGAAAAGAAATAATCAAAATCACAGCTGAAATGAACAAAATTGAGAGGCGAACATACAAAATATCAATGAAACCAAGCTGGTTCTTCAAAAGATTAAGTGAGTTTGATAGACTGTTAGATTAGTAAAAAGAGAGATCAAAATAAATACAACCAGAAATGACAAACATGACATCCTTCAGTTATACCACTACTTATCTTACCCTTAATTTATGAGCTTTTCATCATTAATTCATTATTTATTCAGAATTATTTTATTGGTTATATGTCAGGCAATCTTCTAGGTTTGGGGGATATGAATGTTCCTGACTGCTTCAGACTTAAATTCCAGTAAAAGCCAGGGACAAAAAACACATTAACAAATAAATAAGATATACCTTTTTCTCTATTTGATAGTCAAAGAGAAATTTTAATAGTCATGCTTAATATTTATTTCCCAGGAATCCTCCAGAAGGCATGGATTTCACTGAGAAGCGGACCTCAAATCCTAAAAAAATGACAAATGTCAAGGAAAAACAAAATACGATTTCAAGTTAGAGAAAGATGGAAGTGGGAAGATATGCTTCTGTAGTAATAATGACAAGAGAAAGCCTCTTAACGGAGATGATGTCAAAGTGGAACTATTTTAAAAGGGTGTCATTCCTACAATGATCTGTGAAAGGAGCCTCCCGAACAGGATGGACAGGTCATGCGAAGTCCTGAATGTATGGGAGTCACAATGTTTAAGATACACCCTTCAGCTCTCGGTGACCAACTTTTAAAGACAGCTGCTTTTGGTGTGAGGTTTAAAGGAGTCTGTGTATGCTCTTAGATTTATGTTTACTTTGGCCCCAATTTTCAGAATTTGAAAGTAAACTTAATCGACTGTGGATGAGAGATGTATCTGCTTTCTTTGTTGAATATATAAGGCTCCCCTCTCCCGGCTTCATGTATTTTGCTTTCAGTTTTCTGTTTTTATTTTGGGAGGTTTTTTTTAGGTGAATTTTTAAGGATGGGCATTGATTAAAATTATCTTTATTGTAACAAATTTATATTCAAGTTCTAATCAGTTTTAAATTAGGAGTATCTAAAGGACTGTGCAGAGACATTCTGATGATGCGTCACTTGATGTCATTTTGATGAAAATGGGTAGTAGAAATACTACTTTCCCAAAAAGCATCGTTAAGTATGATTCCTTCAATAATTCTCTGAAATAGCAGAACACGTGCCAGCATTCTTTCTGATAAATGTTTGGCCAAGTACATATCTCATACAGATGATACACTGAACTCATATATTTTATGTCTGTCAAACACACATTTCCAAAAAAAAAAAAAAGAAAAAAACCTATTATCTTAGCACTGCGTGCTACAAATAAATTATCATTCAACTCATCAAGTGCATATGTAATGTTTAAGTTCTGAAAGTTGATTTGTTAAGAACAAAGTTTATGGTATCAATAAATTACAGATACATCATTTGTCTAGGATTTGAACAAAAACAATATTACATTTGCTTTTAGGTAGTTTCTCTATTTTCCCCTGAAGAGAAAACAGAATAAAATACACCACTCATTTGAAACAACCACCGATCTTGAAATATTTTAGAATCCCAAGTTGCATGTCATTTTGCATCTTTCTATCTGCAAGTATAAATTTGGAAGTCTTAGCGCACACTGAGGTATCACTGTGTAATATCAAATCTTATCAAGGCCTCTTTTAATTGCACCAGTTTAAATCTCTAAGGCATCAACTTTATCAAGAATGTTTTGTCTTTTCCCACTGTGCTGCTACTGCTGTGTTGTGGAGGACTGATTCTGGAAGCAAGTTTTCCAAACTAGATAAGCTTCCTACATTTGTTTTTCTGCCAAACAAACAAAACAACAAGGACAACAACAAAGGAGCAGCTGTAAGTGTTCAAAGCCAAGCCACTGACTTCATTCAGAAGGCAAACGATGACTGTATTTTTATCAAAAACAAAGGTCAGTCTAAACTAATCTCTTAGTTTAATCTTAGCCCTTCTCATGCTCAGGTTATTTTTCTATATATAAAAGAGTATACTGCAGATAAAGGTGCAGTCAACTCCAATACTTGCCTATTCACCTCCCTCCTCTCCATAGGCAATTATCATCGTGAATTTAGTGTTTCTTCTGTCACTATATTAGTACAATTTATACATTTAAAATACATAGAATATATAACATATGGCTTAGTGTTATTTTAAAAGTTTACATAAGGCATTACGTATACTTTGCAACTGTCTGTTTTTCACTCAACATTAGGTTTTGAGATTGTTATTTATGGTTTTTTATTTTAATGGCTATATATTAATTATATAAACATACAATGCTTTTTAACCTATTAATGAAAGATTATTTCCATTTTTTAACTACTGCAGATATTCAACAAAGTTATTCTTTAATCCATCCACCTTGAAAGCAATTATAGAAATTTAGGATATGCTACTTTCAATTCAATCTTTCCTGTATCATTTCTCATGCTTTTGCAGTTTGATTTTCTGGTTCCTCTTTAATTTTTTCCAAATTGCCTTTTCTTCACTGCCAATGGGTATTTTAACCTTAACAATACAATACATTTACCAATTTATTTGTCAGCATTGATTTTGCATCCTACTCATCTTTCTGGGTTTATTTTTCTTTTGGTTGAATGCATCTTAAAATAGCTTTTGTTTTGGAAAATATGTGAATTGTAAACGCTTAGTCTTTGTTTATGCATAAAAGTCATTGTTCCTTTCTTACCCTGTAATCGTTTGTTTGAATACAAAAGATGAGTTGACAGGGCTTTTTTTTAAGAGATTTTTGAAAATATAATTCCATTGCTTTCTAATAGAAGAAGACACAGATAAGAGCCTGTCAAAAGTCTGATTGCTGTTCCTCTGTAGGCAATCTTCACATGTATTTTTCCATCCCAGTAGAAAGCTTTTAAAATTTGACTGGGTTTTTTCTGGACTATAATCTTACTGTGATGTTTCCAGGGGAAACTTGTTTTTCCTTAACATGTTTAAACCTGCTTAGGAATTACATTTTTTAAAAAATTCTAATAATTTTTTCCTATTACATCATCATATAAACACCACCTCCCCATTTTCTCTCTTTTCTTCCTAAAATTCCTATTACAATTATGTTGGATCTTCTCTTTCTGCTGCTCACATCTCAAACTTGTTTCGTGTTTTCTATCTTTCATTCTTTGTACCGCATTCTGCATGATCTCCTTAGACCTGCAATCTAATTCATTCACTCTTTCTTCAGATGAATCTAGTCTTATATTTAACCTTTCCATTGAGTTTCTTTTTAATGTCAAAGATTACGTTTTTCATTTTTTAAATTTCTACATGGTTCTTTCGTATCTTCCTTTTTTCCCCCAAAGTACTTTAGTTTATCTTTCTCATTTCTAGTTTGTCTTTCATCTCTTGATTTGCACTGAAGTGTCTTCAGTCTGTTCTGCAATCTCCAGCCTAGGAGGTATACATTCTTCAACATGTTGGATCTGATGATTCCTCTAATGGCATTTTTTCCTCTCATGGAGTTTGTTACCTTACTATAAACTTTTCTTCAGCAGAGTTTACTTCTTTGGGATTTCTACATGCCCTGGATTGAGAAAGTATCCCTGCAATGTGGCCTTAGGATTGCTTTTGCTGGGGGACCTAAGAGTCTCAAGAATTCCAGCTTGGGTATCTCCATGCACTGCAATTACAAACCTGGAACACAGACCCAATCTGGAAAAGGTTTCGTGGTATTTCTTACCTCTCACAGGTAGCTCTTTTTTTTTTTAACTGTTAGTTTAAGCTCAGGGGTACATGTACAGTTTCGTTACATAGGTAAACTTGTGTCATGGGGGTTTATTGTACAGATTATTTCATCGCCCAGGTATTAAGCCTGGTACTCATTAGTTATTTTTTCTGATACGCTCCCTCCTCCCACCCTCCACCTTCCAAAAGGCCCCAGTGTGTGTTGTTCCCCTCTATGTGTCCATGTGTTCTCATCATTTAACTCCCACTTATAAGCAAGAACATACGGCATTTGGTTTTCTGTTTGTGTGTCAGTTTGCTAAGGATAATGGCCTCCAGCTTTATACATGTCCCAGCAAAGGATGTAACAGGTAGTTCTTCTTTCCACTTTGATGTCTACAATGACAAACTTCCTTGCTCTTCCTAGGCCTGAGTGGAAGTCAAGCTTTCCTTGTCTTTATTTCACAATGACCTTATCACTTATGACTCCAAGTTTTATAAAAGATGTTCAGTTCCATGTGCCCCATTTACACAGTGCCTAAAGCTGAGACTTTCTTCCCCAATTCAAAAAATAGCTCCCCCAAACATACACATA
The DNA here is from genome assembly GCF_000001405.40 of Homo sapiens. Taxonomy (NCBI): domain Eukaryota; kingdom Metazoa; phylum Chordata; class Mammalia; order Primates; family Hominidae; genus Homo; species Homo sapiens. The sequence continues at coordinate 109,006,199 of NC_000007.14, read as the reverse complement.
CCTCAGAAAGATGGTTCAATGATTAAATACATGAAAAGAATACACAAGCATAAGAATGTTAAAATCCACTGACTTTTCTCTATTCAGTTCTGACTCTAGGATTTTTTCTTCATTTAATTTCAAACCCAGTTATGTATTTGCTATTTTTATGTGTTTATATTTTATCCAAATGTATTTGATGACAAATACAGATGCAGTCAATTTAGTCTGATATATTACTGAAGAACCCCATCAGTTACTTCTTAGATTCATAAGTAGATATAACTAATGGTTTCCATGGTTGATTGCCTTGAGTATAAAAACATATTTTTTTTTAGTTAAAAGTGTATTCTAACCTTTTTGCTATTTTAGCATTTACGGCTTTGAACACAAAGGAAGAATCGTTTTGACTCTGAGAAGAAGCGTAAGCATTAAGGAAATCTTGGATAGTCTTATTTCATAATATTATCTTCAACATCAAAAGGTTTTATTGAATGAATAAATGAATACACGGACGAACATTTTACTTGCTTCACAAACATCAGGACCTGAAATTGATTTTTTTAACTGAGTTCCTCATTTAAGGAAGGATAAGGTTTGAACCCTCTTTTATTTGCCAGTTCCCTAGTTTCCACTTTTACACACACACACACACACACACACACACACACACACACTCCTTTGCTATTCTCTTCTTGGCATTGATACTTGCCAATTTTTATAAATTTACTGTGGAACTCAGCCTGCACTCTCTAATGCCTAGTGTTTCAATTATTTTCTGAAAGAAATCTTGGGCTTATATTTTCATGATGTATCTACTATTAATAACCTTTATTCCCCTATTCCATATCATTTAGAGAGAAAAGGAAGAAAGTGAAAATGAGAACACAAAATCTCCTAGTTTTAACTGAATTGATTATCAGTGCAATGCACACAAGAATTGAGTGCTATCAAAAGAATAAAACATTTCAGAGATTTCTGTTTGTCTTAATTTTAAACTGGTAGTACATGAAGAAAAAGTCACTCAGAGACATATACTTATTTCTAGGAATATTTTGAATTTGTCTTCCATAGAACCATATAATCAATTCCATCTGCTTATCCAACCAATAATAGTAAAAATGAGAATCCCAAGCATTTTCTTTTTTATAAGGTTATTCAAATTGGAATCCACTCCTTTCTTTAACCAAAAATGTTACTATTTACAACTAAGGCTCATAAAACTTTTCAGGCATTTTATGATGGCAGATCTCAGAGCCAGATGGTCTGAGGTCTAAAGAATATAGATGGCATAAGAACATTTACTGATTAGGTGATAAGTGTCATAATTTTAACAACAGCCAATTAGCAAATTCTCATAAAGTTTTCAGAGGACTCATGAAAGTTAATCATGCTTGAATTTCTGCCATAGAATCACCTCACTTTAAGTAATATGTATTCCTAAAAACTGCATGTCAATTGAACATTTGTAAGTAAAAGCATACATTTTCACAGACCTGAATTATCATTGACATATTTTATTTTCATTATCTGATTAATTTACTATCGTCACTGACTCAACTCAAGTTAGGTGTTTTCTGCTTCTTGCTTGTTAAATAACCAATATTTCAGTGCCTTCAGGAGATTAAAATTTAAGATTACACTTTAAATTGTTTTGTAAAGGGAATAATTAAAATCCTGTTAATTAGGAAAAAGAGGTACACTTACAATATGTAAATAGCCATTGCTAAAATATTATAAGAAAGTCCTCTGGAAAATGTGAGGTAAGGATGGTGGAAATAACCAACAAATGACAAGTTCTTTCATAATTATTTTATTTAAACTCAACACTCCTACAGGTAGGAATTCTTGTTCCCATTTAAAAAGTTAGGATTGCAGGATTAGAGAAGTTCAGGGACAGAGGTAGAATTTGAATCCATCTCTCTGATTCCCAAGTCCATCCACGTTCTACTCTACAACAGGCCTTAGCATGACACATATCTGGAAGCTAATTTTCAGAATTTCCTGAAAAGCCTTCTGAAAATAAACTGTTATCTCATAGAGATTTATAAAAATGAATTGGTCCAGATATATATGGATTAAGTCAGCTGTCAAAGTCCCTAAATAGATAAACATTAAGTGTTATGCATTTCCTATTTACTATAATCATGTTTTTCCAGAATGCAACTGTATTTTGCTTTGAAATATGAGTCACTGCCATCATCTCAATTAGTGAGAGGAGAAGTGACTCTGCTGATGCTGAATCATGAAAACCCCATTGCACTGCTAGTTTCCTGCTCAGGGTAGCTACCTCATGAGCCCTGCAATCTCCCAGTCTGGCTGCTTTTTCTTACTAATGAGTCACCGCAAATGAAATGTCAAGTGGTATGGTCTTCAATGGCTCTTCAGCTGGACCTTCCTCCAACCCTAAGCCCTAAAATTAGAAGGCATTTCTGAATCAAGAGTCTCCTGCACAGGCTTCCTAGCATTGCAGCATTATCTCGATATAGAAGGTTGTAACCAATCCTATGGTTTGCCCAAAGTTTTGATCAATTAAACTAAATAGCAACAATTTCTTGAAATTTTCTGGCATCTAATGATACCCTTCACTAATTTTTGATTTAGATTCAGGATTTCCCCTATTTTTGTATTCCAAATAGGAATCTAGTGATGATGTGTGTGACTTGTGGGTAGGCAGTAGGGGGTGAGTAATTAAGTCACCAAATAATGTTCAAGTGTCAATTAAGATTTTTGTGAGTGACATGCACAAAGTTGGTTGGTGGCTTGCTTTTTTGGGTGTGTGTGTGTGTGCGTGTGTGTGTGTGTGTGTGTGTTTTCAATGTGTAAAATGAAAAGGGCGTAGAATGAAGGAGAAAAAAAGGAATAATTTCAATCAGGGAGGCATAACCTAGTAATAATAACTAAACTTCATTACTAAACATGTGGTCTGAAAATTAAGGGAGGGCAATGATGATCCAGAATTTCAAACCCGGGAGCCATAAGAATGAAAATACCATTAACAAAGAAAGAAAAATAAAGGAAAAATTTTACTGGGGTATAAAGGGAGTCATGAATAACTGCGCTGGTTTCAACACCTCTTAGGGAGGTGGGATCAGTGCAGGAGGTGATTACATCTAGGGCTGCAGTGATGGTTATTAACTTCCTGAGTTGAGGACATCGCTGACCTAAACATGGTGAGGGAGAATCAGAGAACTAAGAGCTGAGTCTCGGGGTTTGGAGAGCAAAGTAGAACCACTGAAGAATTTTTATTAAAAAAAGAATAGCCAGAGGAGAAGAAGAAGCAGTGAGGTACATCCTCGTGGAAGTCAGAAGTGGAGAGAATTTTACGAAGGAATATGTCATGTAAGGAAATGAATATTGCAGAAGCTAAAAAAAAGTGTTTTCTAGGAAATTGTCTTGAATTTAAGATCGAAAGGTTTTATAACAAGTGTCATAACAATCCAAATAATCATACAAATAAGTAATGGTAGAAACATTTCTCAAAATCGATTATTTAACATTGCTCAAATTGGGAGAATAGACAGAATATACATTTTAGTAAGACAGGCTTGGAGAAATACAAGAACTTTAGCTAATGAAAAATATGCAAATTCTCCCCATTACATTTTAGTGTTAAGTGAATATACATATGTCACACAAATATACTCTGCAAATTTGGAACCGTTTGCAATTTTTTCCTGATAGTAATATAGAAAAATTAATCCTTAATGTAATACCTTAAAGTCTAGGGACAAGGACTGGCTGTCCTGTCTAGTTTTCTATTGAAGTATAAGTACTCTTAATTTTATGCACTTCTGACTTGTGAAAGTGAAATTCATTTATGTAAAATAAGCTTCATAATTTTAAACAATATTCCCAGTAATACAGACAGAATACATGGATATCAACTTAGGCAGAACCATCTGCTATCCCCTCTTAACTCAATATCACGCTTCTCAACACAAACTACTCAATGCATTAAAAATAACATTAAAATAACCAGTGATATCTAACTGAAGATAAGGCTCAGGGACTCCTATCTTAGAAATTTTTCCCAAAACCCCCAAACAAGCTATCTGTTTTCTTCTTTATCTCTCTCCCATTGCACCCTTAGCCCCCATTCCAAAAAATGGGGAAACTTATTGTCCACACAACAAAAGAAATTATAATTTTATGTTATAATGGAAATTAGGCAGCATTAAGCCTGTGAGTGTAGGAGGCCATTCACATTTAAAACTGGTATATAGTTGAGCTTTTATATGAACTCTCCAATAAATACAAGAGAACTGGGGTGACAGAGAGTCAGGCAGCTTGATTCACTAGATTTTTTGTATAGTCTCGGAGTAGTGAAAATACTACACCATAATACTTACAAAGTAACCCTAATGAAGAATATCAATCTGATAGAAAACTCCTACAATTACATCATGTTTGGCTATGGTTACGTCCAAACATAGTTTCGAACAGAATTTATAAAATTGTAGGGCTATTTCCATATTGGAAAATGTATGTCTGTCTAGTAAAATTCATTTCCGCAAGGTTTATAACAACTACCACTGCAAATTTGTGTTTCTAACATCCCACTGTAAATAAATAATTGGTATACTTTTTTACTTTGATCAGGTGCACTTAAAAGTTCTTTGCTAATTTTATACTCCACAGGGAATTTTAAGTTTTCATTTATATGCTACACACAAAAAAGTAGCTGTAATGTCTGAGTCACCATAAAGAACAGAGCTAAACCATTTTTAAAATGAAAAATCAAGATGTCACCAGTAGGCAACTAGAAATAATAAATGTAGTTTATAAAACATGATTCTATTTTATTTTATTTACATTAAATACATTACACACATTACATCTGTGGAAGGGAATATCTGAGGAAAGAATTTGTTATTTAACTATTTTTTTTCTCAAATCTCTGAGCTACACATTGCATTTCCTCTAAAATTTTTAGGAACTTCAAGCCAGTATCATAAAGATTATGTATTATTTAATTATACAAAAAAAAGATTCATAAAATATTCTGCTTCTTAGAAAATACTCCAGGTATTTTACAAGGAACAATATACTTAGAGTACTAAAAATATACACAACTGCAGAAGCATTTAAAATCAGTAATAAAAATCAAACATAAAATCAGTGTACCATGCCAAAGGCCTTTTGAAATAAAAGAGCTTTAAACCTATAGAACATAAAAGAAGGCTAATTCAATGGTTGTCCCCAATTGAAAAAATAAAAAATAAAAAAGGACATTCCATAGCCCAAGGCTGGCAGACAAATTCTTGCACTTGTGCTTGTAAGCTTTAGATTGAAAATTTATCTTGCCCTGAAAGTTCACCAGTTCTTTAACATTTCACTTTTTCCCAAAAAGCTTTGCTTAGAGAATAGCATCACCAAAGAGACCTTAACTATGAGGGTCAATTATAAGAATAAAGTATACCGCTTTTCTATCACCGTGTTGGCCTTTTAAGTTTATGCAGAAAAGATAAAATAACTATTCACTGTTTGTACTTCTAACATCAGTTAAGCTCCTTGAGAATGTAAACATCTGGGCATTTGTCGATAAAGTGAAAAATAGAAGATAGATTTGAGCAAACCGTCCTTCTTTCTAGAAAAAAAAAACAAGGCAAATGAAAACGTTTTCAATATGTATGACTTTCTGACAGGGTAGGAAATTCATTTATTTTTAAAAAATGAACCAAAATAACGAATCTAAATAAATTTGTCAAATTTTTAAAATACTGCTTGAAAGCAGACAGAGCTCCTACTTTATAACCTTTATTAAAAAATTAAACTGCCAGTTTATGTAAATGGTCAAATGTTACTCTAGAACTCTGATCTCAGCATGAATTCATTGGATGAGCTGTAAAATTCTTATTTCTCTGTAGTAATGAACTGCAAGTCATCATGACTTAATATGGCCTGGCATATGCTTGGGATGTGAAAAATGGAAGACAGACACTTTTGTCACCTAGAGTATATGTTCCAGTGAATTTCAAACAGATGTATGTTGTTGAATGTATTTTTAGTTTTTTTAGTGTCAGTGTATTTGAAGAAAAAAAAACTTCACACTTTTTTTTCCTCCCTAATCAGAGGAAGCTTTGTAAAATTCACAAGAATAAAAGAGAGAAAAAAGTTCATAGATAGAAAAAAAAAAGTTTTTCTTTTCCTTTTGCATTAGGAGAGAAGTTGAAAAAGATAAAAAGAAAGAAGTTAGAAAAAAAATAAAGGCAGCAAACCGATTTACCTGAAAAAGAACCTTAAACCCAGAAGAAAACTCTTGCCTGCCAATTTCTTCTGACCTGGCTCTATATCCATACCTGACTCTTTGACAATAGCCTGAGCAGAAGCAGACTCTCTGTCCAGATGACTCCTGAAGTTCAAAATTTGAAAAAGGTAGTTCTGGAGAATACCAGTGGGAAGGGGTCAGAAATTCTAATGATTAAGTTAAGGAATTATCGAAAACCAATTTGCTCCTCAGTATGCAGAACAAGGTATAGATTTTCTACCACTTCCTTCATGAAGTGCTCTTCTGGACAAAACCAGGAGAGTATTTCATAAAATAATGGGAGGCCCAAGGAGAATCCAAGGTTATACTATGAATGTTATAACCAAATATAAACGTTTAGCTTTCAAGATGTGTTCAGCTTGCCCTTTATACCCTCAAATGACACATCCACACACTTATCCAAGGCCATGGTCAATTTTTTTATTCCAGTGAGATGCAGTGTGTTAACACAGCTGCACAATCCATGCCAAGTAGCTTTGTTGCTAAGTATAATTCTTCATTAAAAAATAAGAATGAGTAGTAAAAAAGGAACAGTGAAGAAAAATCAAGAGAAAAATTAAATACCATAGAAAGAACAAGCAGAGCAGTTCCTGGGAAAAAAGTATATGCTGGGGAACTATAAAAACAAAAATATTTTATCAACACAGAAAATCTCTCCACAAAGTTAGAAGAGAAGGAAAATAGTTTTATTGTTAAATAAGCAAAAAATCAGAATATGATGTTCTCTACAGGCAATCCACTAAGAGATTGCAAAGACAGAAATAAATTATATCCTTTAATATGCCAAGAAGATATAACCCACATGTTCCCAAGATAAATAATAACCAGTCCTCAAGCAAGAGAATGTGACAGCAGTATTTGTCATATCTAGTTCATCATAGATTTACCTGGTATTTGGAGGGCTATCTGTGTTTCCTAACAAACAATGGGAGAAGAAGTGGAAAGGAGAAGAAAGTTTAGTCTAACTCCTCTGTCATAGTGAGGAGATACTGGATTTTATCCAAATTGTTGGATGAAGAAATAGCTGTGTGAGAACAGTACTTGGTGTTTTTAGGGTAACAGCCAGAAATCTGAACACAATGGGTTAAAAATAATTACTCATGAGAAGTAGAACTGGGGTTTAGAAAGAGAAAGGAAGGGAAAATTTCACATTGGTTTCATGTTTTTATTGTTTATCATATAAATCTCTCCTTTAGTTCAAGCAATGCTCTTTGTCTCACAAATGGTCATACCTGGAATTACCTCTGTGGATTTACTTTTCCTGTTGTAAAACTGTAGTTGATTTTATTATCCAATATGATATTCATTATACAGATACCTTTGAGATATATTCCTGTTTGAATGTAGTGTCATAAAAATATCTTGGTCTCTGCAGACAAATTGTGTCTTTTCTTTTGTCAGAAATAAAACCTGAGGCCTTTAGCTGCCAGGAAACTTAAAAGTTGAAGGCATTGCTCATTTGTAGTTATCAATTTGCCTAGGTGTCTAAGCTTTTAGATCATCTTTATCTTGCTTTTATTCCTGTTGACAAATTTGGCTTTTTGCTTCCTCAGATGCTGGAATTTGTGGAAATTTTACTGATGCTAAATATATCAAAAAGATATTCGCTCCACTACTGTAACAGATGTTTGCATCATTCTCAGTTGTGCCACATTTTCCCCCATACATTTTAAGTTCCTTGATTATCCCAATTATCTGTAATATATTATATCCCCCATCCCTATCAGAGTGCTGTGTATGTAGCAGGTTCCCAATAAATGTTTCCATGTTGGACTGACTTAATCACGGTTACCACAGCTTTTCAATTTATGGCCAGCAGTAAAATTTTTTCCCAAGTTACATAAAAACAAAAAGAAAGTGTTTTACCTCTTAGCTACTTTTATATGTGCTAATAAAATTCTTCTAAAAGAAACAAAGCAAATATAAAAGACTAACTTGTGATTCATAAACACAGAAATATTGCAGTCATCGTTCACTGGATCACTTTAAATGCAATTTTGACTTTTAGAAGTAAATATATGATATGAACAATGAAAAAAATCTTTCTGAACTAACCCATTGCAAATGATCCCCAGTAGTAATCTGTATATTTTTCTACATATCCCTGCATTTAACAAATATCTGAACCTACGTAGGAATGGAGTGGGACCAAAGCTCTGATGTACTCTTGAGAAAAATCGATTCCTACATCTTTAGAGTTCAATCTGCTAAAACACTCAGCTGCCTCATCAGTGGAAGTTTGCATTGAAGGGTCATTGAGCAATAATGTTTTCTGGTTGTGTAACAGTCACAGAAAACTTTGAAAAACAACATTCTACTACTAATGCAAAGTAAAGCACCTATATTTCCCTATTACTTATCGCCCGCATGCTTTAGTTTTCTCAAAGGTAGACAAATCAATGTTCCTTACACGGGCCGCAGAGGTGATTCTACCAATAAAGCTGTTCCTTTGCAGAAGCACAAGGAAATGTTGTGTCTATGGTGTGTTATGGATGCCACAGGCTGACACACTTGTCTTCGAATTTTTCTCCCATGGGGTTGAAACAAACAGAGAAACATCCCACTATACAGTCAGTCCTTTAGGTCATGGCATCAGCAGCAAATAGCTGAAATTAGCATGATAGTAGCTTATGTGAGACAGCACAAACATTGGCAGACATTGACATAAATACATGTATTAGAAAAGACTTCAAGTAGAGATTAAAAATAAGAAGGACAAGGGCATTTCCCTGGACTATAGATGTCAGGATAATTAAAATAAAGACTAAAAATAAGTAGAGATTAAAAATAAGAAGGACAGGGGCATTTCCCTGGACTGTAGAGGTCAGGATAATCCTGAGAGTAAAGAGGGAAGCCCCAGGGATGGTGCAGAATGAAGGACCCAGAAGGCACATTGAGAAGCCGGAAACACTGGAGAGGAAGTGGAACTAAGAAGGGATGGGAAAGGTCAATACTTAAACATCATAGCTTTTTCTGTGGCCTCCCATGCACATTAAAAGAGAAAACAGTAAAGGTGATAACAAAACACGGTGCACTTTGACTCAAATATGCAAATTATTCAAGAGAGGACGATAAATTACAAGCATGTGTAAACAGTAATCATTTACTTTTCCTTGTTGAAATACTACTTTACCATAGCAAGCCAACCTTCTAAGAGGAAATGGTGATGCAGAATGATCAATTCTGGGTAAACTCCTTAAGAAAATAAAATCTGAAACTGGCTCTCCAAAAAGAACACTTAATTATGAGTACAATTATGAGCAATGAAGCTCGAAGCTCGCTGCATGTTAAAATCACCTGGGAACTTTTAAATCATAATAATCCCTGAGACTCAACACCCTGCCAGAGAATCTGATTTAACTCAGCCAAGATGGGACCCAGGCATCAACATTTTTAAGGCTCCCCAAGTGATTCTAATGTGCAGCTAGAGTTGCAAACTCCAGTTAAAGCCACAACGTAAGTTTTAGAGTTTCAAAAGGTTCGGAAGCTGCCACTGCAGGTTTCTGCATGCACGGAATTTTTCTTTCTGATTTTTTCACCACAAAACTGTTGAAGTTGCCCTCATTATATAAATCAGACCATTTACAGTGCTACTCTAAAACACCCGTCTTGTTTTGCAGCAGAACCATGTCTGCTCAATTTCAAGTATGTAACAGAACAAGTTAGAGGGACAAATAATTGAATTCTAAATACCACACTTGTTGAAATCTCATGGGTTTATTAAGGGTGTTCACCACAAAGGACAGACTTGTTTTAAAATTCTTAGTGTGTGTTTTATTTTTTATTTTTTATTTTTTGAGATGAAGTTTCACTCTTGTTGCTCAGGCTGGAGTGCAATGGCGTGATCTTGGTTCACTACAACCTCTGCCTCTCAAGTTCAAGTGAGTCTCCTGCCTCAGCCTCCCAAATAGCTGGGATTACAGGTGTGCACCATCACATCTGGCTAATTTTGTATTTTTAGTAGAGATGGGGTTTCACCATGTTGGCCAGGCTGGTCTCGAACTACTGATCTCAAGTGATTCACCTGCCTCGGCCTCCCAAAGTGCTGGGATTACAGACATGAGCCGCCGCGCCCGGCCCAATTCTTGGCTTTTCAAATCAGTGGCTGGTTGGTTGTGTGGAGGGATGGAAGAAGTGACCAGGAGGCATGAGAAAGAGTTAAATTGCAAAGGAGCATGAGCGAAGCTTTTGAGAGTAGCATATGTTCATGAGTTTGACAGTGGTAATGGTATTGGGGCCCAGAAAACAATACCTCAAAGCATGGTACCCTGGCATGCTGAGTACTTTGAATTAAGATTAGAAGACCTCAGAAGCAAGATCTCTGACCTTCTCCTGCCCTCTTGTCTCCTGCCTCATTTCTCCCCCAAGCTGAGCCACAGAAACCAGAATTCTTCCCCTCCATGGCAGATCATATATGAAACTAGAACCCTTCTTCCCCAAAGAAAGCCATAAAACCTAGAAAGGTCACTCTCTTCCTTCTCCCATCTCTCTCTCTTGAAGACCTTCATAGACCCATAGGCAGGAGGAAGAAATGCCACACAGAGAGACCAAAAAGAATCTGGACAGGCCTCGCTGGGTCTCCCCCCTCAGTCTATTACTATTAGATCCTACTCCTTGTCCAATCCCATTTCTACATGGCTGTAGAAACCAAGCATAAAAATAGTGTTCCCTGGGGCTTTGGGTCTTCATTTCTGGAGACTCCTGTGTCATGTAAAACTTTGAATGAGTAAATTTGTTATACTTTTCTCTTGTTAATCTATCTTCTGACGGAGGAGGAGCGGGGAGGCAGAGTGGGGAGGCAGAGGGGAAGAAGAAGATGATGACGACGAAGACGACAGGAGTGAGGCCAGAGCACTGCTTGCGGGAGCAGACTCTCCAGGGACTTCCCAGGCCATTAGCTGGCAAGGCAGATCAGAGGAGATGACCAGTTCTAATGAGCTCAAGCTGACCCAGCCACCCGAGGTTGTCATTTCCTCAGTGAAGTTCAGCCCCAACACCTCCCAGTTCCTGCTTGTCTCCTCCTGGACAGGTCACTGCTCTTCTACAATGTGCAGAACATGTGCTTAGGTAATAGCGCTTGCTCTCAGGTCCATGCGCTCAGGTACCAGCACACTGGCACCATCCTGGACTGAGCCTTCTACGATCCAGCACAGGCCTGGAGAGGACTAGATCATCAATTGAAAATGCATGATTTGAACACTGATCAAGAAAATCTTGTTGGGACCCATGATGCCCCCATCAGATGTATTGAATACTGTCCGGAAGTGAACGTGATGGTTACTGGAAGTTGGGATCAGACAGTTAAATTGTGGGATCCCAGAAATCCTTGTAATGCCAGGACCTTCTCTCAGCCTGAAAAGGTAGATACCTTCTCAGTGCCTGGAGACCAGCTGATTGTGAGAACAGCGGGCTGCAGAGTGTTGGTGTGGGGCTTATGGAACATGGATTACGTGCAGCAGAGCAGGGAGTCCAGCCTGAAATACCAGACTCACTGCATATAAGCGTTTCCAAACAAGCAGAGTTGTGTATTAAGCTCTATAGAAGGCGGAGTGGCAGTTGAATACTTGGCCCAAGCCCTGAGGTACAGAAGAAATATGCCTTCAAATGTCACAGACTAAAAGAAAATAATATTGAGCAGGTTTACCCAGTCAATGCCATTTCTTTCCAGAATATCCATAATACATTTGCCATAGGTGGTTCTGATGGCTTTGTAAATATTTGGAATCCATTTAACAAAAAGCAACTGTGCCAGTTCCATTGGTACCCCATAAGCATTGCATCACTTGCCTTCAGTAATGATGGGACTACGCTTGCAATAGCATCATCATATATTATGAAATGGATGACACGGAACATCCTGAAGATGGTATCTTCATTCACCAAGTGACAGAGGCAGAAACAAAACCCAAGTGCACCTAATCATCTCGTGAAAGTGGTTTCTCTATGGAAAGCTTTGTTTGCTTCCGACAAATACATGCTTATTCCTTAAGGGATGTGTTATAGTGACTGTGGAGTTCTCTGTTTTCTGTCTTGTAAGAACCTTGTCTATGTACCTTAATACTTTGTTTAGGATGAGGAGTCTTTCTGTCCTTATGCAGTAATCTGAAGAATTCCCCCTTCTATCCCTTAGCAAGCTCAGTCGCTGCATAAGAACAATTTGAGCTCTTTTTGTAATATAATCTAAACCTGTTATTTCTGTGCTGTCTAATAAATCAGATTCAGAACGCTTAAAAAAAAAACGTAAATTCGAGATAGAAAGAGAGAAAACCAGGAGGGAGGCCACCCAGTTTACACTAGGAACTTCTGGGCACTGGAGGATGGCAGGGCAAAGATGTTGTGATGGAAAAGGTACACAAATGATAGTTGTGGTCATTAGATAACTATATGCCATAAATTGTATCATATGCAAACTAATCCTTATTGGTTTTAGTGGCATTGCTAAAACATTTGTTGTTTAAAAATACTCATAAAAACAGCCCTTAAATAATCGATGACCTGTTACTGTGCAGGAACACTCTTCACTTATTGATATTCTCTAAATGCATTATTCTCCTTAAATATAGAAAGTAGAAGATAAAATTATTGTCACTTTGATAATAGGTTCTGTTAAATTTCATATGCACATAGTCAAGCTGGGAAGTACCAAGATACATAGGCTTAAAATTCCTACATAAATATTAGAGTAAGAACCCCACATAACAAAGAATTTCCAAGTTACTCAATCCCCACTGAATCTATGTTGAAAATTGTATGAACAGAAAGTAAGTTTAAAATGAAGAAAACATCATACAACTGGTAGTTTTCAATTAATACTCTGAAACACTGAGTTTCTGTTACCATTGCCCTCTAATTTTTTTTTAAGATCCACGAATTTGTTAAAAATCTATTTCAAGGCCACCACATTTCAGACCATACTGAAATATTACAGCATTACTATTGTAAAAATAGTAATATTTTATTAGAAGTGCCAGGAAGCTGAATTTGTTTCATTTTTCATTGGTAGGCAAAAACACCCTCTGTGTTAAACTGGAGGATCATCTATCATTACAGAGTATCTTATGGTTCACCCTGGAAATGTCCACTATGACTACCTGGTATAAAAGAATATTCATTTATAATCATTGCACTAGAGTAAAAGGAAACACTTCAACTTGGAAGAAAACCTGCTGTCACTCTAGTAGTGTCCTAATGGCTTTCCCAGAGTAAAGGCTTTAATGGAGACTTTTTTTTGTTATCGTTCTTAATTAGACAAAGCACCTCTGGGAAGCTGATTTCTTGTGACTCAAATTCATTTACTGAGAACTGTGAGAGTATACAGGAAAAAAAAATGAAACAGCAGCAGGAATATACACTCTGCAAAGAACTCTTGTTTTCAAAATGCTGAGCTTATTTAGTCAAGGGAATTTACTTATAATATTTATTTTCTGGTTTTCTAATTTACCCATTTCCACAGCCAGCCCTTGGAAATTTTGCCTAGAAAACCCATGGGGGCAAACCACAGGTTTACTTTTTCCAGGGAGTGCTTCCTATTACCCAATATTCTCCCACTTCTCTCCCTTACCTCATTAAAATGTACCTTTCCTATATTTTACAACTCTGGGTCTGTGTTCTGTTAGATAACTTGAGTATTTTTTCTATTTTGACTTAAGGTGTAGCTGACTTAATGTGTGAAGCCTACTGAAGAACATTTTTTGCATTTTAACAGGGATCATAAATTCCTGAGCCAAAAGCAGTAAAGAATGATGGAATTTTACATATAATCAAAGGTCATAGAGGTCTCTTTGAGCAAGATGACTTTTCAGTCTCTAACAGGACCACAGAGGAGGCACCCTAAGGCATGCTTAGCACCCAATTAGTTGCAGGCAATAAGTGCTAAATACGTATTAATTTAACTAAATGAAGCATTTGTTTAAATGAAACAGAGGGAAAAGGAGGTAAAGAACAGATCCCAGTGAAAAAATATGAGGCATTTATGCATATATCAGAATATCACGTTGTGCCCTATAAGTATGTATGATTATTATTTCTCAATTAAAAATAAAATAAAGTTTCAGAATGTATGGAGCTGGAGGAAGAGGTCTAAGAAGTCAAGATCAGAGAAGTAAAAATGTAGACAAGATAGAATTGATTTGCAGAAGACAGTGAGAAAATAATTTCAGGGGGAATTAGGACTGCTAATAATGTCAAATCCTACAGCTCTAGAAATCAACAAAACCAAGACAAGCAAGGATATTGACTGGTTATTAGAAACTTATTATAATCTCCAAAAGGGCATTTTTTGGTGATATAATGGGAACAGAAAACAAATTGTAAAAAACTGAAGAATTAGAGAAAAATAGAAAACTAATGACAATGAAGCTGTGCAGACTATTCTTACAAAGAATTGGCTTAAGGGTAGAGAAAAAGAAATGGACAAATATGCAAAGTGTTGACATGAACAAGAAAAGATATCTCTGCAGATAGGAAAGATCTAAGGATGTTTATACTGAGGACTAAGATCTGGTTTTTCATCTCACCCAAACTCCTACCTAAGGGGTCTAGGGAGTCATAGCCTACAAACTATAAATTCTCATTCTTTTCACCAAAATCTTTATACAACACTTGTGAGTCTAGCCATTTCAGCTGGAACTGTGTTGTGTAAATGTATGTGTGTGTGTGCATGTGCATGTGCGTGTGTGTCTTAGATGGATTTTATTTGACCCTATATATCGTGACTTACTTTTCAGTCCGACTCTGGCATAACATTATGAAACGAGGAAAAAAATACTTAATCCCAAAATGTATTTATTTGCCATACCTTGAAATTGCCCTGCAAAATCTCTTGTGAGAAAAATCCACATTCTATAGAGAATCCTCTTCCCACTTTGTTTTCCTTCCTTCCTTCCCAGACCCTGGAGATAATCAACTAAGAGCCAAGCACCCTTTTAAGTCCAATATAAAACAATTTACAACCCACTCTCTCTCAAGTCTGCTAAGAGCTTCCTCTGCACAATAAAACTTAATCTCCACAATCCTTTATCTTCAATCCGAACATTCCTTTCTATTGATCCCAGGTCTTATTGTCAACCAGAAAGTGCTTAAATTTACCTATAGCCTGGAAGCCCACCCCCCATCCCCCCAAGCCCCACTTTGAGTTGTCCTGCCTTCCTAAACCAAACCAATGTATTTCTTAAATGTATTTGATTGATGTCTCATGCCTTCCTAAAATACATAAAACCAAGCAGTATCCCAACCACATTGGGCACATATTCTCAGGAGCTCCTGAGGGCTGTGTCACAGGCCATGGTCACTCATATTTGACTCAGAATAAATCTCTTCAAATATTTTATAGAGTTTGACTCTTTTCATCAATGATACCCTGAAAAAAAGAAGGCATCTGAGTGGGAAAGATGAAAAACATGAAATAAAGAAACTCCAGGTGATCCAGGTAAGCACAGAAAGCAAGAGTCAGTTTCAGAAATAAAAAAGTGAACTATATAAAGAAAGAAATAAGCAAAAAAAAATCATGAATTTAAAGTGTGAGACCTCAAAGCAGGAAGAAGTGAACCACTAATTCATAAAGTACAAATTGAGATCATTCTCATGGTTTGGAATGGAACTGGGAAATTGAGCAGAATTTATAATCTTTATAAAGAAGTACCAATATGCACAAAGAAAATATATTTTCTTTAAACAAGTGCTATAAAGTTTAGCATAAATGCAAGCAAAATTTTTTTTTAAATTGAAGATAATAAAGTGTGAAGGTGTTAAAGCAACAAAGCTACATACCAAATGTCTGCAGGTTGAAATTGTATATATCAATCTCTATAATTGTAATTATAAAACCTGAATTCAGTGGCCTAAGGCCATGAGTTTCAGGGGTAAGATCAATAGAGAGAATATTTTCTAGATAATATTTTCCTTTGTGAATGGGCCAGGAACCTGAAACTGCTACTTTTCACCATAAGTTTTATATAACACTTGTGAGTCTAGCCATTTCAGCTGGAACTCTGTGTGTGTGTGTAAATGTATGTGTGTGTGTGCATGTGTGTGTGTGAGTGTGTGTCTTATGCTCTGCTTTGTATCAAAAGACTAAAAGGGAATTACAAATTTCAAGTCAAATTTACTAATCAAACATTGGGAATTGGGCTAGCTAGAAGCAAAAAGGAAAGTGGGTTTCCAGTAGTGCTTGGGATTAAAGCATTTAGGAAGATCTCTGCCCTGATCTTCAACCACTAATAAAAGGAAAAGAAAAGAAGGAAGATGTAACCTCTCTGCTCTGAGTTCTACTCAGACAAGGAGGAAAAAAAAAATGCTAATGGGACTCCCTTCAAAGGAATAAGTGAATTAAATCATTCCTGAAGCTCAAACACAACAAAAACCACCTGCCAACAAAACATCAGTGAAGACACAATGTACTGTGAAGTCTTCAGACAGTGGAAGGCAAGGCATTCTGTTTTGACATATGGACTATTGAGTGTGAGCTTGACATATCTGCTGCCCAGCACCAGTCTGATAATATTCTTAAGTGAGGAGGAGTTTAGAAGCCCACAGAGATCTGTAAACTAAGAGGCGGATAAACATAGCACAGAAATGGTTGTTGCTAAGGCACCATAGGGAAAATGAATTTATTGATGGTACGCACCCAAGATTGTATACTGGCAAATATATTGGTTACACTTAGAGTAATACTCTCCTTGAAGGCTTCACCAGAAGCAATATGATCTCCTTCCTTCACCCTTCCTGACTTGTATTATTCATCCTCCCTCCTAGCCAAAAGTTGTAGTTGGACTCCCATTTTTCCTCCTTATTTCTGCTCTTTTCACTAGAGCTTTGGGCTTTTATTTATTTTGATTGTTTAATTTATTTATTTGAGATGGAGTCTTGCTTTGTCGCCCAGGCTGGAGTGGAATGGCATGATCACTGCTCACCCCAACCTCCACCTCCTGGGTTCAAGCAATTCTCCTGCCTCAGCCTCCCGAGTAGCTGGGATTACAGGCACCTGTCCCCATGCCCAGCTAATTTTTTGTATTTTTAGTAGAGATGGGGTTTCACCATGTTGGCCAGGCTGGTCTCGAACTCCTGACCTTGTGATCTATCCACCTCGGCCTCCCAAAGTGCTGGGATTATAGGTGTGAGGCACCACGCTTAGCCTGGGCTTTTATTTTAACTGCATACCAAGACATAGTTTCTTGGTTACCATCTCAGACATAATATGATTACTTTTATGCTCATCTCCTCCCATCCTAAATTTCTCAGGTCTTTTTTTCCTGATCTACATTTCCCAGGCTTAAGAAAACTCTGGGTACAAATTTACATGGTTAACATTCAAATTTCACTTCATACCTGCAGGAGTAGGACTTCATTGTGGTTGAGAGTTTCTCCAATTCCCCCAGGTATTTCTTTTCTTTTTTTTGTTTTGTTTTTTTTGTGGCCACTTTCCCAGCCCCCCTCCCCCCACCCCTCCCTGCCCCACCAGGTATTTCTAAGAGTCTCCAGAAAATGTTTCATGTCTCTGAAACCCTCACAGTGTCACAAATAGAAAGCAAGCCCCTTTTCCTGCTCTATGCCATATCTTCTACCTGGAGAAATAAATAACATTGATTTTTCACGTTATGTTTCAAAGAAATCCTTGGTGAAAATGAGTCCTCACAGTCAGCCTCAGCGTTTCTATTTTAATGGCTTGGTAATCTTTACTGGACACAGAATGCCGTACCACATCATCCTATCATTAACCCAAATACCACGCTCATTCCTCAGTCATCCAGGCAGAAAAACTTTCTCCTCTAAATAAGTGAAAACCATACAAACATTTGCCTGCAGGAGCTACTAGTAGTGTCTCTGTGAGACTGATACTCAGTTCAGACACAGCTGGTGCTGCCCCCACCATGTGTTGGTGACACCCAGGATCTTTCCCTCAAGCTATAAAACTGGATGCCACTTTTGAAATATTCTCTTCTCCCTTTCCATATAGCCCAACCATTAAAATCTCCATTCTTCTTCAGTTTCTCTGTGTCTAGAATTAATTTAAGGGTATGCTGAAGCCAATTCATACCAACTTGCAAGAGCCAATTGTTAAGTTTTCAGGAATTTTGTGAGCCAGTTGATCTTACACCAGTAGCCTGAATTCAGCCATTGTTATTTACATCCCAGAAGGGGCCAAATTCTCAAATCACGGCTTTTTCCCCCACCGAAAGCCAATTGCTAAGTATTTATCAGTACACCATTGGATAAATTCACTTTTTTCATGAATGGTTTAATTCATTGACACCCAGATTTTCAGAGTAATTTCTCAGCTGCTTTCTTGCCTTTTCTGCCATCTCATAGCAATTCGCCCAAATCAAATCAATGTTTTAAGATTTAAATTAGTTCCTACTATCAAGATGCTCAAATATAAATGTGTAGTCAGCTAATATGTTATTGATGATATTAAAAAAATAAATCACATAAGATAATTCGTGGAATGCACTTAACACATTGCTTTGAGCCATAGAACTCATTCAGTAAATATTGTTTGTTATTTTTATTAGCACTAATCTCCTGCTATTCATTAAGCACATCTTCACTTATAAAAAAAACGCCATACTATTCTTCAATATGACAAATTTTTTCTTATGTCTCCAAGTTTATCTCCAATCTGAAATCTCCTCTCATCCTCCTTTCCCTTAAATATTTCCAGGACCAGAGCAAGGCTCAGCTTTCTTAAGAGCATTTTCTGAATAACACCAGACCACAACTATCTCTCTAGTTTCTAAATCCCTTTAGTACTTTATTCTACCAAGACCCTAGAACTTAAGAAGACAGTGCCACTAATGTTGTTCTGGGTTTTGCAAATGTGTATTTCTTTTTCATGATAAATTATGAGGTCCTCAAGAGTGAGAAACATCATATGAATCGTTGGGGACCAATTCACACATACTTCTATGCCTCTAGCCTTCGTCTATTCTTGTCTACTCTCAGCAGAATATTGTTAACGAGTACGAGTGCCTGTGTACATTAAGCCCTCTCAGTGAAGACAATACCAGTCAAACATAGTGCCATGACTCTTGAGTCTCCTAGGATCTATTCTACATTTTCACTTGGGGGAAAATATCACTACAAGGCAAAAAGGTTTACCTCCTTCCAAGCTGTGACCCTTGTGGCACATCCTTATTTTCTTTCATCTCTAAGAACCAATTAAAAATCATTAAGATAGGAAGCAGTTTTCATTTATTTTTATTACTTCATAATTCCAGCCATTTATAACTCATTTAAACATTGTCCATAAATTTCAAAATTATGTGGCAATAAAAGTAATTTAAAAACAGAAGTTAAAACAATGCCAATGGCAAATCCTTTCCAAACGTAATATGAACACTGTCAGCAGAGTAGATGCCAAACTCAGAGGGACAAGGTGCATTTTATACTGGGATATCAATGTCATGAATGTGTGGACAGGGTCCGTCTTTAATAAAAGTGTTAAAATTTGCTTTCCATAGCTGAAAGGAAACAGCCTGTGACCAAAAAGATCTGATCCATCACAGTAGGAAAGCTAAGCACACTGATTTAGCTACGTGGTGATTCTGAGGTCTCCTTGCATCCCCCCACCAGGGTCTTTTCAGGATTGAATATTGACTCCATCAGTCTGCTCTCTATTCAAACCTATATATGAGAAGAGGTTTACGGAAATGTCAAGGTCCAAAATGGAGAAGATGGTGGATCTCATTCAACCCTTCTAAAAATGAAAAATAGAATCTTGCCTGTAGTTAGCTTAGAGAGGAAAAATATTCCCAAAAGATATGTCTTTTCCACTGGTGTTATATGTGAGAGTTAGCAGAAGTATGAGTATGTGTATAGTGTGCATTTAATTCATTGATGCCCTGTTGGTATGCCATTGATGCAGTCTGAGCTACAAGAAATTAGATATAAAGATCATTACCTTCAAGTCATTTCCCTTTGACCAGAATTACCCTTTGGGGTTAAAGTGTCATTTCCAAGAAGAAATTTGCTAGAATTACATCTAAACCAGATGAGGCTGGGTAATGGAAAAGCCACTGGAATCCATTCATCAAAAACAATAATAACAGCAATAATGGTTTTTACCATATCAGGGAAATCATAATATATTTCTCTATATTTTTGGATTCAAATAATGTCTACAATCTTAGCTAATAATAAACAGTACATGTATTTCTGGAAATGGTATTTTCATTAAAAAAAAATTCATAATCATTAGTAAGAAAAGGGAGATTTCTTTTGAGTAAAAAAGTAGCCATTAATCACCAGCATGCACCATTGGTTTCAGTGATGTTGATACCAGCATCTGAAGCAAAGCCCAAGGTGAGGTAAAAATCAACAGTTAATTGCAGCAACTTAACAAATAAATGGCTGTTTAAAAGATTAGTAGAAAATGAAAGATGTCACTTGACTTGCATTCATGTCTGGTAATGTAGCTGGAGAACATCAATACATACAATTCTTTCGTTAATTAAATTGAATTCTGTGATCTGAAGTTTTGGGATTAGGATTCTTCTAAGTAGAAAGTCCAGTGTTCTTTCAGGCAGTCTCCATTGCCAAGTTTGCAGTTCTCTGCTTTTAGTTACAAAACGTGTAGACTAAGCGGAGTGATGGGGCAATTGAATTTTCATGGATTGGATTAGTGCTGATTCCAATGAAGTGAGTTTACTACTAGTGTTGTAATCTATGATAATGAAATGATATATTTAAATTAAATTTCAACTTGAGCACAGCTTCCCTGCAGGATGGCCCTGGCAGCTGTCTCTGAATTTCTCAATACAGTACATCACCCCTACAAAAATTGCACATTTATGCAAACGAAGCTGCAAAAAGGCAAGAGGACTGAATACAAATTTCCTCTTTTTCTTCTTTTCCAATTTGAAACATTTACTCAAACCACCAAAAGAAGAAAAGTGTTACACAGTACTTACTTCAGGACATCAGCTTTTGGAAAAGAATGCCTACATTAATCAAAACAAAAAAGGAAAGAAGGAAGAAATGAAAAAGAAGAAAGAAAAAGAATCACGATGAAGCCTTTTTTTAAAAGTAGCTCAGTCTTCCATGTACCTCATTCAAATGTAGAAAAAAATGAAGGCAGAAGCCTGTTATGAAAGGAAAAGCTAAAATTGCATTTTAACA
Organism: Homo sapiens; assembly: GCF_000001405.40. NCBI lineage: Eukaryota > Metazoa > Chordata > Mammalia > Primates > Hominidae > Homo > Homo sapiens. The sequence goes on along the minus strand of NC_000007.14, from coordinate 108,984,835 downwards.
TCCTTAGACTCAATTTATATCTTTTTCTTCTTTTCTGCTCTTGTTATTCATGGACTGTTTACAACTTCACTCAAAATATGTTACCCAATCACCAACTCTACAAACAGAATTTTCAAAGCCTTACAACTGCACTGAGGAAGCAATTCTAAAAATTCAATACAGCAATGAAGAGATACATCCTTTTTGTAAAACTCGATTAGCTAGTGATGGTGCTGGAGGGTGAGGTAGAATTAAGGTTTTACTTCACCTACTGATAGCAAGAGTTTGTGAGGGAAAAACTGTTACTGCCAAAATGAATGGAAGGCAAAACAATTTAAATTTGTGTATGAATAAAAGTTATATAACAGTAGATCTTTCTGAAAGCTAGCAAAAGGTAAGGAAACTTTGAGCTTGTCTACTTTATCATGCAAATTTGGGTTCATAATACCTTTAAAATCATTCCAAGTGCCACTGTTTTCGTGTACCTATACCACTGTTTTCCACCTATCCCAGATAATTAAGAATCCATTCAATGAGCATTTATTAAATGCCTACACTGTGCAGGTATCACTCTCCACGACCTACAGAGAAGACAGGCTTTGAAACAAACATTTAAAAGTCCAAATAGGATGCTATATTTGTTTTCTGCACAAGGCACCTTAGAAAAAGAGTAGAAAACAAATAAATGAATATGTGTATTTGTGGTAGAGCTAATTTCAGGACTAGCTAATTTTTATACTGATTGACTCATGAACACTAAATAAAATTACAGTTAAAGGCCAGGCACAGTGGCTCACACTTGTAATTTCAGCACTTTTGGGAGGCTGAGGCAGGCACATCACTTGAAGACAGGAGTTCGAGACCAGTCTGGCCAACATGGGGAAACCCTGTCTCTACAAAAATACAAAAAATTAGCTGGCCGTGGTGGTGCACGCCTGTAATCCCAGCTACTTGGGAGGCTGAGGCACAAGAATTGCTTGAACCCAGGAAGCAGAGGTTGCAGTGAGCCGAGATCGCTCCACTGCACTCCAGCCTGGGCAACACAGTGAGACTGTGTCAAAAAAACAACAACCACAACAACAACAATAACAACAAAACCCCAAAAATCTTACACTTAAAAATTTAAAATAAAAATCATTTTCTAATTATTTCTGGTTCATTTCAACAAAGCAACAATATTAACATTATCCTGTTATTTATCTAAGGCATTAGCCAAATAGCCTGACTGATGTTGACACTGTCTATAAGACAATTTAATACCTTTACCAAACAGATAGTACCTTTACCAGATAGTAATTTCTAGGCTTGGGAAAAAAAAAATCAATATTTTTTCCAGTGTTGTTTGTATTTATTTTTGTAACTTACAAATATAGAAGTAAGGCTTTTTGTGGGGTATTATTTGGTTTTTTTTATGCTGTAATTTTCAATAATGTCTACTAATGATTACTATTAATACTTTAATATTAATACAATAATATTGAATCTTTACTGTCATTTAAAAAAATCACCTCTTACTGATTCCATTTGAATGCTACCATATTTAGCTAATATGAATACTATTACCTATGTACATATTTACATGGAAATTTATGACTTTGTATCTATATAAGCATATATATAACTTGTGAATAATATATGTAACTTATAAAAATTTCCAAATATATAATGTATACAAATAAGAAGTTTGTTCATCTTTTAATATCATAAAGGTTTTATAATATATATACATCATCCTAATGACTGCAAAGTGATTTACTATAAAAATTTCTGCAATGTATTTGATAATTTAATTTAGCTAATTTGTTGCTGAATATACAAATGTATTCAACAACAAATATTTATTCAGTTCTTAGTATGGACAATGTAAGGCCATAGTATGTCAGTTCTAGGTATTCAAATTACAGCAAAAAAAAAAAAAAAAAAAAAAAAACAGACAAAATTTCTGCCCTCTTGGAGCTTACATTCTAGTTTTATTTCTACTACAAAAAAATTAAATATTATTTCCACAAAGCTTTTTGAGCTGCAGAGAAATTCTGTGTGCAAAGTATGGACACAGAGATTGCTCTGTGGTTTGAGTACCAAGGTGTCCCTTGAGGAACATGGTGTTTATTCTCCAACATATTCCTTCATTATTTAGCCCCAAACTCAGCTACAAGTTAACATAGAATCTTATAAGAGGAGGAGGAGGAGGAGGAAGATGAGGAGGAGGAAGCATGATCTGCAAATGCAGCTTCAAGGTAATTCTTTTCTTCCCTCCATACCAGTAAGATGATTTTCTTCAACTCTTTCCAAATAGAATGCTACGTAATGACTTAAAGCCCCAGCCCCTGTTTGAAGCAGTGTTTCTTCTCTTTATCAGTCCATTCTCACATTGCTATAAAGAAATACTTGAGACTTCGCAATTATAAAGATAAGAGGTTTAATTAGCTCACCATTCCACAGGCTGTACAGGAAGCAGAGCAGCATCTGCTTCTGGGGAGGCCTCGGGGAGCTTTTACTCATGGCAGAAGGCAAAGATGGATCAGGCATCTTCGATGGCAGGAGCAGGACCAAGAGAGAGATGGGGTAAGTGCTACACACTTTTAAACAACCAAGTCTCATGAGAAATCTATCACAAGAACAGCACTGGGGGAAAGATGAGAAACCACCTCCATAATTCAGTCACCTCCTACCAGGCCTCACCCTGCAGCATTGGGGATTACATTTCAACAGGAGATTTGGGCAGGGACACAGATCTAAACCATATCACTTCCTGTAATTGGCTGCAGGACACCTTTATCTAAAATGACCTATCACATACTGGGTTGTGGTCAATACAACCCAGCTCACAATTGGGCTTTTATTTTTTACCATATCCCTCTATCACTCTGTACTTTCATTTTCTCTATTATTTTAATTTACTAGATGGTAGATGCTTCTATACAAATATTTTTTAAGATCTGAAACTGATATAATCAAAGTCCTTCCTTTCAAATAAGAAAAAATGACACAAAGAGATTAAAATTTATTATTAAAAAGCTAACTATGTCCACCAAGTCTAGATACTTCTCCCACTGGGTAGAACTTATTTTTGTAATATGTGGGCCCCATCCTTGACTCTGAAACTCCTTTTAGCCCATTCTTGTTTTATTAAGCCACTCTTCTGAATATAAAGATGGTAAAGGTAATGACACCAGAAACTCAGTCACATGATAGTATGGGGTGATCATAATGAACACAATGTGGTGGGAAAATACTTTCTACTCCAGACTTCAACCACCCCACCTCCACATACACAGATTCTTCTCAACAAGCAATGGTATCATCAGTGGACAGTATAAAGGGATATCAGTAGACATTAGAAAACTATTGAAAGTATATATGTGGCAGTGATACAAGACCTCTACTTCTCCTTCTGCAAGGTCTTCCTTCTTGAGAGAAATAGAAAGGGCCCTTGGGATGCTGCCTTAGGAGCAGAGAAACTCACCCTTTGGCTGTCAATGCTGTACCTTTCAGAGATGGTAGTGACAGGACATAGTGAGAGTCCCCAGCTAGAAAGGGGAATGCAGGAATCCACTCCGAAATGATTGATCTAAGATTACAATACAGCATGCTTCAGGCCAAGGGGACACACCAGGGCTCCAGACTCCAGTGAAAGTGAGTACAGACTGGAGCTGACACAAGTGAACCCCTTTGGAATGGGAATATTCAATTGATTGATTGGATTCACCTAGGCTGGAGGGAATGGAAATAGAAATGACCTCTAACTTCGTTTTCTTTTGGGGCTGAGTGTGTGTGTATGTGAGTGTGTGTGTGTGTGTGTGTGTGTGTGTATGTGTGTGTAGTGGGGGACTCCAGTAGTGTTGGTCAAGCTGCACACCACTTCTCATTCTTATACCTGTAAAAAAGTTCTCATTACCTGGCATCCAGGTAAGTTTGATGAGCCCCTGTATTATGAGCCCTATTTTTAATTCAGGGACTCATCAAACCACTTTGGGCACTTCAGTGCACATTGACTCTAGCCTGGTTGTCAGAGAGAATGGTGAAGGTGGTGGGAAGAGGAAATACTTTCACTGGTGAGACAGAGGTGAAGAATAATATTAATATTATTTTATAAAGAATTGTGACTTTCTGGTTCCACCTGGGCAAGATGGCTGAATAAAAACAGCTCCTATCTGTAGCTCCCAGTGAGATAAATGCATAAGGCGGGTGATTAATTGTAAAGACCATTGACACTATGAAGAAATTGCATCAACTAACGGGCAAAATAACCAGCTAGCATCATAATGACAGGATCAAATTCACACACGACAATATTAACCTTAAAGGTAAACAAGCAAAATGACCCAATTAAAGACACAAACTGGGAAAGTGGATAAAGAGTCAAGACCCATCAGTGTGCTGTATTCAGGAGACCCATCTCACGTGCAAAGACATACATAGGCTCAAAATAAAGGGATGGAGGAAGATTTACCAACCAAATATAAAACAAACAAAAAAAAATGCAGGGGTTGCAACCCTAATCTCTGATAAAACAGACTTTAAATAAAGATCAAAAAAAGACAAAGAAGGGCATTACATAATGGCAAAGGAATCAATGCAATAAGAAGAGCTAACTATCCTAAATATATATGCACCCAATACAGGAGCACCCAGATTCATAAAGCAAGTTCTTAGAGACCTACAAAGAGACTTAGACTCCCACACAATAATAGTGGGAGACTTTAATGCCCCACTGTCAATGTTAGACAGATCAATGATCAGACAGAAAATTAACAAGGATATTCAGGACTCGAACTCAGCTCTGAACGAAGCAGGCCTAGTAGACATCTACAGAACTCTCCACTCCAAATCAACAGAATATACATTCTTCTCAGCACCACATAGCACTTATTCTAAAATTGACCACATAATTGGAAGTAAAACACTCCTCAGCAAATGCAAAAGAAAAAAAATCATAACAGTCTCTCAGACAACAGTGCAATCAAATTAGAACTCAGGATTGAGAAACTCACTAAAAACTGCCCAATTAAATGGAAACTGAACAACCTCCTCCTGAATGACAACTAGGTAGGTAACGAAATTAAGGCAGAAACAAATAAGTTCTTTGAAATCAATGAGAACAAAGACACAACATACCAGAGTCTCTGGGACACAGCTAAAGCAGTGTTTAGGGGGAAATTTATAGCACTAAATGCCCACAGAAGAAAGTTGAATCGACACCCTAACATCACAATTAAAAGAACTAGAGAAGCAAGAGCAAACAAATTCAAAAGCTAGCAGAAGACAAGAAATAACTTAGATCAGAGCAGAACTGAAGGAGATAGAGACGGGAAACCCCTGAAGAAAAAAAAATAAAAAAATAAATGAATCCAGGAGGTGACTTTTTGAAAAAAATTAACAAAATAGATAAACTGCTAGCCAGAATAAGACTTCAAGCCAAAGAAAAAAAAACAAAGACAAAAAGATAGAAGAATCAAATAGACACAATTTAAAAATGATAAAGGGGAGATCACCACTGATCCCAAAGAAATACAAACTACCATCAGAGAATAGATTCAATGCTATCCCCATCAAGCTACCATTGAATTTCTTCACATAATTAGAAAAAACTACTTTAAACTTCATATGGAAGCAAAAAAGACCACGTATTATAGCCAAGACAATCCTAAGCAAAAAGAACAAAGCTGGAGGCATCATGCTACCTGACTTCAAACTATACTACAAGTCTACAGTAACCAAAACAGCATGGTACTGGTACCAAAAAAGATATATAGACCAATGGAACAGAACAGAGGCCTCAGAAATAACGCCACACATCTACAACCATCTGATCTTTAACAAAGCTGACAAAAACAAGCAATGGGGAAAAATTCCCTATTTAATAAATGGTGTTGGGAAAACTGGCTAGCCATATGCAGAAAACTTAAACTGGATGCTTTCCTTACACCTTATACAAAAATTAACTCAAGATGGATTAAAGACTTAAATATAAGACCTAAAACCATAAAAACCCAAGAAGAAAACTTAGGCAGTACAATTCAGGACATAGGCATGGGCAAAGACTTCGTGACTGAAGCACCAAAAGCAATGGCAACAGAAGCCAAAACTGACAAATGGGATCTAATTAAACTAAAGAGCTTCTGCACAGCAAAAGAAACTATCATCAGAGTGAACAGGTAACCTACAGAAAGGGGAAAATTTTTGCAATATATCCATCTGACAAAGGGCTAATATCCAGAATCTACAAGAACTTAAATTTACAAGAAAAAAACAAACCCATCAAAAAGTGGGCAAAGGATATGAACAGACACTTCTCAAAATAAGTCATTTATGCAGCCAGCAAACATATGAAACAAAGCCCATCATCACTGGTCATTAGAGAAATACAAATCAAAGCCACAGTGAGATACCATCTCTTGCCTGTTAGAATGGCGGTCATTAAAAAGTCAGGAAACAACAGATATTGGAGAGGATGTAGAGAAATAGAAACGCTTTTCCACTGTTGGTGGGAGTGTAAATTAGTTCAGTCATTGTGAAAGACAGTGTGGTGATTCCTCAAGGATCTAGAACCAGAAATACCATTTGACCCAGCAATGTCATTACTGGGTATATATCCAAAGGATTATAAATCATTCTCCTATAAAGATACATGCACATGTATGTTTATTGCAGCACTATTCACAATAGGAAAGACTTGGAACCAACCCAAATGCCCATCAATGATATACTGGATAAAGAAAATGTGGCACATATATATAATGAAATACTACGCAGCCATAAAAAAGGATGAGTTCATGTCCTTTGCAGGGACATGGATGAAGCTGGAAACCATCATTCTCAGCAAACTAACACAGGAACAGAAAACCAAACACCGCATGCTCTCACTCATAGGTGGGAGGTGAACACCAAGAACCCATGAACAAGGAGAGGAACATCACACACTGGGGCCTGTCAGGGGGTAGTGGGCTGGGGGAGGAAGAGCATTAGAAGAAATACCTAATGTAGATGACAGGTTGATGGGTGCAGCAAACCACCATGGCACGTGCATACCTATGTAACAAACCTGCATGTTCTGCACATGTATCCTAGAACTTAAAGTATAAAAAAATTAAAATTTAGGAAAAAAATGTTGAAAAAAAGAAAAAGAATTGGGACTTTAATACATCAAGCTGACAAAGTAGGACACTTACATTACACGAAATAGCTCTTATTGCCCCTGGGGTAGGAAGAAGAAATGTTTTAATCAGTGAGATGGATGGAGGTGCAGTCATCTTAATTTTATTTATAAAATAATTGTGACTTTCTTTTGTACTCCAATCTGATGAAGTAGGTTATTTATTTTACATGAAATAGCTCTTACTGAAGAATATATTTTTCAAATGCTCTCAGTAAAGCATTCCACTAATACCACAGACAATTATAAACAGATACATACATATACACACAGAGGGATATATATAATTATATACGTATTTTATCATTACTATATGATATAAAATTATATATTATACATTATATATAATTATCTTGTTATATATAATTGTATAATGTACACATATAGACATATAGAGTATACAGAATTTGAATATAAACAGTATCTTCAAGGAACTGAAACTTACGTTAGAAATACAAAATATACAGAAGTGTTTACATGCAGAATTTGACTACACTACTCTGAAATTTATTTTGAGTCATTTAAAAGAGTAAAGTTGTCAAACAGTTCATGCCATACGATTGTTAAAATTTCTAATTTAAGCTTTAGAGGCCACAGAGCCTCTAATACTAATTTCGTTTCTTCAAAAAAATCTTCTTAATTGTAAATCCAAAAGCCACTAATAAAAGTTTTATTTTTGCTCAAAACTCATCATTACAAAACCACAGCCAATGTGAAAAAAAAAATTCTTCCAAAAATTTTCAAATCCCCATAGATTTTAATTCATAATGTTAAATGAATACTTTTAAAATTAAAGAATACTAGTTTAAAATATTTCAAAGAAAATATATAATTTTCCCCTAAAGTTCCCAAATGTCAGGGATTTTGAAGTTTTTAATTATTATTCAACTCAGAGAAATAAATCTTGTTTAAAATATAACCACAGTTGTGAAATACAAGGAAACACTGAGGAACTTTCATAGAGAGGCCAAGTAGACTTGACAACTGAATGACTATGGGATTCTCCATTGGGTTCTGTGACAGGAAAAAAGGGACATTAATGGGAAAATTGTTGGAACTCAAATACCATCTTTAGTTGATAGTATTATACCAATAATAATTCCTTGGTTTTGATCATTGTACCAAGTTTATGTAAGACATTAACATTTGAGGAAGCTGGGTGAAGGCTTTACAAGAATTCTATGACTTTTGCAAATTTCCTTTGTCTAAAATTATTTAAAAATTGAAAGCTTAAGACAAATCCCTGGGTAGAAATGCACGTTCTTTCCTTATGCAATTGGGTAAACTTTAGCTATAAATGAAATACTTCTCTGCAGCATGCTTAAGAGAAGGTTTTGTGATGAGGAGCATAATTCCTCACCACCCAAAGAACACTTATTTGATGGCATCATTTGCATAAATAAGACCATTGTCTTAGTAAAAAAGTGCTTAAAAATACAGTAATTAGTGACTTTCCAAAACTATGATAATAATAATGATTGAACTTACTTCATTGCAGTCTGTCTCCTCTACATTATTATGCTAAGCTATAATTACCATGTTTTCTTCTCCAGAGTAATTTTTGATTCTAAAATTCTAGGTAAAAAGTGCTTTTACAGATTGCCTTCCACAGTGTTCTTTGGGACCTTGTCATAATGCTATAAATACAGCAGAATCAGGAAAGGTAGGCTGAAGGGGTAATACCCTAGAGGGTTTGTTAAAGAAATAACAAATGGGTTTCAGTATGAAACAGTTTCATTTTAAGTTTATACCAAAAGTATTAGCCCTGAGGGCTATGCTATTGAGAAGTTCAAGTTCAATCTAATATCACTGTGAATAAAGTACAAAGGCCATAATTACGGCCTGTCTTCAGATCCCTAAATTTCAATTTCTCCAAATTATTCTTGGTCAGCCAACATGACTTTTATCCTCAAAGGGATAATGTAATATCTAAGAAATAGGATTGCCTTGACTCACATCTCCTTCTGGCCTTCCCCCATGACATAAACCCTACCTTCCAGACACTTACTGTGTTTCAAATTCCTGATAACAGCAGGGTCGAAGGAAAAGCAAATATATTGCTTAAGAAACCCATGCACATAGTCCACTAATATACAGTCCAGGAAGATTAATTTTTTAGATTGGTTAGTTTTAAACTCAAGAGAGAGAGAACTGGTATAGGATAAGAAGAACTCGAAAGTCCAAGAGTATCAGCTCCCTTCTAGGGAGAAGAGTAAAGCAAAGAGTAATAGGAGAGTTAGGGTCTGGGAAGAGAGGAAGATAGTGGCAGAGGCACTAATGAGAACTTCACCTGCTTAAAACTGTTCAAGAGGAAAGCCTTCTAAGACAACATATCAAGGGTGATGATGGCTCTGAAGCAGTTGGGATGCCTTAAAGTCATACTATGCAGAAAAAGGGAAAAACAAATTTACAGCTGTGAGTTAGCTTATTCTGAATTTTAGCTGATGCCAATTAAAAGATGCTATCTGAAATATTCACACAATTTACTTGGAGTTCTAATCTCAAAAATATATGCCAAAGAGACCTGTCATAAAGTCAATCGATGCAGAATAATGGCTATTGTTGGAGGGGAAAAATAGCACCAAAGTTGTTTTAAAACCACAATGTATCCCATCAAAAGTTTCAATACAGTATATTCATCTCCAAGCTAACTTTTCTCCCACTGGAATAATATCTTTATTTGAAATCAGACAAATATAAAATACTAGAAAAAACACAAAGAAATTACATAGTTGAACTATTGCTACTTTATTTCAGTTATTTTAAAGCTGTAGGTAGGAGAGTTATACTAAATGCTTCCAGCATTTTGAAAGCCTCCACTTTGGCAGCCCCTCAAGGAAATTTGTCACTCTTTGTGCCACTGTTTGTATCTCCAGCTGGCTTTCCAATATCTTGAAACTGTTTGGAAGAAGTCGTTACATCTTCCCAGACTGAAGATTTTTAATTGATGTAAACATAATTATTGTATGATTTCAACACCTCCCCTTTCTGCAATGTTCTTTCCAAAACTATTTAATTATTTTCTTTAAGGGTTTGGCCCAAACACAATCACAGCTTCTTTGTTGAAACGATTTCTCACCTTTTAAAATATAAACTGGCAGGAGTTGATTTGTATTTTACTATATTTTATTTATTTGTATTTGGTTTTTTACAGTGAATAATACTTTTGGAGTTAAACCTTGCCCTATGCATCTATCTTATTGAATCTTGGGTCCCCACCTCTCCAGACAGAACCAACTTAATGAGTGTGTGACCTGTGCAGTCACATAGGGCACCACACTCAAAAGGGCACTGTGCTGGCTTTCATACTACACTATCACTATCTGAAAATTCTTAACGATTTTTGAGCAGGGTCCCCACAAATTATGTAGCTGGCTGGAGGGAACACCTTCACTCTATAAAACTCAGCCTGAAGACTGTTCCATAGTCCATCTGCTTAGCCAGCATTCCCAATGCAGGATCAGCTTGTGCCAATCCCGAATAAATTCAGCCTCCTAGCATCATTTTTCAGAAAGCTACTACAGGTTTGCTTCTTAGGAGCCAACTTTAAAAGGTAAGTAATGAGAGGAGAAGAAAGTGTGTATGGGGAAGGATACAGAAAAACTCTTAGAAAATGTTTTGTGGATTTTTTAAGTTAGACTCGGCATGAATTTTGTGCTTCTAAAAGGCAGAACTGAACTCTAAATATCACTTTCTATGACTATACACCATAAACAGTTAGTACGAAAAAATTAAATGAACATTGTAATGTGATAGCTTACAAGTTAGAGGGGACTGTAGAAAGCATGTAGTTCAAACTTCTGTTTCTACTTCACCAGGAACTTGAAAATAAGAAAGCCCAAAAGCTCACATGTAGTTAGGAAGTCAGCTGTGACCAAAATCCAGGTATTCTGGTTGGCAGTCCAGGGTGCTGTCAAGCTCACCACTCTGCTATAGAAAAACTAAGTGCCCTTTACAGAGCTTGTCTGGTACAAACACAGTTGTGCTGTTGCTAAGGATGGGGCCAAGACACATCCATACCTCTTAAAAGTCCCCACCTTTCCGTGGGGCACCCAAACTCTGTTAAGGTCAGATCCAGAGAATCATTAGAGCCTGCTGGGCTGACCTCAATAATCAGCAATAATTGCTGAGAGTCTACATTGTTATCATTGAAGGATGGAAGTGGGGAGAACTTATAAAGAATATATTTTTAAGTTTTTTTTATACAAAAGGTATACTGAGGCTCTCGCTGTATATAATCCTGTGTTTTTGACTTGTTTAAATATTGCCAGTTGTGAATAGCAGTCCTGTCTTCATTTGTAATGGTATACAATGTCCAAAAAGACTTCTTTTTTGGACACTTTTCATATTTATTATTGATTTGTATGGGGGTGGGTCCTTCAGCTGTACATGACATTTGAGAACAAAGGAAAAGTTCCTTTCTGCCTTTGTTGTGAAGTTAGAGCTCCCTCCAGTGATCTGTCTCATTGATTGAACTTCAAAACACCCTTTCTTTCCAACTGTTCTCTACATTCAAATACATCTAAGCTTTAGCCTTCTCAATGCAGATTTTTTCCTTTTAAAATTAAATTTATACAGTAACACATACATATAAATTTCTCCTAAAATCTTGTTAAATATCCATTTTCATTTATCCTCTAATAGCCTATCTAGAGGACAGTATCAACAAAAAGAAACATGGTCAAGGAATTTTCACTTTGACAAACTACCCATTTATGGTTATTATTTATAAACTTTGTGATTCTGCAGTTGAACGTTTACTTTCATAATTATTAGCCAACAAAGAAAGTAGATAGGGTAAATGCCCTACCATTTACATTGGAGTTGTTCTTCATATTTCAGAGACTTTATTCAGAAACTGAGATATCTTTTTAGATTTCTCAGAGTCATATTTTCATTCTTCCCAGAACTGCCTCCAATTTAATGGCTTTTACAAGCCATTGATAATGCCAATATCAGTGATGCCATATAACTAGATTAACTAAAGATGTAACCCAAAGGGATACATGAATAATAACCAAGTGTCAAGTGGACATTAAATCACTTTTGACCAGTGAGAAAATGAGTTAAGAATTTTGTAGTTTGTTTATTTACTTATTTGCTTATTCAGTTCCTTTGAACGCCAGATGAGGTGCTTTCTTGCTCTATATCATTGAATCACCTCCAAGGTAATTAATTAATGTGATGCTCTCTCAACCCTGTGTATGTCTATTCTCTCTCTTTTGTTCCTTCCTCCTCTTTTTCATTTTTTCATCTCTCCCTTTCTCCTTTCCCATTTCTCATAGGTTTCATTGAGACTCAAAGCCTTAGAGCTTTTAAACATGTTAAAGATAATCTAACACAACGCTTTGATTTTATAAAGGAGAAATTCAAGAAGGTTGAGAAGGTTGGCTCAGATCACACCAGAGTTTTCTTTTTCTTCCTCCTGTGCTTGTGCCAAGGCCATAAATACCCATTAGGTTTGGCAAACTTCTGGGCATTGCTTAGACAGCTGGCCCTGTTTTACTCCAGTTCATTGTCCGAGGTTTGGGTCAATGCCCAAAACCATGTATGCAGCAATGGAAATAAGGCTGATAGAAATAGCTTTCTGGTTGAAGAGACCTTGGAAGATTGAAAACCAGGGGACATTGCATCAGCTTATAATATTTCACAAATATGGAATCTAGTATTTTAGGATTTTTTTCTAAAAAATGGCTTGCTTTTGCCCCTTTAAACAAACATAAGAGAATTTCATTTTACATCACTTTTCTTGACAACAATGTCAATAATATTGCCTTATATTTCTCTAGCGTGTTATACTTTACAAAGTTTTTTCATTTCCTATACTGGTTCAGGTAACCAGAACGCGATCTCCTAGAAGGTCAAGGAACAGAAGTACAGAGGGCAGAATGCAAGGAAGCAAACTCTGACAGAGTTTAATGGAGCTTCCATATTTAGCACTTGGAATAAGAAGGTTATTGATATATGGAAAGTTAGAGCAAATTGCCTAGCCAAGAAAAATTACTGCAGCCTCTACAACAAACACAGGTGTTCTGTCACCATTAGCCACTGCCTGGAAGTCCAGTAGGAGGAATAAATCTAATGCTAGTCACAGGTGTTTAACCTGAGAAGCAAAGTTTCCCTTAAAGAAGTTCACCCACCTGGGTCAAAATGGTAAATGAAAAAGTTTGAGAACTTCCAGCCATCTTGCTAACCTACATTTCTTATGCTGTTCCAGTAGTTTTGCTAGATATAAGCTATTTTTGTAAAAAAAAAAAAAAAAAGCAATTGAAAAATTTATTGATAAAAAATTCCTCTGTAGAGAAACACAGCAATCTCAGCATTACTTACAAGTCTCAGTTTCTATGAGCAAAAGATTAGTTTCTATGAGAGGAACAAATCAAACCTCTTATTCACATGCTGTGGATCTCAAATGTTAGTAATCACAAAAATTACCTGGGGACCTTCTCAAAGCGCACATTACAAGACTGCCCCCCAAAAAGTTCTCTTTCAGTAACCTCAAGGCGCAATGAAAGCATATTTCTTTTAATCAAGAACTCCAGGTTATTCTGATATTGACTGTCTGGGTACCACACTTTGATAAAACAATTACATAAACTATGAATTTAGTGAAATATGGTATTAGCCCATTCTCATGCTGCTATGAAGAAATATCCAAAACTGGGTAATTTATAAAGACAAGATGTTTAATTGACTCACAGTTCTGCATGTCTGGGGAAGCCTCAGGAAACTTACAATCACGGCAGTGACACCGCTTCACAGCGTTGCAGGAGAGAGAATGAATGCAAGCAGGAGAAATGCTAGATGCTTATAAAACCATCAGATCTTGTGAGACTCACTCACTATGGGAACAACATGGGGAAAACTCCACCATGATTCAATTACCTCCACCTGGTCCCACCCTTGACACGTGGGGATTATTAGAATCCAAGATGAGATTTTGGTTGGGGACATAGCCAAACTATATAAAATATGTATTGTGTCCAGGAATGGGGGTTGTTGACCAGTTACTTTCAGTTACTTCCTTTGACATAAGAAGAGAATTGAAGCAGAAACCACAAGTGAGCTCTATTCCTGCCTCTACACTGAGCGAGTCTCTTTAGCATTCCGAACAAACACCAGTAGCCTCATCTTTTAAGATCTGTCTTACAGAAAACACAGGGTTATGCAGAATATTTTTAAAATATCTGCATGCAAAAACATGTTTCCCAAAGCATAAAACACCAAAGTAAGGTGTTTATTTTACTAAAGAACCAAATGTCAAGGGAATTCTCTGGGATTTATAATGTACAAATATGTACTTCAATTAGAATTGCAATGTCTTCTCTCCTTTACTTGATTGTTGACAATGACTGAAGGACAATTATCTAAAATAGTGGTCCTAAATATGAATTATTTGAAGAAAATAAACAAAACGTTAAAAAATCCAAAAATTAAAATAGTAGCCCCACAAAACTAACCTTTGTCCATCAATCTGATAAAGCAATATTGCTAAATTTACCTCACTGTTCTAAGTGGTTTAAGTCAACTTCTGAAAATTGATTCCATGTCATTCATCAAGATAAGCCAAAATAATAAAAGCAGGCACCCTGGAAAAAGTAGAGATGAGGGCTTTGGACTGAGACTAAAAAATGCAAGTGTTGCCTAAACAAAGCTTCAAGCCATCTTAATACCTCAGTCCCATCATCCATAAAGTGGGGATTAATCATGATTTTCTCCCTTCAAGAGTTGCCTTAAAGGAATTACTAACACAGCAAATAGCTGTAAATTATTTTGAAGTCCTGCTGTGTTTCTACCGAATAGCAAAAGTTTGATTTAAAAGCTGGGATTTTTAGAAGCTTCATAATATTACAAAGTAAGTCACATTTCATGGCTAATTTAAAACATCAGGGGTTTTCACAAGTTACTTATAATGATATTTTCCAATTCTCATATTACTTGATAATTTATACAGCTTCAGCTTTTGCACTTGAACCCAGCTATTCCTCCGTGGCCATGATTCTCTTTTATCAATATGACCCATTCACATAGCTGTCTATATCTTCAGGGGATTAAGCACTACTTTTTATCTGGACCTGGGAAGAGTAAATTCGGAGATGATAAGAAATTCTGGTTGCAAATCCAATGTGTTATTTATTTAGATCAGAAAAAGAGCCATTATATACAGGTGGAGGAAGAATTTTTAAAGCACTGATAAAGTCTCTGTGTGTCAAATGGACTAACACTCAAATTATTTTAACAGCTTAAAGCTGTTATGAGTTGAATTAAACTTTCAGCAAGAGTCTGATTCTCCTTCTAGAATTTTAGCCTACAAAAGACAAAAAAACACATTAAGCAAAATAAAATGACAAGAGCAAAAAAAAAAAAAAAACCAAGTGCATTAAATTAAATTACAATATTAAGGTAAATAATAATTTTAAGTTTAAAAGAAAACAGGAGACATCAGAAACTCTGGACGAAAGCAGTATAAGAAATAGTAGCTGTCTGCCGAAAATAATGTATCCTAAAAATTGCCTCGGATATTAGATAAAAATATAAATCCCTAGACTCCCCTCTAGCCTTTTTGAAGCAAAATCTTAGAAAGAAGGTGCTGGAAGTCTGAATTTTTTGCTAGTGTCTGAGATTCTTGCTACATAAGGTATTGTTGGTGGGCCAGTAGTATCAGTATCATCTAGAAGCTTGTTAGAAATACAGAATTCCAGGTTCCACCCCAGACCTGTTGAATCTATACCTGTCATGTAACAGGATCCTCATGTATTTGTATACACACGGAGGTGTGAGTGGCACATCAGATAATTTTTATATTCTAACAACTTTGGGAAATGGTTATCATGGAAAGAGTCAGATGATTTAGTTTGGAGCCAAGCCCTGACTCTGCCACTAACCAACCCTGAGCTTCCTCCTCCCTAGAGGGAGTAGAGTAAGAGGTTTAGTGTGAGTTCTGCATCACTAAACAAATGATCTTTTTAATTGTGATGAGCCATCAAAGGTCAAGAGTTCTAAGATGTTCTTCTTTGGAAAAAAGAGATAGGAAATATTAGGTAGGCAAAGATTGTTATTAAATAGTTTTTGAGGAAATACTACATTACAGACACTGTGCCAGATAATTAAAAACTATAAGCCTCCATAGAACCAAATAGTGCGCGCGCGCGCACACACACACACACACACACACACACACACACACACACGTAAAGCTGGTGAAATCAGAATGAAGTGAGTGGATTGGACCAACGTCAATTTCCTCGTTGTAATATTGTTCTGTGGTTATACAAGGTGTTGCTATTGGGAGAGACTGAGTGAAGGGCCTATGAGACCACTCTGCATGAATTTTTATAACTGCATGTAACCCTACAATTACCTCAAATTAAAAACTTAGGAAAAAAAAACCTCCCAGTTCCACAAGGATCCCCATTTTATGTGTGAGAAATCTCAGGCTTAGAAAGATTAACTTTGGCAACTCTTCCTACCCATAATATAGGTAAATTTGAATGACAGTAGCCTTTAGTCCATGATGAATCAAAAAAGAAATTCACAGAGTGAAATGCATCTCTGTGTCTTCTATTTTACACTATGGTGTATAAATGTCACTGCTTTTAACCTATTCATTAATAAAGACACTATTGAATCCAGGTTCTGTATTAATTGAGCTTAAGTCAAAGCAGGAAGGAAAAAAAGGGGAAAATACATCTCTCAATCACAAATACTATTAGATCTACTATCAAGGACCATGAAATAAGGAGTTTAAAAAAAATACAATTTAACTTACTATTAGGTTTCTATCTCTTCCTTTGTTTCACACTTTGAAGAGAAAATATTTTATTTCTTAAGAGGGACAAGCACTATAAACATATTCCAAATTGTAAATCAAAATCAACAAAAAAAATCTTTTCAACTTGTAAGCACTGTTTTTAAATATTATTTTAAAAAATATTTCTAACAAAACCTCTTTAGAGAGAGGGAGAGAAATAAGAAAGAAAAAATGAGAGATGGAAGAAGGGGAAGGAAAGGAAGAAAGAAAAAGACAGTGAAAGGGAGGAAAGAATAGAATGAAGGAAGAAAGGAAGGAAAAAATGAAAAAGAATATGAAGAAATAAAAAAAGATTGGAAGGAAGGTAGGAAAAAAGAGGGGGAAAAGGAAGAAAAAGTCTCAGAAAAGAGGTTAAAAATATAATCAGGGCTAAAAAATACTCTTGACACGTTTTAATGAGCAAAAAACAAAAACAGTAAATTCCTAAAGTAAGCAGTCCCTAGAGGCTTTTTAATATCCCCCCTCAAGATTAGTATACACATTCTCGACCTATCGAATTGGAACATATACCTTAAAAATAGTTATTTCTGGTAAAGATGGACATATTCATACCAGTGGAATGGAACATGTATAACCTCTGTGGAACACATTTAGGTAGTACACCTCAAAAAGTCCAGGCAAAGACTTCCATGCAAAGATATTCATCATGTCATCATTTCTAACAGTGGATGGCTCGTGGATCTTCACTGAAAGAGAAGGAAGGCTCTTTCTCCACTACATAGGCAACTGTAGGAGTAGAGTGAAAATAAAGAAGCTGGAAAAAGGTGCAAAGACTGAACAGAGGGCTTGAGGTACATCCCCAACCAGAATTTCCCAAAGAAATGAGGTATGGCTAGTACAAAGGCCAAGCACTCTCCGTCATGTGAGCCCTGCCTACCCAGCCCCTTTGTGCACCTTTGGTAAAGATTAGAAATCGGTGGGGGTTTTACAATCATTTATGTCAGTATTTTTCTGTGTTTTCATTTTCCTAAGTTTCCTATAGAAAATTCTGTTTCAGAGAGTTTGACCTTGTTTTGCCCCCATCTCAGTTAAACTAGAAGAAGAGCAGTATTATACCTGAAGTAGGCCAGTGAGATGGTGGTTTCGGTTGACATCTCTGCTTGGGCCCAGGAGAGGTTATTAGAGAGGGGAAAATATTGGAAGAGGTTATCTAGCTGTGACTGCATATGCTGCTCCCTTCTCATTTGGAACTTGATTTCTATTTTACATACAAAATAAACTAGACTCTTTGGCTGTAATTTGCACCATCATAATACTAAAAACAAGCTATGCCTTTAAATATGAATCAAAGGAATTTCAAAAATAAATGGAAGTTTAAGCACCAAAAGTCTATTTACATACTATATTTTTACAAGGTAGGTGCTTTGAGTCCCTATATGTGCATGAATGCATGTGTGTTAAGAGTATCTGTGTATGATAAGCTGTAAGATTTCTTCCCTCCACATGAACATAAAACAGAGAACACTCAAGTTCTCATAAAGCCTTGTAGCTCTTCTTGAACATAAAAATCCTTTATGAGCAAGTAAGTCAGTCAGCTCAGGGAGAAGAAAAAGAGAAATATAAATGGTAGTTTAAAAATTAGCCAAACCTAGGATAACCACCAGGGATCTTGCTGCCTCCTGCATGGCAACAGGCAAGATTGGACATTCCCCTTGCTCTCAGCCCTAAAGGGAATAGGCACACAAGCCTCACGTGATTATCCATCTCCTATGCATGAACGTAGTCAATCATCTTCAGCTGTGAACAAAAGCCAAAAGCAGGATTCTACTTCTGGATAGTAAAGAATTTAAGGGTAATAAAGGTTAAGGAGAGGAGGCATCCCATAGCCATCTATGCTAGCTATGGTTTCTATACGTTTTCTGTACAAACAGCAGTTATACAGAAAGCATTCTATCATTATTTTTGATGAAAAATCCATACACAAATAAAGCAAATTCATGCAATAGTAGTAAAATCTCATCTGAGAACATTCAATATCTTTGAAAAATTTAGCCCATAGATGTGTAACTCAAACTGTTTACTGGATTGTGATGGTTAATACTGCATGTCGACTTGATTGGATTGAAGGATGCAAAGTATTGATCCTGGGTGTGTCTGTGAGGGTGTTGCCAAAAGAGATTAACATTTGAGTCAGTGGGCTGGAAAAGGCAGACCCACCCTTAATCTGGGTGGGCACAATCCAATCAGCTGCCAGTGCAGCTAGAATACAAGCAGGCAGAAAAATATGAAAAGAGAGAAGGGCCTAGTCTCCCAGCCTACATCTTTCTCCAGTGCTGGATGCTTCCTGCCCTTGAACATTGGATTCCAGGTTCTTCAGTTTTGGAACTTGGACTGGCTCTCCTTACTCCTCAGCCTGCAGATGGCCTATTGTGGGAACTTGTGATCTTGTGGGTTAATACTTGACATATATATATTCTATTAGTTCTGTACCTCTAGAGAACTCTAATACATAGATCAAACAAGCTAGCAGATATGCAATAAGTGGAGTTCCAAACATTATCAAAATAATGTTGGACTTCTGGAGTCTCCTGTTCAGGCTTGCCATTTGATATTTCTAGTTTTTATCTTTACCTTTAAAAATATCCACCATTTTATAAAGTTTACATAGATTTGGCATAAAAGTGGTTTCCCTTTGCTATGAATGCCAACAGCTGTATATAGTTCTAGTCTTGTGTTATATATGTATCTTGTATATAAGTATATATTCCTAGTCATATAAAGTTTATGTGACAGAACACACTTTGATGTGTCTATTGAGAAAAAAAAAAACTCTACATTATCTTGTTAAAACAAGTTCAATGTTGCTTCTTAGAAAATAACTTTTTCAGCATAAAAGTATGGCTTATTTCTTTGTTGATTTAGCAGAGCAATCACCCATTGAGCCCCAATCTAAGGTCAAAGTCAATAAGGTTGATACAGGATGACGATATAATTTATTGACCAAACTGGGACCCTTTTGATAGTAAATCAGACCTCTAAATAGACAGGTAACGCTGGATGCGATGCCTGGCCACCCTAGTTATGTCCCAGACTGAATAGCTGTTTCTTGGTGTGTTTATCATATTGCAATAATTGGAGTTACAGCTTAAGATATAATTTATTTTTCCCAGAATGTAAAAATTTAAAAGTCAAATAATGCAACAAAGACAGAAATAACAGTAATGTAAATGATCACAAGACAGCAGGAAAACTCTTCACTCTTTACCCACTCTGGGTTTGCTCCTGTCTGTCTCAGTGGCCCTATGTGACTGTGCTACATGCCCCCGTCATGCTCCTGCTAGGCAGCAGGCTACACACAAGACAGCATTAGCCCAGCCACGATATCAGCAAAAGCCTCACTAGGTGATTATTTCAAATAGAAATTGGAAATAAGATCTGTCATAAAGCCACTGTGGAGAGCATGTTACACCTAGAAAAAAATAAATATTTTATCTTGATATCTGTTTGCAGTCCCAGTGGTGGAGAAACCAACTTTCAGAATACCTTGTCATCTTTACCTATCTTCCCCTGCTCATTCTACGCTCAGTCTACCTAAACCTCCCCTTTACTATCTTAAAGCATTGATAATCCTGCTGTTGTTACTTTTTCCTTTTTATGACTTTCAGAAAATCTAAAACTTTCTAAAATCTAAAACTTTCTGGTACACAATTCATATTCTTAAAAGTTACAAAGTAAAAGAAACTAGTTCATTTTGTGCCTTTTTCATTTCGATTTTTCATTTCGATTTCGATTTCATTTCGATATCTGATTTTCCATAGGCGTTTTATATACATCCAGAGGCATGAATCCAGATACTTTTCACAAAGATAATCCAGAGAAGAGAGGGTAACATTTATTGTAGACTCGCCACATTTCTGGTAAAGGAAGAGAAAACTAAATAAGCTTCTACTTCTAAAGGAAAAGAAAAAAATAACACGATAAAGGGAATCAGAATTACATTCTACATATGAACCTCTCTCTACCTGGCACCAAATAGATCTTAAAAATATGTTGCCCCCCAAGCCAAAATGTTGATTACAAAACAAGATAATATCTAGGTATAATGTACACATATGTATTGCTCAATAAATTATTTGTGCAAAGCGAACACACCTGTGTAATCAATTTGCAGATTAAGAAATAGGACAATGATGGCATCTCCAAGCTACCTCCATGACCTCACATAATCAATATACTTTCTTCTCCAAAAATAATAACCTTTCTGACTTCTATCACCATTGATTAGCTCTGCCTGTTTCAGGATTTCATATAAATGGAATTACACAGGATAAACTTTTTAAGTGTCTGGATTGTTTTTAGTCAATATTAAGTTTATGAGACTTATCCATGTTGTTGCATTAAATAGTAGTCATTTATTCTCACTGATATATGGTAATCCCTGGTATAAATATGCCACAATTTATTTATCTGTTCTACTGCTAATGGATAGGTAGGTTGTTTTCAGCTGGGGGCTATGACAAATAATGGTACTACAAATATTCTTAAATATGTCTTTTGGTGCATATGCATACACATTTCTGTAGGGTACAAGAATGGATTGCTGGTCAAGTGGTAGGCATAGATAACTGCCAAGTAGTGTTACAAATAAGTTGTATCAATTTACACTCCCACCAGCAGTGTGTAAGAGTCCCTGGGCCAGACACCTTGGCTCATGCCTGTAATCCCAGCACTTTGAGAGGTTAAGGTGGGTGGCACTTGAGGTCAGGAGTTCAAGACCATCCTGGCTAACATGGTGAAACCCCGTCTCTACTAAAAATACAAAAAATTAGCTGGGCGTGGTGGCAGGCACCTGTAGTCCCAGCTACTTGGGAGGCTGAGGCAGGAGAATGGCATGAACTGGGGAGGCAGAGCTTGCAGTGAGCCGAGATCGTGCCACTGCACTCCAGCCTGGACGACAGAGAAAGACTCTGTCTCAAAAAAAAAAAATGCAAAAATTAGACAGGCATGGTGTTGCACACCTGCAGTCCCAGCTACTCAAAAGGCTGAGGTGGGAGGATCACTTGAACCTGAGAGGCACAGGTTGTAGTGAGCCGAGATTATGCCATTGCACTCCAGCCTGGGTGACAGAGCCAGACCCTGTCTCAAAAAAAAAAAAAAAAAGAAAAGAAAAGAAAAATAATTCCCATTGTTCTATATCATATTCTCATAAAAATAGGTACTGCCAGTCTTTTAAAATTCAACCATCATGGCAGGTGTGTAGTAGTATCTTATTTTGGGTTTAATTTAGATTTTCTTGCCTACTAATGAGATCAAAGTATGTTGTCATATGTTTATCATTATTTGGATATTCTCTTTATGAAATTTTTGTTCAAGTATTTTGTCCATTTTTCTACTTGATTGTCTTTCTTTTTCTTACTGATTTGTAGGAATTCTTTGCAGATTTTAAGTTCTATTAAGAATATAATCCCTTGGGTATATACCCAGTAATGAGATTGCTGGGTCAAATGGTATTTCTGGTTCTAGATCCTTGAGGAATTGCCACACGGTCTTCCACGATGGTTGAACAAATTTACACTCCCACCAACAGTGTAATAGCATTCCTATTTCTCTACATTCTCTCCAGCATCTGTTGTTTCCTGACTTTTTAATGATCGCCATTCTAACTGGCATGAGATGGTATCTCATTGTGGTTTTGATTTGCATTTCTCTAATGACCAGTGATGATGAGCTTTTTTTCATATGTTTATTGGCCACTTAAATGACTTCTTTTGAGAAGTGTCTGTTCATATCCTTTGCCCACTTTTTGATGGGGTTGTTTTTTTCTTGTAAATTCATTTAAGTTCTTTATCAATGCTGGATATTAGCCCTTTGTCAGATGGATATATTGCAAAAATTTTCTATTCTGTAGGTTGCCTGTTCACTCTGATGATAGTTTCTTTTGCTGTGCAGAAGCTCTTTAGCTTAATTAGATCCCATTTGTCTATTTTGGCTTTTGTTGCCATTGGTTTTGGTGTTTTAGTCATGAAGTCTTTGCCCATGCCTATGTCCTGAATGGCATTGCCTGGGTTTTCTCCTAGGGTTTTTATGGTGATAGGTCTTACATTTAAGTCTTTAATGCATCTCAATTAATTTTTGTATAAGATGTAAGGAAGGGGTCCAGTTTCAGTTTTCTGCATATGGCTAGCCAGTTTTCCCCACACCGTTTATTAAACAGGGAATCCTTTCCCCATTGCTTGTTTTTCTCAGGTTTGTCAAAGATGAGATGGCTGTAGATGTTGGCATTATTTCTGAGGCCTCTATTCTGTTCCATTGGTCTATATATCTGTTTTGGTACCTGTACCATGCTGTTTTGATTACTATAGCCTTGTAGTATAGTTTGAAGTCAGGTAGTGTGATGCCTCCAACTTTGTTCTTTCATTCTACCATAAAGACGCATGCACACGTGTTTATTGCAGCACTATTCACAATAGCAAAGACTTGGAACCAACCCAAATGCCCAACAATGATAGACTGGATAAAGAAAATGTGGCACGTATACACCATGAAATATTATGCAGCCATAAAAAAGGATGAGTTTATGTTTTTTGCAGGGACATAGATGAAGCTGGAAGCCATCATTCTCAGTAAACTAACACAGGAACAGAAAGCCAAACACTACATCATCTCACTCATAAGTGAGAGTTGAACAATGAGAACACATGGACACAGGGAGGGGAACATCACACACTGAGGCCTGTCAGGGGGTGTGGGGCTAGGGGAGGGATAGCATTAGGAGAAATACCTAATGTAGACAATGGGTTGATGGGTGCAGCAAACCACCATGGCACGTGTATACCTATGTAACAAACCTGCACCTTCTGCCCATGTATCCCAGAACTTAAAGCATAATAATAAAAAAAGAAAATAAATTAATCTTACTGTTAAAAAAAGAGATATTTGTACTCCCATGTTTACTCCTACATTACTCATAATAGCCAAGATACAGAATCAAACTTAGTGTCCAGCCACAGATCAATAGTTAAGAAAAATTAGCCTTGAAAAATGAAGTAAATTCTGCCATTTGTAATAACATGGATGAACTTGGAGGACATAATGTTAAATAAAGTAAGCTAGTCACAAAAAATATATATATATACACATATGTATATACGTGTATATACACATATATATGCATATATATATATATATATATGCCAGGCATGGTGGCTCTCACCTATAATTCCAGCAGTTTGGGAAAAGGAGATGGAAGGATCACTTAAGCCCAGGAGTTCAAACCAACCTGGGCAACATAGCAAGAACCTATATCTATAAAAAAAAAAAAAAAAGTTTAAAAATTAGCCAGGCATAGTGGCACATGACTTCAGTCCCAGCTACTTGGGAGACTGAGGCAGGAGGATCCCTTGAGCCTAGGCGTTCATGGCTGTAGTCAGCTATAATCACACTACTGCACTCCAGCCTGGGCAACAGAGTGGGACTCTGCCTCTATATATATATATATATATATATATATATGCATTAAAAATGTATTCCCCAATGCTGTTTCTGTGGCTTGCCTTTTTATTCTTATGCACCATTTTATTCCTTTCTTATAATTAGTGTGGTCCAAGTATCAACCCTCCCTTTTTGTTTGTGCTTTTTGTATGCTATTACATAAAGACATCCTTTTAAATTTTCCTTTAGAAGTCTTACTCATTCATTTTATATTTAACTGGAATTTGACTGTATCTTTATGTGAGGTAGGGAGTAAATATTCTTTTTAAAATACAGATATCTAATTTATTGAATTTGTCAATTTCTGCAAAAACTCATACTTTTCTCCCTGCATGGTAGAGTAATTTTGTAATAAGTGAGCATATGTGTGTAGCTTTATCTTTAAGATATCAATATGACTTTCTTCTTTTGATATTTATGCATTCCACAGTTTATGTCCTATTTTTTAATGCCAATTAAAAATACCTTCTCACTGCCTTGTGTTTGTTTTATTCATAGTTTTGTTCTCTTTCTTTATTTTATTTTATTTTTTTCTGACACAGTCTCACTCTGTCACCCAGGCTGGAGTGCAGTGATGCAATCGTGGCTCACTGCAACCTCCGCCTTCTGGGTTCAGCTGATTCTCCAGCCTCAGCCTCCCAAGTAGCTGGGATTACAGGCATGCGCCACCAAGCCTGGCTAATTTTATATTTTTAGTAGAGGTGGGGTTTCACCACGTTGGCCAGGCTGGTCTTGAACTTCTGACCTCAAGTGACCCACCCACCTTGGCCTCCCAAAGTTTTGGGATTACAGGCATGAGCCACTGCACCTGGCCTTTAGTTTTGTCCTTTTAAAAAAGTGTATTTCTTCTTCCCAATACTCAGAAATTTTCTAGTTCTTTTGCAATTGACTCCTAGTTTTAATTCTAATATAATCAAAGGAGATCGTTTTCATGATTTTTGTAGTTTGAAATGTATTAAAACTTTCTTAATAGCCCAGCGTATTCCATAGAGAAAATCTTAAAGCCCAGTATAAATCTAATACAAATATAGCTATAATGACACATTTTTAGTTAATATATACTTGTAATTTTTTCTAACACTTGATTTTCAACATTTCTGTATCCTTTTATTTTAGGTATATGTATTTTAAGCAGCTTATAGACGTTTTGGGTTTTATTCAGTCTAATAATTTATTTTGTTTACATTTAACGTAATTACTTCTATACTTAGATTTAAATAGCCATTTTATTACTTACTTCTAGCTTCCCCACATTTCTTATGTGTCTTTCTTACTTTTTTCTTGCAAGAAAGCCTAACAGCTTATACATTCTTTTACTTACAGTGAAAATAATGGAGGTTACAACAAAAATTCTTAGCATAGTATAATCTAACATAAACTAGAGTTGTATTATTTCTCAGAAAACGCTATGTTCCTAGTACACTTTAATCTTATTTTCCTGCTTCCTACCTTTTTTGTTATTATTGTCACAATTTTGATTCACATTTGGATAAATGCCATGAGACATTACTTGTATTTTTGTTCTCATCATCAATTTTTACTAAGATTTGCTCACGTTTCCATCTTTTCCATTTGTCTTATTTTTTCTTATTTTATCATTTTTCTTTTGCCTGCAGAAATTTCTTTCATATTTATTTTAATTCAGGTCTTCTGGCAACAAATTTTCTCACTCAGTTTCTTCTTGTATGAAATGCCTTTGTCTGTCTTCTTAAAGGATATGTTTACTTAATTCAGAAATCTAAATTGACAGCTAATTTTATCCACACTTTAAAGATATCATTTAATTTGTTTTTTACTTCCATTGTTTTGTTGAAAATTCAGCTCTGCTTAGCTTTGTTTAGGGCTTATCTCCGCTTCTAAGTCTCTTGCTGTGCATGGTTTAAATTCATCAAATGCCCCAGTGAGAGGAACTATCACGTACTGTACCGTGGGCTCTCTTCTTTGCATCTCTCTTCTATGACTTTAGGCTTTCAAGTCTTGGCTGTTTTAGCACTCTCAAGCTCTAATTCTTGTCTCCTCAGTCCCATGAGATTGTTGTATCTCTGCCGGTGTTTCAGCCTCATCAACTGACCTGTCTTTGGATTTTCAGCCTCTCACCATGTGCTGCTTAAGAGCCAGCAAATGCCTTCCAGCAGAAAGCAATGTGCAAAATGTTGGTCCAACTCAATGAGCTTCTCTTCTCTTCTCTCTCCAGGATCTCAGGCCATTAGGGCCTGTCTGCTTCAGAGGCCTTCTGATATCCTTTAAAAGTTTTTTTTTTTTAATCCAGCTATTTTAGTGGTTCTCACAAGAAGCACTTGTCTATGACAATCCATTCCATCAGACATAGAAGCAGAAGTCAAATATTGTTTCTTGAAATAATAGTCCAAAACATTTTTTTCATTTTCAAGAAGGTTATGGTAAGTTTTAATATTTACAGTTATTAGCTTTCAACCAGCAGCAGCAAAATACATCCCTGCATTCACTGCCATCACCTTGGCCATGTGACTTCTTTTCATAAATGAAATGTGGACAGAAATGAATTTGGTTATGTCTAATTAGTATCTTTAAGAGATAGCTTGTAGATTACCCTGTCAGTTTCCCTCTGCCATGAAACCAACAGTAATTCAGAGTGAAGAAAAAAAGGAAGCAGAACCAGAGCAAACTGGATAAAGACATAGGACAGGTGTAAGGGCCTGAAATTTGGGGTGGTTTATACTGCAGTACCTAGCCTATTCTGACTAACACATAGTCACACAAAGGAAATTTATGTCTCCTTCATCATGTGTCAATTTACTAAGAATAGCTTCTCTTTCATCCAAGATTGCCTTGATAGAAGAAAACTAATGACTAAAAGCCAACTTCTCCCTTCTACTCACAATAGTTGATGTGGTTTAGAACTGTGTCCCTGCTCAAATCTCATGGGGAATTCTAGTCTCCATTGTTGGAGGTGGGGCCTGCTACGAGGTGATTCGATCATGGGGGTGGATTTCTCATGAATGGTTTTACACTATCCCTTTGGTACTGTTCTCGTGATAATAAGTTCTCATGAGATCTGATCATTTAAAAGTGCATAGCACCTTCTCCCTCTCCCTTGACTCTGCTCCTGCCATGTAAGATGCTTGCTTCCCCTTTGTCTTCACCATGATTGGAAGTTTTCTGAGGCCTCCCCAGAAGCAGACGCCACTATGCTTCCTGCGCAGCCTGAAAAACCGTGAGCCAATTGAAACTCTTTCCTTTATAGATTATCCAGTCTCGGGTATTTCTTTACAGCAATGTGAGAATGGACTAACACAAGAGTCTTAAGATTCTCAAAGGCAAAAAAGATGAATTAGATCCCAATGCAGTTTTGACTTTGACCTGTTTCTAAAATCTCCCATTATGAGAATTCAAGCCATTATGTAAATTCAACCATTA
The DNA here is from genome assembly GCF_000001405.40 of Homo sapiens. Lineage (NCBI taxonomy): Eukaryota > Metazoa > Chordata > Mammalia > Primates > Hominidae > Homo > Homo sapiens. The sequence goes on along the minus strand of NC_000007.14, from coordinate 108,957,062 downwards.
AAGAAATAGGTTCTTTTACCAGGAAAAGTCATTCAAAAGATTTCTAAGCCTCCTTTCATGTCCAATGATAATAAAGGCTTTTTCCTTGACTTATTCATTTCATATCATTTCTAGAAGGCTTACGTGAGAGAAAATACTTTGAAATAGAAGAAAACTTTATACAAATGCCAGGTAGTAAAAAAGAAACTATTTTTATATTTATGATCAAATTAATAGCCAAAAGGATACTTTATTTTCTAAATGCATTCATTCAATTATTATTTCAGTATTTACTAAAATAAATTCAAACTATTAGAATTCAAACTTGTTATCTGAATGGTTTCATCCTTACATTTCTTCCTGGACAATTAATGGAATTAAGTCACAAAGCTAACAATTCAACAAACTATTTTATTACATAGTTAGTGGTATCTTAGTTACAGTCCTCTGCTATTTCACATGAAGCCCTGACCTTGCCCTAAAATTAAGCTCTGATATGACGAGTAGATTTTACAACCCTGAGAAAGTGATTTCACATTAAAATAAACCTGTGACAGAAATCGTATTACAGAAAATAGGAACGAAGCAAATTCTAACTGGTATATTGTGACATAATGTGAATGAGACTGCAGTTTAGATTAAGAATATATTATCTAGTGGCTTTAAAAATACTTTTTTGTTTTTTAACTTTGAAGTGACCTGTTAAATTGATCTGTGAACATCTTGGGTGCCCTTGGAAAGTGGTGCTTAAATTCTTTTCAGTAGCGGAAACTCCTGGTTGAATTAGTGCAGACCCCAAGGAGACTCTGGAGGCTGTTGATAAATCATGTTTAAGAGCTTTTCGGACCAAAGCTCAGCTGTAAACTCAGGCAAAGCCATGAACAAATTTGCAGGTGGCAATGCCCCATAACTATTCCCTTCTAATCCAAAGTGATCCCTTCTGAGCCACTTCAGCATCAAGCAGCCCATTTATCAAATTAGGTTTAGTCATGCATATGTGTGTATATATCTTCACTTATATTCTCATCCTTTGTGCAATCAGATCTGGACCAGGTAGAGAGCAGGCAGAGTGATTCATCAGTGAGAAAGAAAAACGTAAATACGTGAATCAAAAACCAACATGTAAAGATTCACCTTTTAAATGTTAGACAAGGGTAACAATGATAGTTTTGGGGGTAGTTTATACTGCAGTACCTAACCTATTCTACTACTGAAATTATGTTACTCCTCACCAGTTTGACTATACACCAAAGTCAAAGAAAATATTGTTACTTAAATCATTTTTATCTGCTTTCTTATATTGAGTACTTTACTTTTCCTCAATATATCTTTTTTCCAAACATTCAAGAAATAGATAAGAAACTTGTGTCAATAAAAAAGTATAACCTCAGTACATTTACTGTTATCTAATACGATTCCAGACCCAACTGGCAGCAAGACAAATGGAGATTGGCCCCCTGAAGCAAATTTAGCTGAGTTAGTGTTTGAGCTTCTAGGTGAGTACTTTGGACTGTAAGCTTAAAGGCCAGGAGCAGTGGCTTATGCCTGTATTCCCAGTATTTTGGGAAGCCAAGTCAGGATTGCTGCTTGAGGTCAGAAGTTTGAGACCAGCCTAGGCAACAGAGTGAGGCCCCATCTCCACAACAACAACAACCACAACAAAAATGTAAAAATGTAGCTGGATGTGGTGACATGCAACTGTAGTGTTAGCTACTCAAGAGGCTTAGGCAGGAGGATCACTTGAGCCCAGAAGTTTGAAGTTACAGTGCACCATGATCGCACTACTGCACTCCAGCCTGGGTGACACAGAGAGATACTCTCTCTAAATAAATAAATAAAATTTAAAAGATTTTAAGCTTAGGGAGGGTAATGATCATAGTTTCACACTTTAAGGCTTATTGCAGCTTATCCAAATTGAATTTAATCCACAGACTCTTTCTCTTGCATTACATATTATGATATTATAAAAATTATAATGTATATAAATAATGGAATACTAAGGAACATTAATAATGACATTAGATAATTTTAACTTATATGGGAAAATTTCCATAATATACATTTAAGTGAAAATGAGTATATTAAACTGAATTTACAATCATGAGAATAAATGTAAAATATTAACATTTGTAGTATATATGCATGACAAAATTACTAGATCAGAAGTAGCTAATAATAACGTCATCTTACATGGATAGGAACAAGAGTAACTGACTTTTCCTTTATATTTTACTATATTTTTTATATTTTTGACAATAAGTGTATATTTATTTATCATAAGGGAAATCAACAAGCATAAAATATAAAAATTAAACAAAGTCTTCTGATGGCGTCAGCTGCCTTAGGAAAAATGCACTAATCTCATGTAAACTTCCTCCCTCTTTGCCTTCTATACTTTAGCATAATAATCTCCCCTTATAATAATGTATCCAGGGAGGGTTATGAGGGTGGTGCACTTTAGTTGCAAGCAATAAGTGGGAACTTTTTCTGTAGAACATTAAAATGCATGATAAAACCTGCTGAAAGTCAGTCTGCTTCATATTATCATCATGTGCCAGCAATTTGTTTAAGACAAAAATACTCTTCTCTACCAAAACAAAAAATTAAAAACAAAAAAAAATTCCCTCTTGTTACAAGTTCTAAATAGCTGTCTGACCCAGGGTGAAATTCTCCTACAGTTTGCCATGGGTATATCACTCTTCCCCCACTTTCCAGTAATTGCTCAAATGAACTTTTAGGTCTGGATACATTAATTCATCAGACATTGTCTCCCTCTCTTTCCTCTGCAGGACCTTCTTACAACCCTTAGATCCAATTTATATGTCTTCTATGAAAACTTTGCCAACACTCTCAGGCAAAGTTCTTCACTTCTCTATGTGAACAACCTTCACTCCTCATCCATACCTCTATTAACACACTTAGTACATGATGTTGTATTTACTGATCACATTTCATTTCCTCTTAATGATGCCCTTTTTCGATATTTACCATCACTGCTACCCTTCATCCTTCTCAAGTTGAAGCTCCAGTATGGGATAAGAAAACATGGGCAAAACAATGAGGCCAACAGGCTGGACTGTGGAATTCTTGGGGCCATATCAAGGAAGCCAAATCTCAAAGACCCAGGGAGGGATTGTCTTCTCCTAGAGTGGCTGACTTTCTTCTTGAGACGCAATTTTTGAGGTTTTGATACCATGAAAGAAAAACCTAAACGATGCATTTCAAGAAGAGTTGCTTTCCCTTAGCTATTTTTCAACTGCTCATCCTCATGCCCTTAAACAATACTATTTTTTAAGTTCGCATCAGGAGAGAAAATAGCTATGCCTTTGATACAGAAGCCCTAGCCAGGAATAAAATTTATGTATTTTTAGACGTCATTTTCTATCTTTAGGGACTAAGCCCTGCTTTCAGCAACTGGGGTTAAGGAGGATAAACAGATTCATTCTAGGTGATAGATCACTAATATATGACATTTCAGCAGAATAGAAGTCTCCCATCTGAGATATAAAATCAACATAACATTCATGCTGGTATCCCCTCCTCCTCGCATGGGACCTTATGACTTACAGTAAATGCTCAATATACAATTATTAAATTAATTTTTAAAATAATCTATGTGCTTTCTCAGGTAATAGAAGTATATGTATATAAATTACATTCCCATTTTGAAATTGCATCTCAATTTCTCCACTAATAGATAGAAATCATGAAGTCGGTAAGAAAAAAAACATGCAAACAAACCCCACTGGACTGTGCAGCTGGATCTGTTCCTATTTCTGAGCCAAATGAAACTTAGTTTTGATCGTAAGCCCCTACCCTAAACCTTCAGCCTTGGTTCTTCACTTGTTAAGAAAGAATATTGGAATAGATGTTGACTGATATCCAAGTCAATGTGGCTATGGCATCTCCAAGGAAGAGATGACAGGTATTCTTCCCTGAGTCTGGCAACGAGAAAAGCAGAGGATGGAGGCTAGTAACACAGCTTGATTTCCTCACTCTTTGGGGTCTAGGAAGCCTGGGTTGACAACTGCTCATAATCTTGCTCACAAAGACTTTGACCCTGCTCTGCTTTGTGATGCATGCAAGTCTGAAAACTTCAGAATTATGGAAACAGCATGAGACTTCATTTTCCCTGCCTTATGAGGTTATAGTGCACGGGCACTGAAATCAGACAGACTGTGACTTCCTTTAGACAAGCCTTTCCGTTTCTCTGTACCTCTCTCTCTTATTTATATGATAAGGGTAATAATAATATCTACCAGAGAGTATTACTGTGACAATTGAGTGAGGTTATGTGTGAAAAGGGCTCACCATAGCTTCTGGTGCACAGTAAAAGCTCATCAGAAAGTAACTGTTAGAATTTTTACTGGATGTATTAGTTTCCTAGGGCTGCTGTAACAACATGCCACAACTGGGAGGCTTAAAACAATGGAAATTTATTGTCTCACAGTTCTGGAGCCTAGGAGTCTGACTTCAAGATGTTGGCAGGGCCATGCTCCCTCTGAAACCTGCAGTGGAGAATCCTTCCTTGATTCTCCCAGCTTCTGGTGTTTGCTGGCAATCTTTGGCATTCCTTGACCTCTAGACACATCATTCCAATCTCTACCTCCATCATCACATCTTCCTGTGTGCCTTTGCTTCTGTGTCTCTTCTCTTCTTCTCATAAGGACCCCTGTCATATTGAATTAAGACTCATCCTAAAAACTTCATATAAACATCTGCATTTCATCTGCAAAACGCCTATCCAAATAAGGTCACGCTTACATGTCCCAGGGGCTAGAATTTCAACATATCAATATGTTCAATCCATAACAATGCAAATAGTCTTAAAGGCTGTCACTATCTAAATGTACTCAGTGTGATTCAAGGGACCATGTCTCTGTAGAAATTCTAATGCACAATCCCTCAAGATTTGGTAAGAAGTATTATTCTCTGTTACCTACATATGGAAGAATTAGGGTCTGCACAGCCTGTGTTCTCATTTTATTACAGGCTTTCTTGGTTCATTGTCCAGAATAACTTATCTATACACTTTAAAATTTTGGATTACCTGTTTTGTTTTTTTAAGTCAGAAATAGCATACCTGGATATTTGGAAAACTCTGCCTATTTATCTTTTCCTCTCCAGTGTTTCTCATCCAATTCTGTCTTCTTATTGTAGACAGATAGATACTCCCAAAACAAGTCACTCTTCTCCAGAGGATTAGGAACTCATTGGCCTACTTCTTGCCTGGCATTCAAGGCAAGCTCTACACTGGCCCATGTAAACTCAGAATTCTGAGACCCAATGCTGACAACTTGCAATTTAGCTTCATCTTTGTTGAACTGACTAAACTTCATTCATTTTTAGGCCTGTTCTCTCTCAGGTTCTTACATCTTTATTCATATGGTTTCTACATGCTAGCAATCCATCAATTCATCAGTCCATCAATCCAAATCCATCCATTTTTCATGATTTATCTCAATTTCTATTTAATTGAGGAATAGATCACAACTCCAAATTATTCTTCCTATGTATTCTGTAATTTTCAATGTCAATTCTACTGATCTGGTGTTTATTTGTTTGTTACCTGGTAATGGCACATACTTTTAAGATACATTTCTTAGTCTCAAAATTAAAAAATAAAATTCTCAAAGGGAATAAAAATGTCTGTGTTTCTACCTATTATAATGCCTTGTATGTGGTAAATACTTAAGAGTTCCTTCCTTTTTAGGCAGAAACTAACTCCTGAAAACAAAGCTGTCAGAGAGGAAATACCACAATTTGGGTCACCTGGAAAGAATGTTTATTGCTCCTAACCTCCAAAGAGCCAATCAAGCTAAGTCTGGACTTGGGTTTTAACTCAAGGCACATCATGGGCACTACAGATGCCATCATGCCTTGCAAGGTTTCATTCCTGGTTCACTGTGGTCATTACTAGAGAAGACTAATTGGCTATAGAAAAAGAGAACAGATTGTCGTAATTATTCCCTATGTGTAATATTTGGGTTCTGACCATGAAGTCAATTTAAGGACTGAGGTAAAAGAATTGGGGACCTGACTAACAGATCTTCCAGTTGCTTCAATAAGTGGCAATAGAGATTATTCTGTGCAGCATCTGAGCTTTTTCTAGGCTGGAAATGCACCTGGCATGATTGACTAATTTGGGGAGTTTTTCCAGTGTTCTCTGTGTGGTGTATTTTAATCAGCATTACAATTTAGCAGCTGCATTAATTAATTAGCACATTAATCAGGAGAGCATTTTAGCAGCTAATCTCTAGCAAACTAGCAGTTTGTGATAAAATCTTAGCAGTAGGAGAACAAGCAGCATACCAAGTTATTTTTCAATGTTATCATCACCATGGGCCTAGCAAAGCCTGAAATTATGCAACCAAATTGAAACTTTTCTTAAAATACACCTAGGCAGGGCACATTCGAAAAATTGTATGCTTCGTGCAGAAAGGTTTAACAATTACTATTTTCTCTACAAAGCAGTAGTTCTGAAGAAAACTGTCAGGCATTCTAGGAAACAATCTCTCCAAGTGATCTTAAAATAGTCCTTGTGTGGCCGGGCGCGGTGGCTCACGCCCGTAATCCCAGCACTTTGGGAGGCCGAGGCAGGCGGATCACGAGGTCAGGAGATCGAGACCATCCTGGCTAACATGGTGAAACCCCGTCTCTACTAAAAACACAAAAAATTAGCCGGGCGTGGTGGCGGGCGCCTGTAGTCCCAGCTACTCGGGAGGCTGAGGCAGGAGAACGGCGTGAACCCGGGAGGCGGAGTTTGCAGTGAGCCGAGATCTGGCCACTGTGCTCCAGCCTGGGCGACAGAGCAAGACTCTCAAAAAAAAAAAAAAAAACACATAGTCCTTGTGTAATTTCAGAAGAAGTCAACAAGGTTTCTCTTCTATTAGCAAGATTATGTATGTAATAATGGGAAGTTTCAAGAAATAATTTTATAGTTACATGTGTTATAGGGATTTAAAAGAAGGAAATACTTGCCTTAGCAATGAAAATATTACAATTTTTAGCTCTTTAAAACCTTTACAGTGAACCTTATACTTGAGAGGGGAATCGAAAAAAAAATCTCTTCTAATACAATGTTTAGAGATAAATGCATGTAGCAACACAGTCAAATGTAATATAATTTTGATGAAATATAAATTGGAAGACTTCCTCGCATAGAAGCATTGCTCCTTTTTAGCTTCGTTATACCCAAACTGCAGTGACATGTGCTTTTACCGAATCCATGCATATTGAATTCCACATGTTCCCAAATTAAAAATTTAATGGAAAAATCCCTTAGGCTGATATTAAAACTTCCCTTCATTTACAAAGCCTTGGGATATTGAATTCTTATACACAGCAATCTATTAGTTTGAACTATTAAGCAGTTCTCAATCCTCACAGCGTTTTCCTGGGAGAAATTAGTGTTCTTTCATGACTTCCCATCAGTTTTTCAACCTCAGAAAGGAGAGGGTCAGGATAACTGAGAGAGCCCATGCTGCATAAGCATTTCCATACACTTCAAACTCTTCTGACATTGATTTTCTCCTCTGGTTCATGGAAATTGCACTCTATTCAAATAACATACTACAATCTAAAAGAATTTTAATTTCCACTCTACCTTTTGTCTCCATTTATAAATCACATGTATATCTCTCAATCTTCTGCCCTTTCTTTTCTAAATGTTCAACTCTTTAAAATCTACTTTATCAGCAGTTTCACTCCAAGTTGAAAGATATATCAAAACTTTCTGGCAAAAGAAAAATGAGAATTAGATATTTCTCTACAAAAATGTTATAAATTATAATATTTATTAAGGGTCCTTTCAAGTGTAATATTAGTGGGCTTATTTATTATAAATTGCCAATAACAAAAACCCCGCCTATGCAATGGCTACCCGTGCAATGGTATCTTTCATTATTTCGAGCCATGTCAAGTCTTACAGTCTTTTGGATGCCTAGGATGAAATTCGCATATCCTTTTTTTCACAGCTGAAATTAATGTAATTAATTTTTAATGCATTACTCGGCTTCATTTGTGAGCACAGTATTTGCTATCAAAGACGCCTTATGGATAAAACCTTCACTTAACTATGAGTTGCCCTCTATTGACATAATCCTTTTTATCTTTGTAAACTTTGATAATTAATATAAAGTTTGCCTGGGCTCACATTCTCTCTCACTGACTGAATTTCCTATTCCTCCCTCCATCTCTAGTCTGCTTAGATGGGTTCACACACACACGCACACACACATACTGACATGCATGTGCACACAAGCACACATGCATATACACACACCATCCTTCCTCTGTAGTATCCATTCTAGGGAACTCTGGTGGAGTATTGACTAGAGTTGCTCTTTGTTAAAGCACTAAACATTATTGCAGCATACTAATTGCCCTCTCTCTGGTGACGCGTTTTTATATTAAAGTCTACAATAAACCTAAACTGCCTATCCTTCAGTCATAGGATCAGGCATCTCAAAAGGGGATGATTTAATTAATTTATTTATTTGACACTTATTGAAAACCTATTATATGCATGACTTTTACTCCTTAAGCCCTTGAAATCTGTTATCAGGACTAATGCAATATTCCTAACTGGTCTTGTTGACTTGGGTAAACTGCCTTCACCAGAAAACTATCATCTGTCATACTGTTGCTACAGTGATCACTCTTCAAATGACATAAATCTGTTTGTTTTACTCCTTTACTTGAAATCATTAAGTGATTTCTTATCACCTTTAGGATAAAAGACAAACCTTGTAGAATGGCCTACCATGTCCTTCTTGTTCTGGTCCCTGTGTCCCTCTGTGATACCATTTCTAGTCACCTGAGCAATTCCTTCAGTCCAGTTTATTTTGCCATTTGTTCCTTCCCAAACAGATTCTACTCTCTTGCTTCTGTGCCTTTGTGGATGCCTTTTCCTAAATACAGAATGCCTTCTTTTCTCCTTGTCCTGGATAACACTTGTTCCTTTTTAAGACTTATTTCCAATGTCATCACACCCTGTCCTGTATTCAATCTGTTAGTTGCTCTCTTCCCTGTGCTAATGGAATCCTATGTATATCCCTCTTCTTAGAACTTTCCACACATACTTTTTGTGATTACCCTGTCAGTTTTTCCCAGGAACTGTGTGTTGTGTCACTTTCCCCCAGTGCTTCACAGAGGGGAAAGTATGTTAAATCTTGAGAATGTTGGTTGAAAGACGGTAACTTTTTACGGCAAGTAAAGGGTTTGATTGATGTGAGACACAGACTGTTGGAAAAGTCTTTGGGCCTCAGAATGGAAGCAAGGCAAGAAAGAAGTCCTTTAAAAACATGTCTTTAAAACCTTAAAGTGATGATAGGGACTTTTACAAAACTGGGACTTTCGCCAAACTCATGGGACCCATGACCAGGATTAGTAATTAAGTAAATCCTTTGAGCTCTTGTGAATTAGTTTCAGAGCTTCAAGGCAAATCAGTCTACTTTTCAATTCATTAAGGGATGATATGATTTCCTCATGCCCAAGAAATGGCAATTTGGGAACACCGGAATTTGTATCACCTTGGTGTTAAAATATCTCAGAATAAGCAATGAAAGTCATGAGATGCTGGCAAGAAAAATCTCTTATAAGAGAGAAAACGTCCTATAACATAGGTAAAATATCCATTACCTCTATTTTTGATGAAAAAATTGAAGCTCAGAATCGTTTAATGACTTGCGCAAAGATGCACTGTTAATAAGTAGCAGATGTTGGTGTCAAACCTAATTTCTGAAATGAAACCACCATGCTCTTTACCTATGCTATTAACCATGTACCAACATCTTAAAAGGCTCAAAAGTAACCAGGCATTTGGGCTGACAGAAATTTATAACTGCTACTGATGCTACTGAATGTGTATGTGTGTCTGTCTGGGGGAGTAGGAGGTGGAAACAATTAGCAACTATCACTGTGACATTGAATTGCAATTATTATTTTCACATACTAAGGTAAATTATTTTTGGTACTAATTGTGAAATATTACCCTATCAGAAATAATTATGTCTTTTCAGCCAAAGGTAAAGCGTCAACCAACCTGAGTTGTCTCTGTCTCAATCAACTTCCTATGTCTTCTGAAATTAATCTTTTCAGAAAATTGAAGGCTACTAGTGGGCCTAAAGGAGAAATGATGGAGACGTTACACTGGGAAAGTACATTGATTAGCTAATAAAACAAAGTTACACACAGCAATAAATGTTGGTTTTATATGGTTCACTTAATCTACCTTGCCACCAAATGCTTTATAGAGAAAATCTGTCATAAGATAAAGAGCACCAAGAAAATACGAAGATGTTTAGTAACTCAGGGGGAAAGCAAGGAAGCTATAGGAGGTATCACAACATCGCAAAAGGCCACTAAACAAGATAACATTCTGACAACTCAGAAGGAAAGGGGCGTCCAATTATTTATAATAAAACCTCATGTTAGGAATTAGATACAAATGGTGGACAAGGGGAAGCCACTTTGAACAATTATACTCACCAGATAGTGCTATGGTTTGAATGTATGCGTCCTCACAAAATTCATATGTTGGAACTTAATCCCCAAGGGTGATGGTATTAAGAGGTAGGTCCTTTGGGAAGTGATTAGGCCATGAAGGCTATGCCCTCATGAATGGGATTTTTTTTTCTTAAGAGACAGGCTCTCACTCTGTCACCCCAGGCTGGAATGCAGTGGCGTGTACATGGTTCACTGCAGCCTCAAATTCTGGGCTCAAGCAATACTCCCTCCTCAGCCTACTGAGTAGCTGGGACTACAGGTGTGTGCCACTATGTCTAGCTAATTTCCTTTTATTTTTGGAGAGACAGGGTCTTGCTATGTTGCCCAGGCTGGTCTCAAACTCCTGGCATCAAGGGATCCTCCCTCCTCAGCCTCCCGAAGTGCTAGGGTTACAGGCATGAGACACCATACCTGGCATGAATGGGATTAATATACTTATTAAACAGGCTTCAGAGAGCTTCCTGGCCCTTCCGTCTCTTCTGCCACATGAGGACACAAGGTTTGCGCCTTTGCCTTCCTGCCATGTTAAGGATGCAGCAAGAAGGCACCATCTTGGAAGCAGAGCTCCCTCCCCAGACACCGAATCTATCAGCACTTTGATGTTGGACTTCCTAGCCTCCAGAATTATGAGAAACGAATTTCTGTTGTTTATAAATTACCCAGTCTGCGGTATTTTGTTATAGTTGCATGAGCAGACTAAAATGAGCTGCTTTGAAGCGATAGACTATCCTTCAAAGAAGGAGAAATGTGGACGCTGGCTTTAGTGCTAAAGAGCCCCAAGAAGCTAAAATCGTTCAAATATTCTTGGGAGGATGCAAAATTACTTGCAGACTTAACTGACTGGCTTATTAGGGGAAATGTTGTTTTGAGATGCAGGTATTATACGTTTAGAGATTTACAAATACGCTCTGTTATTTGGGACATCAACATGAGATTAAAGAAGCATTCTTCTCCATTTAGTCCATATTCAGAGATGCATGATGTGCACAGAAAGCCAGTGCAGGCACGGTGAAAATAATAACTATCAGCACAGCTCTTCTTTAGTTGATGTCACAGATATTTTCAAACCAACGTCCAAAATGCTGATCTGAGGAAGGGTTTAGGGAGTGAGGGGAATATGGCAGTTATGTCAGTTGTCATTGACACACATGATAGACTCTTTGCCAGGGCTGATCTTCACTAATAATCAACCACTATGCCTATGAAGTGGAAATGAGATTGTCTCCACAGTTCATGTGCAGAGAAGAAATCCAAGGAGCAATAACATCTCTCCTCAAGTAGAAGTGGAGCAGTAACGTGCACCTCAGAGTTGCCATGGAATCAATCAACTTCTTCTGCATTTCCCTTTTATAAGGACTGCTTGGTAATTATTATCCTGACACATCTAAATTTGATAGCAATGGTATTCTAATGGGTGTTGGTACTATATTGCAGGCATAAACATATATAATTTCTGATCAACCATCTGTTACTAAAAAGCAGGATCACCTTGAAATCCACAGAAAGAGTATGTAGGCAAATTACAGTGAAACATTGAGCAATTAATTTACTTGGAAAACACTTTTCCTACCAAGCAAATTTTATAAGTCAATCGACTTTATTAAATTGAGGAGAAACAGCAAATAAGAGGGCACTGACTTCAACAGGCTCACTCTGTTGTGGAGTACACTCATCATCATCACCTATTACTCCTTAATAATTAGAGGCAATGAAAGTATCACTTTAAATTAGCTTCAAAGTCTTTAGGAGATTTCAGTGGGACAGAGGAAGGAGACTATGATTTAAAGAGTAGAAAGGATGACGTGCAAATGAAGGCAAGCCTTGCCAGCAATTCCACTGCTAAGACAAAAGTGTAAGAACCTTGAAGAGGAAAAGAGCAGGATGTTAAAATCAGAGAAGATAATTTTAATGAAGAAAAGCAATGGTGGGTAAATGAAAGATGGGTCAAAGATGTGTAATTAATAAAAAATCATCAGTTTCAATTAACAACGTAGCACTTAACCTCAAAATAATGCAGTTTTACTTAATTAAAACAATTATTTATCTTTTACATACATGAAATACATGGTTTGATGTTATCTCTTTCTCTCTGTCTTCTCTACTTATTATTTTTGACTTTTAATCATGCTGTCTCATTATGCCAACTACCAGCTGCATTTGCCATTCCATTTTCTTGACCCACATTAAAATTAGGCAAGTATGAAATTAAAACTCCAAACATTTTCAAAAGCTATTTCAAATTCAGAGATTTATATCCCTTGCAAAATGGGATTTTGACTTTGACGCTGGTCTGGGGAACATTAGATCCCTAAGCACATTTCCACACAGTTATGGAATAGTGGTGGTAGTATGGAGGGAGAATTTTTTTTTAATATTTGAAAGTCCTTTGTGACTAACTTCTTTGGGTTATTTACATGTACAGCATTTGACAAATTTGAAGTTTCTACTAAGTAAAGCAAAAAGGACTCTATTTTCTTAATAGCATTTAATTTATATAATGGCATGCAGATACTGGGTAAAAATTACCTCTGTGATTTTATTCATACTCAAAGTCTAATATAAGAAATGTCATCCAAGGTCATAAAATGCCTCTAAGCCCAATGACAACATGAAAGGCATAGAAAGAATCAGTCAATATGGAGATGTTCTCTCCAGCTTGCTCCAAAATCCATGACAGAGGGACTGTTTCATTAATACTTAGATTATAAAATACCACCTTGATTAATATTTATAGAGAAGAAATGGCTAGAAAAACCTTTTGTCAAGAACAAAAATTTAGAAAGAGCTTACAGTGTAGCAACAAAAATTATCTGCTTCATACAAATCAGGGCAAGGCCCCTTTTCACAAGGAGCTTTTAATAAAGTTGAGAAGAAAATCCATACATAATAGGGGGTGGAGCCAAGATGGCCGAATAGGAACAGCTCCAGTCTATAGCTCCCAGCGTGAGCGAAGCAGAAGACAGGTGATTTCTGCATTTCCAACTGAGGTACCGGGTTCATCTCACCGGGGAGTGCCAGAAAGTGGGTGCAGGACAGTGGGTGCAGCACACCGTGTGTGAGCCAAAGCAGGGTGAGGCATCGCCTCACCCAGGAAGCGCAAGGGGTCAGGGAATTCCCTTTCCTAGTCAAAGAAAGGGGTGACAGACAGCACCTGGAAAATCAGGTCACTCCCACCCTAATACTGCGCTTTTCCAATGGCCTTAAAAAACGGCACACCAGGAGATTATATCCCGCACCTGGCTCGGAGGGTCCTACGCCCACGGAGCCTCGCTCATTGCTAGCATAGCAGTGTGAGACCAAACTGCAAGGCTGCAGTGAGGCTGGGGGAGGGGCGCCCGCCATTGCCCAGGCTTGAGTAGGTAAACAAAGCGGCACGGAAGCTCGAAACGGGTGGAGCGCACCACAGCTCAAGGAGGCCTGCCTGCCTCTGTAGGCTCCACCTCTGGGGGCAGGGCACAGACAAACAAAAGACAGCAATAACCTCTGCAGACTTAAATGTCCCTGTCTGACAGCCTTGAAGAGAGTACTGGTTCTCCCAGCACGCAGCTTGAGATCTGAGAATAGGCAGACTGCCTCCTCAAGTGGGTCCCTGACCCCCGAGTAGCCTAACTGGGAGGCACCCCCTAGTAGTGGCGGACCGACACCTCACACAGCTGGGTACTCCTCTGAAACAAAAATTCCAGAGGAACAATCAGGCAGCAGCATTTGCGGTTCATGAATATCCGCTGTTCTGCAGCCACCACTGCTGATACCCAGGCAAACAGGGTCTGGAGTGGACCTCCAGCAAACTCCAACAGACCTGCAGCTGAGGGTCCTGACTGTTAGAAGGAAAACTAACAAATAGAAAGGACATCCACACCAAAAACCCATCTGTACATCACCATCATCAAAGACCAAAGGTAGATAAAACCACAAAGATGGGGAAAAAACAGAGCAGAAAAACCGGAAACTCTAAAAATCAGAGCACCTCTCCTCCTTCAAAGGAACGCAGCTCCTCACCAGCAATGGAACAAAGCTGGATGGAGAATGATTTTGACGAGCTGAGACAAGAAGCCTTCAGAAGATCAAACTACTCTGAGCTAAAGGAGGAAGTTCGAACCAATGGCAAAGAAGTTAAAAACTTTGAAAAAAAAATTAGACGAATGGATAAGTAGAATAACCAATGCAGAAAAGTCCTTAAAGGACCTGATGGAGCTGAAAACCATGGCACGAGAACTACATGATGAATGCACAAGCCTCAGTAACCGATGCGATCAACTGGAAGAAAGGGTATCAGCAAAGGAAGATGAAATAAATGAAATGAAGCGTGAAGAGAAGTTTAGAGAAAAAAGAATTAAAAGAAATGAACAAAGCCTCCAAGAAATATGCGACTATGTGAAAACACCAAATCTACGTCTAATTGGTGTACCTGAAAGTGATGGGGAGAATGGAACCAAGTTGGAAAACACTCTGCAGGATATTATCCAGGAGAACTTCCCCAATCTAGCAAGGCAGGCCAACATTCAAATTCAGGAAATACAGAGAATGCCACAAAGATACTCCTCGAGAAGAGCAACTCCAAGAAACATAATTGTCAGATTCACCAAGGTTGAAATGAAGGAAAAAATGTTAAGGGCAGCCAGAGAGAAAGGTCGGGTTACCCATAAACGGAAGCCCATCAGACTAACAGCTGATCTCTCAGCAGAAACTCTACAAGCCAGAAGAGAGTGGGGGCCAATATTCAACATTCTTAAAGAAAAGAATTTTCAAGCCGGAATTTCATATCCAGCCAAACTAAGCTTCATAAGTGAAGGAGAAATAAAATACTTTACAGACAAGCAAATGCTGAGAGATTTTGTCACCACCAGGCCTGCCCTAAAAGAGCTCCTGAAGGAAGCACTAAACATGGAAAGGAACAACCGGTACCAGCCACTGCAAAAACATGCCAAAATGTAAAGACCGTCAAGGCTAGGAAGAAACTGCATCAACTAACGAGCAAAATCACCAGCTAACATCATAATGACAGGATCAAATTCACACATAACAATACTAACCTTAAATGTAAATGGGCTAAATGCTCCAATTAAAAGGCACAGACTGGCAAATTGGATAAAGAGTCAAGACCCATCAGTGTGCTGTACTCAGGAAACCCATCTCACGTGCAGAGACACACATAGGCTCAAAATAAAGAGATGGAGGAAGATCTACCAAACAAATGGAAAACGAAAAAAAGCAGGGGTTGCAATCCTAGTTTCGGATAAAACAGACTTTAAACCAACAAAGATCAAAAGAGACAAAGAAGGCCATTACATAATGGTAAAGGGATCAATTCAACAAGAAGAACTAACTATCCTAAATATATATGCACCCAATACAGGAGCACCCAGATTCATAAAGCAAGTCCTTAGTGACTAATGAAAAGACTTAGACTCCCATACAATAATAATGGGAGATTTAACACCCCACTGTCAACATTAGACAGATCAATGAGATGGAAAGTTAACAAAGATATCCTGGAATTGAACTCAGCTCTGCACCAAGGGGACCTACTAGACATCTACAGAACTCTCCACCCCAAATCAACAGAATATACGTTCTTTTCAGCACCACACCACACCTATGCCAAAATTGACCACATAGTTGGAAGTAAAGCACTCCTCAGCAAATGTAAAAAACAGAAATTATAACAAACTGTCTCTCAGACCACAGTGCAATCAAACTAGAACTCAGGATTAAGAAACTCACTCAAAACTGCTCAACTACATGGAAACTGAACAGCCGGATCCTGAATGACTACTGGGTACATAACGAAATGAAGGCAGAAATAAAGATGTTCTTTGAAACCAACGAGAACAAAGACACAACATACCAGAATCTCTGGGACACATTCAAAGCAGTGTGTACAGGGAAATTTATAGCACTAAATGCCCACAAGAGAAAGCAGGAAAGTTCTAAAATTGACACCCTAACATCACAATTAAAAGAACTAGAGAAGCAAGAGCAAACACATTCAAAAGCTACCAGAAGGCAAGAAATAACTAAGATCAGAGCTGAACTGAAGGAAACAGAGACACAAAAATCCCTTCAAAAAATCAATGAATCCAGGAGCTGGTCTTTTGAAACAATCAACAAAATTGATAGACCTCTAGCAAGACTAATAAAGAAGAAAAGAGAGAAGAATCAAATAGATGCAATAAAAAATGACAAAGGGAATATCACCACCAATCCCACAGAAATACAAACTACCATCAGAAAATACTGTAAACACCTCTATGCAAATAAACTAGAAAATCTTGAAGAAATGGATAAATTCCTCGACAAATACACCCTCCCAAGACTAAACCAGGAAGAAGTTGAATCTCTGAATAGACCAATAATAGGCTCTGAAATTGAGGAAATAATTAATAGCTTACCAACCAAAAAAAGTCCAGGACCAGATGGAGTCACAGCCGAATTCCACCAGAGGTACAAGGAGGAGCTGGTACCATTCCTTGTGAAACTATTCCAATCGATAGAAAAAGAGGGAATCCTCCCTAAGTCATTTTATGAGGCCAGCATCATCCTGATACCAAAGCCTGGCAGAGACACAACAAAAAAAGAGAATTTTAGACCAATATCCTTGATGAACATTGATGCAAAAATCCTCAATAAAATACTGGCAAACCGAATCCAGCAGCATATCAAAAAGCTTATCCACCATGATCAAGTGGGCTTCATCCCTGGGATGCAAGGCTGGTTCAACATATGCAAATCAATAAACATAATCCAGCATATAAACAAAACCAAAGACAAAAACGACATAATTATCTCAATAGATGCAGAAAAGTCCTTTGACAAAATTCAACAACCCTTCATGCTAAAAACTCTCAATAAATTAGGTATTGATGGGACGCATCTCAAAATAATGAGAGCTATCTATGACAAACCCACAGCCAATATCATACTGAATGGACAAAAACTGGAAGCATCCCCTTTGAAAACTGTCACAAGACAGGGATGCCCTCTCTCACCACTCCTATTCAACATAGTGTTGGAAGTTCTGGCCAGGGCTATCAGGCAGGAGAAGGAAATAAAGGGTATTCAATTAGGAAAAGAGGAAATCAAATTGTCCCTGTTTGCAGATGACATGATTGTATATCTAGAAAACCCCATCATCTCAGCCCAGAATCTACTTAAGCTGATAAGCAACTTCAGCAAAGGCTCAGGATACAAAATCAATGTGCAAAAGTCACAAGCATTCTTATACACCAATAACAGACAAACAGAGAGCCAAATCATGAGTGAACTCCCATTCACAATTGCTTCAAAGAGAATCAAATACCTAGGAATCCAACTTACAAGGGATGTGAAGGACCTCTTCAAGGGGAACCACAAACCACTGCTCAATGAAATAAAAGAGGATACAAACAAATGGAAGAACATTCCATGCTCATGGGTAGGAAGAATCAATATCATGAAAATGGTCATACTGCCCAAGGTAATTTATAGATTCAATGCCATCCCCATCAAGCTACCAATGACTTTCTTCACAGAATTGGAAAAAACTACTTTAAAGTTCATATGGAACCAAAAAAGAGCCCACATTGTGAAGTCAATCCTAAGCCAAAAGAACAAAGCTGGAGGCATCACGCTACCTGACTTCAAACTATACTACAAGGCTACAGTAACCAAAACAGCATGGTACTGGTACCAAAACAGAGATATAGACCAATGGAACAGAACAGAGCCCTCAGAAATAATGCCGCATATCTACAACTATCTGATCTTTGACAAACCTGACAAAAACAAGCAATGGGGAAAGGATTCCCTATTTAATAAATGGTGCTGGGAAAACTGGCTAGCCATATGTAGAAAGCTGAAACTGGATCCCTTCCTTACACCTTATACAAAAATTATTTCAAGATGGATTAAAGACTTACATGTTAGACCTAAAACCATAAAAATCCTAGAAGAAAACCTAGGCAATACCTTTCAGGACATAGGCATGGGCAAGGACTTCATGTCTAAAACACCAAAAGCAATGGTAACAAAAGCCAAAATTGACAAATGGGATCTAATTAAACTAAAGAGCTTCTGCACAGCAAAAGAAACTACCATCAGAGTGAACAGGCAACCTACAGAATGGGAGAAAATTTTTGCAACCTACTCATCTGACAAAGGGCTAATATCCAGAATCTACAATGAACTCAAACAAATTTACAAGAAAAAAACAAACAACCCCATCAAAAAGTGGGTGAAGGATATGAACAGACACTTCTCAAAAGAAGACATTTATGCAGCCAAAAAACACATGAAAAAATGCTCATCATCACTGGCCATCAGAGAAATGCAAATCAAAACCACAATGAGATACCATCTCACACCAGTTAGAATGGCGATCATTAAAAAGTCAGGAAACAACAGGTGCTGGAGAGGATGTGGAGAAATAGGAACACTTTTACACTGTTGGTGGGACTGTAAACTAGTTCAACCATTGTGGAAGTCAGTGTGGTGATTCCTCAGGGATCTAGAACTAGAAATACCATTTGACCCAGCCATCCCATTACTGGGTATATACCCAAAGGATTACAAATCATGCTGCTATAAAGACACTTGCACACGTATGTTTACTGTGGCACTATTCACAATAGCAAAGACTTAGAATCAACCCAAATGTCCAACAATGATAGACTGGATTAAGAAAATGTGGCACATATACACCATGGAATACTATGCAGCCATAAAAAAGGATGAGTTCGTGTCCTTTGTAGGGACATGGATGAAGCTGGAAACCATCATTCTCAGCAAACTATCGCAAGGACAAAAAACCAAACACAGCATGTTCTCACTCGACGGTGGGAATTGAACAATGAGAACACATGGACACAGGAAGGGGAACATCACACACCGGGGACTGTTGGGGGGTGGGGGGAGGGGGGAGGAATAGCATTAGGAGATATACCTAATGTTAAATGATGAGTTAATGGGTGCAGCACACCAACATGGCACGTGTATACATATGTAACAAACCTGCACCTTTTGCACATGTACCCTAAAACTTAAAGTATAATAATAATAATAAAAGAAAATCCATACATAATAAATCAAAGATCCCCTTTTTCACACTCACACACACACAAATGGGATTATGGTTAAAAGATAAGTGTATGCTTAAATCCTTAAGTGTATCTTTAGAAATGGGAGTTTGTAGGCAGACAGACCCAGATCGAATCCCAGGTATGACACTCCCTAGCTGTGTATCTGCAGTCAAGTGACACAAACACCCTGAGCCTTGGTTTCCTCACCATAAATTTGGGAGAATAGCAAAAGCTTTTACCTACAACAAAAGATTGTTGTGAGATTTAAATGATAAAATGCACAGTGTTTGGTATACAGAAAATAGTCAATAAATATTAATAGGAAGATGATACTGCCTTTTTTTCTAGGAATGTTTTTCCATCTCTATTGAGGTGTAGTTGACCTTTTGTTTGCATGAGAGAACACTTAAGATCTAGTCTCTCAGAAAACTTCAAGTATTCAATACATTATTATTAACTATAGTCACCATGTCACACCTGAGATCGCCAGAACTTGGTCATCTTACACCTGAAAGCTTGTGATCTTTAAATAACATCTGTTTATTTCCCCCACCCCCTAGTCCCTGGCAGCCACTGTTCTATTCGCTGTTACTATGGATTTGACTTTTTTTAAAGATTAGCTATAAGTGAGATCATGCAGTATTTGTCTCTCCATCTCTGTCTTTTTTTACTTAGCATAATGGCCTCTAGATCTATCCATGTTGTCACAAATAGCAGAATTTCCTTTCTTTCTCAAGGCTGAATTAATATTTCATTGTGTATACATATATATGTATATGTTTAGAAACATATATGACATTTTCATTAGTCCTTCATCTGGTGGCAGACATTTCAGTTGTTTTCATATTTTGTCTATTGCGAATAATGCTGCAATAAACATGGGAGTGCAGGCATCTCTACCAGGTGCATTATTTCATTTCCTTCTAATGTATACCCAGCAGTAGGATTGCTGGATCATATGGTAGTTCTATTTTTAGTTTTATGAGAAACCTCCATACTCTTTTCCATAATGACTGTACTACTGTACATTCCCATTAACAGTGTTCAAGCATTCCCCTTTATCCACATCTTCATAAGCATTTATTATTTTTTGTCCTTTGATAGCAGCCATTCTAGCTAGGTAAGATGATATTTCATTAAGGTTTTGATTTGCATTTCCCTGATGATTAGTGATATAAAGCATTTCTTCATGTATTCCTTTGGCCATTTGTATGTCTTCTTTTGATAAATGTCTATTCAGGTATTTTGCCATTTTTAATTGGGTTTTTTGTTTTATTATAAGTTGTTGACTTTCTTACGTATTCTGGTTATTAATCTCTTGTAAGATGAATAGCTTGCAACTATTTTCCCCCATTCTGTGGGTTATCTCTTCATTTCGTTAATTGTTTCCTTCGCTGTGCAGAAGCTTTTTAGCTTAATGTAATCTTATTACATGAAGCTTTTGCTTAACTTGTAACTTTTGCTTGCCTGTGCTTTTGAGGTATTACCCCAAAAATCTTTGTCCAAACCAATGTCCTATAGCATTTTCCCAACGTTTTCTTCTGGTAGTTTCGCAGTTTCGGGTCTTACATTTAAGTCTTTATTTTGTGTGGATTTTCATATATGGTGAAAGATGGTAATCTAATTTTATTCTTCTGCATATAGAGATCTAGTTTTCTTAGCATCATTTGTTAAATAAAAGAGACTTTCCTTTCTTGTGTTGGCTGTTTAAGCTGAATGAGTTCATTTTATATTTTGGATATTAGCCACCTATTGGATACACGATTTGTAAATATTGTCTGTCATTCCATAGGTTGACTTTTCATTTTGTTGATTGCTTCCTTTGCTGTGCAGAAATGTTTTTGTTTGAGGTAGTTTATTTATTGTTCATTTTTGTTTCTGTTGCATGTGCTTTGGCGTCACATTTTAAAAATTATTGCCAATATCAGTGTCAAGGCTCTGTTTTCTTCTAGGAGTTTTACAGTTTTGGGACTTTGTTTACATCTTTAATATATTTTGAATTGATTTTTGTGCACGATGTAAAATAAGGGCTCAATTTAATTATTTTGCATGTGGAAATCCAGTTTCCCTAACACAGTTTACTGAAGAGACAATCCTTTTTACCTTCTGGTGCCTTTGTCAAAGTTTATGTGTCTGTTTCCATGTCAGTACCATCCTATTTGGATTACTACAGCTTTTTTATATAATTTGAAATTAAGTAGTGTGATGCCTCCAGGTTTGTTCTTCTTTCTCAAGATTGCTTTGGCTATTCAGGGTCTTATTTGGTTCCATACAAATTTTAGGATTATTTTTCTATTTCTGTGAAAAATGCTATTGACATTTTTATAGAGCTTCCAGTGAATTAGTAGATAGCTTTGGGTCACGTAGACATTTTTAGAGTATCAATTCTTCCAAAACATGAACTCAGCCTATCTTTCCATTTATTTGTGTTTTGAGAGTTTTTAATCATGAAAGGATGTTGCATTTTATCAAGTGCTTTTTCTGCATTTATTAGAATGATATAATTTTTATCCCTCATTCTGTTAGGGTAGCCACATTTATTGATTTGCATGTGTTGAACCATCCTTGCATCTCAGAGATAAATCCCATTTGATTATTATGTATGAATCTTTTTAATGTGTTGTTGAATTAGGTTTACCAGTCTTTTTTGAGAATTTTTACATTTATATTTATCAAGAATACTGGCCTGTAGTTTTCCTTGCTTGCAGAAAAATAAATTAAAATTAAAATTTATTTTCTGTACTCACACTCCTCACTGCCACCACCACTGTCATCATCCCATGTATTCTTTTTTCTCCTTTTCAGACAGTGACCTATAATTTATCAAAACATGCTCAGAAAAAATAGAATGTCAATTGCATTCCAAACTTCCTTCAAAATTTAACCTTTTGGTTTGCTGTTCTCTCTACTAAATTCTACCTCTGAGCCTGCCATCATTTTCATAATTTCCCATCTACAAATGAAAAAGCCAAAATTGTTGCCTTCATTCTGCAACCCACTAGTTACTATTATGCCTTCCTTTTCCTTACAACAATTCCCCACATCAGTCCTCCTTCTCTGTAATGAATTCTAAACTTAATCACTCAAAACTTTTCCCGTATGCACAGGATTAGCTTCTCTATATCAGGTCCTGCTAAAAGGATCTTCACTTTCACACTGTTCTCCATCCTGTCACCACATGAGTGACTACATCATCATCAGCCATTCACTCCTCCTCATGCATACAAATATACCATCTAAATGCAATACTAGATACAGATTTGTATTTACTTTCAGTCCACTCTGCTAGTTCTTCTTCTTCTTTTTTTTTTTTTTTTTTTTTTCTGAGATGGAGTCTCGCTCTGTCACCCAGGCTGGAGTGCAGTGGTGTGATCTCAGCTCACTGTAAGCTCTGCCTCCCGGGTTGACGCCATTCTCCTGCCTCGGCCTCCCAAGTAGCTGGGACTACAGGTGCCCACCACCACACCTGGCTAATTTTTTGTATTTTTAGTAGAGACAGGGTTTCACCATGTTAGCCAGGACGGTCTCGATCTCCTGACCTCATGATCCGCCCGCCTCGGCCTCCCAAAGTGCTGGGATTACAGGAGTGAGCCACCGTGCCCGGCCCACTCTGCTTGTTCTTGCAGCAAAGTTTGCCAGCCCTGGCACACTCTCCTCTTGATCTCTCCAGTTACTTTTGCTTCAGTTGTTATTTTGTCCCCGGCACTGTGTAGCCATTTTCATCACTGTCAGTTAGGGTTTCTCTGGTTTCTGCTCCATTTACTTAGTGAGGAAGGCACCTCAGAGCCATTTGTCATCACTAGTAGACTTTCTTCAGGGTTCATGAATAACTACCTGACATGATGTCCTTTCTATTTGCAAATGAACTACAGCCCTGTTTAGATTTTCATGTCATTTTTATCAAGTTCCAGTGATATTTGAAGAGCTATCAAAAGAACTATGCATATAATCAAACACAGCCTATGAGTTTTCAAAGTTACTGGAAATGTTCACAAGATGGTATTGTTTGCTACTATGAATTAATTGACCTTGATTACAATATTCTCAAATCTGTAACATCGCAGAATACTGCTCTCATGCCCAAAAGAGGGGAAGGGGTTGGTGAGGGTAACATAGGTCCACTAGTGGTATAATAAATACTTTAATTCTGTTAGTATAAAAAGCTGGTGTTTGTCTCTACACAGACATCACTGGCTGATCTAGGAGCTGAATCCTTTGCTACAAGGAAATGTCCTATGAAAAAAATATACTTGAAGCCCAACTGCAGATACAGTACTTTGGTCTATACCACAAATTAGACATAATCTTGGCCCTCTGGGAAACTCATGAAGTAACATCCTAATAAAATCCCAACAAGTAAATAAATTTAAGTAGTATTACTCAAAAATAATTTCACTGCATTTTTTTAAAAATTTGTGTTTTCATATTTCATGCCCCACATGTGGAGCACATCCTCTGACTCTTTGTTAGGTGTGATGATGAAATAAAAGTTCCAAATGACTTATTCTCAAGTCTCATCATTTATTCTTAAAATGAACTATAAAGCCCAATTTTTATAGCTCCATTTATTCTGCTATAATAAAAATATTTCTATTTTTTGTTTCTTTTTATAAAGAAAAAACCTGTTCTATTTGTGTCAATAGAGTTTATTATAAAAGCATTTTGCATGGAAAAAATTAGAGAAAAACAATTTTGATAGACATACATTTTATATATTGAATTACCTATTTACACAAAACTCTATATTACTACCAACTGTCACATTTTTAACATGACATATTAAGACATAAAGAAATAATGAGACTTAATTATGTTTTTGAATAATTTCTTTAAATTTGGTTGAAAATAGTCATCTGCCTAGTATTGTATGCTGAAGTAGCTATCAAATGTAATTATGTAATATTTGTTAGACAATATTTTAAAATTTTTATTTCAATTGTTGAGCCTAAAATCTTTTATTCAGGTTACCATTTTTCACAAAATAATCATATTTGAAATCATGTTATTTATGCTGAAGGTAGAGTAAGATGTCTGAGTAGAATCTTCCACCTTTTGCCTTGCCCACAGGAACACCAAATTGAACAACTATCCACACAAAAAAAGCACCTTCATGAGAACAAAAAGCAAGTGAGCAATCACAGCACCTGGTTTTTACTTCATATTGCCAAAAGAGGCACTGAAGAGGGAAAGGAAGGACAGATAGTCTTGAATTGCCAATGCCGTGTCTCACTCATCCCTCAGCAGTGGCTGCATGACACAGAGAGAGAATCCCTGAGCTTGTGGGAGGGAGAGCAGCACAGTGATTGTGAGACTTTGCATTGGAACTCAATTCTGTCCTATCACAGCAGAAGCAACACCAGGCGAAACTCAGCCAGCACCCACAGAGGGAACAGTTAGGCCAGCCCTACCCAGAGGAGAATTGCCCATCCCAGCAGTCTGAATCTGAGATCCAGCAAGACTCACCACCATCAGCTAAAGTGCTCTGGGTCCTAGGTAAACATAAAAGGCAGTCTAGGTGATTTCTGGACAAGCCCTAGTGCTGTGCTGGGCTTGGAGCCAGTGGACTTGGGGGGCACACAACCTAGTGAGACACCAGCCAGCATAACCAAGAGAGTGCTTCTGCCACTGCTTCCCCAACCCCAGGCAGCACGGCTCATAGCTCTGGGAGAGACTTCTTCCTTCCACTCAAAGAGAGGAGAGGGAAGAGTAAAGAGGATTTTGTCTTACAACTTGGATACCAGCTCAGCCATAGTAGGATAGGGCAACAAGCAGAGTCCTGAGGTCCCCATTCCAGGCCCTAGCTCCAGAACAACATCTCTAGACACACCCTGGGCCAGAAGGGAGCCCACTGCCTTAAAGGACCCAGTCCTGGCAGGGTTCATTACCTGCTGACTAAAGAGCCCTTGAGCCCTGAATAATCAACAGTGACAGGCAGGCAGTACTCACCACGGGTCTTGGGTAAGACTTAGAGATGTGCTGGCTTTGGGTATAGCCCACCACATTTCCAGCTGTGCTGGCTATGGGGAGAGACTCAATATGCTTAAAAAAAGGAGAGGGAAGAGTAAAGGGTACTTTTTGCCTTGCAGCTTAGGTACTAGCTCAGCCACAGTGGGGTAGAGCAATAGGTAGGATACTGGGGTTTTCAATTCCATGTCTCAGTTCTTAGATGGCATTTCTGGAGTTTCCCTGGGCCAGTGCAGACCCCATTTCCTCCTAAGGAAGAGTTTCAGGTCTGCCATTGATGTAGTTTGGCGTGTCCCCACCCGAATCTCATGTTGAATTCCCACATGTTGTGGGAGGAACCTGGTGGGAGGTAATTGAATTATAAGGGAAAGTCTTTCCTGTGCTGTTCTCTTGATAGTGAATAAGTCTCACAAGATCTGATGGTTTTTAAAAAAAGGAGTTCCCCTGCACAAGTTCTCTCTCTTTGCCTGCCATCATCCATGTAAGACATGACTTACTCCTTCTTGCCTTCCACTATGATTGTGAGGCTTCTCCGGCCATGTGGAACTGTAAGTCCAGTTAAACCTCTTTATCTTGTAAATTGCCCAATCTTGGGTATGTCTTTATCAGCAGCATGAAAATGCACTAATACAGGCATCATGCACCAAAAGCTAACTGAAGAGCCCTTGGGCATTGAATGAACATGGGCAGTAACCAGGCAATATTCTCCATGGGACTGTAATGGTTGTGGCCATGGGGAGATCCTCCTCTGCTTATGAAAAGGGGAGGAAAGAGTAGAAAGGACTTTGTCTTGTAGCTTGGGAGTCAGCTAAACCACAGTAGAATAGAGCACCAGGTAGATTCCTAAGGTTTCTGACACCAGGCCCTGGTTTTAAGACAGCACCAGAGAGAGGGGTGGCAACCATCTCTGCAGTTTGGTCAACTCAGCCATTCCAGCCTGTCAGCTTTGGAGAGTCCAAAGGGTCCAGATGACAAAGGGTCCTCCTGAAAACAGCATAGCTGTTTGACCAAAAGGCAGCCAGACTGCTTCTTTAAGCAGGTCCCTGATTCCCATTCCTCCTGACTGGGTGAGACCAAAAAGGTCTCAAGCACCCCCCTACAGGTGCATTTGGGCTGGCAACAGGTAAGTACCTTCCTGGGATGGAGCTTCCATAGGAAGGAGCAGGCTGCCATAGTTGTTGTTTTGTAGCCTTCGCTGGTGATAACTCAAGGTACAGAATAAAGTGAGAAAACTAGGGTCTGGAGCAGACCCCCAGCTAACCACAGCAGCACTACAGAAGAGTGGCCTGACATTGAAAGAAAACAAACAAACAAACAAACAGAAAACAAAAGTAACAACATCATCAACAACAACAAAAACCAACAAAGAAACTCATTCTAAGATCAGCACCCTCAAAGTTCAAAGATAGATGAGCCCACAAAGATACAAGAATATCAGCACAAAAACACTGAAAACTCAAAAAGCCTCCTCCAAATGACCACAACACCTCTCCAGCAAGGGCACAGAACTGGGCTGAGGCTGAGATGACCAAAATTGACAGAAGTAAGCTTCAGAAGGTGGGTAATAACAAACTTCACTGAGATAAAGGAGCATGTTGTAACCCAATGCAAAGAAGCTGAGAATCATGATAAGACAATACAGGAATGATAGCCAGAATAGCCCATTTAGAGAGAAACATAACTGACCTGACGGAGCTGAAAAACACAATACGAGAACTTCACCATGCAATCACAAGCATCAGCAGCAGAATAGACCAAGTGGAGGAAAGAAACTCAGAGCTGAAGACTGTCTTTCTAAAATAAGACAGGCAGATAAAAATATTTTTAAAAGAATGAAAAGGAATCAACAAAACCTTCAAGAAATATGAGATTATGTAAGGGGACCAAACCTACTACTGATTGAAGTACCTGAAAGAGACAAGAAGAAGAGAACCAAGTTGGAAAACATACTTCAGAGTATATCATCCAGCAGAATTTCCCCAACCTAGCAATACAGGCCAACATTCAAATTCAGGAAATGTAGATAACCCCAGTAAGAGGTTCCATGAGAAAATAAACCCCAAGACACATAATCTTCAGATTCTCCAAGATCAAATGAAAGAAAAAATGTTAGGGGCAGCCAAAGAGAAAGGCCAGGTCAACTACAAAGGGAAACCCATCAAAATAACAGCAGACCTCTCAGTGGAAACTCTACAAGGCAGAAGAGATTGGGGGCCAATATTCAACCTTCATGGAAAAAAGAATTTGCAACCCAGAATTTTATATCCAGCCAAACTAAGCTTCATAAGTGAGGGATAAATAAGATATTTTTCAGAGAAGCAAATGCTGAGGAAATTTATCACCAGCAGGCCTGCATTGCAAAAGCTCTTGAAGGAAGCATTAAATATGGAAAGGAAAAGCCATTACCAGACATTACAAAAACACACTGAAGTACACAGACCAGTGACACCATGAAGTACCACATAAACAAGTCTTCAAAATAACCAGATTACATCATGATGACAGGATCAAATTCACACATGACAATAATAATCTTAAGTGTAAATGGGCTAAATACTCCAATTAAAAGACACAGAATAGCAAGCTGAATAAACAGCCAAGACCCATAAGTATGCTGTCTTCAAGAGACCCATCTCACATGCAAAGACACACTTAGGCTCAAAATAAAGGGACAGAAAAAAATTTACCAAGCAAATGGAAAACAGAAAAAAAATGGGGTTACAATCCTAGTTTTTGACAAAACAGACTTAAAACCAACAGAGATCAAAAAAAGATAAAGAAGGTCATTACATAATGGCAAAAGGTTCAATTCAGCAAGAAGACCTAACTATCCTAAATATACATGCACCCAATATAGGAGCACCAAGATTCACAAAGCAAGTTTTAGAGACTTACAAAAAAGACTTAGATTCACACACAGTTATAGCGGAAGACTTTAAAGTCCCACTGTCAATATTAGACAGACCACCAAGACAGAAAATTAACAAAGATATTCAAAACTTGAACTCAGCTCTGGATCAAGTGGAGTTGATAAATATGTACAAAACTCTCCACCTGAAAACAACTGTATATACATTCTTCTCATCACCACATGGCAATTACTCTAAAATTGATCACATAGTCAGAAGTAAAACACTCCTTGCTAAATGCAAAAGAACTGAAATTATAACACTTTCTCAGACCACAGCACAATCAAATTAGAATTCAAGATTAAGAAAGTTACTCAAAACCACATTACTACATGGAAATTCAACAAACTGCTCCTGAATGACTCTTGGATTAAGGCAGAAATCAAGAATTTATTTCAAACTAATGAGAACAAAGAGACAATGTACCAGAATATCGGGGATGCAGCTAAAGCAGTGTTAAGAGGGAAATGTATAGCACTAATTGCCCACATCAAAAAGGTAGAAAGATCTCAAGTTAACAACCTAACATCACAACTAAAAGAACTAGAGAACCAAGAGCAAACAAACCCTAAAAGTAGCAGATGACAAGAAATAACCAAGATCAGAGCTGAACTGAAGGAGATAGAAACAAGCAAAATTGTTCAGAAAATCCGTAAATCCAGGAGCTGGTTTTCTGAAAAAAATAATAAAATAGACCGCTAGCTAGACTAATAAAGAAGAAATGAGAGAAGAATCAAATACAATCAGAAATGATAAGGGGATGTCACCACTGACACAACAGAAATACAAACAACCATCAGAGAATACTGTAAATACCCCTATGCACATAAACAAGAAAATCTAGAAGAAATGGATAAATTCCTGGACACATACACCCTCCCAGTACTGAACCAGGAAGAAATTGAATCTCTGAAGAGACCAATAACGAGTTCTAAAATTGAGACAGTAATAAATAACCTACCAAGCAAAAAAAGCACAGCGCCAGATGAATTCACAGCTGAATTCTACAAGAGGTACGAAGAGCTGGTACAATTTCTACTGAAGGTGTTTCAAAAAATTGAAAAGGAGGGACTCCTCCTTAACTCATTTTATGAGGCCAGCAACATCTTGATACCAAAAGCTGCCAGAGATGCAACAACAACAACAACAAAGAAAACTTCAGGCCAATATCTTTGATAACATCAATGCAACAATTCTCTGTTAAATATTGGCAAACCAAATCTAGCAGCACATCAAAAAGCTTATTCACCATGATCAAGTTGGTTTCATCACCAGGATGCAAGGTTGGTTCAACATATGCAAATCAATAAATGTGATTCATCACAAAAACAGAACTGAAGACAAAAACCATCACATGATTATTTCAATTGATGTGGAAAAGGCCTTCAATAAAACTCAACGTTCCTTCAGGTTACAACTCTCAGTAAACTAGGTATTGAAGGAACCTACCTCAAAATAATAAGAGCCATATATGACAAACCCACAGTCAATGTCATACTGAATGGGCATAAGCTGGAAGCATTTCCTTTGAAAACTGGCATAAAACAAGTTTGCTGTCTCTCACCACTCCTATTTAACATAGTATTGGAACTTCTGGCAAGGGCAACCAGGAAAAGAAAGAAATAAAGCATATCCAAATAGGAAGATAGAAAGTCAAATTATCTTTGTTTTCAGATGACATCATCATATATCTAGAAAACTCCATCATCTCAGCTCAAAAGCTTCTTAAGCTGATAAGCAACTTCAGCAAAGTCTCAGGATACAAAATCTATGTGCAAAAATCACTAGCATTCCTATACACAAATAGCAGGCAAGTAGAGAGCCAAATCGTGAATGAACTCCCTTTCACAATGGCTAGAAAATGAATAAAATACCTAGAAATACAGCTAAAAAGAGAAGTGAGGAACCTCTTCAAGGAAACTACAAACCACTACTCAAAGAAATCAGAGAGGACACAAGCAAATGGAGAAACATTCCATGCTCATGAATAGGAAGAATCAATATCTTGAAAATGGCTATACTGGCCAAAGTAATTTAAAGATTAAATGTTATTCCCATTGAGCTACCATGACATTCTTCACAGAATTAGAAAAATATATATATTTTAAAATTCATATGGGACTGAAAAGGAGCCAGAATAGCCAAGCCAATCCTAAGCAAAAAGAACAAACCTGGAGACATCATGCTAGTTGACTTCAAACTATACTTCAAGGCTACAATAGCCAAAACAGCATGGTACTGGTACAAGAACAAACACATAGACCAATGGAACAGAATAGAGAACTCAGAAATAAGACCACACACCTACAACCATCTGGTCTTCAACAAATCTGACAAAACAAGCAATGGGGAAAGGATGCCCTATTTACTAAATTTTGCTTGGATACTTGACTAACCTATGCAGAAAACTGAAACTGGACCCCTTCCTTATATCTTCTACAAAAATTAACTCAAGATAGATTAAAGACTTACACGTAAGACCTAAAACCATAAAAACTCTAGGCAATACCATTCAGGACATAGGCATAAGCAAAGACTTCATGACTAAAACACCTAAAGCAATGTCAACAAAAGAAAAATTGACAAATGGAATCTAATTAAACTAAAGAGCTTCTGCACAGCAAAAGAAACTATCATCAGAGTGAACAGTCAAGCTACAAAATGGGAGAGCATTTTTGCAATCTATCCATCTGACAAAGGTCTAATATCCTGCATCAATAAGAAACTTAAACAAATTTACAAGAAAAAAACAACCAACCACACTAAAAAGTAGGCAAAGGACATAAACAGACACTTCCAAAAGAAGACTTACATGCAGCCAACAAACCTGAGAAAAAAGATCTACATCACTGATCGTCTGAGAAATGCAAGCCAAAACAACAATGAGATACCATCTCATGCCAGTCACAATGGTGATTATTAAAAAGTCCAGAAACAACAGATGCTGGCAAGATTTCATAGAAAAAGGCATGCTTTTACACTGTTGGTGGGAGTGTAAACTACTTCAACTATTGTGGAAGACAGTGTGGCAATTCCTCAAAGACCTAAAGGAGAAATATTATTTGATCCAGCAATCCTATTATTGGATATATACCCAGAGGAATATAAACCATACTATTATAAAGATACATGCATGCATGCATATGTTCATTGCAGCACTATTCACAATAGCAAAGACATAGTATCAACCTAAATACCCACAATGTTATACTGGATAAAGAAAATGTGGTATATATAAACCATAGAATACTATGCAGCCATAAAAAAGCAATGAGATCATGTCTTTGCAGGAATATGGATGCAGTTGGAAGGCATTATCCTCAACAAACTAACACAAACACAGAAAACCAAACACTACATGTTCTCACTTACAAGTGGGATCTGAATGATGAAAACACATAGTCACATGGTGGGGACAGGGACCAACACACACTGGAGCCTCTGTGGGGGAAGGAAGAACATCAGGAAGAATAGCTAATGGTTTCTGGGATTAACACCTAGGTGATGGGATGATCTGTGCAACAAACAACCATGGCACACATTTACCTATGTAACAAATCTGCACATCCTGGACATGTACCCCTGAACTTTAAATAAAAGTTGAAGAAAAAAATTACCTGTTTTGAGGAAACTCAAAGAAACTCAAGATAATATAGAGAAGGAATTCAGAATTCTATCAGATAAATTTAATAAAGATAAATAATTTAAAAGAATGAAGCAGATATTCTAGAGCTTAAAAATGCACCTGACATACTGAAGAATGCATCAGAGTCACTTAACAGCAGAATTGATTAAGCACAAGAAAGAATAAGTGAGCTTGAATACAGGCTATTTGAAAATACACAGTCAGAGTAGACAAAAGAAAAAAGAATAAAAAACAATGAAGCATGTCTACAAGATCTAGAAAATAGCCTCAAAATGGCAAACCTAAGAGTAATTGGCATTAAAGAGGGGATAGAGAGAGATGGGGTAGAAAGTTGAATCAAATGAATGATAACAGAGAACCTCCCAAACCTAGATAAAGATACCAATATTCAAGTATAAGAATGTTATAGAACACAGAGCAGATTTAACTCAAAGAAGAATATCCTAAGACACTTAATAATCAAACTCCCAAAGGTCAAAAATAAAGAAAGGATCCAAAAATCAGCAACAGAAAAGAAACAAATAACATATAATGGAACTCCAGTACATCTGGCTGCAGGTTTTTCAATGGAAAACTTACAGGCCAGGAGAGAGTGGCATGACATATTTAAAGTGCTGAAGGGAAAAAAAGCAAAACAAAACAAAACAAAACAAACAAACATTGTATTCTAGAAGAATATATTCAGCAAAATATCCTTCAAACATGAAGGAGAAGTAAAACTTTCCCAGACAAATGAAAGCTGGAGGATTTCATCAACACCATACCTGTCCTACGAGAAATGCTAAAGGCAGTTCTTTGATCTGAAAGAAAAGGACATTAATGAACAATAAGAAATCATCTGAAGGTACAAAGCTCACTGGTAACAGTAAATACACAGAAAAACACACAATATTATAGCTCTGCAATTGTGGTGTGTAAATGACCAATATCTTGAGAAGAAACACTAAAAGATAAACTGATTAAAAATAAATACAGCAGCTTTTCAGGTTAAAGACAGTATAATAAGATAAAAATAGAAACAACAAAAACTAAAAAACAGGGGGGCAAAGTTAAAGTGTAGAGGTTTTTAGTTTTCTCTTTGGTGTTTGTCAGTTTGTTTGCTGGTGTCTTATGCAATCAGCATTAAGTTGTCATCAGTTTAATACAATTAGTTATAAGATATTTGCAAGCCTCATGGTAACCTCAAATTAAAAAACATGCAACATACACATACAAAATAAAAAGCAAGACATTAAAACATACTACCAGAGAAAATCACCTACACTAAAAGGAAAACAGGAAGAAAGAAAAAAAAAGGAAGACCAGAAAACAACAAAATACCAGGAATAAGTTCTTATTTATCAATAAAAAAAAGAATGTAAATGGACCACTCTTCAATCAAGAGACATAGAGTAGCTGAATGAATAAAACAAAAGCAAGACCCAGTGATTTGTTGCCTACAAAAATCACACTTCACCTATAAAGATACACATAGACTGACAATAAAGGAATGGAAAAATATATTTCATGCAAACAGAAACCAAAAAAAATGCAGGAGTAGCTATATCAGACAAAATAGTAATTTTAAATATATATACCGAAAAATATATAAAGAAAATATTATTCAAACAATATAGAGAGATAGACCCCCAATGTAATAATTGCTGAAGGCTTGAAGGCTCCATTTTCTGCATTGGAGAGACCATCCAGACAGAAAATCAGCAAAGAAATATCAGACTTAATCTGCGCTATACACCAAATGGACCTGAAAGAAGACATTTACAGAACATTTCATCCAACAGCTGCATAATACACACTTTCCACTCAGAACATGGACTATTCTCAAGGATAGACCACATATTACACCACAAAACAAGTTTTAAAACGTTTTTTAAAATTGAAATAATATCAAGTATCTTATTTTACCATGATAGAATGAAACTAGAAATCAATAGCAAGAGAAATTTTGGAAACTATAGAAATACATGGAAATTAAACAATATACTCCTGAATGACCACTGGGTCAATGAAGAGATTAAGAAAAAAATTGAAAAAAATGTTTTCACACAAACGATGATGGAAACACAACACACCAAAACCTATGGGATACAGTGACAGCAGTATTAGAAGGGAAGTTTATACCTATAAGAATCTGCATCAAAAAAAGAAGAAAAACTTCAAATAGACAATCTAATGATGCATCTTAAAGAATTAGAAAAGCAAGGGAAAACCAAACCCAAAATTAGTAGAAGAAAAGAAATAATAAAGATCAGAGCAGAAATAAATGAATTTGAAATGAAGAAAACAATGCAAAAGATCAGCAAAATGAATACTTGATTTTTTAAAAAGATTAACAAAAATCAACAAACTTTTAGCCAGATTAAGAGAGAGAGAAGATTAAAATAAATAAAATCAGAGACAAAAACGAGACATTACAACCAATAGCACAGAAATCCATAGGATCACTAGAGCCTACTCTGTGAAAATGTATGCCAACAAGTTGGAAAAACTAGAAGAAATTAATAACCCCCTAGACACATACAACCTACCAAGATTGAACCATGAAGAAACCCAAAACCTGAACAAGCTCCAAATATGTAACAAGATGGAAGCCAAAAGAAAAAGCCCTGGATCCGATGGCTTCACTGTTGACTTTTACCAAACATTTAAAAAACTAGTACCAATCCTACTCAAACTATTCTGAAAAATAGACGATGAGGGAATATTTCCAATCTCATTCTACGAGCCCAGTATTACCCTGATATCAAAACCAGACATAGACACATCAAAAGAAAGCAAAACTACAGGCCAATATCTCTGATAAATATTGATGCAAATATCCTCAACAAAATACTTGCAAACTGAATTCAACAATATATCTTTTAAAATCATTCACCATGACCAAGTAGAATTTATCTCACGTGTGCAAGGATGGTTCAACATATGCAAATAAATTAATGTGATATCAAAAGAATAAAGGACAAAAACCATATGACCATTTCAATTGATGCCAGAAAAGCATTTGATAAAATTCAACATCCCTTTATGATAAAAACCCAAGGTCTGGAGTTCAAGATCAGCCTGGCCAGCATGGTGATACCCCATCTCTACTAAAAATACAAAAACAAAAAATTAGCTGGGCATGGTGGCACATGCCTGTAGTTCCAGTTACTTGGGAGGCTGAGGCAGAAGAATTGCTTGAACCTGGCAGGTGGAGGTTGCAGTGAGCCGAGATCACGCCACTGCACTCCAGTCTGGGTGACAGACTGAGACTCCATCTAAAAAAAAAAAAAAAAACTGGGTATGGAAGGAGCATATCTAAACACAATAAAAGTCTTATATGACAGGCCCACAGCTAGTGTGATACTACATGGGGAAAAACTGAAAGCCTTTCCTCTAAGATCTAGAACACAAGGATGCCTATTTTCACCACTGTTATTTAATGTTGTACTGGAAGTCCTAGCTAGAGGAGTCAGAAAAGAGAGACATATGAAGAGTATCCAAATTGGAAAGGAAAAAGTCAAATTGTCCTTGTTTCCTAAAGATATAATCTTATATTTGGAAAAACCTAAAGACCCTACAAAAAAATTCAGATGATAGACAAGTTCAGATCCTTCTAGAGGACAGGAGTCTTTGGAAACTATTTCAGGAAGGTCCTCAATAAAATACTTGCAAACTGAATTCAACAAAATCATGGTTCAACATATGCAAATAAAATAATGTCATACATCATATCAGGAAGGTCACTCTCCACCTCCTGAGAGCCAATAGCCCTTAAGAATTGCTGAGGAGATATTATTTCAGGATTATGGCAGTTGGGAGTCAGGACTAGACAGCAGCTCCAACTCGGATGGACAGAGCAGTGTACGGAGGCTCACATCATGAATTTTAGCTCCAGAATGACTGCAAGAACTAACAAGGAATCCTGAGAAGACCCTCAGACCCTCTGAAGAAAGCAGAGTGCTCCTGCAGGACCCAGGAGACACTCCAAATACTCTACAGGAAGACCCACTAAAGGAGAGTCCAAGGTCAGACACGCCTAGCCCTGCCCCCACCTGATGGTACTTTCCAACCCACCCTGGTAGCTGAAGACAAAGGGCATATACTCTTGGGGGTTCTAAGGCCCCACCCACTGCCAGTTCCTCTCCATACTACCACAGCTGATGCTCTCCAAAAAGCACCACATGCCAGCAGGAGGCCAAATCAGCACAAAAGTAAAGCATTAAACCACCAAAACTAAGAACCCCCACAGAGTCCATTTCACCCCCCTGCCACCTCCACCAGAGCAGGTGCTAGTATCCATGGCTGAAACCCACAGATGGTTCACATCACAGAACTCTGTGCTTACAACCCCCAGTACCAGCCCAGAGCTGGGTAGACTTGTCAGGTGGCTAGACCCAGGAGAGAGATAACAATCACTGCAGCTTGGCTCACAGGAAGCCACATCCATGGGAATAAGAGGAGAGTACTACATCAAGGGAAGACCCCGTGGGACAAAAGAATCTGAACAAGAGCCCTTGGCCCTAGACCTTCCCTCTGACAGAGCCTATCCAAATGAGAAGGAACCAGAAAACCAACTCTGGTAATATGACAAAACCAGACTGTTTAACCACTCCAAAAAATCACACTAGCTCACCAGCCATGGATCCAAACCAAGAAGAAATCCCTGATTTACCTGACAAAAAATTCAGGAGGTTAGTTATTAAGCTAATCAGAGAGGCACCAGAGAAAGGCAAAGCCCAATGCAAGGAAATCCAAAAAAAGACAATACAAGAAGTGAAGGAAGAAATATTCAAGGAAATAAACAGCATAAAGAAAAAGCAATCAAAACTCCAGGAAACACTTGACACACTGATAGAAATGCAAAATGCTCTGGAAAATCTCAGCAATGGAATTGAACAAGTAGAAGAAAGAAATTCAGAGCTAGAAGACAAGGTTTTGAATTAACCCAATCCAACAAAGAAAAGAAGAATAAGAAAATAGGAACAAAACCTCCAAGAAGTTTGGGATTACATTAAACAACCAAACCTAAGAATAATCAGTGTTCCTGAGGAAGAAGAGAAATCTAAAAGTTTGGAAAACATATTTGGGAGAATAATCAAGAAAAACTTCCCTGGCCTTGCTAGAGACCTAGACATCCCAATACAACATGCACAAAGAACACTTGGGAAATTCATCGCAAAAGATCATTGCCTAGGCACATTGTCAGCAGGTTATCTAAAGTTAAGACAAAGGAAAGAACCTTAAGAGACAAAAACTCCAGGTAACCTATAAAGGAAAACCTATCAGATTAACGCAGATTTCTCAGCAGAAACCCTACAAGTTAGAAGGGATTTGGCCCTATCTTCAGCCTCCTCAAACAAAATAATTATCAACCAAGAATTTTGTATTCAGTAAAACTAATCGTCACATATGAAGGAAAGATACACTAATTTTCGTGCAAACAAATGCTGAGAGAATTTGCTACTACCAAGCCACCACTACAAGAACTACTAAGAAGAGCTCTAAATCTTGAAACAAATCCTGGAAACACATCAAAACAGAACATCTTTAAAGCATAAATCACACATGATATATAAAGAAAATAATACAAGTTAAAAAGCAAAAACAGAACCACCAAGGTACACAGGCAACAAATAGCAGAATGAATTCAATGGTAACTCACATTTTAATACTAACATTGAATGTAAATAGCCTAAATGCTCCACTTAAAGGATACAGAACTGCAGAATGGAAAATAACTCACCAACCAACAATCTACTGCCTTCCAGAGATTCACCTAACACATAAGGACTCACACAAACTTAAGGTAAAGGGGTGGAAAAGGCATTTCATGCATATGGACAGCAAAAGCAAGCAGGAGTGGCTATTCTTATATCAGACAAAACAAACTTTAAAGCAAGAGCAGTTAAAAGAGACAGAGAAGGACATTATATAATGGTAAAAGGCCATGCCCAACAGGAAAATATCACAATCCTAAACATATATGCACCTAACACCAGAGCTCCCAAATTTATAAAACAATTACTAATAGACCTAAGAAATGAGATAGACAGCAACACAATAATAGTGGGGGACTTTAGCACTCCACTGACAGCACTAGACAGGTCATCAAAACAGAAAGTCAATGAAGAAACAATGGATTTAAACTATACCTTGGAACAAAAGGATTTAACCAATATATACAGAACATTTCATCCAACAGCTGCAGAATACACATTCTATTCAACAGCACATGGAATCTTCTCCAAGATAGACCATATGATAGGTCACAAAACAAGACTCAAAAAATTTAAGAAAATTGAAATTATATCAAGCATTCTCTCAGACAACAGTGGAATAAAACTGGAAATCAACTCCAAAGGAACCTTCAAAACCATGCAAATATATGGAAATTAAATAACCTGCTCCTGAATGGTCACTGGGTCAAAAACAAAATCAAGATGGGAATTTAAAAGTTCTTTAAACTGAATGACAATAATGACACAACCTATCAACACCTCTGGGATATAGCAAAGGTAGTGCTAAGAGGAAAGTTCATAGCCCTAAACACCTATATCAAAAAGACTGAAGAAGCACAAACTGACATTGTAAGGTCACACCTCAAGGAACTAGAGAAACAAGAACAAACCAAACCCAAACCCAGCAGAAGAAAGGAAATAACCAAGAACAGAGCAGAACTAAATGAAATTGAAATAAAATACAAAAGATAAATGAAACAAAAACCTGGTTCTTTGAAAAGATAAATAAAATTGATAGACCACTAGCAAGATTAACCAAGAAAAGAAGAGATAAAATCCAAATAACCACATTAAGAAACAAAATAGAAGATATAACTGACACCACTGAAATACAAAAGATCCTTCAAGGCTACTATGAACATCTTTATGCACATAAACTAAAAAACCTAGAAGAGATGGATAAACTCCTGGAAAAATGCAACCCTCCTAGCTTAAATCAGGACGAATTAAATACCCTGAACAGGCCAATAACAAGCAGTGAGATTGAAATGGTAATTAAAAAATTACCAACACAAAAATGTCCAAGACCAGATGGATTCACAGCAGAACTCTACCAAACATTCAAAGAACAATTGGTACCAATCCTTTTGACACTATTCCACAAGATAGAGAAAGAGAGAACCCTCCCTAATTCATTCTATGAAGCCAGCATCATCCTAATACAAAAACCAGGAAAGGACATAACCAAAAAAGAAAACTGCAGACCAATATCCCTGATGAACATAGATCCTAAAATCCTTAACAAAATACGAGCTAACCGAATCCACCAACATATCAAAAAGAAAATGCACGATGATCAAGTGGGTTTCATACCAGGGATGCAGGGAAGGTTTAATACATGCAAGTCAATATATGTGATACAACACATAAACAGAATTAAAAACAAAAATCACATGATCATCTCAATAGATGCAGAAAAAGAATTCGATAAAATTTTGCATCCCTTTATGATTAAAACTCTCAGTAAAATTGGCATACAAGGGACATAACTCAATGTAATAAAAGCCATCTATGACAAACCTACAGCCAACATAATACTGAATGGGGAAAAGTTGATAGCATTCCCTTGGAGAACTGGAACAAGACAAGGATGCCTGCTCTCATTACTCCTCTTAAACGTAGTACTGGAAGTCCTAGCAATAGAAATCAGACAAGAGAAAGAAATAAAGGGCATCCAAATCAGTAAAGAGGAAGGCAAGCTGTCACTGTTCACTGATGATATGATTGCTTACCTCGAAAACCCTAAAAGCTCCTTCAGAAAGCTCCTAGAACTGATAAAAGAATTCAGCAAAGTTTCCAGATACAAGATTAACATACACAAATCAGTAGCTCTTCTATACACCAGCAGCAACCAAGCAGAGAATCAAATCAAGACCTCCACCCCTTTTACAATAGTGGCAAAAAAAAAAAAAAAAAACTTAGGAATACACCTAACCAAGGAGTCGAAAGACCTCTACAAGGAAAACTACAAAACACTGCGAAAATAAATCACAGACAACACAAACAAATGGAAACACAAACCATGCTCATAGATGGGTAGAATCAATATTGTGAAAATGACCATACTGCCAAAAGCAATCTACAAATTCAATGCAATATCCATCAAAATACCACTATCATTCTTCACAGAATTAGAAAAAACAATTCTAAAATTCATATGGAACTAAAAAAGACCCCACATGGCCAAAGAAAGACTAAGCAAAAAGAACAAATCTGGAGGCATCACATTACCTGATTTCAAACTATACTATTAGGCCATAGTCACCAAAACAGCATAATACTGGTATAAAAATGGGCACATAGACCAATAGAACAGAATACAGAAGCCAGAAACAAACTCAAATACTTACAGCCAATTGATCTTCAACCTAGCAAACAAAAACATAAAATGGGGAAAAGACACTTTTTTCAACAAATGGTACTGGGATAATTGGCTAGCCA
The DNA here is from genome assembly GCF_000001405.40 of Homo sapiens. NCBI lineage: Eukaryota > Metazoa > Chordata > Mammalia > Primates > Hominidae > Homo > Homo sapiens. Next base: position 108,916,558 of record NC_000007.14, on the reverse strand, counting down.
CATGTAAGAGAATGAAACTGGATCTTCATCTCTCACTTTATACAAACATCAACTCAAGATGGATCAGGAGTTAAATCTAAGATCTGAAACTATAAAAATTCTGGAAGATAACACTGGAAAAACCCTTCTAGATGTTGGCTTAGGCAAGGATTTAATGACCAAGAACTCAAAAGCAAATGCAATAAAAACAAAGATAAATAGTTGGGACTTAGTTAAACTAAAGAGCTTTTGCATGGCAAAAGGAACAGTCACCAGAGTAAACAAACAGCCCACAGAGTGGGGAAAATCTTCACAATCTATACATCTGACAAAGGACTAACATCCAGAATCTACAACGAACTCAAACAAATCAGTAAGAAAAAAATAATCCCATCAAAAAGTGGACTAAGGACATGAATAGACAATTCGCAAAAGATTGTATATGAATGGCCAACAAACATATGAAAAAATGCTCAACATCACTAATGATCAAGGAAATGCAAATCAAAACCACAATGAGATACCACCTTACTCCTGAAAGAATGGCCATAATAAAAAAATCATAAAACAGTAGATGTTGGCATGGATGCAGTGATCAGGCAACACTTCTACACTGCTGGTGGGAATGTAAACTAGTACAACCACTATAGAAAACAGCGTGGAGATTCCTTAAAGAACTAAAAATAGAACTACCATTTGATCCAGCAATCCCACTACTAAGTATCTACCCAGAGGAAAAGAAGTCATTATATGGAAAAGATATTTGCACACGCACATTTATAGCAGAACAGCTCACAATTGCAAAATCATGGAACCAACCGAAATGCCTATTATCAGCAAGTGGATAAAGAAACTGACATATATGATGGAATACTATTCAGCCATAAAAAAGGAATGGACTAACAGCATTTGCAGTGACCTGGATGTGATTGGAGACTAGTATTCTAAGTGAAGTAACTCAGGAGTGGAAAACCAAACATCGTATGTTCTTACTGACATGTGGGACCTAAGCTATGAGGATGCAAAGGCATAAGAATGATACAATGGACTTTGGGGATTTGGGAGGAAGGGTGGGAGGGGGGCAACGGATGAAAGACTACAAATAGGGTGCAGTGTATACTGCTTGGGTTATGGGCGCACCACAATCTCATAAAACACCACTAAAGAACTTACTCATGTAACCAAACACCTCCTGTATCCCAATAACCTATGGGAAAAATAAAAATAAATAAATAAAAGAAAAAAAGAAATGATAGACAAATTCAGTAAAGTTACAGAACACTAAATCAACATACAAAAATCAGTAGCACTTCTACATGACAACAGTGAACAATGTGAAAAAGAAATTTGAAAAGTTATCCCATTTACAATGGCCACACATAAAATTAAGTATCTAGGAATTAACTTAACCAAAGAAGTGAAAGATCTCTATAATAAAAACTATAAAACTCTCAGGAAGGAAAGTGAAGCAGACACCAAAAAATAGAAAGGTATTCCATGTTGATGGATTGCAAGAATCAATATTATTAAAATGTCCATCTACCCAAAGCAATCTACAGATTCAATGCAATTCCTATCAAAATACCAATGATATTCTTCACAGAAATGGAAAAAAAAATCCTAAAATTTATATGGAACCACAAAAGACCCAGAGTAGCCAAAACTCTCCTAAACAAAAACAATAAAACCAGAGGAATCACATTATCTGACTGCAAATTATACTATAGAGCTATAATAACCAAAACAGCATGGTACTGGCATAAAAACAGACACATAGAACAATGGAACAGAATAGAGACCAGAAACAAAGCCATACATCTACAGTGAACTCATTTTTGACAAAGGTGCCAAGAACATACACTGGGAATAAGACAGTCTCTTCAATAAATGGTGCTGGGAAAACTGGATATCCACATGCAAAAGAATAAAACCAGACCCCTATCTCTTGTCATCTACAAAAATTAAATCAAAATGGATTAAACACTTGAATCTAAGACCTCAAAATATAAAATTACTGAAAGAAAACATTGGTGAAACTCTCCAGGACATTGAACTGGGCAAGGATTTCTTGAGTAATACTCCACAGGCACATGCAACCAAAGCACAAATGGACAAATGGGATCACATCAAATTAAAAAGCTTTTGTACAGCAAAAGAAACAATGAACAAAGTGAAGATACAAACCACAGAATGGAAAAAATATCTGGAAATTATCCATCTAATAAGGGATTAATAACCAGAACATGTAAGGCACTCAAAAAACTCTATAGGAAAAAATCTAATAATCCGATTTAAAAAATGGCAAAGGATCTGAATATACATTTCTCAAAAGAAGACATACAAATGGCAAATAGATATATGAAAAGCTGCTCAACATCATTGATCATCAGAGAAATGCAAATCAAAACTACAATGATATATCATCTCACCCCAGTTAACATGGTTTTTATTCAAAAGACAGGCAATGACAAATTCTGGCAAGGATGTGGAGTAAAAGGAACTCTCAAGTGCTGTTTTGGGGAATGTAAATTAGTACAATCACTATTGAAAACAGTTTAGAGGTTCCACAAAAAAACTAAAATTAGGTTTACCATATGATCCACCAATCCCACTGCTAGGTATATAACCAAAAGAAAGGAATTCAGTGTATCAAAGAGATAGCTGCACTCCTATATTTATTGCAGCACTATTCACAATAGCCAAAATTTGGAAGCAATCTAAGTGTCTATCAGCAGATGAGTTGATAAAGACAATGTGATACATATACACAATGTAGTACTACTCAGCCATAAGAAAGAATGAGATTCTGTCATTTGCAGTAACGTGAATGGAACTGAAGGGTCATTACGTAAAGTGAAATAAGCCAGGCACAGAAAGACAAACTTCATCTGTTCTCAGTTTTTTGTGGAGCTAAAAATTAAAACAACTGAACTTCTGGACGTAGAGAGTAGAACAATAGTTACCAGAGGCTGGAATGGTTTGGGGGCTGGGGGTGAAAAGCAGAAATGGTTAATGGGTCCAAATATATAGTTAGATACAATAAATAAGATCCAGTATTTGGTAGCACAACAGAATGATTATAATAGCTTACTGTACATTTTAAAATAACTAAGAGTATAATCGGATTATTTGTAATACAAAGAAAGGATAAATCCTTGAGCTAACTTATACTCATTTACCCTGATGTGATTATTATGCATTTTTATGCCTGTAGCAAAATATCTCATATACTTCAGAGATCGATAAATCTACTGTGTACTCAAATAAATTAAAAATAAAAATTATATAAAATTATATTAATTAAGCCTTAAAAAAATAAAAAAATGTGTTATTTAAGACATTTAAGCTAGGATTTGCTAAAACAAACTATGGAATAAATTTTTTTAATTCGAAGAGAGATATTCTATTCTTTACTCGTTATAAAGTAGATCTCTAGTTATTCTGAAATGAGAAGTCACTTTGACTCTTTCTCTACAATAGGAAAAAATGAGTGTCTTCACTACATTTATTTCCTATGAAGTATCTTCACTTCCTTTCTTTCCTATTGTAGAGATAGAAAATTTAGCCTTTAAAATAAGCAGTCTGAACCTAGTAAAGAGTAGAAGTGCCTATCCCTCGATGTAATATGAAGAAAGATGGACCAAATAAGCACATTATATTTATACACAGCATCCAAAATATCAAAATTTTATTAAACCATCTCTATTCATTTTACCTATTTGAAGTTAAAATAACAACACAGGAGGGCAAAATTTTTTTAATCTGCAAAACTAAATAAAGATATTAACTATTTTAGAAACAGTCACTATCAGCAATTCTATTTCTATATTTTCATAATAATGACATATGAGCATAAGGTTTCTGTGCAGGAGGAAATGTGGTCAACTCAATTTGTATTACCCTACCGCAGGAAAGAGGCATTTTCCCATAGATCAGAGAAAATACATGAACTAGCTAGACCACTGGGCCATAAAATCCACTTAGAAGCAGCAAGTCTTTTCATATTATGAAAGCAATACAGGTAGAAGATCTGCCACTTAGGGAGCATTTTTATGTGCCAGAGTCTATACAAGGTACTTTGCATATGTTATGTATCATTCATTATTAACAATTCCATGAATTACATAATAACATTCTTCATTTTATAAAAGAGGAAACCAAGGTTCAGTGAAAGAAAGTGACAACTAGAGAAGAGCAGAGCATTAACTCAAAAACAGATTCCTAAATCCATGCCCTCACCACAGCACTCAGCACGATTAAATTCTTCTCTTTCCCTCACTCTTTGATTTCTTTTTCTTCCCATCCCATTCTTTTATTTGCCTAATTTCTTCCCAAAATATGCTATCATTCATTCTCAGATGAAAATACATATAATTTATTTTTAAAACACTGTTAAAGATATCTGAATTCATAAAAATGATTCCACCCTCCCCCAACCCCATCTCCTACCAGGAGTAAAGTTATTTGTCAATATTCAACACATAAACCAAGGCTCTAAATAAATCACTCACAAAAACAAAACAAAAATCTTTTCACTGTCACCACATACTCACCTGCACAGTCCACTGTGCTTCTTTCTGCTAAATTATTTTTTCACAGTGGCTGTACATGTCCATGGTTCTTCCTCTTTGTGACCAAAAGTGAGACAATTAGTTCTATTATCTAAAATTATGGGCTGGGCATGGTGACTTAGGCCTGTAATCATAGCACTTTTGAAGGCTGACACAGAAGGATTGCTTGAGGCCAGGAACTGGAGACCAACCTGGGCAAGATAGCAAGACCGTATCTCTAAAAATAAAAATTAGCTAGGCCTGGTGGCACATGCCAATTGTCCCAACTACTCAGGAGGCTGAGACGGAAGGATCACTTGAGCCCAGGAGTTCGAGGCTGCAGTGAGCTATGATCACATCACTGCACTCCAGCTTGAGTGACAAAGTGAGACACTATCTCCTAAATTAATTCATTCATTAATTCAATTAAATTAAAATTTTGGAACATTTTATTTATATATCCAAACATTTATTCATAAGCATTGGGTCTGTCTCTACAATTAAGAGAGAAAAGTCTGATTTGTAATGATAATTAGCATGGCTGCTTCTGACACTTTTGCAGACTTACAACACAACAATTTCACTGAATTATCTATAACTGTTAGTTTCTAGGTTGCTACTTCTTTATTTATTATCCTCCCAAGACTTGATTTCACATTTATTTATTATCCTATATTAAATGTTGGTACCTCAGCCTCTACACTTTCTATTTTACCATAAAACTAATGTTCATGAGTCCCCATTACTAAGTGGGAGACTAAGTCTTGCTTAGTCATTTGGGAAGAATTACACAAATTGCATAAAATCATCTGACTATTTCTCATGATATTAGGTAACTAAACAGAGTTTCCAGGAATGAGAAGTCACTGCTATTTTGATTCTTGCAATCTAAATAGGACAAAGCTTAGACTAGTTCTCACTAGTAAAAAGATTAATACCAGTCCGCAAAGAAAGGACAGCTCAGACTCTGGATTGGATTTGCAGAACTGTTTCTGATTTGTTTCATTTTGTAAAGGTGTATTGTCATACTAACATGTTTAACGTACATATATTATCTCTATCTACTTGTATAACTTAAACTCTTTCCATTTGGAAGAAACCACTATCATTAATATAATAAACTGAACTTTTTACATTGTTTTGTACCCTCTGTTTTTTATTTCTGTCTCTCTCCTATGCATTTAGTCTGTCTCATACCGCTTGAGGTCTTCAAGTGCCACAGCTTTATGTTGACATAGTAATTGTTCCATCTATGCAGAATAGGAGTCACCCCTATATCTTATGACTATGCTTTCCTTTGAAGGGGTCATATGCTTGCTGTGACTAAACTTTGCTCAGACAAATAAATTTTTCTCTTGGATTAGAGTCCACTTTTCCACAATCTATTATTTTCAGTCTAACCAGTGCATCAGCAAGGATAGTAAAAGCACCAAAGTTTGCAAGTGCCCCATTTAATATTCTGTAATTTCCCAGAAATTTTAAATATTTAAAACTATGGCATAATTATGAGTATGGGGTGTGAGGTTCATTTTATAAGGTTTGCACAGCTTTTATCTAAGTTTTAGCAGGTTTTTTCCCCATATTTTCAGGCAACTTTCAGTAGGTTTTGACTGTTGCTATTAGGAAAAATGTTTCCTTCCATGATTCATGGATAATTGTTATTTCGTATATTTGAAGAGAATAAAACCAACTGTGTCGGAACACAGCCTAAATTTTTCTTACAGCCACAATTTCCCCCAGACCAATATTTGGGGAACTCTATAATATGGTTAGCTGGGTACTGGTGTAGGGAGTTAACCAGTATCACATGAGATATAGAAGAAGGAATTAAACTTTCCAAGGCTTTTAAAATTATAACACAATGCCGTCATCCAAGACAATACAATCAGGAGAACACTCTACCTTTCACATATGTACTCCACAGGCTATCACATATGACTGACTTTTCTTTTTCAAAATGCCTTTGATATTTATTTTAAATGGATTCACTGATTAAATAACATTTGGGTAGAGAAAGGAGGATCAATAAGAGGGCTCTGCGCAATAAGTTTAAATATTTCTGCCTGTCATTTACAATGACCCTTCATATCAATTTACCATCTCTGCTTCTTACATAGGAACAGGTTAAATGACCAGCAAACTGAGTTAGAGAGATAAGGCTGGCTTCAGAAGGGATGTAGGCATAGGATGATTTGTCAATCCAAGTAATAAAATTAGTTATTCAGTTTTCAGTCAGCCAATCAACCTGTTAGCCAAATTCCATTAAGCATGGCTTGACTATGTACAAGAGGGCACTGACTAAAATGAAAAAACACATATAGAAATATTAGATGATAATTGGTACAAAAAGGCAGACACAGGCGGTTAGAAATAGAGCTCGTATTTATCGAATACCTCATTTAATCCTGACAACTATAGTTTACATTATGCTTAATACTCCATGCCTATATAAATGTTTTCTGAAATAGCAGATAATTTTTAAAATAAAATGAGAAAATGTACCTCTTCATTTGTGGAATTAAAAAAATCTCTTCTTCCCAATGATTGATTCAATTTTTTTCATTAAAAATAGTGGCTGTAAAACAATAATTGAATCTTAACTGTTTTCACATAGATCACTTTTTGAATTTGAATTAGAAAATTGTGGGTCGCAGGTAGAAGACATAAGTTCTAGAACTCTGTTGTGCAACATGGTGACTATAGTTAAATGTATTGCATTCTTGAAAACTGTTAAGAGAGTAGATTTTAAGTGTTCTTACCACACAAAAAAAGATAAGTATGTAAGAAAATTCATATGTTAATTAGTTCAATTTAGTCATTCCACAATGTATATATATTTCAAAATATGTTGTATGTGACAGATATAATTGTAGTATATACAATTTTCATTTGGAAATTTAAAAATAAATAAAGAGAGAAAAAGAAAATTATGGATCTTCTTTGCCAGAAAAACGTGCATAAGAAATATACATCTCTACCTCCAAATTATTGATAACAATTTCACGGGATTCATGCCCCCCACACATCTCTGTACTGACCTCAGCACATGCACATTCATACCCAAATTCTCAAAGACTGCAGACTCCTTCTTTCTCTAAATCTTTACTCCATAATCTAAAACTTGATATCTAATTTTTATCTTTCTCCATTGATGTATTAGAATGTAATTCTTCCTTTGTCAACCATAAGATAATCTCTTCAGAGAAATGTATCTTTTATATTCCAGCTGGTACACAGAGGATGTTATATAATCACATGGTAATTGATGGAAAGGAAAATGCAAGTAAATGAAAGTCTTGATTATATCAGCCCTTACAGATTGTCCCTTGGAATGCAGCGTGTTTCCACTTGCAAAATGCTTAGATCATCTCTAAGTATTGCTTCTTCTGCCTCTTTTCTTCACTACATCAAGGATTACTGCATGACTCTGTGAAGTTTTATACAACCACTGCAATGTTCTGCCCTACAGCTAACTGAATTTCAGCATCAGTGGGCCAAATCCACACACTTACAGGAGCAAAGTTTGAGCCCAAGTTTTGGAGTAGGAAAAAGCCATGCTTACCTCTTTCTCTATTTCTGTTCAGCATGAAGTCCCTTGGTTGATGTCTTCACACTGCCTGGTCAAATCCCTTTGCCTTTGTGTCTGACCTAAAGTAATCTAAAACTACCAGGCAAGGACTAGGACTGCCACAGCCTTCCTTGAATGTGGCACTGTAATAGAGAAAACATGCTTATCCTAGAGATAAGTTTTGTCATGCTTCGGTTATAGCCAAGTCGGTCAGTTATATGCTCAGTTTGCCATCTTCTGAAGTTTCCTGAAAACACAGTAGAAAAATGGTGCCTGACACGAAGAATCATAGAAATCTCAACAAATGTTTTTATTTTTTTAGTCAGAGCTTCATATCCACTTTATTAAAAAGACAAAACAAAATCAAAAAGTATAATACATATGCTAATATAATTATAGATACATAATGTTACATGATTATTTCAGCATCCTTGAACTCAATCATCATCCCACATGCAAAAAAAAAAAAGTCCTTTAAAAAACAAATCTATACTATTGATTGCTTTCTAGGAGGTGAAATTAAGACAAAGAATTTATGATACATATATCTAGTTCTTTGCTTCCCTTCCCTGGTTTTACTGCAGATATACTACAATAAAAAAAAATAAGGAAAAGGAAGCTTTTCAGCTTTTCCCAAATTATTATTGGCCATATGCTTGTTTTTATAGACACTATCCCTCTCAATATTATTTTCTCAATAAATATAGCACATTCTTATTTAGCTAGCACTGAATCTATAATTAAGAAGGTAATTACAGAATTTACTATTAAAAATATAGGACGAATGTGTGTGAGGTTTGTGTTAACATCAGAAATGCCCAAATGCACCTTGAGTTGTGGCTCACAAAACACCATCTAGGAAATACTGGATAGAAGAAGGGACAGTCCTTGGGACATGGAGCTTCTGAACAAAGCCTCAGGGTAAAATATTGTTCAGCAGCTGTCATAAAATGAATGACCTGTCTTCAATGTTGAAGTTGCTAACTTCGGGAAGAACTCCCAATACCAGATTTAAAAGGAACTCCTGGACAAAGCTGGGGCAAGTGTTCTAGTTGCGGGTTCGCCCATCACCTGCCACAAAAAAATCATTAAGTGAAAATCAAAGGAGTGAGTAAAAAGGGAGGGGGGAGGATCGAGAAGTGGGGGATGGTGAGTCAAACAATTGCACCATGTAAACAGCAGGTAGAAACCATGAAAAATCAAAAGAACATAGAAATTATTAGAATAATACAACATTAGAGCCAAAGTTGAGGAGATGTGAGCAAGCAAATATCATCCCAGCAACCTTCTTTGAGGCTTGCTAAGGCCCTGAGGATTAATCATCAGGGTAAATGTCCCTATTTCCAAAGCCTGGTGAGGATCTGAAGTGTTCTTTCACTTACACAGAGAGCCTGGTGAAGCAATCAGGAGTTTGAAAAGCTGTCCCACTAGGCTGAGGATTAGACATTATTATGAAGTCCATTATTAATTAATTCCTTTATTGCCCATATATCAGAATGGACTCCTACAATCAGATGGGGGAGAAAGTAAAATAGAGAAGCTAAAATGGACATTTTCCAGGAGGGGAAGAACACAAAATGTTCTTTCTACTTTGTATTTCTAGCCCCTTTAGTAAATGTGAGTATAACTCTGTGTCATGTAAAACCTGACACCTGGCACTTGAGTAAGGAGTTTAATATTGCCATCTGGGGTAAATATGTTTCATCAATTGTCCATATGATGTCTCTTAAGGATATATGAAGCAATCAAGTGGAAAAAAAAAAGTTATGACCTGAGTCTAAATACAGTTTCACTAAAGTGAACCATTTATTTAGAATGAAAACTAGCCTCAATAACTGTACCACATTTTAATTCAGCGTCCAAAATCTCTAAAATGAATACACTTTTCCCCTGCAAAGCCTTACTATGTCCAACATAATAAGTTGGGCCTTCTCTCTCCTCTCTCTCTCTGAAACAATTGTTTTCTTTCAGTCTTGTACTCTGAGATACCTCCAAAGTAAAAACTGAGTATTGATGAACTATGGAAACTTTTTCTTTCCTTCCAAAATATTCATATCTGGTCTTTGTTTAACTTCCGCTATCATTTTACAGAAATTAACAACAAATAACAACAACAGACATCAAGTTTGGTACAGTTTCCATTCCTAAAACTTGCCATTTCCACATTGGCTACTCTGCAAGACAAAAACCACCCAAATATCAGAGGAATCACTATCAGCTCATATTGCTTCCTGAAGTGTTCTGTTTGTGAAATAATAAATCAGTTTCATTCCTGCAGCTACTGCTTCTTGCTGTCTTCCTTTCATTTGCTCTCAGCTTGAGTGAGAAATTTATTTTTGACAGTTTGTTGTTATATGGGGAGTTAGTTGTGTTGAATTGTAAAATACTGAAATCTTTTTTTATATATAGAGTTACTGAGTACTTCTTCTTCCATCAGAATGTAGTCTGAATCTTTAGAAAATTCATGTTAAATATTTTTACTGTTGCACCACCATTGAACAACATTGAAATGTGATTAAAAAGCAGGTGATTCAAACTCCCAAATAAATGGCAGCTTTCTATATGAAGGAATCAGGATTTAGACCTTTTGTTGTTGTTGAAGAGGAAAAAAAAGTCTCATTAGAACTCCCTTGACTGTCCCCAACCTTCCTTAGTTAAGCTATGGTGTGACTGAAAGGGCTTTCATGTTCCCCTCAGATTGACTAAACTTTAGTCTAAACTTCTTCCAGACTCTAGGCACTTGCCCTCCCTTTTTTCACAGTGTTTACTTTAGAAAATGTAAATTCTTTCTCTACCCCTTTAAGATGTAATTTTTTTAAAAAGCTTCTTGCCAGTTTTAAGACACAAAAAAATGTCTTTCTCAGATACGTAAGAGCCATCTCTTTGAAATGTAAACATCAAAGAAAATAGTGCCCTATCCTATCCCTTAGTTTCTGTGGGAGGGTGGATGACTAACTTTGGTGGATGCCTTGCTCCAAGTTGTAAAGCTACCTCTTGTTGTGAAGATTACTTTTCCTGTGGGTAAAGCTGGTTGGCAAACACAGATGCCCTAGCTCAACTCTTAGAAACTCTTCTGCCCCTTGTGTTAGTGCAGTTGAGCTCAGACTGAATTCTAGTGTATTTCATTGCAATAGCTTTGAATAAAGTCTTCCTCACTGGTTTAACTTTGTCTTGCACAATTTTTGCTTTGACAAGTGTTTATGGATGTGCTATTCTATAGCATTAGTATACTCCAGGTTTTGCCAGGCCAATCTTCTGGTAGATTTTAAGTATAAAAAAAGAAGATATCAAAACCAGATTTAAGGCTATCATGAGATATCAGAACAAGTCTAAAATTAAACAGGATGCTAATAGAACTATTAAAATGTTTATGAAGCCCAGGACCAAGAAAATAATAATTTGTTTCCTATATTTTTCTACAGAGGACTCAAGCCGGTTTAAATTCAGTAAAATCATACAACTAGGTAAAAATTAGGACAGAAGAAAATAATCATACAAATATAAATCCCAGAAGAGACAACATAGGTGCTATGATCACATTTTGGTTCTGAACTTCCTGACAGCCAGAAAAAGAAGGAAAAAGAGTTCCTCAAGGCAACTTTTCTTAACTAACTTCTAAAAGACGTGGTCTTGTAGAATTTTATATAGAGGAAAGAGACAGATGTAATAGAAAATATTTTCAACATTATTGATACATTTGCATTTATAGCAAATGCTGTAACATATTTTTATGGTTATTTCTTTTAATGACCACTAATAAAGGCCAAGGGCCTAGCCCCAGAATAAAGTGTAGGGAAGGTGATTCTAGAAAGAGTATAATGGAGTCTCAGTAAGTCATGCTCTCCTTGTGAGACTTAGGTTGAGAATTAAGTTCAAAGTGCCGTGATAGATTAAATATTCTCATTCTCCTTATTTTGTGCTTTAGAAACAAGTAATCCAGTGGCAGAGTTGGTTTTCTCTTTAACTCTTTAAAAAGTAATTTCCAAACTGTATGCAAGTTCACCCATCTTTGTCCAGAGTAGACCCAGAGGCATCATTACTACATTGTACAACTCCACAGGCTCCTTACACAGAAGACAGTGTGATTAGAGCTCCCTGCCATTGTGTAATTTCTGGCAGTGCCCAAGGATACAGGGAACAGAAGTCGGGATTTTACTCACGAAGCTGCTTCACATAATCTCTAAATCTGAGGCAACAAGAAAACATGGAATAAATATTTTCACTAGATAAATTTCATAGCTGGTGATAGTAGTCACCAGCCAAAGTCCACAAAGAGTTTAATAATGATTCCAAAGTGATCTGATTCTGGGAAACATGACATCTAGATGTTAAAGAAAGGGAACTCTCTAGAATTCTCTGCGGACAGTTATTTTTTCTCTCAGCTATCATTTTTACTTGTGAGAATTCTCCTAACAGTTTATCTCTTTGCTCACTACTTTAATAATAATACAATGATAATAATAATACAAGAAGGATAATAATAGCAATAGCATTATCGGTACTTGCTATTTGCCACACACTGTTCTAAGATATTTAGCCATATCAACTAATTTATATTTCATAAGACCTCAAGAACATAAGTGCTATTATTTGTCCCATCTTCCGGGAGTTGGGGGCCCGAAGTACACTATGGTTAAGTTATTTGTCCAAGATCATGCAGCAAATACATGGTGCAACCAATATTTAGACCCTGACACTCTGACTCCAGAGCCCATCCTTTGCACAGAGACAGTGCTCATTAAATATAATAAGGCCTCCCCTATAATCCCCAGAACATTTTACTAGGTAATGAGAATGGGGCCAAGTGACTTTTTCACCAATATTAATATAAATATAAGTGATATTAATCACTTCCAGGATGAGGCCATTAAAATCTGATGGATCTCCTCTATATTTATCTTTTTTTGTATAGTGACTTGGGAGCCACCTGTGAAGTGACAGTGCCACAAGGTGGAAGAAGTCTGGATCCCAGAGTCACCAACTGGAGGACAGCACCCACCAATCAACGAAGACTTTGCTAAATTTCAGGCTTCAATTTAAGGGATCATTTCTTAATGTCACACAGCCTTTCCTACTTTTACTAATACAGTGCTCTCAAGGACTACCGCACAGATCCTCATTCACAGCTCTAGATCCATTCTCTAGCTGATTACATCCACTATCTTGATTCCAAATTTGCCAAGCTAAATCTCTTCCAAATTTGAGGTTGTCATACCTAACAACCATTTGGAGGATGGAAATTCAGCATTTCTAAATGTTTCTATTAACTCTTCTCAATCAGAAGTTATTCATCCTCCTACATTATCTGTTGAATTTTGAGTGACTATAACCACTCAGCTACTGGAACTGAGAATTTATGAGTTGTACTTTACTATTCTTCTCTCTCACTGCTCATATGTTTTAAGAAGTCTGTGAGCCAAACAAAACCTATTTAATTCCCAAGGTACAAATAAAAAAGTGTCATCCCAGCTACCCAACTGGATTTAGAAAAAGAAAGTAATCGAGATGAGGATGAAGATGATGGTTCTATAAAAAGGAAGCCTGACTTCTATATCCTTCCATAAGGTAGACCTTGTAGCCTGAATGATCCTCCTGATGCAAACATATAGAAGGTTAATTAAAAATCATTGAAAATATTTTTAAGTATATCATTTAGCTGACATGAGATAAGGAATCCAATGAAGCCAAATATTAAATAAAAACAGGATCTTGGAAAGTCAGTTAGGTTTTTGAGGGTTTCTGCTGAATCCCAGAGATTTTGCACTTCAATGGCTATACAAGGCTCAGAGTAGATGAAAAAATAATAAAACATAAAATTTACCCAAGTTAGAAAATGTAATAGACATCTCTTGGATAAGCTGAATCCTTGGTGATAGTTAGGGCTATTCTTTAACAAATAGTCACGACCCCATTGACATCAGGCTTGGCCAAGTGACTCACTTCAGCCAACAGGATGTTAGAGGATAAGAAGAAAGCAAAGGTTTGACTGCTTCTTGCACAGTGTGACAAGCTCTCCTTTACTTCTACCACTGCCATGAGAAGAGTAAGTTTCGGGCCTTGCTGGTAGCACGGGATAAGAGACTTGCAGCTGGGAGCCAACCCAGCCATATACAGCCTTGATTACCCAATTCACATCTACAGATGGAGAAGAGAAAATAATTGTCATTCCTAGCCACTGAGTTTTGGGTGACTTCTTATGTATTATTGCATTATTGTGTTAATAATTGATTGATATCCATCCTATGGGCTACATACTCTGTGTAGGGGGAATGAAAAACTCTCCACTGAGAAGGGGACTATAAAGAAAATTATCAGCCTCAAATCTTAAACTGGATGGAGAGAAAAATTAATTTCCCCTGAGTATTTGTAACTACAAGTCAACCTCACACAATTTGATAGTGTGAATTTTTTATTGCCTGAATTATTTGCCTTACTTTTCCTAGGTTATCTTTTAGCTCTTCTAATACCTTTTCAACTAATTCCATCAGTAGAATCACCCAATGGGGGTTTTGTTTTCTTGACTGGACCCTGACTAATACAGTCCCAAGGAAAGCAATCTATAGCCTATACCAAAGACATAAAAGAGAGCAAACCATAAAAGAGGAATTGATAATAATGAAGATAAAGTGAAAATCTCTAACATATTTAATCAACTTTCTAGAAGCATATAATAGACTAGATGATGACAATACAGTATATAAAGAGAAAATGGTTCAGCATTTTTCAGAATTACTGAATTCTATCAATTCTCAAACTCAGGAAGTCCAATGAATCCCAAGCAGAATAAATAACAATTTCTAAAAATCCACACCTAGGCACATCCTAGGGAAGCTGAAAATCACAAAACAATTTTAAAAGCAATCAGAGAGAAAATACAATACCCCTGTAAATGAGCTGCAATTAGCATGATAACAGACTGATCAATAGGAATAGTGGAAACTAAAGACAGTGCAACAACATCACAATAGGCCAAGAGAAAAATAACTACTGGCATAAAATTCTGTATACACAGCAGAATAATCTTTTCAGAATGAGGGTGAAATAAAGCCATTTTCAGACAAAAAGAAAGAAACTGAATCTGCACACTACCAACAAACCCTCTTGTCCTTTAGATGGAAGGAACATGCTAAAGGTGAAAGATGAAAGAGAAACAAAAGATGAGTTAAAAAATGATAACTACGTAGATAAATATTAAGCAAGAATTGACTGAGGGGTGCTTCTCAACCATTTAAAAATGTGTCTGGCAGTCCTAAAGCAAAGTCTCAGTACCCCTGAAGCCTAGGCAATTTAAAGTAGCTGCATAGTAGAGCACCTTAAGAGACGAAAGTGTAAAATAAGTGTTATTACCACTAACACAGTTAGTATTAGTAGAATTAACATTTATGGATTTCTGCAATGTCAAAGCAGAAATTGCACCATTTTAATGCAATGTCAATGCAAAAAAAATTAAACAGGTAAAGAAAACTTCATTCAAGGCTATTGCATGAAACTAAAAACACTGCAGGCTTTCATAAAAAACGCTCCAGGTTTTTGGATCGCTTGAGCCCGTGAGGCAGAGATTGCAGTGAGCCAAAATCGCGCCATTACACTCCATCCTGGGCAACAGAGCAAGACTCCTTTAAAAAAAAAAAAAAAAAAAAAACCCTCCAGATCTTTAATTGCTGAGTCGCTGATGTGGGAGAATGAGAGGGGAGGGATGAAGGGGAGACAATAGGTCATCTGCATTTGCTAATTGGCTTTACCCAGTGGAAAAGTAGACTTTTTCGTATCTTTGTAACAAGAGGTAGCTTTACAATTTGGAGCAAGGTGCTCACTGAAGTTGGGCTCCTTCCCTCTCACAACGACTGGGAGACAGTGGTGTGACCTTCCTTGATCACCTTTCAAAGGGCCCATAGACCTTGGGAAAAATATTCTATGGTCTTAACACTGGTAAGAGACTTAAAAATTTTACAATTCAAAGGGGTAGAGAAAGGATTTGCAAAAGTGCAAGTTAAAAGTACACGCTCTAAGAAAAGGGCAGTCAGGGCCTGCAGTCAGAAAGAAGCCTATCTAAAGTTTACTCGGCTGAAGGGACATTTAGGCTGCGTTGGTCAGCTGGTGTTATGGACTGAATTGTGTGTTTCGCCACAACGACACCGCCAAGTTCATATGTTGAAGCCCTAACCCCCAGTGAGACTATTTGGAGATGGAGCCTTTAAGGAAGTATTTAAGGTTAAATGAGGTCATAAGAGTGGAACTCCGCCGGGCGCGGTGGCTCACGCCTGTAATCCCAGCACTTTGGGAGGCCGAGGCAGGCGGATCACGAGGTCAGGAGATCAAGACCATCCTGGCTAACACGGTGAAACCCCGTGTCTAATAAAAATACAAAAAATTAGCCGTGCGTGGTGGCGGGTGCCTGTAGTACCAGCTACTCGGGAGGCTGAAGCAGGAGAATGGCGTGAACCCGGGAGGCAGAGCTTGCAGTTAGCCGAGATTGGGCTACTGCACTCCAGCCTGGGCGACAAAGCGAGACTCTGTCTCAGAAAAAAAGAGTGGAACTCTAATCCAATAGGATTGGTGTCCCTACAAAAGGAAGAGATGGATATCAGAGCTCACTCTCTCTGCAAGCATAAAGATAAGGTCAAGGTCATGTCAACACGCAATGAGAAAGCAGTATCCACAAGCCAGGAACGAAGGACTCACCAGACACCGATCCTGCTAGCACCTTGACCTTGGACTTCTAACCTCCAGAAATGTGAGAAAAACACGTTTCTGTTGTTTAAGTAACCCAGGCTGTGATATTTTCTTATGGCAACCCAAGAAGACTCATACAGCAGGTGTGAATGAATAAATGAATATTGCCTCCCATTATTAGGAACCCATCTTAAGACAATTCTAGTGAAGTGTAATTAAAACATCATAATTAGGCTGGCAAATTTGGCATCCATCTGGTACATTGATGTAATTCAGGTGATTCCATTAGTATAGTTTATAGCAACGAATTAATTAAGAAATGGTGCTAGTTTTCTGTAATTTAATACTGCAAATTAAATGTGGCAAATCTGGAGATGTGATTAGTAAAAACACAGGAGTATAAATCAAAAGG
Organism: Homo sapiens; assembly: GCF_000001405.40. Taxonomy (NCBI): domain Eukaryota; kingdom Metazoa; phylum Chordata; class Mammalia; order Primates; family Hominidae; genus Homo; species Homo sapiens. The sequence continues at coordinate 108,899,376 of NC_000007.14, read as the reverse complement.
CTCAGAAAGTCATGATTAAGCTCAGTAATTAGAGAAATGTAATAAGACCTATGACTACCAGAACAACAACAAAAAATATACTCTCTCGTTTATAAAAAAGAACTCTAAAGGAAGCAATTGTTTGGAGATACTTTTGATCTCCTGGAATGCAGCTTTTAAATCCACCCTTGCTTCAGTTCTTGGCTTTAAGTCTTGGCATGCTTCATTTATGCTGCCACATAATATGCTCCATTATCATGTGCTTCCATGTATTCAGCCTCTCTTCTTAAATTTTTACTATGAATTCAAACTCCTGAACTTATGACTGATGATGTTTCCAATATTCTAGGTTAAATTACCAAATGAAAACACTGATAATTTGTAACTGCCTTCTAATTATTTCTTATACTCTACTGAGCCAGCCAACAGCCTTCAAAATCCCTAGATATGAACTTGACATATGATTATTATTTTATTAACTCATTGAAGCACTATGTATTTGGCCAGGTGCTATCTTCAGTTGCTAGAGCAGGGGTGATGAATTTGACATACTCCCAGCCTTCTATAAGCTTATCATTTAGCAGGAGACTCACAGGTGAACTGAAAAGTATAAGGAGAGGGGGTAGCCAATTCAACCTGGGTGGGAAGATGTGTCCTAGATAAGAGGATGCACCCGCTGGACATTAAATGATGAAAAGATGTTTACCAAGGATAAGACACATAAGAACAATCCAGACAGAATCAGGAAGAACAACAGCCCGAGGATAAGGAAAATAAAAAATTATTTAGAAAATGTTTACCTAACTTGAACAACTGAGACACATAATATATTAGTTTGTAAAGTTTATTAAGTGAGACTTTTTTGTTTATGTCTCCCCAAGTCCCTGTAAGACACATTTTCATGTCTGCCTGAATATATCAACATTAGGCAAATAGTTCCAAAAATGGTTTTATGAAGAATATTTATCAAGAATACTTGTTTTACCTTTCAATTTATTTGTTTTTATCATGTTTTCATCAAGAATATTTGTTTTACCTTTCAATGTGTCTGTGTATCAGGATCTAGAGAAACAATTTAAAATAATATCGGAAAGAATATTTATCTATCTATAATTTGGGCATTTTGATCCCAGAGCTATTTATAACACTGTAAATTTCCTGTTTTTTTAAAAGGCAAAGTTAATTGCCCACCAGGAAAGTTATACCAACTTTAATTTCCACCAGAAAAATATTCTTGTATTTATTTTTAAAAACACACAAAAAACCTGTAAATTGGATAAGCTACAATGTCATTTCATTATGTTAATTTGCATTTCTTTGATCACTGGTAAAACTGGACTTTTTAACCTAAGCTCATTGATCTTTTATATTTTTTCTTTTTTTCAAATACTCATATCTTTTGCCTTTCTTTCTAGTGTGGCTTTCTTAATGACATATAGGAGCTGTTTATGAGTCCATTACATTTTAATCTTTATCTTTTATCTACTTTGGTAATTTTTCCTTGTTTTATATTTTTAATTTCATTTACAATGTTTTTAGAAAAGTTTTTCATTTTTACTTGTCAAATCTGCCAATTTACCTTTATAATGCCTTTTTTTAGTGCCATACCCTTCTCATATATGAATTCAGATAATATAGAACTACATTTTCTTCTAGTTCTTTGATTTCAATTTTGCATTTAAATATTTAATTTATTTTGGCCTACCATGTAAGGTAGAAATTCAATCAAGTTATTACTCAATGATTAGAGTATCATTCCTGAATAGTCTCACTTTTATTATATATGCCTTTTCCCGCAGACCTTTAATTCATTGTCACTGATTTAACTTTCTATTCTTGTACTGTGTTACATCATTACTTCAACCATTATAACTTAATAATACATATTCACATCTGATGGTTCAAATGGTAACATGTATTTTGATGTTAGACTTTTAATTTAACGTGTTATATATTAGCTTGCAAGTAAGAGTAAAAAAAATGTTTTGTACAATTGTAATACTCACTTTCCATTTGCATCAGCTCATTACTGCCCAAATATCTGTGAGAGTGAGCAAACAAGGCAGATACCAAAAAAATGCAAATAATAAAACATCTGTTTCCTTTAGCTACTTGGATGTTTCAAAGGCAAGTAGCATAGAAGTCTGAATTATGTCAATTAAATTGTGCTTTCATATTCTTTGCAGTTATAGCAGCTGATACACATACAACATGGTAGAAGTGGAAATAACTGAACTGATAGATATACTAAAAACATTAGAATATAAATTTTTAATTAAATTTTGCTCATCCTACCCAATATTTTCATTATTTAAGCAGCTGATAAAGCAAAAATAAGTAGAAAAAGGATGCCACCATTAAAATGTAAGTAAATATTTCAGTCACTAGCTGTTTACTATCAGAGATCTTTTTCAAGCATACCAAATCAACTCCATTAATTATTTGGATTCAGAGTCTATTAATACATTAGCAACAAGCCAAAACAATCAAAGTTACTTGATCATTTCTAATAAAATTGATTTGCAAAGCAGTCATGGAAGGTTCCATTTAACTGGTAAAAACGATACTACACGTAAGAGATGCTTGCCAAGATGTAGCTTCAATTAAGTACATTCAATTACTCAATTTGATGATAATTTCAGTAATTGTAAGCAATTAATAAATGCCATACTTTGGACATCCAAAATGGTACCCTATTATGCTTCAGCCTCTTAAAGACATCACTGAATTTGCTAGTTCTGCACTGTAATATCATGCAAATATTTGGATAACAAACAAATGAACTAATTATGAAGCTCCAACATCACCTTAGAACATTTTTCATCTCAATTATTGTTGCTAAATAGGTAACTTCTATTTTAGATATATTAGACTTTCTAAGTAACTAATGAGATATACATTAAGATATGTATTTGTGTATCAAAATATATTTAATTTCTTTTTTTATCTTAGTGACATGGGAGGTAGTGAACCTCAAGATGATTTGTTCAAGTATTTTCCAAAGGGCTTACTAGAGTAAGACAGCCAGGAGAATCATTTATGGACAGAGTGCTCCATCACCCAAGATTTCAAAGCTCCTTACCTAAAAACAACCAAAGGACAAGATATTCTGCCCTAGGAGGAAAATATAATGCATAGCTTCCTTTTCTCTTCCTTCCTTTCTCTGTCCCTTTCTTTCTCTTCCTTCCTTTCTTCCTTCCTTCCTTCTTCCTTCCTTCTTTTTCTTTCTTTCTCTTTCTTTTTTTTTTGTTAAGGGATTCATCTCATTTTCAGAGGGGTAAGTATTTCCTTTATTAAGGTTTTATCTAGCAGTAACCAGTAATAAAAGGGGAAAGGGGGATAGTCTTTACCTTGTATAACTGTGTCTTTCTTTAGGTAGTACATTTTTCACATCATTCTTTGGCTGTATTAAAGAATATTGTCCTTACAGCACAGTAGACTTCCAAACTTTTAATATAATATCTTAATATAATATTTTATTTTAGAAATGGGACTTACTTTCTAAAATGGAAAACATATAAGTTTTAAAAATTTAATAGTTCAATTCCTATCCCATGTGCTCCACTTACTTGAATTGTGTATTTAAACAGAAATAATCCCCTATGAGGTGCATAGCCATTTTGGAAATGAAAAAAAATGGCAGACTTTTAGGCAAATTTTTAATGGAAAAAATTAAAGTCATGTTAAAATCATGTCAAGTAACTGAATTTAAGAAAAAATAATCATGCAAAATAAGTTTATTTCTTAAAAGATAAAAGTCAACATTTCAGTTCAGCATAAAAAGGTTTAAAATCTAAGCAGGTAAAAAGCTAACCCAAGTTTTCAATTTTCAGAAAGTGAACAAGAATGTAGCTATCAATATACCAGGAAAGGGATTTGGGGAAACCCTAGGGATCCAATTAGTTTAGTACCTCCAACTTGGTTTTCTCTACTGGGAGATCTATAAAAATGACAAGTGTCATGTTTTCTACACAAACAAATGTACATGTGTATATGTGTGCATCTATATCAGTACATATATGGCCAAATAAGACCATGCTCTTGTTGCTTGTGGTAGTTTGAAATCTGACACGTGGAAATCCTGATTGCCAAATGTCATTTATCTTTTTGTTGGCCTGTTTTAGTTTCAAGGCTGAAAGAAAATGAAAGCTAACTTAACTGCTTTCTCTAAAAACACTACTATTGGAAAGCTTATGAAATACAACAATCAAGCTCAACCATTATAGTTGATCAATACCCATGTCTTTATTGGTTTTCAGTGGCGATGAAAGTGCAATTCACTTTAAAATGGCAAATATTTGTAAGAGTTAAAGAGAAAGAAACAGTATAGTTCAGAACTGTGTTCTTGTAGCCACATATTAGGTTCAATGTAAATGCTACAACGCAAAATTACTCCTCTCCCAGCCATTAACCTTATGCCCAAAAATTACCTTATTTGAAATAAAAGTTCATATGATTTCTTATGCTCCAGAGTTCCCACAAAAATAAGTTATTCTTGTGAAAGCTGCTATTGTCTGTTAGGTCCATCAGTTACAATTCTGAAAGCACCAAAGTTGTATTTAAGGAGAAAAATAGGTTTATAACTTGTTGGTTGCTCAATTGCCCTTATTTCCAATACAAAAGGAGAACACTTTACATGAGATTTCAATCAAGAGGAAAAAAAAAAAGAGCAACTGCTGTCACTACCTGTTTCTTTCTACAGTGCTAGGAGCAGCAGGAGGACAGCTCAGGAATATACTAGAACCACTCATTGGAAATTAAATCTTGATACAGAAATAAAGGACCTGATTATATTTCCCACTTAGGGAATACTGTTTCCTCATTACAACTAATGACAATCAATAAATTATGTATTTCTGTGTGTTTTATACCTAGAAATAAATTATATAATTATATATTTTTTATATTCCATTTATACATGATACATGCATTACATTTAGCCCTATATAATTTTTTGCCTATTCAAAGGCAAACATAGACATTCAAAAGTTTTGACTTTGCTTAATATGGGCTATAAATCAGGAAACACCCTAAGTGCTATGAAAAGCCTATAATCCACTGTAAAGACAGAGCCATTATAATTCCCACACATTTTAGCTTGAGTTCTCCAGAAAATGGAACCAGAGCCAAAGATTAAAGTAATGACGCTTTACTTGTAAGGTGCAAAGCAAGAGCAGCAAGAATGAGAAAAAGGGAAGCAAGGAAAGAAAGAAAAGATATAAATCAATGCAATGGAAGGAGGCTTTGTGCACTATCTAACATCACAAAGAGCAAGGCACAGAGTGAAGAGAATGCAGCATGTCCAAGAGGCCTGGCTACTTAGGAGGGGCCCTTCTTCGAACACCATGCAAGGAGAAACTGTCCCTGGAAGTAGTCGATTCAAGAAGTAAAGATAAAGGAATGTATTTGCCTGGCTGTATCTCGACTTCTTTCCCAATGCTCAGGTGTAATGAAAAGTTGCTTAACATCATTAAAAATCAGGAAAATGCAAATCAGAACGACTATAACACACCATCTCAAACTCGTTAGGATGGCTATTATCAAAAAGTCAAGAGATAACAAATGTGGGCAAGGGTGTAGAAAAAAGGGAACTCTCGTATGTTGTTGGTGAAAAATGTAGATTGGTACAGCCATTATGGAAAACAGTATGGAGATTTCTAAAGAAATTAAAATTAGAACTACTATATGACCCACAATCCCTTTTTCAGATATATATCCAGATGAAATGAAATCACTACCTTGGAAAGAAATCTACACTCTCATGTTCATTGCAGCATTATTCAAATAGCCAAGATATGGAAACAACCTAAGTGTCAGACGACAGAGGAAATGAATAAACTGTGGTACCTATATACAATGGAATATTATTTAGCCCTAAAAATGAATAAGATCTTGCCATTTGACACAACATGGATGAGCCTGGAAGACATTTTGCTGAGTGAAAAAAGCCAAATAGAAAAAGTATAGTTCCAGGAATCTAACGTACAACATGACAACTCTAGGTAATAAAATTATACTTTACATGGAAAAAATAAATACAGAATGTGATAATATTTTTTATTTTTGTAGAGATGAGGGTCTCATTTTGTTCCCCAAACTGGTCTCAAACTCCTGGCCTCAAGTGATCCTCCCACCTCAGCCTCTCAAAGTGCTGGGATTACAGGTGTGAGCCACTGTGCCCAGCCTTGATATCTTTAAAGAAAGAAAAAAGTCTATGTCAAAGTGTGTCCTTTACACCATCTGCAGTCCTTATTTAAAATATTGACAATTGGGGCCCCTCACAGTTCTACTGAATCATATTTATGTGGGGTGTGGTCTAGAATTCTTCATGTTTAATTTAAAAAAGCAAGGCGATTCCAAAATAAAGGTATTAAACATCAAGTTAAAATCATTTCAAGGAAAAAAATCTACTTGGTACTCATCAATGCCTTTGAAAATTGAAAAAATATCACCTGGTACCTCACGGTTCCTTTCTAATAGTAAAGGTGCTAAGGCTTCACGCAGAAACTCCCATTACAGACCTAAGGAGACAGGAATACTCCTGTGCTGTTAATTAACAGCAAAGACCCATGATCTCCCCACCACTGAAAAGCTCCTAAGTAGCTCTAACTTGATCTCCCAGCACTAATAACTTAATTGGAAACATAAAAGACCATGGTAATGGAAAATTAGGAAAAAAATCTTATTCAAGCTTTATTCACTAAGTATAGCTGCTAATTTGCTGTATGTTCTCCTGAGCACCAAAATGTTAACTGTAGTTTTCATTGAGCGGTCCCCCCACTTTATGTAGCTATTGGCAGATATTTATAATCTGTCCTTTGTTTAACAAGTCCTTTAACTCAGACGTTTACAAATGTTGTGGTAGTCTCTGATAAAGAGAAGATTTGTGTATGGCATAGGGAACTCACTAAACTTGTACTTTGTATTACTACATATTAAAATGGAAGTTTGGCCAAGGAAAATAACATAATATAATATATAATAATATAACAGATGTTGTATTCAAAAGGAGTCACTAGACTATATACAGAATTCAAAACAGAGGTTCTGGATACTGGTTACATGTCTTTTAACCACAAACCCATTAGAAGAATTTAAATGGATCAAGAGTTCAACATCTGAAGAGACTTTGGAGTGGAAGATTTCTCTGAGAAGAACTGTGCCCAAGTGCTACCTAACCCTCCCAAGGGGAAGGTTAGGGGAGTAGCTACCTCCTCTCACCATGAATCTTGTAAGAGTGGTTAACAAGACCACCTGGAGAGCTTAATATGTGTCCCTTGATGTTTAGAGACGCAGTAGACAACTGTCTGACTCACATGTAAGAAATCGAAAGGATGAGAGAGAAGGTAGCTTGCTATTGACAATGAAGCAAAAAAAATGTGATTGGCTTACAAATCCAGACTCAGTTGGAGCAGAAAATGCGTGAATACTTTCCATGGACCAGATGGGAGACTCACACAGAAGACCTAGCGCAGAGACGTCCTGCCCAAGAGAACCACATGGCAGTTGACTGTAACAGGGAGAATTTGAAGGTATCAAGAAATGTTAAAGGCCCGAGAAAAGACTGAGAAGTTATCCAAACTAGCGATGCACTTATTAGGGTCAAAAAAACTTCAGGTAAGATGCCCTCCAAAGCTGAGAGAAGGGAGGGCTTCTAAAGTACCCTTAACAGAGAAGGAATCTAATCTCCTTACAGTCCCAGACAGCATGGTACCAGCTAATGGTAGTATCAGTCATTTAAAAACTCTCCATCCTTCTTTCTCTGACTACACTCTAACTACAAAGTGGTCAAAAGCCAGATCAAGAGAAGGGGATGAAGATGGGAAATAGGAGAGCTAGAGAGGTGAGCAACCACATATTTTCCCAACTGTAGGATTCCTGCATGCAGCAGGCTCAAGGTAAGAATGGGTAGAAATCTCAGACTTAAATTTAGAGTTTTGGGTCGGGCATGGTGGCTCATGCCTGTAATCCCAGCACTTTCGGAGGCCAAAGTGGGAGAATCACCTGAGGTCAGGCATTCAAGACCACCCTGGGCAACACGGTCAAACACCCGTCTCTACCAAAACTACAAAAATTAGCTGGGCGTTAGCCTGGCGTGGTGTCACACTTGTAATCCCAGCTACTTGGGAGGCTGAGTGAGGCAGGAGAATCTCTTGAACCCAGGAGGCGGAGGTTGCAGTGAGCTGAGATCTCACCACTGCACTCCAGCCCGGGCAACAGAGTAAGACTCTGTTCCAAAAAAAAAAAAAAAAAAAAAAAAAAAAAAACAGAGTTTTGATTAGTACATGTGGCTGAATATTTTAATTATTAACTAGAGACCTTGTCTGAACTGGAAGCAACTATTCAGAAGAACCATGAACATGCCCTCATTCTCAGCAGGGGCAGGAAAAGAACTAGCCTTATAAAACAGATTTAAAGAAATAGTGAAAGAAAAAATTTGTTTTATAATTACATCTCAGGAGTCATTTTGGTTCAATGTAATGATTCCTTTTACTGAATACTTAATACATTAAATCCACATTTAAAAAGTAAAACTTAGAATATAATTTTTACACAATGACTTTATTTTTTCAAAGTTAATCTTTCATTCATTTTTTATTAATGAAAAATCTTTCATTTTGTTATATTTTATTTTTAAAATTTCAACTTTTATTTTAGATTCAGGGGGTATATGTGCAGGTTTGTTACATTAGTATATTGGATGATGCTGAGGTTTGGATATGATTCATTCCCGTCACCCAGGTACCAAGTACAGGACTATAGGACCCAATAGGTAGTTTTTCAGCCCTTGCTCCCCTCCCTCCCTGCTCCAGTAGTTCCCAATGTCTATTATTCTGCTCTTTCTATCCACATGTACCCAGTGTTTAGCTCCCACTCATAAATGAGATCATGCTGTATTCAGCTTTCTGTTTTTCTGCATTAAATTGCTTAGGATTATGGCCTCCAGCTCCATCCATGTTCCCGCAAAGGACATGACTTGGTTCTTTTTTTATGGCTGCATAGTATTTCATGGTGTATATATACCACATTTTCTTTATACAATCCACCAAAGATGGACAGCTAGGTTAATTCTGTGTCTTTGCTATTGTGAATAGCGCTGCAATGAATATACAAGTAAGTGCATGTGTGTTTTTAGCAGAATGATTTATTTCCCTTGGGTATATACCCAGTAATGGGATTGCTGGGTCTAATAGTAATTCTGTTTTAAGTTCTCTGAGGAATCTCAAAACTGCCGAATTAACTTACATTCTCAGCAACAGTGTATAAGTGTTTCCTCTTCTCTGCAGCCTCACCAGAATCTATTAAGCTTTTTTAATAATGGCCATTCTGACTGGTGTGAGATGGTATCCTATTGTGGTTTTGATATGCATTTCTCTAATGATTAATGATGTCGAGCATTTTTTTAATGTTTGTAGGCCACTAGTATGTTTTCTTTTGAGAAGTGTCTGTTCATGTCCTTTGCCCACTTTTTTATGGGGTTGTTTTTTGCCTGTTGATTTGTTTAAGTTTCTCATAGGTTCTGGATATTAGACCTTTGTTGGATGTGTATTTTGTGAATAATTTCTTCTATTCTGTAGAATATCTGTTTACTCTGCTGATAGTTTCTTTTGCTGTGCAGAAGCTCTTTGGTTTAATTAGGTCCCACTTATCAATTTTTGTTTTTGTTGCAATTGCTGTTAAGTTCTTTGCCTAGGTGATTTCCAGAATGGTATTTCCTAGGTTTTCTTGTGGGATTTTTTAGTTTGAAAACTTACATTTGAATCTTTCATCCACCATGAGTTAATTTTTGTATATAGTGAAAGATAGGGGTCCAGTTTCATTCTTCTGCATACGACTACGCGGTTATCCCAGCAGCATTTATTAAATAGGGGGACATTTCCCCATTGCTTATATTTGTCAGCTTTTTCAAAGATCAGATGGTTGTAGGTGTGCAGTTTTATTTCTGGGTTTTGTATTCTCTTCCATTGGTCTATGTGTCTGCTTTTGTACCAGCACCATTCTGTTTCGGTTACTGAGGCCTTATGGTATAGCATGAAGTAAGGTAATGTGATGCCTCCAGCTTTGTTCTTTTTGCTTAGGATTGCTTTAGCTATTTAGGCTCTGTTTCATTCCATATGAATTTTAGAATAGATTTTTCTGATTCTATGAAAAATGATTTTTGTAGTTTGATAGTATTAGCATTGAATCAGTGGATTGCTTTGGGCAAAATGGCCATTTCAACAATATTGATTCTTCCAATCCATGAGCATGGGATGTATTTCCATTTGTTTGTGTTATCAATTACTTCTTTTAGTAGTGTTCTGTATTTCCCCTCATAGAGACCTTTCACCTCCTCAGTTAAATGTGTTCTTAGATATTTTTGTATGTGTGGCTATTGTAAATGGGATTATATTCTTGATTTGGCTCTCGGCTTCAGCGTTATCGGTGAATAGAAACGCTACTGATTTTTATACATTGATTTTTCTATCCTGAAACTTTATGGAAGTAGTGTATCCAACCCCATAAAAAAGTGGGCAAAGGACATGAACAGACACTTCTCAAAAGAAAACATACAAGTGGCCTACAAACAAAAAAATGCTAGGAGCCTTTTGGTGGAGTTTTTAGTGTTTTATGTTATAGAATCATATCATTAGTGAAGAAAGATAACTTGGCTTTTTTTCCTATTGGGATGCTTTTTATTTATTTCTCTTGCCTGATTTATCTGGCTAGAACTTTCAGCACTGTGTTCAATGGGAGTGGTGTTCAGTGGGCATCCCTGTTTTATTCAGTTCTTAAGGGGTATGTTCCCAGCTTTTGCTTGTTCAGAATGACATTGCCTAAATGCTTTTCATAAATGGCTCTTACTACTTTGAGGTATGTTCCATTGATGCCTAGTTAGTCGAGAGACTTTATCATGAAAGGATGTCAAATTTTCTTGAAAGTTTTTTTCTGCATCAATTGAGATAAATCACATGGTCTTTGTTTTTAATTCTCTTTATGTGGTGAATCACACTTATTGATTTGCATATGTTGAACCAACCTTGCATCCCAGGAATAAAGCCTACTTGGTCACAGTGAATTACCTTTTTGACGTGCTGCTGGATTTGGTTTGCTATTATTTTGTTGAGAATTTTTGCATCTATGTTCATCACAGACATTAGTCTGCAGTTTTCTTTTTTGTTGTATTTTTGCCAGATTTTGGTATCAAGGTGATGACGGTTTCATCGAATGAGTTACAAAGGAGTCTCTCCTCCTCAATATTTTTGGAATAGCTTCAGTAGAATTGGTACCAACTCTTCTTTGTACATTTGGTAAAATTTGGCAGTGAATCAGTCTGGTCCAGGGCTTTTTTCAGGTGGTAGGATTTTTGTTACTGATTCAATTCCAGAACTCAATATTGGTCTGTTCAGGGTTTTAGTGTCTTCTTGATTCAATTTTGGAAGGTTGTATGTGTCCAGGAGTTTATCCATTTCTTCTAGACTTTCAAGTATGTGTGCACAAGGCTGTTCATAATAGTCTTTGAGGATCTTTTGTATTTCTGTTGGATTCATTGTAGTATCACCCTTGTCATTTCTGATTGTGCCTATTTAGATCTTCTCTTTTTTTTCTTTGTAAGTTTAGGTAGCAGTCTCTCAATCTTGTTTATCCCTTCAAATAACAAACTTTTGGTTTCATCGATCCTTTGTATGGATCTCAAATTTGTTCCATTCTTCTCTAAAGAATGTCAACTTTTGTGAGCATTATTGACTATACATTTGATTAAATTCCTTTTAATAATTTTAAATTGTAATTAGTATTTGTGTGGCTGACCCTTGAATATTTTAAATATTCTCAGTAGCAAATAAATATACATAAACATGATGGTTCAATGATTCCATAACTAATCAAAACTACAAAATAATACTAATGGCATAAAAAGGAACAAAATAAAGGCATTTGCAGCAACCTGGATGGAATTGGAGATCATTATTCTAAGTGAAGCAACTCAGGCGTGGAAAACCAAACATCATATGTTCTCACACATAAGTGGGAGTTAAGCTATGAGGATGCAAAGGCATAAGAATGATACAATGGACTTTGGGGACTTGGGGGAAAAGGTGGGAAGGGAGTAAGGGATAAAAGACTATACATTATGTACCCTGCTCGGGTAATGAGTGCACCAAAATCTCAGAAATCACTACTAAAGAAATTATTCATGTAACCAAACACCACCTATTCCTCAAAAACCTATGGAAATTAAATAATAAATAAATATTAAAAATAAATAAATAATAGTACTAAATGGCAAAAGTGCTAATATCATGAATGAAACTTTGCTGTAATTCCTATTTTTTCACCATGCCAGGGTTCTAATTGTTTAAAATATTTTCGTAAACTTTCTGTAGCTTTACCACAACCAATGTTTAAAATCTTTCTAGGGAATTTGTGTAAATTTTTCCAGATCTAAAAGAAAAGAAAATGCCATCTCAGAATATCAGAGTCCAGGTTGTTGGATAGTTCATTTATGTTTCGAGTATGAGACTTGATAGAATGGTCCAAAGTGAAGAAAACTTCAGTATCCACAATATACCAAGTGCCTTCTTATATCAAACTTTCACTTGTTACATCCTGAATCCCATAAATCCTTGTCTTTGACATAAATTTTAATTTTTGAGGACTTATTATCTTTCCTAAGTTTTCTTATAGCCAGAAGCATCTATGTCATTGCCTTAAAATTATGATAGATTGATCCAGTCTGTTTTAATTATTAAAATATATGTATTTCTCATTAGTATTTTATTAACATTCATAAAGGTTTATTTATAATTAGTAGATGCTTCATTTCTTAGGAGATGAAGGATTGAATCTCTGTGCTTACTTTTCCTTTTCAGAACATTTTATCCACTTATAATTTCACCACATTCTGTTTTGCCACAGTCATTGTGTATACCTGTATGCCATAGCTGTAATCAACTATAATAAACTTGGAAGTCATTATTCTATAAGATCATTAATGCTGATGAGTTCATTAGTATTTAGAATATCCCTCCTTCTGTGATCTTTTCTATAGTAGGAAAAAGGTCTACCTCATTGTGTAGAAATCCTATCTCATATTGGTTCATTCACATATCTTCTTTCTTACACAGATATAAACAAGAATATGTGCTGAACATATGGAAACATACCCTAAACAAAAAGAAGAAAACATCATATTTAAATACTCTCCTACTTCTTTAAATCAATAAGGATGGAAAGAGCCTGTTAGAATCTTTCTGTTGTTGTAATGCAAGTAGCTCTTTGCATACCTTGTGTTTTCTTTCGAGTGTTACTGTGAAATTGTGGCTTTTTAGATACTTAATTTTTTCCAATTTAGCAATTAGCATTATTACTTTGGTTATTATTTGCTATGTTTTTGTTATTGAAACACTACTCCCTAATATTCCAAGTAGCAGCCTTGATTTCTGGTTAACAACAGGTTGCTTTGACTCCATCTTATTTTGTCTTTACAACAAACTTGAAGCCAATTACCCTCCAGGGATCAAAATGTGTGTGCTGGGGTGCACATGAGGATTGGTAATACACTAGAGTAGTGTCCCTGCTGCTGGGCCATTTATAATAATGATAGAGTTGGAAAATAAATCTTTTAAAGACATGAATTCATACTGATTTTTCCAATGTAACATATTACCGAAACTAACTTTTTTGTAGACATGCTTTTATGCTTATATTAAATACGTAATAAGATGGAGAAAATGTATTATCTTCACAGCCGGTAGCAGAATTCCTCCACAGGAAAAATCAGTCTGTCTTGGGAAAAATGTTTTAATTTTTTAGAGTTGAAGGTGAGATTCTCTCTCTTCCCCATTTCCACCATCAAGGCCTAAAAAAAAAAAAAGCTGACCCCCAAAGTTTCAGTGAAGAATTTAGTTGTTCAAGGGCTACCAGGAAGAGGAAACTTGAGGACAACAGATGACAGTAGGGGAGGAAAGTCGGGTTTTAGATGTTACTGTTGTTCATGATGATGCACCAAATAAACAAACAAAAAATATCAAATTCTTGCATGTATGTGTGATAACATTTCTTCATGAAAACTGAAGAAAGAGCTGAACTTCATGTCAGATGGAGGAGTTATGAGACATATAGTATGCCAGGAAGTAGAAACACAAAGATCTGGAGAAACCTATGAATACCAGTTCCCTGTAAACTTTTTAGAAATATGAAGACCTCTTGGGACTTCCACAGAGTGGAAACAGTGGGCATTACACCAACTGTACTTAGACACTGAGAAGTAAAAAAGGTGTCTGTATTAAAAATAGAACACAAATTAACTTAAGAAAAAGGTTGCCAGATTTAGCAAATGAAATCACAGAATATCCAGTTAAATTTGAACATCAAATAAACAACAAATTTTTTTATAAATATGTCCCATGAAATATTTGGGACAAACTTACGCCATCTTTCAAACCCAACAATGGGAGTTACAGTGTGTGTGTGTGTGTGTATTAGAAACTACAAATATGCTCACAATAATTATAAATATATGAAACATATATTAGTTATAAATATATAAGTATTGATATATTTTATGTATATAAAACCCTTAGTTGTGATAAATAGAATAATCTCCACCTTCTTCATTTTTGCATTTATTTCTGTCTTGGTCATCCTGATTTTTCATTGTCTCTTTACCCTTTGTTTTCCGTGTGCTCCATGCTAATATGTAATAATCATTGTGTTTGAAGCCTGTTATTCAAAATTCTCAGAGTATCTGTGTGTGTGATTGCAAAAATGTCAAGTTGAAGGTCTTTATAAACTTCTTCTTCAGATCTAATTAATTCTGTTCTCCACTACAGAAAACATATGTTGATCCCAAACATGCAATGACATCCATATAAACCTTGCAAAATGATGGCTGTGATGACACCCAGTGATGGTCTTTCTCAACTCTCTGTACCTCATCTCACTCATCAGAGACTTTGGAGCCTCAGTTGCCTTGCAATGCTGTTTCAGGTAAGGTGGGAATTCTTTTTTTCTTTTTTTTTTTTTTTTTGGTAGAAATAAAGAATCTTCCATGTTGAGGAATGAGCCTGACTCATTGTGCATAAACCTGGTGCCCTACTGTGAGACGTGGCACCTTAACTGCCGTTGATCAGCATTCAGTCTCTTTCTTTTTCTCCATTGCACATAGGCTGTACTCATTCTTTCTGCACCACAAATGTCATGCCTTCTCAAGTGTTTTTATGCCCTGGACCCATTGCATCCAGTGATGTCAGAGGAATTCTCAGCTCAATATCGTCACATGATGGATCAGAGATACAGAACTAGAATTCATGAGGGATACATATCTCAAGTGAAAGGTGCATATCTACGGATTGTCCACAAGAAACCAATCAGTTATGCAAAATCTTTTCCAAAGGAAATGGGAAATTAAGGAAAAAAGTGAATAAAACTTTACAAAAATGATTGTGTGGCAGTGAAATGAATGTGTCAAAAGTATAAAAATAGCAAAAGCTAACTGAACTACAGTAACCTGTCATAAGATACTTAAAATGATCCTAAGCCTTACAAGAAACAAATTCAGAAAGGGGCACAAGGTTCCTTTGAGTTTGCATAACTTATCAAAAGGTGGGAAACATTCTTCAAGTTCCACTCTTTTCTTCCGTACAGAAAGGGGATTGGACTAAATTAGTGATGTTCAAGCTGTGACCTAAGTATCCCTGGTGTTTCTTTGGTGACACAAGGATGGGAATGGTGGGGCAGGATGTCTCATTCATGAGGCAGAGTATCTCTAATATTTTTACATATTGGAACTCACAGAAAATTTCCATTGAAATAAAAGTTTCATATGTATATTAAGTTCCTAGGTTACTGTAACAAATTACCACAAATTTACTTGCTTAAGATAACAGAAATTTATTCTCTCATAGTTATGGAGGTCAGAAGTCCAAAATGAAGGTAACGGGTGGGCTATATACTCCCTGCAGCAGGTTGAGGGGGGATTCTGCTTCTTGCCTCCTTCAGCTTCTGGTGTCTCTTGGCAGTCCTTGGCATGTGACTCTCAGTTCAATCCCTCCCTCGGCCTTCACATAGCCTTCTCCTCTTTGTGTGTCTTCTCCCCTTCTATTCTCTTATGATGACACTTGTCACTCGATTTAGGATTTTGCAAGATGATCTCCAATGGAGATCTTAATTTAATTTCATCTGCAAAGACCATTTTTCCAAAAAAGGTCACATTCTTAGGTTCTAGGTCAATATATCTTTTGGGAAGCCACCATTCAAACCCCTGGAGTGTTCAAAAAAGTTTAACTTAACTCAATATTTTAAAGGTTCTTTTATAGATGTACTTTTCAAATTATGGATTTAACACATTTGTTTTAATAAGTAAAATATACAAAGATGTATAAAGTAAAAGCTAATTGTCTATTCCCCACCCAGCTCTTCTCCAATCTTACCTCTTTCCACCATTTCTCTCCAACTCATCCAGATTCACTGCTCCTCTGTCAGTCAAGCTGGTAACCTATGTTAACAACACTGTGTACTTCTACGCTATACTTCAGGATCATGTAATTACACACACACACCCACACACACACACATCCCCACATGAAATCGATAAGAAGTTTAAAATTGACTATACAAATTAGATCATATAATATACACTCTTCTTCATCTAACTTTTCTCATTCAAAAATGCCTTGAGTACATTGCTCTAAATCAACTAGAGTAGTTCTAATATACTATTTCTAATCAATGCCTTATAGCACAGTATTCCACAATGCAGACAAACCACTATTTATTTCAAGCCCTCTCCTATTGATAGGCATTTTTTATATTCCCACACTTCCATATTTTTGCACATTTGAAAAATTCTGTGATACATATACTTGCACATATAATTTTATATGCTGATACTTTTATTACTATAGGATAGATACGTGGCAGTAATACTGTGGTGTCAAGGATACATATATATTTAATATTAGTAGATGTTATCCGATTTCTTTTCCAAAAGCCTGCAAAATTGCATTTGTCTACCAATATATGAAAATACCCATTTCCTCATATTATAGCTAGCAATAATGTTATTATTCTTTCCACATTTTTGCCAATCTAATGGATATAAATAACACTAAAGTGTTTTTGATTTACATCTCTGACTACATTTTGAGCATCTTCTCAGGTGTTTATTGGCCATGTAGATTTTCTCTCTACTATGAAATATTTGTTTTTATTGTTTAATCAATTAGATTATTTTTCTTGTCCATTTGTATAGTATACATACTAAAACTTGATCATCTTTACTTATGGATTTGTTTTTAGTTGTTTTTGTTGTTGTTGTTGTTGTTGTTTTTTTTTTTTTTTTTTTTTTGGAGAGACAAGACTTTGCTGTGTTGCTCAGGCTGGTCACAAACTCCCGGCCTGAAGCAATCCTCCCGATTCAGCCTCCCAAAGCACTGGGACTACAGATGTGAGCCACCATGCCTGGCCTTAATTTTGTCTAGCTGAATATGTAATCTTTTAGAGCATCCAGGTTTCTTATCTTACCTAAGAAAGTCATTCCACCCTGGATTACATGTGTAGTCTAGCTGTAATTCTAATATATTTAATTTTTTTGCATTTGTTATTACTTCATTTGAAATGTATTCCAGATACTGTGTTAAAATAAGAGCCCAAACTTATTCTCTTTCAGTTGGAGAGTCAATTGTTATATAACTATTTATTAAATAATTCATCTTTTACCAATGAAATTGAAATACTTTGTCATATATTAAATGCTTATGTGTACTGGAATCATTTGACAAATTTTTATTTTTTTAACCTACTTTAAAATTTTTTAACTTTGTTTTTGACATTATGATCTAATTTTCTAATTCTAGAACAATGCCATCTTACTTCTAACAATAGTAAGGTACGTCTTCTATCTCAGCTCTTCTTTTCCTTATATTTTCATAACCATTCTCAGGCATTTATTATTTCATATTTAAGATCATCTTATAAAATTTCTCCCTGAATATGACCTTCTGGAATCTAAATAAAATTACATTAAATTATTATTTTAATTTTAGCAGAATTGACATTTTAATCTTCCTAAGAATATTACCCTTTTCATTTTTTTAGTACTATTTTATACAATTCAAAGAGAGTTTATAATTTTTTGGGTAACAATTCTATGCTATTCTCGGCAAGGGTATTTCTATGAATTTTATGCTTATATTGTTATTTAAATGGACTCTCCTTCATTTTTATTTCTAGGTCTTAATTGCTGATAGAAAATCAATTTATTTATTATATCTTCTATCTATTTATCTATTAATCTCCTTGTACATCTGCATCAGAGGTACTGGGTCACCAGGTGTGTTGTGAATGAGCAGTAATGATTTGAAAGCAATCTTCTTTTCCAAGCAGTATTTCTCAACAGCGGGCTTAAAATATTCACTAAACCATGCTGTAAACAGATGTACTGTCAGCCAGGCTTTGTTGTTTCATTTATAGGGACAGGCAGAGTAAATTTAGCAGAATTCTTAGGGGCCCTAGGATTTTTGAAATGGTAAATGAACATTGGCTGCAGCTTAAATTCAACAGTTGTATTGGCCCCTAAGAAGACTGTCAGCCTGTCCTTTGAAGTTTTGAAGGCAAGTGTTGACTTCTACTCTCTAGCTATGAAGTCCTAGATGACATGTTCTTCCAATAGAAGGCTGTTTTGTCTACATTTAAAATCCATTGTGTCTACATTTAAAATCCATTGTTTAGTGTAGCTGCCTTCATCAATGATCTTAGTTAGATCTTATGGATAATGTAATGCAGCTTTTACATCAGCATTTGCTGCTTCACCTTGCATTTTTATGTTATGAAGATGGCTTCTTTCCTTAAATCTCATGAGCCAATCTCTGCCAGCTTCAAAATTTCTTCTGCAGCTTCCTTACCTCTGTCAGCCTTCATAGAAATGAAGACCGTTAGGGCCTTGCTCAGGATTAGGTTTTGGCTTAAGGGAATGTTGTGGCTGGTTTGATCTTCTATCGAGACCACTAAAGCTTTCTCCATATCAGCAATAAGACTGTTTCACTTTCATGTCATTTGTGTGTTCACTGGAGTAGTGCTTTTAAATTTCTTCAAAAATGTTTTCTTTGCATTCACAACCTGACTATTTGACTCAAGAGGCCTAGCTTTCAGCCTATCTCATTTTTCAACATGCCTTCCTCACTCAGCTTAATTATTTCTAGCTTTGGATTTAAAGTTAAAAAGTACAACTTTTCCTTTTACTTAAAACACTTAGAGGTCATTGTAAGGTTATAAATCGGCCTAATGTCAATATTACTGTGTCTCAGAGAATAGAAAAGCCTAAAGAAAAGGAAAGAGAGGGGGGAGTGGATGGTCAGTGGAGCAGCCAGAACACACACATCTAAAAAGTTTTCTGTCTTGTAGGAGTACATTTCGTGGTGCCCCAGAACAATTACAATAGTATCATCAAAGAGCACTGATCACAAATCACCATAATAGATATAATAATAATGAAAATGTTTGAAATATTACAAGAATTGTCAAAATGTGATGGAGAGACACAAAGTGAGCACACGCTGTCAGAAAAATGACACCAATAGACTTGCTTGACCAGGGTTGCTACACGCCTCCAATTTGTAAAAAACACAATATCTGCAAAGTTTAATAAAGCAAGGTATGCCTGTGCACATGTTCACAATGACTTTTCTAATGATATATCTTCTTTTTCCCCCACCCCTGGTGGTAGGTGATCTAATATCTTTAATTACTTTTCTCACTTCTTCAGCCCTAATTGTTTGGTTCTAGCTCTATACTTCTTTATAAATTTTCTTTAGGCTTTGAAATATGTTCCATTCTCTTTCCTTTTTACTTTACCATTTATCAAAGAAATGTAAGGCTATAAATTTTCTCAGTTTTGTTGTGTTCTGTTTGGATATTCATCCTTTTTTGTTGTTTTCTAGATGGTTTATAATTTCAGTTTTCACGTTGTCTTTGATCCATGGGCTAACAATGAGTGCATTCTTAATTTCCAAGTAGTTACTATTACAGAGGTGAGCAGGGAAAGAGGATCACTATTTTATTATCTAATTTTATTTTATTATACTCATAAAAAGTACCCTGTAAAAATTTTCGCTTTTTAAATTCTATCAAGATTTGCTTTAAGGTCAATTATGTGATCTATTTTTATAAAGTTTCCATGGATATAGAAAATAATTTGTACTCTCAATTAAAAGAATATACATTTCCAAATCTTTTTATCTTGCTCTCTGTACATGAGAAAATGTATTTATATCACTTTTAATTTGCTTATTTTATTTTTTATCTAATTCTTAAAAATGAGTTCTAAGGGTATCCCATTATAATTTTAGTTTTATAATTTATCCTTGAATATCTAATAGACATTACTTTTTATATTTAGCTGTTGTATTGTTCTGTGGTGCTTTTGTTGTGTGGTGTCGTAGTACCTTCATATAGTGTTAATTTTGTAACTTTATAATTGCAAAATATCTTTCCCTATCTTGGTTAGTACTTTAAACTTTCCCTGCCTCTTTTTCTATTATTAAAATTGCAATACCTTCCTTTTTTTTCCTTTTTTTCTTATTTTTGCAATTTCCTGGTATCTCTTGAATCCTTCCTTTATTTTAGGCCTGTAACCTTGATTTGTGGGTGCCCTTCACCAGCACTCTATCAGAATTAGACCTTCACCTGTGACCTTGTTTTCGTCCTTCAGGGCAGGCCCATCTTTCCTCCTCTGGCTCTAACAGCTAAGAAGCTCCAGAAAGAGGGTGACTAAGTGAAAACTGTGCCTCCCTTAAGCCAAGTATTTCCATAATCCTCTCACCTTTTTTTGCTTTGCTACTCAATTATGCCTCTTTTTTTTCTCTTCACTCTTAAATTATTTTACCTAAATAAGAGAGAGGAGCAGGAAACAATCGTTACAGAGAGTTAGTGAGAGGAGAATTTCCTGACCCCCTCGTGGGACTTGTGACAGAGGTGTGTTACAATTAATGTTTTTTTAGTGGTTGTTGTCCAGGATGGCTAAGTATTAACCAGCTCAGTGTAGAGTCAGGGTGACAGCCTTTTACACCCTGCTCTCTTGGTACTGAGGTCCTTGTCCAGTGTCCAGGAAGAATCAGGTCACACAGACTTGAAGGTTGGTGAGTGCAGGCATTTTGTTGAGTGATGGAGGTGGCTCTTAGCAGGATGAATGGGGAGCTGGAAAGGGGATGGAGTGGGAAGATGACCTTCACCTGGAGTTCAGCCATCCCACACCCGATCTCTCTGACCATCCCCAGCTAAATCCTCTCGACATTCAGACACTCCTTTTCTTCTCTCCTTCTCTGTTGTTCTGCCACTCTGCCTCTCTTCTGCTCGTGGAGCCTGGGGTTTGGGGCTTATACGGATACAGGATAGGGGGGTGTGGTGGGCCAAAAGGCAACATATGGGCATGAAAATAGGAATGCCTATTCCCATTTAGGGCCATGGGTTTCTAGGCTTGAGAGTGAGGCCTTTGCCGGGGAACCGCCCTCTTCTATCCAGTGTTTTCCTGCCTCCTGTCCATATCATTTCCCCTCTCTGAAGAGGCATATCAACTGCCATTAGAATATGGACGATGACCAATCTTAGCTACTTCCTGCTGACAGGGGGAGTTGTTTTGGGGAAAATGGCAGTCAATTTTCTCCCAGAGGTCTATCTAAGGGTCCCTGGCAAAAGGGAGCCATTGTCCAAGGTTTCAGTTGCCTGACCATTTGGAGTTTGATGGCCTCTAGGTGAGAAATAAAAAAAAAAAAAAACAAGTCCTGTAAGGTTAAGTATGCATGCATTAAATGTGTATTATACAAGGAAAGAATCTAGTGCCAAAGACTACAGAAATAAGAAGTGAAATATACTAACAACATTTTACCCTGAGTTGGGTCACCCTGGTGAAAGAAATTAAACTTGTATGGAAGCAGTTAAACTTTAGAAGAGAGAGAACTGTTCTTGCCACATCTGTAGCAGTTAACAGGTACACCTTGGGAATTCTGAGGTTTGTGGGCTTGCATGGTGGCTATTAAAGCTTCTGCCAGCTGGGCGCGGTGGCTCACGCCTGTAATCCCAGCACTTTGGGAGGCCAAGGCAGGTGGAACACGAGGTCAGGAGATTGAGACCATCCTGGCTAACATGGTGAAACCCCATCTCTACTAAAAAAATACAAAAAATTAGCCAGGTGTGGTGGCGGGCGCCTGTAGTCCCAGCTACTCGGGAGGCTGAGGCAGGAGAATGGTGTGAACCCAGGAGGTGGAGCTTGCAGTGAGCCGAGATCATGCCACTGCACTCCAGCCTGGACGACAGAGCAAGACTCTGTCTCAAAAAAAAAAAAAAAAAAAACTTCTGCCTCTTTCTTGTGTCTCCCTATCTCTATTGTGAAAGATGAAGGTGGCCACTTTCAGGAGGTCCTCTAAAGTACTATCTGGTCCCAGGGCCCATTTCTACAACTTCCTTCTGATAACAGGGGCTTTGTGAATAATAAATGTATCCTTCAGGATTAGTGGTCCCTTGACTGAATCAGGAGATAGGGTAATGTGCTTTACCAAGGCCTCCCTTATGCTTTCCAGGAAGGCAATGAGATTCCATCAAATTCCTGGTCTATCATGGATAACTGGGTATAGTTCAGGGGTTTGGTCCTAGTCCTGTGTAAGCCCTCCTTATGCACACCCGAAAGAGTCTCCTCTTCCAGTTTCCCATCTCATCATTGGGATCCTATCCAGGGTCATTCACTGGTACTGCTTCTCTTTCAGTTGGATAAAGTTCAACCCCTTCCCTGATGCTATATGTTATACAAAACTCATCCCCAAATCTCTCTGCTGCTTGCAGATCAGCATTCTTCTCAGTGTTCATCAGGGTCTGATTCAAAAGTAACATAATTGGAACTCCAAGATAGTACAAATATTTGGGTTGAATTCTGGAAAGCCTCTATATATCTGTCAGGGTCATCTGAAAACTTGCCAAAATCCTCCTTAACTTGCTTTAAGTCCTGTAGAGAGAAGGGGACCTGGACCTTACTGGAGCCAAATTCACCAGGCATCTATTGGAGGGGCAACAGTGAGACTGTGGCTTGTCTAGGATGAAGATTTCTAGGAGGGGGCAAGTGAGAGACTGAAGCTGGATAGGGAGGTCAGGGTGGACCTGGAGGAGCAGGGCTGAAGGGAGCTGGCTTCTCTGCTGGGGATGCCTCTGGGATTTAGTTCCCTGGGATTGCCTCTTGCAGCCTCTCCTGAGACGGCAAACAGGAGGGCTGTATCAATCCTACACTGTCAGCAAAGGTCTGGGTTGCCCGGCAAGGTAAAGAAAGCCTGCACAGGTGGGGCCTCAGACCATCTGCCTTCACGTTTCCAAAAAAGGTCCAACTGCTGGATGGTATCAAAATGAACAGTGCCTCCCTGAAGCCAAGCTAGTCCTTCTTGTAAATCATAATTTGGCCAAACCTTTGTGTAGAGGCCTATAAGGTGTTTTTCCTTCAGAGTCCAAGAATCAAAGCAGTCCCAGGGTTTAGGATACACTCTAGAGGAGTATAAGCTGGGGTTGGTGAAGATAGCTGGTTGCCCATTCTGAAAGACAGGGAAATAGAGGTGTCCCTCATTTCCCTTCTTTCTTTCAGTGATAACCTAGGGTGTGATGGAGAGAAAGTGGGCATCCCCCCTTTCTCTTCCATCTTTTTGTCCCCAAGTCCCAGTAACCTTGGCAGGTGCCACCCATGGGTGCAAAAGTGGCTTTCATCCACATTAACGGGAGGTCTGGGGGTGGAAGTGTCCACCCTTATGCTTGTATGCCCTATCTCCCTGGCTGTCGACAACATTTGAGTTCCCTGGGCCTTGTCTATGTCAAGGAGCATGGCCTGCTTTCATGAAGCAAGGGTTTAATCAGCAAGAATTGGTCCTGCCCATTTACATTGTGTCCGTTGTCTGGCTTTTGGATCCCTCAGATCTGGTTTTTCTTTCTAGGGCCTCAACCTGAAACCTCGAGTCAAGTTTGGGACAAAAAGGTATTTCAGGGGCTGCATGTATCTGCTTAGATTACATCTCTAATGGGCCCTGCTGAATTTGCAGTATCAGCCAGCAGGGGTCGCTCCTCCTTGTTTTCCCTATCATAAGTAGAGTGATGAGGAAAGGAAAAGAACCTTCTCACTTAGAAAAGAAAAAGGAAACAGCTTAAAGTACAAAAAAGGATTGGGGAAAAGAACTTCTTGATCTGTGCAAATGAGTTCCTTCAATTACTGTATCCCTCCCCCAGTTCAGACTAGTAAGGACCCCTCGGCCATGAAAGGAAAGGTCCCTCTGGTGCAGCTGCAGGAGGCACCAGCCAGCCAGCCACACGAGGTCCCATTGGCAGCCTCAGTTTTCTCCCACCCCTCGTGACAATTGGGTGTGGTTGTTGCATGCTGCGGGTATGCCCAGGTGCCTGAGCCAGGAGGGGAGGGGGCAAGGAGGGAAGCCGCCATGCACCGTACACACCTGTGGCTGTCAGGGTGGGGGTGGCACCTCTAAGAACAAATGGAAACCACATTGTTCTGAACTGCACCTCTGATGGCTGAGCCAAGCATATGTACTTAGTAACATCTCAGTAGTTTGCTGAGATTATAAAAGAGTTATAAAACACTAACATTATAAAAGAGATACGAGCCATTTCAAGCTACGAAAAGACAAAATATACCATAGCAAAGTCTGAGGGTCCTGGCCTACAGAGTTCAGTCTTGGGGCCTTCCTGCAACAAAAGATACCTTCAGTAGCCCCAGGACTTTACTCCAGTCCCACGTGACAGCTTGACCTCTGTGAAGAGAAACAGAGTCAATATTCCTTTTACCCAAAGGAAAGAGAGTGGTGGCAGGGTCTTAGAAAAGAGGCAGATCTGACAGTTCCTCATCTGTACTCACCCTTGTGCTGGATCCCAGACAAGCCCCCACTTGAGACAGGAGAGTTTTTAGACCCCATCACAGAACTTGTGACAGAGGTGTGTTACAATTAATGCTATTTCCACAGTTGCTCTCTGCAGATGGCTAAGTGTTAACCAGCTCAGTGGAGAGTTAGGGTGACAGCCTTTTACACCCTGCCGTCTTGGTACCCAGGTCCTTGTCTGGCATCCAGGAAGACCAGGTCACACGGACATGAAGGATGGTGAATGTGGAGATTTTATTGAGTGATGGAGGTGGCTCTCAGCAGGATGGATGGGGAGCTGTAAAGGGGATGGAGTGGGAAGATGATCTTCTCCTGGAGTTTGGCCATCCCGTGGCTGATCTCTTCTCCAACCATCCCCAGTCAAATTCCTCTCAATGTTCAGATGCTCCTTCTCTTCTCTCCTTCTCTGGTGTGCTGCTCTGCTGCTCTTCTGCTTGTGGAGCCTGGGGTTTGGGATTTATATGGGTACAGGATAGGGGGACGTGGTGGGCCAAAAGGCAACATTTGGGCACAAAAACAGAAATGCCTGTTCCCATTTAGGACCGTGGGTTTCCAGGCTTGAGGGTAGGGCCTTTGTGGGGAACCGCCCTCTTCTACCAGTATTTCCCTGCCTCCCGTCTGTATCATTAGGAAACCTGAGCTTTTAATAAAGTTTGTCAATAGCTGTATGACCTTAAGCAAGTCAATTAACGTCTCTAAAACAATGTTCTTTCTTATTACGTGTCCAAGTTAACGAGATGCCTTCTAAGGCCCCTTCTAGTTCTACAATTCACATTCCGCCATCCTAGACAAGAAAACTCAAGGACAGAGGGAGAAGATACAAAAGTAACATAGGTCAAGTACTAAAAAGTTCAAATTATCAGGGCTAAGGACAAAGATAATCTTTTTGTCTTAATAATATAACAAAACATTATATGCAAGGCTACTATATAGCATCACTAACTTTTAAAATTATGAGTAGTGAATAGGGCTATGTTTTAAAGCTAATTCTATGGTTCATTTAGATATCTATTAACCTAAATTGAATACCTTAAAATTACATATTGGTCTCCATAACTTTCTAATTCAACCCATAACTAATGAACAATCATGCATTCAAAATGTACCTATGTCTGAGAGCTGGAATTATTTTGCATTTGTATTCATTTCAAGTTACAGTATACTTCTTATCAACCATTGCACCAAAAATCAGAAATATATTCCAATGTGTAATAATCCTCATTTCTCTAAAGTTTAATGGAGAGAGCAGGTTAAATTGTGCAATGTAAGTTTTCACATCCACTCACAAGAATTGCAATATTTCTTCTCTTTTATTTGAAGGAAGGAGAGTGTTGCAAGAATAAGCCTATGGATTTCTGGTAAATCTTAACATTTAATTGACTGTCCCAAAGCCTCTCTACAGTCCAACAATTCTGAGAATTCTGGAAAACAAGTCACATTCTAATGCTTTGGCTTAAGTACATTGTTTCCAACATAATCCGAATGTTTATGGAATCAAAAGTCAAAGCTAAGATTTTGTCTGTCCTGGAACATAAGTAGATAAGATCCAAGCCTCCTTTCTGAAGATTTTCTGATTTAAATCAATAGGCTTTACTAAGCACCTATTATGAGCAGATGCTTTGCTTTTAATATGAGAGATAATGAAGTACGAAAAGTATAAAATCTTAGAAGACCTGATGTCTACCCTTGAGGAATTTACAATCTGATTCAGGAAATATTAAAAAGAATGCTGTATCAAATTATTCGAAAAATAGCTACAAGGCAAATTCAGACAATCGAAGTGCCATTGTGGTAGCTGATTCGTGGCTCCCCAAAGATATCCACATCCTAATCTTTGGAACAGGTGAACATGTTGCATAACATGGTAAAAGGGACTTGGCAGATGTGACTAGATTGATAATCTTGACATGGGAGATTATCCTATATTATACAGATAGGCCAGTTTAGTCACCAAGATCCCTAAAAGAGGGAGGCAAGAAGGTCAAAGGCAGCATAAGAGATGTGATGATGATCATGAGGTTGGAAAGAAGCAAGGAAGGGGCCACAGGCAGGTGGCCAGTGGAAGCTAGAAAAGGCAAGGAAACAATACCCCCTAAGAGCCTCCAGAAGGAATCAGCCTTGTCAACACCTGGACTTAAGCCCAATAAGACTGGTTTTGGACTTCTGTCCTCCAGAGCTGTAACAGAATACATTTGTATTGTTTCAACCACTAAGTTTGTGGTAATTTGTTACAGCCATATTAGAAAATGAATACAGTCATATGTTTTGAAAAGATAAATGTAGAAGGTAACACCAAATTAAATAATGGAATAAACTAGATGCAGTGGCTCATGCCTGGGAACACTTTGTAATCCCTGCACTTTGGGAGCTGAGACAGGAGGATTGCTTCAGGCCAGGAGTTTGTAACCAGGCTAGGCAACATAGCCAAAGCATCTGTCTCTAATTTAAAATTTTTTGTTTTAATTAGCCAGTTGTGGTGGCACACACCTGTAGTCCTAGCAGATCAGGAGGTTAAGGTAGAAGAATTGCTTGAGGTCAGGAGTTTGAGACTGTAGTGAGCTATAATTTTGCAACTGCACTCCAGCCTGAGGGACAGAGCAACAGCCTATTTCTGAAAAGAATTTAAAAATAAAATAATGTAAAGAAGTATAATGGAAATGAATTATTATGATTACGATGATAATAACACCCTACATTAGATGAGAACATCTTCTCCACAGTCTTGATTTCCATGAGAAGGACTTTTATCTGACACCCTCCTGGCCTCTCCTGACCCTTATATCTCTTGGGCCTTGGTGATAGGAAGTGATGTCTCTGGTTAGTATGAAAAAATACCTGTACATGCTCAGCCTAGTTCTACCAGTCTTCTTGGAATACAGCTTCCTGTAGGGACTTTCTTCTCTTTTTATGGTAAACATACCCCAGGTGGTGCCACTATGACAGGAAGCATAAGTCTACCTAATTCTAGGGTGCATTTAGCTGGCCAATTTGCCTCTCAAACTAAACTGCATTCTCCAACCTTTCTCTACAAGTAATGAGGTAACATTTTGCTTCTGTATTTGCTTTTCCCAAATTTCCCAAGTTGTTCAAAAACTGGGTGGAAAAGAAGGGTATGATTTTGGGGGGTGGTTTCAGAGTCTCAACTTTTAATATTTATAGACTGCATACCATGTGCCAAGCACAGCAGAAATATTCTGCATAAATTATCTCATTTTATCCTCACAAAAATCTTATGAGGCAAGTACTAGTGATAGGGACAGGAGACAGGGAAATTCTGGACAGAAGAAGGCAGCCCCCTTGGGCCCTACCCTCAAGCCTGGAACCACAGCCCAAAGTGAGATCATGCCTTTCTGTTTTCGCACTCAAACGTTGCCTTTTCCAAAACCACCTGTGACCCACCCTGCTCCCCATCCTGTGCCCATAAAAACTCCAGGCTCCATTAGCTGAAAGCAGATAAGAGGAGGAACAGCTGGGCTAGGCACAGTGGCTCATGCCTGTAATCTCAGCACTTTGGGAGGCTGAGGCAGGTGGATCACTTGAGGTCAGGAGTTCGAGACCAGCCTGGCCAATATGGTGAAACCCCATCTCTACTAAAAATACAAAAATCAGCTGGGCATGGCAGCAGGTGCCTGTAATCCCAGCTACTGGGGAGAGTGAGGCAGAAGAATCGCTGGAACCCTGGAGGCAGAGGTTGCAGTGAGCTGAGATCGCACCACTGCACTCCAGTCTGGGTGACAGGGGGAGACTCCATGTCAAAAAAAAAAAAAAAAGAACAGCTGGGCATTGGAGACAACAGTTGGACATTGGAGAGAAGCAGCTTGATTTCAAAGGGATGGCTTGATGGCATTTCTTCAGAGAGGAGTTTGGCCAGGGACAGCCAGAATCCAGGGGAAAATCACCTTCCCACTCCATCCCCTTTTCAGCTTCCCTCCCCACTGAGAGCCACTTTCATCGGCAATAAAATCCTCCACATTTACCACCTCTCACTTTGTTTGTGCAACCTCATTCCTCCTGGACACTGAACAAGAACTCAGGTGTGGGTGCAAAAGGCTGTCACACTGACCCTCCACTGAGTGGTTAACACTTAAACCATCTGCGGATGGCAAAGCTAAAAGAGTGCCGATTGTAACACTTCTTCTGGGGTATCAGTGGTTGCAGGTACTCCTCCCTAGATGCTGCCATGGGGCCCACATGAAGTTTTGCTCCTGCTGGCACCCAAAAGCACTCACCCCGGCTCCTGCACCCGCTCACCTGCATGCTGCATCCCACAGGTGAGCACAATAGGTTGAGCGCAATGGGTTGGAATGAATGGAGTTTGTCTGTGCTGGTGCTGAAGAGGCTAGCTAGCACCAGTGCCCACAATTCAGTTCCTACCTGCGAAGGGGTCAGGTAAAATTTCCTGCTTCATTGTATTACCTGCATTTTATAGCTAATGAAATGGAGGCACAGAGATGTTAAGTAACTTACTCAAAGTCTCACAACTTGGAAATGGCAAAGCTGTGATTCATGTCCAGGTCTTTCCAACTTTTAAACCTGTGCTTTTGAACACTCTGCATCATGTCCTTCTTCCTGGAGGGTATGAGGTTAGAACTGAATACTAATGATGATTTCTAAAGAAAGCTCTGTCTTCCTGGAATAAATTTTGGCTTGACTTCTAAGAAAGTTGCTAGATATAAAGCTCAAATAAAAATAGACCACATAGATCACAGCAGTCTTGTTTTGTATGCTAATTTAAATGCTATTAATTGTCTAGGTCACTTGTAGCTTGCCTTTCACATGTACACAGCCTAGAGTTGATTACAAAAACAAAAGCCTCTTTGATAAAGATTTCACCACTTAAAATACAGCCACCCAGAAAGCCTTTAATCTTTCATGGCATGGAACTATCCTCACTTAATCAGAAGCTGCCTAAGGGGTAATCTCAAAAACTGATGCCTACAGCTGAAAATTAAGATATCAGACTTTCATCTCATTTGACCAGTTCTATTTCACTTTTGATTCCACTTCCTTCCCCTTCTCTTATCCTACAGGCAGTGGACCATATATTTCTTGCTTCACAAAGGATTTAATAGGTAGTCACAATTCTACAGCTGGACTTCCCACAAAGCAATATTCTCCATGATAAATTTCAGCCATTTTTGACCCTCAGCTTTCCTTTGAGAGCCATATCAACCATATTGATAAGACCTCATATTACCATCTCAGGAGTATAACAAGGTTAAGACGATTGCTGTCTCAGCAAGATGCTGAGCTATTGATTCATGCCTTTATAACAACAAGGCTAGATTACTACAATTTATTGTTGGCTTCCCTCCCAGAATGCTCACTGCTTTGACTTGACTTTGTAGAGGATTCAGCAGTCAGGGTGTTCAACAACTAATACAGAAATGCCTGCACACATCACATCAGTACCACAAACATTAAGCTGAAATACAGAACTGGCTTGAAAAATTGTAGGTTCAGGTCCTGCTTTTAACCCTATGAAACACAGTGAACATTTTCCTTCCAGAAACAAGGCTTTCATATAAGACTCTGGAATTGAACTGACTGTGGCTCAAGGAGTCTAAGCTACTTTATAAGAATGCCACACTTCATTAGACTTAGGATCTGATCAGGAACCTGAGGAAAACCTCTCTTTGGGGGAACCTAATAGGTCCACAGTCGATATGGGCTTACTATAGCACACTAACTAAATTGTATCAGAAGATATTTTCACTTTTAAAAAGTGTAATACCTACAACACGGTAATATTCTATAATCTACATTAACACCTTAGAGGAACTCAAATCACACAATGTCCCTGTGTCTCAAATCTCACTGAGAAGTAATTCCTAATGTCATATCATGTTTAGACGAAGTCTCCTTCCATCTAGCAGACCAGTGCATATCTGCTATGGTCTGAATGTTGGTTACCCCCTGCACCCCAATTCATATGTTGTAACCTGATACCCCATATGATAGTATCTTAAGAAATGGGGCCTTTAGGGTATGATTAAGTTATGAAGGCTCTACTTTCCAGAATGGTATTTCTGACCTTAAAAAAAGGCTCAAGTCAGCTCCTTTGTCTCTTCCACCATATAAGGACTCAGCAAAAATGGTGCCATCTATGAGGAATGAGGCCCTCCCCAGACACCATATCTGCTTGCACCTTGATGTTGGACTTCCCAGTCTCCAGAACTATAAGCAATAAATTTCTGTTGTTTATAAGTGACCCAGTCTAAGGTGTTTTGTTATAGAAGCACACAAAAGAACTAAGACAATATCAAAGTATGCTTAGAGAACCACTCACTTCAAAATCATCTGTAATGTTTATTAAAGAATAGACTTCAGGGTTCTAATCCTAGAATCACAACCTCCGGAACTGGGACTTAGAATTCACGTTTTTAACAAGCTTTTTATAAGTGACCCAGTCTAAGGTGTTTTGTTATAGAAGCACACAAAAGAACTAAGACAATATCAAAGTATGCTTAGAGAACCACTCACTTCAAAATCATCTGTAATGTTTATTAAAGAATAGACTTCAGGGTTCTAATCCTAGAATCACAACCTCCGGAACTGGGACTTAGAATTCACGTTTTTAACAAGCTTTTTATAAGTGACCCAGTCTAAGGTGTTTTGTTATAGAAGCACACAAAAGAACTAAGACAATATCAAAGTATGCTTAGAGAACCACTCACTTCAAAATCATCTGTAATGTTTATTAAAGAATAGACTTCAGGGTTCTAATCCTAGAATCACAACCTCCGGAACTGGGACTTAGAATTCACGTTTTTAACAAGCTTCCAAGCATTTTTAACAAGCTTTAATGTAAACTAAAATTTGAGAACCACTGTACTAGACACAGCAAGTTCTAGGAGTGAATACTCCTCTGCCTCATTCTGCCTGGCTGTGGTAAGTGCTGGGTAGGCATTGTTTCTATGTATGATGTATGATTAAATGAACAGTTGATGAATCTATGTAGAATTCACAAAGTCCAAGGCAGTGTCTCTCTTCTTGTGATCTGCTCAGCACTCCTAACAGAGATAGAGAAGCACCAGGTAGACTTACGAGATTTAGATTAAGAGAAAAAAAACCATTGACACCCAGGTAAATTTGAATTTCAGATAACAACACATACTTTTTAGTATAAGCATGCCCTGTGCAATATTCGGCCACCCTAGCCCAGACTACATAGTCCTATGCTGACCCATTGTTTTCTCTTGATTGGTGTTCCCTCAACACAGAAAACAGACAGATGTCTCTGGGTACAGAGGATATTGACAGGGAAGCCAAAGAGTGCCTCCTATGTAACTCCAGAAGAGCTGTCAGCTCTATCCTTAAAGAGCAGAGTGAGATTTTCCTTCCAAGCTCACTGTCTCTGCCCAGGCAGGCCTTATCCAAGGGTGGGGTTCTTATTTCGCTGATCCTGTAATATCTCATCTAATAAAAAAGAGAATGCAATATTCCCTCCTAGGGCTTGCTATACTGATTAAGTAAAGTAACAAATGTAAGGCTTAACACTGGTATTTACTTTCTCACCTCCAGTCTCTTTCAAGCTCTATCACATTCATCATTAACACAGTTCCATTGACACTATCAACCCCTCATTCATGCACATGTCCACATGTGCTTACTCTTGCACACACACACATGAACATGCACACACTCACACATGCATGCACATACACTTTTTGTAGTTCTACTTATTCACTATATAGGAGTTTTACACAATATCTCTCAGAGGCTAAAGGAAAGAGGGCTCTGATGCCAAGCATTCAAATTCCATCTCTGCATTTATGTTTTCTGTGTGACATTAGCAAATTATTCAATATCTTCCTGCCTGAGTGTCCTCATTCGCAAAATGTGAATACTAATGCATACTTCACAGGGTTGTTGAGGGGATTAAATATATTAATAGAGTAACCACTTAGAATAGTACCTGCACATAGTAAGCACTATATGCTTTAAGCTATTGTTATTTTTATCAATGTCATCATGATCGTCATCTCCATCCCACCCAGATAATTTCTTGAACCTCAGTAGCTTCATAGGGCCAAGAATTATTATCTGAAGGAATCCCTCTCTCCTAGGACTGGAAAGGTCCCCAGAAGCCCAAATTTTACTCTCATTATATGGAGAAAATTGCTAAATTATATCTAAGGCCCAAATTTTACTCCCATTATCTGGGGAAAATTGCTAAATTATATCTAAGGAAGCTAATTGCTATCTCCTGGTAATTTCTAAAACATACCTGCCATTGATGTTGTTTTTTAATTGATGAAGTAAATTGAGTACAGGAATTATTACTGAGTAGAGGAATAATTTAGAGTTCTTATTTTGGTAACCAGTTGTTTGGCTCAAAAGCTAGTTTTTAGAAATTGCCTAAAGAGCAAAATATGTAACCTAGTATATTTGAAATGTCTCATCTAAACCTGCAAGATCAAAATGTGTCCAGATTTTGTTAAAATATGACTCCCACTGTCACTACTAATTTAGAATTTTGTGAGGAACATACCCAAGTCTTCTTCATATCCCATCACTATCTCACCCAATTCCTTTTACCCAACAAATAATTTAACACTACATATATAGAATACTAACAAGAAAGGCATTTATACATTGACCTATCTAATTAATAAATATTGACTGGCTTTGTGTATAAGATGCTGTAGATATAGTTGGGAATACAACATACAAACAACACTGCTTTCATGGAGCTTACAGTCTATAGAAAATCAGAAAAAAAGAAAAGACAAATATATAATATGTCATTTGGTGACAAAGTCTATGAAGTCTGTCTTAGTCCATTTGTGCTGCTATAACAAAATACCTGAGACTGTATAATTTATAAATAACAGAAATTTATTTCTCATAATTCTGGAGGCTGGGAAGTCCAAGACCAAGGCACCAGAAGGTCCAGTCTCTGCATCCAAGATGATGCCTTGTGCTCTGTACCCTCACATACTGGAAGAGCAGAAGAGAACGAACCCATTCCTTCAAGCTGTTTTATAAGGGCCTTAATCCCATCCATAAAGGCTTTGTCCTCATGACTTAATCACCTCCTAACGGCCTCACCTCTTAATACTATTACATTGACCATTAAGTCTCAACACATGAATTTTGGGGACCATGCTGAGATGATAGCAAAGACAAATAAAGCAAGGATGGGGCTAGGACATGCAATAAGTCCTGTACTTTTACTTAGTGTTATCTGGGAAGACCTCACTGATATTTGCACAGGAATTCAAGAGAGGTGGTGGAATGAATGAGTCCTGCATGTAGCTAGGTGGAAGAGAGAGCAATGCAAAGACTTTGAGATAGGACCATTCCCAGCATGCTTGCTTGAGATAAAAGAGATCAGTGTGGCTGGAATGGAGAGAACATAAAAGGCAGTAGTAGATGGTGTCAGAGAGGAGCCAAATGATGAAGAGTATTGTAAGCAATTATATGCACTTTTGCATTTACTTGACTGAAATGGGAAAACAAAGGAGAGTTTTGAGCAGAGGAATAACAAGAACTGTATTATCTTTTAGAAGGATCACATTGGTTGATGTGTGGACAATAATGGTAGTAGGGCAGGTATAATAAAATGAGGAGACATATTAGGAGTAATTACAATAATCCAGATGAAAGACGATGATGTTTTAGACTACGATGATGGCAATGAAGTAGATAAGAAGTGGTTGGATTCTCAATATATTTTAAAAGTGCAAGAGAAAATGGCTTATACCATTCAAAAATCTAGGCATGCATATTAGAGTAACACAAAACAAATGAAAGTATATTAGAAATTTTACTTAAATATTTAAATTTTGAATCAACAATAATTTCCAAAAGTATGAAGTTGAAAAGCTTCCCTGGGGAGTAACATGAGACCACTGGAGAGATTTAAAAAGGACACAGAGAAACAGGAAGCCATTGTGGGTTTTCTGAACAGGAAAATGAAAAAAGTAGAAGAGGAAGGTTGTTGAATTTGTTGTTAAATACTTGATCCACCTCGACTTCTCTCAAATTAAGCCTGAAACAATAATAGGTACCTTTAAATACTTTGTGAGGCCAAAATACTAGTTTATGTGCACTACCTCAAGCCATATTGACAAAAGTAAAATAGTGCCTTTTACCTCGGCAAAGGTCAAATTCTTTCTAGAATGGAGTACCCAGTTCTAGGTTAGTAGTGTAACTCCACGGACCAGGTGTGCCTCTGAGCAACACCATCAGTGAGCAACCACCACTCTGATTTATGTTTGCTGCACCCTTTTGAGTGTTGAAGAAACCTGAATTATCTATGAATTGAGCCTTATGTGGTAACACCTCGATTCAAACACAGTCTTTTTCTAAAGAACCAAAGAAGTACAAACTTGTACAGGAAATGAATTTAGAAGTGAAAGGCAAAAAGGCCAGAACCCTCCAAAAAAGGCCCTCAAAAGACAAATAGGCAGACAGCAGTGATTAAATTCAGGGACATTTAAATTTTCTCAGCATTGGACTTTCCCTGGATTAAAAATTGTAAAAGGTCCAGAGAAAAATAACAAAGGTAATTAAAGACTTGGAAAGTGAATTTTAAGGTATTTTAAGAATACTGGGTAATTTAAGCTGAAGAAAAGGTAACAAATATGTGACATGAATTTGCTTTTTTAAATGAACATATCAAAAATTAGGATTTACTACTAAAACTGATGCAGGGTTTTTCTCAGTCACTTAGCTGGAGACCTCCAGCCAGCAACACCACTTCCCAGGGGTTCAAGATGGGGTTCACCACAGAAGATGCCCTGTCCACTCAGTCCCTTGGGCTGTGCCTGGCCTGACCCCCAGCATGGATCCCGCAGTCACTGCAACTGCACGCTCAGCCCCCAGTGGGAGTGGGTGTGTGAGCAAGTGAGTGCCAGGTCTGGCTGTCCATTCCATGCGCCAGCACAAGAACAGGCTCCATGCAGGGCTTGCAGCTGGACAAGGCATGTCGCAAGCCACTGACACAGTGAACTCCAGTGTCCAGATGACGGGAACATAAGGATTCCCAGGCAGGGGTGCCCACGACCCTGAAGCCCCAGAGCAGGGGTGTTACATCATGCTAATTAGCTCTTTCAGTCCTGCTGTTCACAGCTCAACGGATGTCAGTGCATTAACAGCTCTGTCAGCCCCTTGCTCTGCTCCAACCTGTGGCTCTGGGGCTGGCTCAGTTCTGCTGCTGTTTTCTGTTGCATGGGGCAGCTGCCCTCCACTGGCAGAGGGCAGGGGGCCACAGCGTTACAGCCTTTTCTGTACCCGTGTTCAGTGGGTCCTGAGCCCTTGTCCCACATCCAAGAAGAATGAGAATAGATTGACAATTGAATGGTAAGGAGGGGGGAGAAGAAGTTTATTGAGTGAGGAAATAGCTCTCAGCAGAAAGGGGACATGAGCATGGTCCACCACCCATAGTCCAGTGGTCTCTTTCTCAGAGTGGTTGACTTCGAGGCTTTTATGGGCTCAGAATGGAGAGTGCATGCTGATTGGTTTGTGAGTAAGCAAAAAAGGGTAAATCAAAGGCAGCATTCAAACATGGCAATGACAGTGTAAAAAACCAATTAGGGAAGGTAAGTATATGTAACCTATGTGAAGGGTGAGGATTAATCAGAGTAAAGCAAGCCAAACAAGAAGACAGGTCCTCAATCTGGTCTGTGGATTTATCTGAGACTTGCAGCTTGGCCTTTGGGCTTTAAACTGTCTTTGGTTTGAAGGTGGAGTTTCACTGGGGACCTGTCCCTGTCTGCCTAGGATTTGTCTGCCTCCTGCTGCTATCAAAACCATGTGCACTAAGAACCCATCTGACAACAGTTGCAACCCGTCACCTTGCCTGAGCTTAACCCTCTATCACCCAGAGTGATAGTTTCAAAAGTCTCTGCAGGCAATATCAGTATTTACAAGCAAATTCATGTAGTTATTATGAATTACTATTCATAAGTAATAAAATGTTACCTGACGCTCTCTTGGTGGCTATCTCATTTACTTCTGATGCAGAATTGCTTTCTTAACACAAATCTGACAGGCTTTTTTTATGAATGTGTCTGAAAGGGGATTCACTGACAGTGAAAACTCATATAAAAAAATGCCTCCAAAAGTGGGGGAATACTTTAGCTAAAAACCTATATAAAAGAATCAGATCAAATTATCAAAGAACACTGGTTCATCTTGAATAACTATTCATGTTAAAATGAATGAAGGAGTTTCCTATAGGGAAGGCCAAGTCTTCCAGGGAAACTATCATGGAAATAGACTAAGTTTCTCTATAAAAATTCACTTGCGACAAAGACTATTATAGCTCTTGAAAATGTGTATAATTCATGGTATTTTTCTATGTTCTAACTTCTAAGTACACTCCTATTACAGTGTTTGGAGCAAGAAATGCTGTAGCATAGGCTTATAACACTATTAGTATGCTCATACACTCTTATTCTTCAGTATAATAAATATTCTATTGATATGTTTCTCCTTGCACTATTATAAATATGATATTGGGAAGAGTGTTAAAAATTCACTTGATGATATATGTAACAGGACCAATTAACACAATGTTAGTCACAATGAAAACCTGAAATGAAGGTATTAAAAATTATTGTAATAAAAATAATTACATTTATTGAGTCCCAATATGTGTCAGACATTTTATGTATATTATTCTTAACCTCATAATAGCCCCACTTAACATTACCTTCATTTTCACATGAGGAATTCTATTTACATAAACCTAATTTCTTGAAGGAAAAAGAGCCAAGAAGTGATAATGCTGATATTTGAAATCTCACAAATTTGAATTAAAAATTGTTGAACTTCCTACTTTCACATCATCTTTTAGTAGCATTTTTTCAGTTTATTTGTCTAGATTTCTGTTGAAGTCATTTTTGTTTAGTTGATGACATTTAAGAATATTGAAAACTGAAAATTTGGTTTGTTAAAAATTCTATTTTGATATATTTTTACAAAATCAATGTCTATGGGCAGAATTTTTAAATGATATTTTGGGAACTTTACTTCTGCAGTGTTTTACTACAAATGCCATTTTCAAAAGTCGATATGATTTTAGCATGAGACTTGGATAAATTGTGAATTCTGTTCTACAAAACAAATGACTGGAGGATGTATCTTTCAGTCAGACTTAAAAAGAACAGTAATTAAAGACATCAGCTCCAACTAAAAAGCAAGGCTTGCTAGGTTTCTGGGGAAGAATAACTGCTGGCGTACTGCATAGCCAAAGTGGGAAAACAGCTCACACAAGAGAGGGCATCCAGGAGAACACTGACTCTGAAATCTGACCTCCTGGCACCACCTAAGAACATTCTGGGAGCCAATTTAAGCCCATGAAAATATCAACATTGATTTCAAATCCAAAGACACATATGCATTTCTTGTTTCTGGGAGTGAAACACTTATCAAACAAACTATTCCTCTCTCAGGATTAGGATGAAGATTCACTCCCTCGTAAACAAATGAAGCAAAACAAACACAGAAAAATTCAGAGGCTAGATTACTTCTGAATTACCTAGATTAAATCAAGCCATATAGATTATGTGCTGAGGGCAATTTGTGGGCAAAACCCTAGGGTTATCTACCAGGCTGCCACTGTATTGATTCAGTATTTCTGCTGTAATGAGTAGAGTGAAAAAAAAAATCCAGTAGTGAGCTAAGCTGCTTATGAATCAAAAGACTTTCTTTGATGCATCTTAATACTATTTTGCTGGGACATTTGCCCACATTTCCTACAGCTGTTCCAGAGAGACAGAACTGGGCTACTAGGAATAGTGTCAGTTACACTGAGAGAGAAAATGACAGGGGTAGGCTTGTCTTGGTTCTTTCTGAAAGTGGTAATTTTAATGGTGACCAGGATATGTAAGAAGTATATTTATATTTTCATCACTTCCTGAGCCAACATATTTATATTCAACTTAAGTTGGTTTTAAACAAAGAAAGAAACAATAATCTAAAACACTCAAGAAAATATATGAATGCAGAGACACTTCTATTGAAAAAGAACATTTTCATTTCATGGTTGATTTTTTTCTGTCACAGAGAAGGCAATGAAATATATGACAACACTTCTATATTTCCCTCTTCTGCAACAAGCACAGAGACATACACATTCAGATGCCTTATAAATCACACTTGTTAATATTCACCAACCACAGAATCAAAACCTGTAAAGGCTATATCTGACCAGAATATTTTGATTGCAATTAGGTCTCATGTAGACAGAAAACCTGACTTACGCTTGCTCCTGAAAAAAATATTGGCTCTTATAACTGAGACATTCCTGTATAATTTTGGTTTAGATACTACTTTTCCAGGGCACAAAGGATGTCATCAGGACCTGATTTCTCTGAGTTGAAAAGTATGTGGGATTTTAAGTCAAATCAGGATTCCAGGTCCAACTCTTTTTGTAGGGGAATATTAGGGAAAGCATAAATTCAGTGAATCTCGATCAGCTTGTCTGAAAATTAGAGATAATAGCCCCCTGAAGCAGGATCAAATGAGAATGTACAGAAAACTGTGGCTATAACTCCAAGGTATCATAAGAACGTCAAAGATAAACGCATATGACTTTCCTCCTAATAGAGTGTATCAAAGAAATTCCAGCTTTGGGAGCCAAGTGAGCTGGTGGAAGAGATAAAAGTGGGGAAGTAGGGAGGAATGTTTAGAAGAATAATCAAGGAGCATGACAGTACCGGGTGGCTGATGGACAAAGGAACAAGAACACCAGGAATCCGGAGCATGGCAATGACAAGGGAAGTGAGAGCATTAGAAAAAGCCATGTGGGAGAGATTTAACATGCCCTTTTTGTCTATGTAGAGTATGTTACAAATTCAACAATTCGATGATGTTTGTTAAAATGAACGTCTCAACCAGCAGCTGCCAAAACCATCTCTGAAACTCAAAGGTCCTTTTCTATAGCCTACACCTTGGACAATAGGCTTTCTCTTTGGTTAATAAGAGAAATCAGCTGAAGTTAAAATTATACAGAAAATACATTTTTATAATAGAAAATATCACCCTAGTACTAACATCTAGCTGATGAGGAAGGAAATAAGATATTTGCAGGCTTGTATTTCTTCATTCTTTGAACAAATGTGCATTGAAAACCAGCTACTATGTGGTGAGCACTGTGTACAGCAGTCTCCCCGGTATACATAGTTTCTCTCTCTATGGTTCCAGGTATCCACATTCAACCATGATCTGAAAATATTAAATGAAAAATTCCAGAAATAAGCAATTCATATGCTTCAAATTGCGCACCATTCTGAGTAGCATGATGAAATCTCACGCCATCCAACTCCATCCGCTCGAGATGTGAATCATCCCTTTGCCCAGGAAATCCATGCTGTCTACACTACCTCCCACTAGCCACTTAGTAGCCATTTAGATGATCAGTTCAACTATGGTTGTATCACCATACTTGTGTTCAAAGAACACTTATTTTATTTCACAGCAGCTGCAAAATGCAAGAGTAGTGATGCTGGCAATTTGACTATGCCGAACAGAATCTGTAAAGTGCTTTCTATAAGTGAAGAGGTAAAAGTTCTCAAGGTAATAAAGCAAGCAAAAAATTTGTATGGTGAGGTTGCTAAGATCTACGGTAGGAATGAATCTTCTATCTGTGAAATTGTGAAGAAGAAAAAAGAAATGTGTGCTAGTTTTGCTGTCACGCCCCAAAATGCAAAAGTTATGGCCATAGTGCGTGATAAGTGCCAAACTAAAATGGAAAAGGCATTAAATTTATGGGTGTAAGACATGAACAGAAATGTGTTCCACCTGATGGCAATCAGTTTCAGGCACCCACTGGGGGTCTGGGAATATATTCCCCCAAAATAAGGAGGACTACTGTATATAAAGATAAATAAAAACATTGTCCCTATTTTCTTGTAGCAGCCTAGTAAAGAAAATTTACAAACGTAGATAATGTAAAAAATTGCCTAACAGATATCGACATGCTATAGAGGCATAGAGAAGTATCTGTCTCTGCAGAATTTGGGGAAAGGAGACACAGAGAAAATATTCGAGGTGGTCATGAAGACAGAATGGGAGCTTAAGGGAAATGAGGGGGTGGTCATCCAGGAATGAGGAAGGATGTGCACAAAGTCACACGAACCTGAAAGTGGACGGGTATGTTGCTCGGTGTGACTAAACCATGAAAGCACTGAGCCACGACAATATGAAAATCACATTTAATAGGATATTGTATGTTTGGGCCTTATCCTGGGGAAAAGAAATGCTA
Source organism: Homo sapiens (assembly GCF_000001405.40). Lineage (NCBI taxonomy): Eukaryota > Metazoa > Chordata > Mammalia > Primates > Hominidae > Homo > Homo sapiens. Next base: position 108,858,288 of record NC_000007.14, on the reverse strand, counting down.
AAAGGTATTTTAAATCAGAAAGGAATATGTTCAAATTTACGTTTTAGAATGCTAACTCCGGAAAGATTACAGAATGTGGATCGGCATTTAATGGAGATAGCACACAAAAGCAGAGATATTGAGAAAAAGTACAGTTATTACTTGAAAAATATTTAGGATATAAGTTCTTTTTTTTTTTTTTTTTTTGAGACAAAGTCTTGCTCTGTCAACCAGGCTGGAGTGCAGTGGTGCAATCTCTGCTCACTGCAACCTCCACCTCCCAGGTTCACACCATTCTTCTACCTCAGCCTCCTGAGTATCTGGGTCTACAGGCTCCTGCCACCACGCCTGGCTATTTTTTTTTTTTTTTTTTTTTGTATTTTTAGTAGAGATGGGGTTTCACCGTGTTAGCCAGGGTGGTCTCAATCTCCTGACCTCGTGATCCGACCACCTCGGCCTCTCAAAGTGCTGGGATTACAGGCGTGAGCCACTGCACCCAGCCTAGGATATAAATTCTAAAGGCTATGTGGCCATATTAATCAGGATTCTCCAGAGAAATAGAACCAATAGGATATATAGATATGTAAGAGAAGACTTATTAGGGGAATTGGCTCTCGCAATTATGGAGGCTGAGAAGTCCCATGATAGGCCACGTGCAAGCTGGAGGTCACCTAGAATGCCAGTAGCATGGCTGATACGATTTGGCTCTGTGTCCTCACGCAAATCTCATGTTGAATTGTAATTCCCAGTGTTAGGAGAGGGACCTGGTTGGAGGTGATTGGATCATGGGGGTGGTTTCCCCCTTGCTGTTCTCACAGTAGTGAGTTCCCACAGGAACTGATGGTTTAAAAGTGTGTAGCACTTCTCTCTTGGCTCTCTCTACCTCCTGCTCTGCCATGATAAGATGTGCTTCCTTCACCTTCCACCATGATTGTAAGTTGCCTGAGGCCTCCAACCATGCTTCCAGTACAGTCTGCAGAACTGTGAGTCAATTAAGCCTCTGTTCTTCATAAATTACCCAGCCTCAGGTAGTTCTTTATAGCAGTGTGAGAAAAGACCAATAAAATCGTCCAGTTGAAGCCCAAAATCCTCAGAACCAGGTGGTGAAACCCAGAATGATGGTGTAACACTCAGTCCAAGGACAAAGGCCTGAGAACCCAAGGCATAGGGGTCTCAGGAGGGAGTTGGTGTAAGTCTTGGAGTTCAAAAGCCAGAGAGCCTGGGGTTCTGATGTCCAAAGACAAGAGAAAAACAAATGTGCACTCCAGCTCCAGAAGAGAAAGAAACTCACTTTTTTGTTATATCTGGGCCCACAGCTGATTGGATGGTGCCCACCTACACTGGAGGTCATCTTCCTCACTCAGTCCAATGCCTCACAGGCCGATCTCCTCTGGAAACTGTCAAGACACACACAGTAATAATCCTTTACTAGTTCTCTAGGTAATCTTTAATCCAGTCAAGTTGACACCTAAAATTAACCATCACAGTGGCTGAGTGGGTTTAGAAGATAATAGGATGGTGTTCAGAATGAATCCCAGGAAATTATAATAGTGTAATTAATAGGGTGTAGGCTTTGAGGAAGGAGAAAATATTTGGAGGTCATTAGAGGTGTCTCTGTGCTATTCCAGGTAGTAGTAAAATAAACAAGTCTGGAGCCTAGGAGAGAGTTCTGAGTGAGAAAGATATTTGAGGATCATTAGCATGCAGTAGAAACTAAGCAAATAATATAATTTCCATGGAAAGAAACCATGCAGTGTAAGGAAATCTGTAAACAGTGAATGAGGGAGGAGTAAATACAGGTAAGAAACTGGAAAGACTGACTGTGAAGAAGTGGAGTATTATCTCCTTTTGGGTGCCCCCAAAATGCCTTTACATCCTTAGAACCTAGCATGGTAAACAGCACATAGCAGAATTTGCTAGGCTGTGAAATCCTACGGAAAATGAACTATATGTTATTTATCACTTTATCCTTAAGATACAGTTAGTGTCTGGTTCTCACTTAACCAATAAATGAAAGAGGGGTGGGGAGAGAGAAACAAAGATTATGGGGTTTGGGAAAGTAGTATTGCTAGAAGGAAAAAATAGGGCAGAAGAGATATTATTTAGGATGGGAAACAGAATAGAACTAGTTACAAATTTATGGGGCATGAGTCTGTTATGAATAAACGATTCATATGAAATGAAATGACTCATACTAATATGAATAAATGATTGAATAAACAAAAAATGTGGGAGAAGAGATAAATCTTTCTTACAGAAATATTCCAAATAATATATGGAAATGCTCTTCTTCCCTTGAATGTAAGCTGGACTTCATCACTCTCTTTGAAATAATTGAGGATAGAAAGTGGAAAATAGTAACTTTACAGCAGAGAAACCTAGCAAACACTACTTTAACCATGTGATTAATGTTAACATAAGCAGTGATGCCACATTGATCTCATGTACCTCCTGGTATAACATAATTATGTCACTTTGTGATGTTGGTTTTTCCCAAAAGTTCATAACCTCGAGTTATGAGACTACCACCAGACAAATGCAAATTGAGGAGCATTCTATAAAATAACTAACCATTACTCCTCACTACTGTAAAGACTGAAAAACAAAGAAAGACTGAGAAACCATCACATATCACAAATGACTAAAGAGACATGATGACTAAACACAATGTGGTATCCCTTTAGATTGAATCCTGGAACACAAAAAGGACATTAGTGTAAAAGCTAGGGAAATCCAAATAAGGACAAGAGTTTAGTTAATAGCAATATACCAAGGATGGTTCCTTAGTTTGTACAAATGTATCTGGTAATGTAAGATGTAAACATTAAAGGAAACCGAGTGAGGGGCTGTGCTGGTTTCCTACGTCTGCCATAACAAATTCCTACAAACTGAAAACCACAGCACATTTTCTCATAGTTCTGGAGGCCAGAAGTCTGAAATCAAGGTATGAGCAGGGCGATTTCCTTCTGGAGGATCTGAGGGAGAAGCCATTTCATGCCTGAGGGAGAAGCATTTCATGCTGGCTGCTAAAAATCTTTGGTGTTTCTTTGTTTGTAACTGCACTTCAATCTCACATGACCTTCTTCAAGACTTCTCCTCCGGCCCCCACATCCCATGTCTGTGTCTGTTCCTTTTCTGTCTCTTATAAGGACATTCATCATTGGATTTAGAGTCCTCCCTAGTATCAGGATGATCCCATCTTGAAATCTTTAATTTCATCTTCAAAGACCCTATTTCCAATTACGATCACATTCACAGGTACAAGACAAACTTTTGAGTTACTATACAACCCACTATAGGGATATTTCGGAAATCTCTGCACAATCCTTGCAACTTTTCTGAAACTAACAAATTATATCAGAATAAAAATTTATTTATAAAGGTGGAGGGGACAGTGGTTAAGTGGAATCAGTACAATGGAGGTGTAGCCTTAGATATTTAAAAAGATACTTCCTTACTGACAAAAGGAAAGAAGGGAAAAATAGGATGAATATAGATGTTTGTAGGCATGTAGGAGAGATATTAAGATTGTTTCTGGCAAAATAATCTCATTCTCTCTAAATGGGAGGCAGGACTTTAAAAGAAAACAAAGAGTGTTTGGAGACATATAATGGGACCTCTGAGGAAAGGTATACAAGTATTGGAAAGTAGGAAGGAGTAGTTCTCAGAAACAGCACTGAGCAGCCTTGAGGTCTAGTTAAGTTTACAAACCATGAGCAAGCAACAGTCCCAGTTCAGTGTGGTCATTCATACTAGCAGCCCTCAGCAGGTTAGGCAGAATACAGTGACAGATAAGCATGCTGGTGAGAACAAACTGAAATGTTTGATCTAGAAATACAGGCTACGCGGGAAAGCAACTGAGTAAAGACTGTCAGTGTCAGAGCAGTCCTCTAAAACATGCATGTGTGTATGAAGCACATGGGGACCTTACTAAATTGCAGACAAGGTGTGAAGAGGGGTCAGAGAATCCTACATTTCCAACAAGCTCCCAGGTAAGGCTGACACTCCCACTGCTGGTCCACAGAACTCATTTTGAGTAGTAAGAACTTTAAGAACTTAGAGATCTCCAGGAAATCCAAATGCAGTCTAAGAAAGGCACAGAACTGTAGAAAGAAATAAAACTGTGGAAATTCAAGGACTCATATTTCTGAAATGGATTAGTGTTTGAGGATGATAAGGTTTAGGGAGTGCCACGGGCATGAGTGCCTGAAGTCAAGTAGCAAAGAACCTCGTTTGAAGAACAGATAGAGTGTTAAGTGGGTCCTCCCTGGAGACACTGAGGCTACGTTGGATGAGGATGATTTGAGTTGAGAGGAAAACTTAACTGAGTATTAATTTCTTTAATGCATCTGGAAAAGAGAGACCTTGAGACTACTAAAGGGTGATATAACCTGGGGAGTCTGAAAGGCAGGTAGATGTCTGTTCATGTTTTGGAAGAAAACCCATCTGGAAAAAACAATGGATACCTGGAGCTCATGATTGACCCAGGAGACACAGGGAGGTGGTAGAGAGGTTACTGATTAAAGATTTGGAGGAAAGCTTTCCAAATAAGTTTCATTAGCAGCCTGAATTTACTAATAAATTCCAGTTAAAAAAAGAAGGTAGTCAGCAAAGACTATGATTGTAAAGAAAATTGAGGCTGCAGCATGAACTTTTGCAAGGATGTTAACAGAAGATTGGAGTGAGACAGTGAGCATGAAAGAAAGAGACACCGTTTTGTGGCACTTGCCCTTCAGATGAAGACTGGGAAAGCCAAATGGAAGAAGAAGAGCTGAGAGCTAGAAAGGAGAGCAGTAAGTGAAGTCAACATACTCCTGCAACTCAGGAGAAGTCACTAAACAAAAAATTACTTCTCTCAGGAAACACGATTTCTAGTTGTGCAAAAGTATGTAAACAAGAAACAGCAAGAGCACTTCTTTGACTGACAATCTTTTAGTCCGCAGAAAGATGGTATCTGTTGAGTGGCAGCAGATTGAGGACTTTAGAGTAGTGCGATTATCAGATTTATTTTAAATTCTGATATATAAAAATGTAGGGTTTTTTTTACCTCCTGCTGTTGATTCTCATGGAAACTATACTTATCGTAGGTTTGGGAAATGCAGCTCAGGGCTCTGAGATGACTGACAGGAGTGCTAACACTAGATGTAATCCAGGATGGCGGATTAGAGAGGAGACCTTTACAGCTCTCTTGCATTCTAATTAGCTGACAGTCATGAAAGATGTAAGCTCCAGACATTGACATTGTCACTTCAGGCAAGGACAAAAGTCATCTAATTTATATTAATATGTGAAAAGTTTAAGTCTGCCCATTTAAAATGGGAGAGTTTAGGCAAACTTTCATTAGCTTTTTTGGCTGACAAATGAAATGATGCAAGACTGTAAAAGACACATCATTTTTCTATAAATTAATAGAGATTGGAAATCATCTTATGGTAAATCACCTCTTTTATCAGCAGAAATATCTCTGAACTGGAACAAAAACGAGAATATTTCATTAACTTAAAAATCTTATTCTTGTCATTTTTAAAGCTATTTACATTATTGTCTATCCCATGAATTAACATTAGGAGAAAATACATTTGTGGACAGTTGTGAAATTTGGAGATAAAAGTGAAGATATTTGTATCCTTAAAAATATGCATTTATTTTTAGTGTTTTATTCTCCCTTATATTATCAGTTTTTAAACGATAATACTATATATATAATATATATTTTTACTATAATATGTAATAGTACACATTACATAGTTAACAAAGTATACTTATAATTTTAAACTCTTCAATTCAATCTCCCTTAATTTTATTATACTTTTGCCTACAGTGATCTAAAGACATAAGATCAAGGCTTATATTTCGTTATTAAGATAAATCTTACAGCTTTTTTTAAAAAACCACAGTGCTTTTACCATGTTCATGGGTTAGAATAAAGTATTGCAAGAAGGTTTCTCAATAATTTAGGAAACATTTACATTCCCTAGAATTTCACTGATTGATCTTGTTAAAAAGCAAATCAACAATTGTTGAACCTTCAAAAAGGACTAAAATGCAACTTGTTTTCTAACCAACAATGAGCCTTGGACTCACTTAAAACCATTATTGACCTTTACTGTGTCCCAGAAAGTGTGTTAAATATTTGATTTACAAAAGGAATAAAACATAACTCCTATTCTTAAAGAGTATACAGCTTAAAGATGAGAATATGTAGGAATTATGAAGGTCATTGCCCATATGGCAGCATATGATTAAATGAGAGACACCGATCTCATTTCTATTACTGAACGTTCAACTACGTTTCCTTAAAATATTTTCTCTCTAGAATCACTACCAAATACTTTGCCCTACAAAAAACCCAATTCACTCTAGGATGAATTATTGAGGCCTACGACTGTCAACATCTCAGTCATAAGGCATTTCTTTTAGAATCTGGCACACAGTAGGGACTCAACAAATGATGAATGAGTGACTCAAGGAATGTTGAGATAAAATGTAAAATATAAACTATTCTTCAGGTGCTTCTTCTTCATCTGAAAACATAAGACAGTTTACTTTAAGTACAGATTAAATTAATTCAAATTAAATGAAATTAATTTCATCACTGTCTCTTAAAACAGAAAAAAAAATGCCCAACTAAAGTATCCTGGCAAATTTCCTTCAGAAGCAGTAACATTTTCTCCAATAATTATTAATTTTATTCATATAAATGTCTATAAAGTGGTGTTAGAATAATTTTCTCAGTAATGTTATCTTTGATATATGCCTTCCTCATGTTTTTCACTAATTATCTTATTTTTTACAGTAACTATTTTCAAGAAATTGGAAGCAACTTGTAGTGTCCTACATCAATTGATGAGTGACATTAACCTTCAATATTCCCCTCCTATAGACAAAACTTGCTCTTTAATCTCTCTCTGTTCTCAGAGGATATTGCTCTTTTCCTTGACAATCTTCTTCAAATAATAATGCCATGTGCTAAGCCAACCCTTACCATAAAAATCCATTTCTTTCTTCAGGTTATTTCTGCTGATTTGGAATTATTATCTTTAATTCTTTTTCTCCATTTTAACATCACTTTTTAAAACCTGATACTGCAGAGTAGTAAGAATAAGTTATGAAAAATTGTAAAAAATATTTGATAGTCCAATTTAGTGATATTTTTACCTGCTTTTTTTTCTCCCATCTACTTGTTCTCAGTTTAAAGCCTGGGTAACTATGTTGTCTATTTCTATGCCTGCCAGAAGGCAACTACAAAAGTAAATTTCAAGCAGCAACTGAAAAAAGGTAACAAAAGGCATAATACATATTAATAAACCTGAAAAATATTCAACCGACAGCCTATTATTATTCTTCACATCAAAGAAAACATAGGAACTGATTCTCAGAAGCAAAAATGAGGGGAAAAATATAACAACAGAACTTGGAAATTAGATGAAACTTCAGAAGGCTGAAAGGGGTTCAGGAAAAGAAGTCAAAATATCCAGAAGCAAGTAGAAGAAATGAGTATGACAAGACTTATAAATATGCTATAGTACTAGGCAATTGGTAGCTGTACTCACGCAGAATTCACATGATCTTCTTTTTTTTTTTTTTTTTTTTTTTTTCAGATGGAGTCTAGCTCTGTCACCCAGGCTGGAGTGCAGTGGCATGATCTTGGCTCACTGCAACCTCTGTCTCCCGGGTTCCAGTGATTCTCCTGCCTCAGCCTCCCAAGTAGCTGGGATTACAGGCATACGCCACCATGTCTGGCTAATTTTTGTATTTTTAATAGAGACAGGGTTTCACCACACTGGCCAGGCTGGTCTCAAACTTCTGACCTCAGGTGATCTGCTCATCTTGGCCTCCCAAAGTGGTGGGATTACAGGTGTGAGCCACTACGCCCAGGCCACATTATCTTATAATAAGTTCTTCTTTACTTCAAGAAAAGTAATTCCTTTAGCCTTCACCTCTTCAATTTAATGCATGAAGTACTTTTAATGTGAATCAACTTAATAACTAGTTATTCATGTAGTCATTCATCAGAAGTAAAATATCCTAAGTGGTTAAAAAAAATGCAACTGACTTCTAGAAAATTTTATTCCAGTGGACCACGCTCTCTATGAGGAAAAAATCATCAAATCAAGTATATCGTGGAATTTCCTAATGTTCCAGTTTCTTTCCCATTATAAGGTCCAACTATTTTATATCTGTTATCATTTCTTCAGATTTCAGGCAAGATCTAAAAAATGAGTCACACACAAAATGTTACCAGACAGAATGAGCAAGATACTACACAACTTGTTACTGGGGTACTGTCTACTTTACTCTACAAGGTGCACAGAAGCTCCAGAAAAATCCTGCAAAGGCAAAGACTCTGCCTTGATTCACCCTGAATTCCCACTACCCATTACTGAAACAGTGCCTGGCACACAGGCATTGAGAGAATACAAACTAGGATCAGAATGCCGTCACAAAGCCATTCACAAAACTAGTTCACTAGTTAGGTGTGTCTTCAGTGACAATCTTCCATATTTTCCACTATTCATTATTTAGAATTTCGGGAACTGTGTACTTACAAAATGAATAGTAAAGTTATACTAGGAATATTATATTCATGGTATATTCATATAACAAGATATTAACATTGATAAAACAGTTTCTCCAAAGAGTCAGAATTAGTGACAAAAATTAATTTAATAGAAGGTAGGTTATACCTTTAAAAGGCACGAAGAATGTGGTGAATTTGCTGGTTCATAGCTCAAAAATATAGAAAAATGCAGGGGGTTTCCCATCTACGAAGCAATGGAGAAATTTTACAGAATCAGGCAAAAAAATAAGTGAACTAGTATTCTATAAAATAAAAATTTAAAAGACAACTCCAACAGTCAAGGTAAATCAGATTCACAGCATTTAATTGGGCATAATTTGAAGCATGTACTTAGTACTAGGATGCCTGAATAAGAATGAAAAGACCTGCCTGAAAATGGATTGCCAGATGTAGAAAGGAAGGCAGAAAAGCTGCAAAAGCATAAGCAAACCAGGGCAGGCAATGCTCTATTAGGACAGGAGACATTTTAAAGAGAAACATACAAGGAACACTAGGATAAAGGCCAAGTTATAGGAGCACTCATAAGAGGCAAACCAAGAGAAGTGGAGAGTCAGTACCTGTCTGATGAGTGTATGAGTAAGGAAACAAGTGAATGCATCTATGTTTTAGCTATTTTAAATAACTTTTAAAAATTCTTTTGCTGTACAGAAAGGGAGGTAGTATAAGAACTCTAAGGGTGTTAAACCTAATGCACACGCCTGGGAGATTTTCTTCATTAAGAAGATTCTTTATTGTGATGAACAAGCAGGCTGTGGATAGGCAGGATATTTTTAACATCTCTTTTGCACTGTTAAAGTAGTTCACAAACAACTTTGACATATCACAAGATGATGATGGGAGAAAGTATAAAGATAAATCTGGCATAAAATGTTAAATAAATACACTTTGGAAGGCAAGTAATAGACAAGAGCTGAGAAAGAAAAACCAGAAAGAGGAAGAAAAAAAGAAGGTAAGGGAGGAGAAGTAAAGAGAATGAGAGAGAAAGGAGGAGAGGGGAGGGGAGAGGAAGGTGGATGGAAGTGAGAGTAGCAGGAGGCAGTCAAATGCACAGGCAGGTGGGGGCGGGTCCCCAGCGAAACCCCGCCTGCAAGCCAAAGAAAGTTTAAAGCCCGAAAGGCAAGCTACAAGTTAAATCCTCAGACCAGAGTAAGAACTTGTCTTCCCATTTGGCGCACTTTCCTCTGATTGGTCCCCCACCCTTCACCAATTTTTCATATACCTACCCTTTTCTAATTGGTTTTCTACACTGTCGTGCCCACCTTTGAGTGGTGTCTTTGCTTTAACCTTTTTTGCATACTTACAAATCAGTCAGCACACACACTGCATTCTGAGTCCATAAGAGGCCCCGGACCCAGCCACAGGGGGAGAACTTTCCCACCTTCAGGTAGGGGGACCAACCCCACATCCCCCCTCTGCTGAAAGCCATCTTCATCACTCAATAAAATTCTTCTCTGCCTTACTCATCCTTCAATGTCCCGCATGTCCTCATTCTTCATGGGCGCCATGCAGAGGAACCGCCAAATATGGATACAAGCTATAACACAGGTAAGCTGGGGCACACCAGCATGCCTAAGGGAGGCCCAGGTGGGATGTCCCTGGCTGGGAGTCCCCAGCTTGCAAAGTGACCAAGAAGAAAAATCCTGCATCAGAAGCAGAAGGGAAAAGAACCAGAGAGTCTTAAGATTCCCCTCAGCTTGACCAAATTTCAGATAGGTTTCATCGGGACCTCTCTTTTCTGAGAGCATTTACTTTACAACACTTTTGATTGTAAATTATTTCTCTGTCTTTCTGAAATGTGTGTAAATTTTTTTAAAGTCCCTTTTCAGTTATAAATCCAGCAATCTCTTTCTCAAGGGCCTAGAACTATCCCTTTGACATGTAATCATCAAGGGAGATGGCACCCCTATCTCCCTGTCCAACTTTGGTGGACAGCCCCAAGTTATAAAACCACCTCCTGCCAGAGAGAAGAAGAAACTCACTCTTGAAGGAGTAAACTTTTACTTCTCCTTTGGGTAAAGCCAATTAGCAAACAAGCCTATGTTCTCCCTCTCAGCCCAGCATATAAAAATCCTCTCATCCTTTCTTTGCTTCAGTGGAGTTGAGCTCAGACTGAGTCCTGGCCTCTCTCCCCTATTGAGATAGGCTTGAATAAAGTCTTCGGTGCCTATTTAGCTTTGTCCAGTGCAATTTTTGCTTTGGCAGAAGGGAGGGGAGGGGATGAGTGGGGAGGGGAGGGGAAGAGAGGGGAGGGGAGGAGAGGGGAGGGGAATGGAGGGGAGGAGGGGAGAGTGAGGGGAGGGGGAAGTGGGAGGGGAGGGGAGTGGAGGGGAGAGGAGAGCAAAGCAAAGCAGAGGAGAGGAGAGCAGAGGAGAGGAGAGCGGAGGAAAGGAGAGCAGAGGAGGGGAGAGCAGAGGAGAGGAGAGGAGAGGACTCAGGGATCTTGATCAATAATTACTACTTTAAAAATGATAAATGAGAGTTGTTTTAATTGCATGGTTTTAATTGCTCATTCAGTAGGTAGTAAAACTGCAATTCAATCAAGCATGCTAAACCATTGAAAAATGAATGCATTACCAAGTATGAATAACTTGTTCATAATTCATTGAGCCGGCCATAGGGCAGGCACAACTAAGAGGCATTTGGCAACCAAAGCAATGCAAGCTGGTTGTGAGGAGAAAGAAGCTAGGATGCCTAAGAACAGATAGAAGAGCCTACCAGCCACTGACTCAGGTACAGAGCTAGTCACTAAAGATGAATATTGGTCTGATGACTACCGTCCCAACATAAACATCTTGCTTGAGGAAGCCACTGCACTCCAGGCCAGCAAATGGAGTATTGAAGTAGAACTCTGCAGCACGTGTGCATTGAATTTTAGCAGATTTCAAGAGCACTTTCCATAGTCAGGGGACAGAGAACCGAGTGGATCCTCCTGGGAGAAGGGCTCGGCAAAGACTCAAGGAAGAACTAGCCTAAGCATCAGGAGCCAAATACCAGTTAGGTGACCTGAACGATTCCATGGGGTAAAAACTGCAACTCATTGGGCACATGGGTAAACTTGTGGCTTGCTTCAGGTATCCTTGGAATTTTGATTCTGTCAACAAGACTAATTCCAGATCCTAAATGCTAGTAGGCAGAGACTGTAAGTACATATCCCATTGCAATGATGGTCTTAGATGCTGGGCAGTAGGGATGGGAAACAACGTCGGGCTGATGAAATGGGCTGAGCCTTCAGCGACAGAGAATCAGCGTTAAAATTGGAAAGAACTGGAGAAGACTGCACCTAAACTGTCTTTATCCCTACTCCAAGATTCTGGTAACTTTTCTTATAAGCTTTTCAAGAACTTTTGAAAACTACTGCTTTCCTCTCCAGGCACAAGCATAGATATTTATTTAAGGGTGTGATACACTAAACTTTTTCATCAACTCACAAAATGTGAACCCTTCCCAGATAGCAAAACAGCACACTCCTATTGTCTTTCATTTCCAAGTGCCAGAGGGGAATTGCTTTTAATAAATACTTTTACACTGCACTTCAGCTGAATTGCTGTCTTGTGAAAACAGGCCTGAGGAGATAACACATTGCCAAATTCCCTCCAGCAAGTGCAAAATAATACTGTAGGTTCTGGCATAGAAATAAAATGCAAATCTGATTACTTTGTTTTATTCTATATGGAGATAATGTGTGAGCACATTTAAATACATAATTCAACATATTTCAGCTATGGCCCTAGATAATGATTTAATGTCAGCCTTACACTAACCTTGTAACATGAGAGTTGCATTTAGAGCTGACAACGAAAAAGAGAGTTGATGAAATTACACTTTATTTTATTTTCTGGAGAGCTAAGCAGACCTGTTTATTCCATTCTCAATGCCAACTACCACCATAAATTTGAGAAAACTAAACCTACCCAGAGAAGGCCATACATATTAATAAAGCTGAAAGAATTGTCTGTTTACCATATTGGGATAGACTCTTCCCAGGAATAAAAAATAAATAAAATGTGGAGATAGTTTTCATGGGTCAAATTATAGTAAGTGATGTAAGGTCCAAACAGATTTATCACACTTACCTGTTAATTCTATAAAATCCACAATTGTATTAGAGATATATAAATAGCTACTTTTGGGGGAAATACAGAATTGCTTCAGGAAAATGTAGTGTAGGGATATGTTGCATAAATGATTAAAGAGTTAAGGAGGCCACTAGTAAGATATTAGGGAGAGAATATTAATATTCTTCAGTGATATTGTGGAAGAGCACAGTATTTTACATTGGGAAATAGTTTTAATGGTAAAAAATTTAAGCTGATAATTTTAAAAATTTGTTCCTTCCATTTTATGTATTTTACTTACCTCTTTGGCAACAAGCATAGGCTAGCCCAGAAAATTGACACGTTGACTACTTTTAATCCTAACACTAATTTTCAGGCCACAGACATAGCAGATGATGCATTGTTAGCAGGCTTCCAGAATCCTTTACAATACCCATGTAAAGCAATATTCACATCTGAAAGGCAGTATCTTTACAAAGGTCAGTTTTATAACTGCTACTTTTGTGACTTAGGGCCTAGAAGACAATTATATTACTTCCCACAACACATGAAAGGAATAAAAATGAAAATTTTAGGAGGTCTATATAATCCAGCTGTTTTTACTTCTTTTCCTGAATAATTTTTTAGCATGGAAGTTTGCACATAAAGAAACTAATTATGAACTAATATAAAAATATGGATGAACCAAAGCCAATTTTGCTAGATCCATCATGGATTATGAAAGACAGGATATATTCTCATTTTGTGTCACATTTCTATTCACTTTCTTCTAATCACAGGTAAAATAGAGGTTCTGTCTTAAAGCAAAGTATCTTTGACATTATCTACTTTTGAGAACCAAAGCCCTTCTTTTTATTTCCTTTAGCTTACAGTGCAGACTTCAGTAGTATTTGTCTATTTATGTTTAATTAATAAATTATAGCCTTCCTTGTTCCAAAAGAAAAGTATTTGAAGCAACACTCTCCAGCATTGTGCTAGCTGTAGGTTTCTATTTAAATTCACTTAATTCCAATTTGTAATCTACAAGACCGTCTGCCTTAATTGTTGCTGTTGCTACTGTTTCTGGTATTCTGCTATCACTACTTTTCATATTGTTTCCATAGTTGTCTCTTTATAATTATACAAACTGCACTGAATTGCACAAGGGGCTTGGAAATGCCTGTGGTGTCTGATTAGGAATTTTTTTTTTTTTTTTTTGAGAACAGATTTCACTATATTGACCAGGCTAGAGTGAGGTGACTATTCACAGGTGTGGTCATAGTATACTGCAATCTTAAACTCCTGAGCTCAAGTGATCCTCCTGCCTCAGCCTCACAAGTAGCTGGGACTACAGGTGCACACCACTGCAACTGGGTGTACTAACTGCACAGGCTATACTAACCTATTACTCTACTTAGGGTTCTTTTTATTTAGACAGAGTCCTTCTCAGTCACCCAGGCTGGAGTGCAGTGGCGTGATCTTGGCTCACTGCAACCTCTGCCTCTGGGTTCAAGTGATTCCCCTGCCTCAGCCTCCTGAGTAGCTGGGATTAAGGCAAGTGTCACCACGCCTGGCTAATTTTTGTATTTTTAGTAAAAACAGGGTTTCACCATGTTGGCCAGGCTGGTCTTGAACTCCTGACCTCAGGTGATCCACCCACCTCAGTCTCCCAAAATGCTGGGATTACAGGAAAGAGCCACCACGCCTGGCCAGGGTTCTCTCTTTAAGACCAAGATTTCTTTGGTCCCCTAGGGTAATGGGTATGTCCCCTAAGGGTCATCACTGACTTTATCAATGAAGGACATTGTTCTCACTAGGCACTTCCACTTCTAGGGTTCTTCTCCAGAAGACTCTGACTTTATTATTAGTGATTTTAGCAGTCATATTTTCTTGATGGCCACTTTGGCTATATAGAAAATTTCCATACTAAACCCTCTGGACCCATCCTGTGGCCTCTCCTGATCAAGTCTCATGGTTCTTGTTTATTCTTTTACTTCTCATAATGAGCAAAACATTTTGGAATTTGGATCTTAAAAGTGCCTAATGGGCTGGGTGCAGTGGCTCATGCCTGTAATCCAAGCACTTTCTTTGGGAGGCAAGGTGGAGGAATCACTTGAGTTCAGGAGATCAAGACTAGCCTGGACAACATAGAGAGACCTTGTCTCTATAAAAAATAAAAAAATTAGCCAGGCATGGTGGCACATGCTTGTAGTCCCAGCTACTCAGAAGGCTGAGATGGAAAGACCACCTGAGCCCGAGAGGTTGAAGCTACAGTGAGTAGTGATTGCATCACTGGACTGCAGCCCGGATGACAGAGTGAGACCCTGTCTCAAAAAAGAAAATACAAAAGGACCTAATGTAAAAAAATTGCAATTCACATAATTCACATGCTAGTGACTCCCATGTTATTCCAGAGTTCGCAGTGTTTTATACCTGTTCTTCTTTTATAAGGATTATCCGCTTGGATTGAGTCTAGATGATACCAAACAAGATGCCTAATACAATGTTTTCATTTGCCACAACTCTTGAACATTGCCATTACATCTTCACACATCATCTCTGCATCAGCTGCCATTCCCTGAAATCAATGTAGAATCAATCCAGTGGCCTGTCTCATATAGCTGGAGTCCATCTGACCTTACGTGTACCTCATTTCTCAAAGCATCTAGGAATTTTTTTAAAATAGAGAGTTAAAAGATCAGTTACAATTTACAGAAAAAGCAGTATAGTTAGCCAATGAACATAGGAAAGGATGCTCAATGTCGCTCATAGCATGAGATGTAAATTAAAATGCTTTGACTATCAAATACATTTAAAAATTAAAATATTCTATAACGTGCAGTCACTTTTCATTTACACTCAGAATTGGTGAAACCATTTAAGAATATGATGTGGAAATACTTGTTTTTATAAATTATAACAATTCTGTGCCTCTGTTTATTCAACTGAAAGTGTGGATAATAATATCTACTTATAATGTATGGTAAGAAATAAATTAGTGTTTTCAAAGTAATTAGAATTGCGTCTCACACAAAGAAAGCTCTACATTAGTGTTAGCTATTATTATCATTATCAATATTTAAAATAAGCAGACCTTTGACTTAGCAACTTCATTCATAGGAATTTGTCCTAGAAACAAAGGCAGATCTAGGCTTTGTGAGGCCAGAAACTTACGTAATTTTGGAGGTCCTCTTTAATATAGCAATGTGAATTGTATTTAGCTAAGCTCATTTCACTGTATTAAATAAATTATACACTTAAAAATGGTTAGTATGGTGAATTTTATCATAATTTTAAAGAGTCCAGTTGGGAAAAAAAAAAGGGCAAGAGATGGGACCATCAGAGAGCTCACTCACTGTCCATCCACATGTACACATAGAGGAGGTCGCGTGAGCACACAGAGAGACGGTAGCTGCCTGCAAGCCGAGAGGAGAGGCCTCAGGACATTATGTTAAGTGAAATAAGCCAGGCACAGAAAGACAAACTTCACATGTTCTCACTCATTTGTGGGAGCTAAAATTTAAAACAACTGAACTCATGAAGATAGAGAGTAGAATGATGGCTACCAGAGACTGGGAAAGGGCAGTGGAGTAGGAAGGGGGCAATGAGGATGGTTAATGGGTAGAAAAACATAGGTAGACAGAATGAATAACATATAGTATCTGATAGCACAAAAGGGTGATTACAGTCAACAATAATTTGTTTTACATTTTAAAATAATTAAATGAGTATAATTGGAATGTTTGTAACACAAAGAAATGATAAATGCTTGAGGTGATGGACACCCCATTTACCCTGATATGATTATTACACATTGTATGCCTGTATCAAAATATCACATGTACCCCATAAATATACATACCTGCTAGGTACCCATAAAAATTTTTAAAAATAAAATAAAATAAAAAGGAGAGAATAGTCCTCAGAAGAAAATGACCTTGCCAGCACCTTAATCTTGGATTTTCCAGTCTCCAAAAACGTGAAAATTAAATTTCTGTTGTTTAAGGGAAAAAAAGTGAATATGTTTAATGGGAAAATAAAACAAATTAGAAGAGTTTTGGAAATCAGGTCCTTTCTTTTGTCTTAAGATCTATTGGGAAAATTTACCAGAATTGCTTATTTCAATGTGCTTTCTGGTTGAATCCCGGTATCCTCCACCAAAAATATTCTGCAATTCTCAGTGTTCAGAGATCCTGTGCAAGTGAGGGGTTCTGAAGGCTTAGCTTTAATACTTTCACAAGAAATCTACCTTTGCCAAGAAAAGTGCTCACAGTGTGTGTAAGGTTGTCCACTATAACATGGCTTATACCAGTAAAAAACAGGGGAAAAAATCAATACCTGCTAACCGACAGCACAGCATGATGGTCAAAAGAGTAAACTCTGAGGGCTCCACTATTTGTTGCTGTTTGACTTTAGGCAAGATACTTAACCTCTCTGTTTCTATGTTTCATTATCTGTAAAACGGGATAATAAGACTCTATGTCATTAGGTTTTTATGAAAAGCCAATGAATTGATATTTATAAAGTGCTTAGAACAGTGCCTATTATCTGATAAGTGTCATTTAAGTATAAAATAATTAAAATTCAAACTAGAGACTAATTAAATAAGTCCGTATATTTATACAATAGAATGCTATACAGGCAATAAAAAGGGAAGAAAAATTTACATTAAGAATGCTATACAGGCAATAAAAAGGGAAGAAAATTTACATTAAAGATAAGTATTGGTATTTCAAGCTGTGTGTAATAAAAGGAAATTGTAAAACAACAAAATGTAATATAATACCAAGTATGGGGTTAGAAGAGAAACTTGCTTCTACACTACTTGTAGGTAGAGTGGCTCAACATAATACTCTTTAGAGATTTTTTTTGGTCTAATGTGGGAGAAAATATATAAACAATTCATTTGAGTACAATGTTCATAATTATGAAAATTTAAAAAGAAATGGTCCCATAGTGTTTTGGTTTTTTGTTTCTTTACCTACCTCCCATAGAGAAATGGAGTTTCTGTCCCCCTTCTTGGATCTGGGCTCTGTTACTGCTTCATCAATAGAAGAGGGAAAATAGTGACACTAGATTAGTTTCCAGGCCCAGGCCACAAGAAACTGGCAGTTTCCATGTTCTGCCTCTTGGTGTACTAGCTCCTGAACCCAGCTTTGCTCTGAGGAAGCCTAGGCAACATGAAGAGGCCCTTTATAGGTGCTCTGGTTTACAGCCTCAGCTGAGGCCCAGCCAACAACCAGCATCAACTATCAGACATGTGAGCTAATGTGCCTCTTGTTGATATGAGCCCCAGCCTCCCAGTCTTTCCTTGTAGAGCAGAGGCAAGCCACTGGCCACGTTCCTGACCCCAGACATTGTGGGAAGTGGAAACTGGTTGTTCAATGCCATTATCATTTGTGCTGATTGTTATACAATAGATAACTGGAATACATATATTTTTTCCCACGATCTGAGCATTTTGTGTGCTCTCAACCAAAGACAGTCTCTTCTTAGCAGACTATACTTTCCACTTCCAACCACTGAGACTACATAGTACAAATAGAGTCAATGAGTCTACAGCTATAAATACAGCCATTGTATCTTCCATTTTTGCTCTATGATGATCTTTCTTTCTGCTATTTACATACTAGCCAACAAATTAAATCCATAACAATTGTTGAAGGTTTGTTAGTAACAGCACTAGACCTGCCCTCCCCCCACATAAAAACTGTCTCATTGTTGCTTAAAACGCAAGTCTGGTATGTTCAAAGAGTTTTTGAGGCTGGGCATGGTGGCTCATGCTTGTAATTCCAGTATTTTGGGAGCCTGAGGCAGGAAGATCACTTGAGCCTAGGAGTTCAAAACCAGCCTGGGAAAGATGGAGAAACCATGAATCTACAAAAAAAATTCTACATATATATATATATATATGTTTTATATATATATATATGTTTTATATATATATACACACACATATATATATACACCTCCAGGAGCAGTGGCTGGCCCCTGTAGTCCTAGCTACTAGAGGCTGAAACAGGAGGATCTCTTGAGCCCAGGAGTTCGAGGCAGTGAGTTATGATCACACCACTGCCCTCTAGCCTGGGTAACAAAGCAAGACCCTGTCTCTAAAAAACAGAGAGAGAGTGAGAGAGTTTTTGAATCAATGGTAAAAGTAATCAAGAAAGGCCTCATCCAATAACTGAGAACTAATGGAAGTGCATGGATCTAACAGAAGTGCACAGAACTAATGCAATGGAACTAATGGAAGTGTCACTACAATCTGGCAGGATTGGGCAACAATTGCCTGAAATCATTGGAAAGCTGGAGGAAACCTTAGCCAGAGGCATGACGTGACTCTGGGAGATTAAATGAGCATAGAAAATCAATTGCTTATGTATGACCTATGAATCAATGTACCTCCATATGGATGACGCCCACATTTTTTTGTGTTGATTCACTCAGAACTCCCCCTTCTAGGAACCTTAGCTCACTGTCCAATGATGTGTGTGTGTGTGTGTGTGTGTATATATATTTTCTCACATGCCCTTTAATATGCATCAAAAATGCATGGAAGCATGTGTAAGAAACTCTTAATAATAGTTAATAATGGCTCCTTCCGGAGAGCTGGGAAGCAGGATTTGGGAAGCAGATGGTCTGTGGGAAGGGTAGGGAAACATTACTTTTTAATTTTTTTTTACAAGAAGAACGTATTGCTTATATAGTTTAAATGAAAAAATATCAATTTTAAATAAGTGATTCTAATTAGAAGCATGGGGTTTATAACTTCTCTTCGTGGCTTTCTGGCAGATAGCATGCCATTATGTTTTATCCTGGCAAGCTTTCCTCTATTCCCTCTCTGAAAATGACAGTACTGGATAGTAGGTTGTACACATTCATTTTTAACGTGGAATGGTTATGAAATGTCAAGCCTTTTCACTTCTCCTTTATATTATTTAGCTCCAGAGATTTTCAGGTTCTAAAAATAAGATAAACTTCTCTGCTGAGTTTATGTATCTTGAACATGTTTTAAGTATACAGTAGTCATTTGTGAAACGTGTATCTAAAGGTGGACATCAAAACTGTATTTGTGATAATCATTTTTCTTTTCATGCTATCTCAGAGTAATCCCAGGAAATGTTCTTTCATGATCAAAGCAAATCACTGCCTGGAAAAAAATGCACTATTTTCAGTTAACTCTCCTACTAGCAAGTGCCAAACGCATTTGAAGACAGAACGTTTCACAGTAGAGAAAGTTAAGTACTGCACTAAAAAGCAGCCACGAGATTACTAAGACAATCTACACAAGAAAACATGTGGGCTGACTATACATGTTTATTCAGGGCAAAACCACCATCAGTGTGCAGAGCTTAGCTTTATATATCTCACAACATGCCCCAGAGAATAACAGAGACTCAGAAAAGACAGAAGGAAAATATGAATGGCTTCCAACTGTCAAAACATGCAGTTGGGCAGCTATATTAATCGTGATTTAAAAGCCTTGTAACATATTCTATTTCAATGGTATTCTATTTTTCCTTCTGTGCAAAGGAATATAGTCCCTATAAGAAAATAGACAATTTGCACTTGAACTAACTTTTTGTGTTACAGCCCTAACCAAGGACAGTTATCATAGTGTTTCTATCTCAGCAGATAAGAATTCCTGGTTAAGAAAGCCACAAACCACACAGGAAGGGAAAGTCATAAACATAAACTCATAAAGTGGCTTATTTTTAGAGAAAGATAGTAATGACAGACAGACTCTTCCTTTCTGCTCTTCCCACCTGAATTAAAATCAACTTAATTATTGCTAAAAAGGCACATGCTTAACTATTGGAAGAATGAAAGAGGGAAGGGAAAACATATTTCATATCTTTTATACTTCTTATGTAGTTGCTACTAGTCATGGCTCCAAAAAGGCATTTCTCATTTGCAATAGGGAGCTTGTCCCTGTTATTATACTGTCAGAGCAGTAATTTTTGAAGTGGGATTTGGGAAGAAAACATTGAACTTCCATTTATTTTATTCCAGAAATAAAATGGGAAATTAAGCTTTACTAATATTTTCTGTTGAGAGAAACTTGGTTCTCACCTTCAGTCTATATGTCAAAGAGTCACGTGTCACATATGCCATGTACAGGATATTGAGAAAAGGTCAATTCTTCCCCAGCCCACCCTGTTGGCTGGTTCCTTAGCTTTCAACATGTTGCATTCAGTTAAAGATTGTGTATGGCTAATTAAATAGATTTACAGATTATTTTTATACTAAACTAAATCTTCTCGAAGTTGTCAGAGGGCTTTACAACAATCTCTGCAAAGAAAGCCAGATTGAAGATAAAACTAACAATGCAAGGTCAAGAAAAAAAATGACAGAGTAAACATTTCTATTTTTAGTTTGAGTTCTTTGCCATGTTGTAAATAAAAATAACAACGATCTAATCATATGTGGCCCTGTGTCAGCCCCCTGAAAATCTGAAATTATTCAAACACTTCCATCTACTTTCTGTAATAATGAAGTTCTTCCTAATTGCATATTGTTTCTTGAGATACTAACTAGAGATGGTCATGTACATATATATACATATATATATATATAGAGAGAGAGAGAGAGACAGAAAGAGAGAGAGAGAGGGGGTTTTTTTTGTGCTGATAGATGTGCATACTCAAAAATATTGAGGCCACTCTTCTAGAGAATAGAACAAGGGGCAAGAAGAGATCAGTTTAATTTAAAAACAAAACCAAACAAAAAAAAGCACATGCCAATTTTTAATTTCTAGTTGATTTACTCTGAAATGCTGACCAAACTCATTTCCTAAGGAAATACTCATTCAAGTACTGACACATTAAAAGCATTGTTGGATTTTTTTTTAATTACTTTCTTTTACTAACTTTGGCCTACCCACCTCCAGAGCCATTTTCCTGAAGTGATTAACTTAAGAAATGCATGAAGACACACTAGATTTCAAGTGAAAATACTGATTCAGTTAAATAAGTGAGTAATTTCCGTTATACTTAAGTAGTTTAAATGCAAATGATCCATTTTATGTTTTGTTTCTGAGTCTTCTTTTAAGAGAAACATAGATATTATTTCACAGTGAAAGTGGAAAAGATTCCTGACAATATTAACATGTTCTAACAAGGAAAACATTTGCAAAGACTACTCCTGCTCCTTTCCTAACTATACAGCTGGAAGGGACATCAGAAATTAATCATTCCAGTCTCCTCATTTTACAGATGGAAAACTTGGAGCATGGCAAGAGGCAGCTACATCAGCAAGACTGCAAAGTCTGTTAACCAGAAAGCCAGGATCTAACTCTTCCTGACTCATGGACCAATCACTCTCCAACTTAAGGAGAATGAAGCAAAACCACTATGCTATCCTTATCAGGGAATTTACTCAAAAGGTTTTTTGTTTCTTGTTTTTAAATTTTTTGTTTCCAAAAAGTTATTTCAGATACAATTGCTTTTCCTAAAAGGATTGCCTTCCATGGAATTTAAAAATAAGAACAAAGCAAAAGAGGCCGGCTGTGGTGGCTCACACCTGTAATCCCAGCAGTTTGGGAGGCCAAGTCAGGCAGATCATCTGAAGTCAGGAGTTTGAGACCAGCCTGGCCAACACGGTGAAACCTCATCTCTACTAAAAATACAAAATTTAGCGGGGGTGCTGGCACACACCTGTAATCCCAGCTACTTGGGAGGCTGAGGCAGGAGAATCACTTGAGCCTGGGAGACAGAGGTTGCAGTGAGCCGAGATCTTGCCACTGCACTCCTGCCTGGGTGACAGAGTGAGACTCCATTTCAAAAAAAAAAAAAAAAAAGAGAAAGAACATAAAAGGGGAAGAAAAAAAGCTTTAGGATATAAGACAGAATATATTAAATGGGGTTTTTAAGTGATTGCACAATTGACTGGTTTGGCAGTTAGGAGCTCAGCACATTTTCATCTTCTATACGAAATCCCAGTTACTGTCTGGGAAATACTAAAATGTAAAGGAAGCATATTTGTGACAGTTTTACCCAGCATAAAGAATATAGTATACTCTACCTCTGTTTAATGTGCTAAAGAAAATTGTGTAGGTTATCTTTGACTTTGGTGATCCAGGGACTTTTTTTGTATGAAGCATTTTTGTCTTCAAATATATTTGGCAATTGTGAGCGGCAGAATTAACCAAAAATAATGTATTTTCCAGGAAGTGAATTTTGATTATGAAAAACTTATCAAGACAACTTCACCAATCTAAATGAACATTTTCTTAAAATAGACAGTCTGGTTCATTGGGCATGGGAACCAGCATTTTTAACTACCTCTAATTCTGATATAGAAAAACACTTTCAAAAACACTGCTTCTAAGAATCAAGGACAAAGACCATATGACCATATGATCATTTTAATAGATGCTGAAAAAGCATTGATAAAATTCAACATCCATTTATGATAAAAACTCTCAACAAACTGGGTGTATTAGTTTGTTTTCATACTGCTATAAAGAACTGCCTGAGACTGGGTAATTTATAAAGGAAAGAGGTTTAATTGACTCACAGTTTAGCATGGCTGAGGAGACCTCAGAAACTTAAAATCATGGTGGAAGGTGAAGGGGAAGCAAGGTGCCTTCTTCACAAGGAGGCAGAAAGGAGAAGTGCCAAGTGAAGGGGGAAGAGCCCCTGATAAAACCATCTGATCTTATGAGAACTCACTCACTATCACAGAGCAGCATGGGGGAAACCACCCCCGTAATTCAATTATTTCCACCTGGTCTCTTCCTTGACACATGGGGATTAGGAGGATTACAATTCAAGATGAGATTTGGGTGGGCAAAGCCTAACCATACCACTGGGCATAGAAGGAACATACCTCAAAACAATAAAAGCCATTTTTGACAAGCCCAGAGCTAACATCATACTGAATGGAGAAAAATTGAAGGCCTTTCTACTAAGATCTGAAACAAGGATGCCCACTTTACCATTTTTATTCAACATTGTACTGGATGTACTAGCCAGAGCAATCAGGCAAGAAAAACAAAGGGCATTCAGACTGAATGGAAGAAGCCATATTATTCTTGTTCACACATGATATATTACATTTAGAAAACCTAAATACTACGCCAAAAAACTGTTAGAACTGATCAATGAATTCAGTGAAGTTGCAGGACACAAACTCAATATACAAAAATTAGTAGTGTTTCCATACACCAATAGTGAACAAACTGAAAAACAAATAATCCCTAAACTCCTATGGAACCACGTAAGACCCCAAATAGCCAAAGCAATCCTGGGAAAAAAGAATAAAGAATAAAGGTGGAAGCATTGTACTATATAACTTCAAAATATACTACAAAGCCATAGTAACCAAAACTGCATGGTGCTGGCATTTAAAAAAACATATAGACTAATGAAACAGAATAGAGAACCCAGAAATAAATCCATGCAGTTACAGTCATCTCATTTTTCCACAAATGTGCCAAGAACATACATGGGGTAAAGGGCATCCTTTTCGATACATGGATTTGAAAAAGCTGGATAACCATATTTAGAAGAATGAAGCTAGGCCCCTATCTCTCACCATACAGAAAAATCAAATCAAAATACATTTAATGACTTAAATATAAGACTTGCACCTATAAAACTACTAGAAGAAAACACTGGAGAAACATTTCAGGACATTGGTCTGGGCAAAGACTTCTTGGGTAAGACCTCAGAAGCACAGAAGGCAAAAGTAAAAGTAAACAAATAGCATTACAACAAGCTAAAAAGCTTTTGCACAAAAGAGGAAACAATCAACAAAGGTGAGAGATGACCCACATAAAATGGGAGAAAATAGTTGTAAACTATCCATTCAACAGGGGATCAATAATCAAAATATATAAGGAACTCAAACAACTAATAACAGAACAAAAAATTCCAATTAAAAATGGGCAAAATATCTGAATAAACATTTATCAAAGACATACAAATGACCAACAAATATATGAAAAAATGCTCAGCATCACTAATCATCAGAGAAATGCAAATCAAAACCATAATGAGGTATTGTCTCACCCAAGTTAAAATGGCTTTTACTCAGAAGACGAAAAATAACAAATACTGGCAAGGATGTGGAGAAAGAGAAATGCTTGTACCCTGTTGGTGGGAATGTAAATTAGTACAGCCACTATGGAAAACAGTATGGAGTTTCCTCAAAAAACTAAAAATAGAACTACCATATGATCCAGCAACCCCCTGTTGGGTACGCAGCCAAAACAAAAGAAATCAATAAATCGAAGAGTTATGTGCACTCTACACTCCACATTCCTGTTTATTGCATCATGATTTACAATAGCCAAGATATAGAATCGACCTAAATGTTCATCAAATCAACATATGAGTGAATTTAAAAAATGTGGTACATATACACAACGGAATATTATTCAGCAATGAAAATAATGACATCCTGTTATTTGCAGCAACACGGATGAAACTAGAGTTCGTTATGTGAAATAAGCTGGGCACAGACAAATACCACATGTTCACACTCATATGTGGGAGCAAAATAAAGATGGATCTCACAGAGATAGAAAGTTATTTGGTAATTACGAGAGGCTGAGAAGCAGGGGGATGAAGATCAGTTGATTCACGGGTACAAAAATACAGTTAAATAGAAGGAATAAGGTCTAGTGTTTGATAGTATTGCTGGGTAACTATACTTAACAATAATGTATTCTATAGTTCAAAATAGTTAGAGGAGAAGAACTGGAATGTTCCTAACATAAAGAAAAGATAAATGTTTAAGGTGATAGATATCTCAATCACCCTGATTTGATCATTATACATTGTATGCATATAGCAAAATATTACATATAACCCCCAAATATGTACAAATATTATGTATTAATACAAGAAATATCAATAAAAATACAACTGTTAAATGATAAACTGAGGCACATTAAAATTTAAGGAGTTTTGCAAATGTGTCTTCAGAAGAGTGAAATAAAGAAAACGGGAGTTTATTTGAGCAAACGATGATTCATAAATCAGGCAGCATTAAGTGGGAAGTGATTTGGGGCTCCAAGGGAGGAGTTTGAAGGGAAGGCTTTTATAGGATAAATGCAGAAGCAGAGTAACAGCATGATTTCATTGGTTAAAATTTGAGCAGTTTTTGTATATGGTTTATCTCAGTGAAAAATTCATTATTATATAACTTAATGCTCCTTTGGCCATCTGTGATTAGCAAAACTTAATTTTCATTTTGTTTACATAGGAACCCAGGACATTGGAGCCATCTCAGCCTACTGACTTCCATTAAGTTATTTTATTACTGCTTTGTGAAAGCCCTTCTATGCACTTATTGAAGAGACAGTTTCCTTAGAATAGGGCAAGTAAAATGCCTCCACAATGTGCTCAATGTTGCACGTGCATGATGTTAGCAAATAATCTGCTTACTTAAATGAATTTCTCATTTGTTGAAGAATAAAAAAAAATGAGCATCTAATAGAAAAAGCATTTTTCCTTTCAGATACATCTATCATAGAACTTTTGTCTTAAGATGGAAATGAACAACTCCTAACCCAAAAACTCCTGCATTGTGCCTTCTATCACATCCAAAATTCCTAAAAAGACCTGTTGTCTTCTAAATATTCTTTTAAATGTTATCTAGAAGAATAACATTAATTCATCAATGGCCATCAATCTATAAATGAAGATTGACTTAACAGACAACAGTAATGGGATAAGGAACTAATGCCTTAATAGGAATGCAGCAAAGTGAAGATTTAGATTCAATTGTAGGTTTGATGCTCAGGCTTGGGGAGACCTGCCTCAGAAGAAGCTATGTGGCTTCCCATAGCCAGGCGAAGCATGAAGAAACTGAAGCCAACGGGGTGCAAAGATGAGAAATGAAGACAGGCGAGAACTGTTAGGGATAAAGCCAAGTCACCATTTTGGCATTTTGCTGACTTTGTCCTGTAGCCCCTTCATCTGGAGAATTTATAAGCACCTGCCTTCATGGAGCATGCAAGTAGAAGCTGCTTGGCTAAGAGAAAGCCCATATTTGCAAGTCAAATAAACGAAAATTGAAACCCAAGCTCCAACAACAGCTATGTGACCCTGAACATCACCTCTATAAATCTCAGTTGCCCATTTCTAAAATGGGCAAAATAATTCCTACATACATACCTGTGAGAATTAAAAGATGGGTATGTAAAGTTCCTAATATGGTGCTGCTTCTTTTCCTTCACCTGCTCACTCTTCAGTGAAAGAAAGGGGGAAGTGGGAAGCACATCTGAGGCACTTGTGAGTCAGTTACTGAATTTGCTTTTGAGTATTTGCATCTTTTTTAAAATTCTGCAGTGATTTGCAGGAAGAAATAAACATCATGAATATAAACTGATTACATCTTATTTTCTGTCATTTCAGTACTCTTGTAGAAAAGGTGAGCATAGATTTGGAATACTATGCATCCTTATGAAATAAAACAAAACAACATTAATTTGTTGAGGATTCATTGTGTTTGGCACTGGGGGAAATGCAAAGAAATATCAGACACAGTTTCTGCACTAAAGGGTTAACAATTGATTTGAAGTTCAAGACAAGTGAAAAGTTCCAGAGCCACAAAAAATTAAATAACTCAAGATATAATATGAAATGTGTCATCAGGCAGTTTATTATTAACTTCCAAATGAGTTGCACAGACAATAATTGTTATACAAACTTAGAAGAAAAAGAAATCACCCCTGCATACGTGTAGTAAGGAAGATTTGGAGCAGAGAGTGAAAATTGGTGGCCTACGGGCAGAAATCAACCCATAGGCCTATTTAGTTTGAAATTCTTAATGGTTTTGTTTTGTTTGGGGTTTTGTTTCCTTTTTTAATAAGTTGACAGTGTTAAAAATAGGGAGAATAATGCCTTTAGTCCAAAGAAGGCCTTTCTAAAGGCTAAATTGGTTGTCTTGGGAATTTGAGGAAAGAGAAACAAAAGAGGACATCCAACTATAGTCTTCTCTGCAATCAGTGCATTCATTTGTGAATAGCATCTCCCTTCTATCTGGGCACTTCTAACATCAAAATATATTCCCTGTTTTTCCTGCTGTCAAAAATTCTTTATAATTGCATCCTTAAAGATACTCACTATTTTTGAGCTACCAATGATAATTAAAATCTTCAGGGTAAAAACCAGCAGTTCCTCCTCCTAGGTGATTATCAGCTTAGAGCTGGCTTCACAGGCTGACCACTTCATAATAAAATGAACAGGTAGGTAATTAAATCCTCAAATCTGTAAGAACCCACAGGACCTAAATCCAGCAAGCAATTTTACATTTGAGGCATTTTGGGAATCAGGCAAATGAATAAACAGATACCTTAGATTGGATCCCAGCATATACTCTGACTGCAAAGTAGCAAAATAGACACAAAAGAACTTTGTTCAGTCACTGCCTTTTTATTTAACACCACTATGTTGGTAGAACAGTGAAACATTCTTATTTAAATATTCAGAAGCCCAGGATGGTTTGTCCTCCAAAAACTTTTCTTTGTCATCTAAACATGTGTCTATCCTTGGGGGATTTAATTGATCTTTACTGCCTCAAGTTGCTTCAAAATTTATTTCATTCATCGAAAGCACCAAACGTTCTGTGAACCGATCTGCCTATCCAAAAGATTTTTTTCACATACTATTTCAAAGATGGTTCTGCTCACATACTAACTTTTACTGAGTAACTCAGCAAATTTTCATCTTATCTTAATAGCACTTTAGTCTGGATTTAACTTCTGAATGTTAATGGGCAGGAGAATCACTCGTATCTATTTGATGTTGGAAGCAACAATTTGAAATAGGAGGAGAAAAGATAAATATTCTCTT
Organism: Homo sapiens; assembly: GCF_000001405.40. NCBI lineage: Eukaryota > Metazoa > Chordata > Mammalia > Primates > Hominidae > Homo > Homo sapiens. The sequence goes on along the minus strand of NC_000007.14, from coordinate 108,829,888 downwards.
TTATTATTATTTTCATAGAGACAGGGTCTCACAATGTTGCCCAGGCTGGTCTTGAACTCCTGGGCTAAGCGATCCTCCTGCCTCGGCCTCCCAAAGTGCTGGGATTACAAGCATTAGCCACCATATCCAGCCAAGATAAATATTTTCTAGCAGAGAAGAGCCACTAAACTATACATATCATTCTCATACCAAACTAAAACATCCCAACATATGCAAATGGGACTTTCCAAAAATAAGAGATTCTTTTTCATCACAAAACATTTAATGTTTTTTATAGAGGACCCCTTTAGACAAACCTTGCCTCAGAGCTTTACAAATATTAGACACTTGGTTTGTTTTGTTGAATATAAATTAAATGACTAAATGAGATGTTCATCAACATCCAAATTTTATTTTCTACATGATTTCCTAGGAGTGAGGATATTTTTATTATCTGACAATGTTTATTCTGTGGAGTTTAAGATCATCTTCACCCACTAATCTCCTTAAGAGAAGATAAAAACAATTTATTTTGGTCAAGCTTAGGGAGTTTACAAGCCAGTCACGTTTAAAGTTAGCCCTGAGGATATCCAGGAATCTGCTATAAATTCTTTCCATTTATAGAGTTTCAGAGGATGAATGGCATTAGCCCACTAAACTGGCATCTCAGCCACTTGGAGTTATAATTAAACAGACTGCAATCTTTTGGTGAAATGCCCATTTTTGCAGATACAGAGAAAAAACTTATGGAGGGAAAAGTGACCTTTGTCACTACCTAATATTAATGTATTTTCCACCTAAACTGATATAGGGAAATAAATAAATAAAAATAATGATGTTGCTTTGAATTCAAAGCAGACAAGTCTGTGCTATAAGCAATGCTAGAGAAAGGATCAAATATGTCTCCCAAGGTATATAGCTCTAAAACTAGGACAGCATTGCAATTAGTTTTCTCTACTGGGCAAAATCTACGTTTTTGAAGAAGCAATACCTCCTCCCAGACACCCATGTAAGTATAAAACAATATATGGTCACAGAGCTCATAAAACTAGACCAAAGCTGACACAGTCAAAGTTGCCCTAGCATATACATGCTCATTTAGGCAGTGGGAGGATGGCAAGGCCTCCAAAGCTCAAGCTTCTGTTTTGTTCCAGTCCCATGGCATCACTCTCTACAGCATAGAACTGAACACAGGCAACATATTAGCTGTGTATTAAAGGGGTGAGTTTAGCTGGGTACAGTGGCTCAAGCCTGTAATCTCAGCATTTTGGGAGGCTGTGGCAAGCTGATCACTTGAGTCCAGAAGTGTGAGACCAGCCTGGGCAACATGTAAAACCCCGTCTCTACGGAAAAATTCATAAATTAGCCGGGCATGGTGGTGCATGCTTGTAGTGCCAGCTACTCAGGAGGCTGAGGTGGGAGCATCACTTGAGCCCAGGAGGTAGAGGCTGCAGTGAGCTGAGATCCCACCATTGCACTTCATCCTGGGAGACAGAGCAAGACCTTGTCTAAATAAATAAATAAACAAATAAATAAATAAATAAAGGGGTGAGTTTCAATTTTATCTCAGTTTAGAAAAGTGGGAATTTCATTGTGTAGCTTTCCCTTTGCTGTGAAACCTCCTCTTTCCTCAGTTGCTATTCACTCTTCAACTGCAGCTTCTAACCTTCTTACTCCACTGAAGCTACTCTCACCATGTGACATCACCCATGACATCCTAATTACTCAATAGTGTTGACATTTTAACACCTTATTTTAATACCTTTCTGCAGCACTTGGCAGGGTGGCTACTCCTTCCTCCAATCCTTCTCCCTAATAGATCTCATGACCTCATGTTTTACCAGTTCTCTTTCTACCTTCCACTTTTGATATTTCTTCATCTCTTTTGTGGAACTCTTCCACTGCCTACTCCTAAAACATCCGTGTTCCCAGTATTGTGTTCTTTCTGGAAAGGATTATGTTCTGTTTCATGGTTTTAATTATAGCTTATTCATTAATAAAACCCATAGTGATTGCCAGGGGCTTGGGGGAGGGGCAAAGGAACAGTTGTTGTTTAATGGGTGTAAAGTTTCAGATTTGCGAGATGAAAAAATTATAAAGGTCTGTTTCACAACAATGTGAACATACATGATATTATGAAACTGTACACTTAACCATGGTTAAAATGGTAAATTTGTTATTTACCATTTGTTTTTCACCACAATAGACAAATAGACACAGCTATCTATCTATCCAGTGTAACCCATGCAACGGCTACCCCCGCTAAATCTGTTGTGAGGTATCAACACAACTGGCTTCAAGATGGTTGCACCTGCTCTAGGCTTCACATTCTCACACATCAATGGCCAGAGACAGAAAAGAGAACTTCTTTTTCTTTCATTCTCTTCTTAAACATTAAGGAACTTTTCTTGTAGAGCCCAAAAAACATCCTTTTATTTCTCATTAACCAGAATTGAATCAAAGAACAGTATCAACACAACAGGAACTGACCATTCAAGCTGAGCAGCCTCTCAGCATCCCTTGTTGAGGATGAAGCTAGTCTCACCTTCCCAGATCACATGGCTGCACAGAGAAGGCTGAGGGAACAAAGTCAGAGCTCCACCAGCAAGGAAGAATGGATATGGTACAGATGTAGTGGGGTACCAGCTGTATGTGCTACACTGATCTCTCCCCTAAGCAAGAGACCCATGGATACAACTCTTTCCAAAACATCTACTCCATATCAAATTTATATACACTGCTTTTGCCATGAGAATTCTTCTTATGCTTCCTATTCCATTTTATAACACTCCTGTATAATAAAAAGCCTAGTCAGAAACCTGGGCAGGGTCTTCAACTCCTTCCTTTTCCTATACAAGCAATCCTGAAATCTGATCATGGTGACTCTCCATTTCATTTCTATGGCCAGTTCCTCCTAACTCAACTCCCTGTCTCTAGCGTGGCCTTTCCTCATAAGTCCAACTTGCTGACCTGATGACAACAAGGGCTATTAATCTGAAACACAAACTGACCATGTGATTCTGTTTATGGATTGTCTAAAAGAGGGGCTCCATAACCATGACTTCCCTGAAATGAGATGCAAAATTTTTTGAATATGTATGTGAAACATTTTTTGTGAAACAAATTTTTGAATAAGTATGTGAAACATTCTGATAGATTACTTCTGAAAAGTCCTTGACCCAGTAAAGCTTCAAAAACTACTGACATAATGGACACAAATCCAAGATATTTTGCATGGAACATAAGGACATTTCATAATCTGCTTCTTCATTATCTCTTCAGACTCATCTCTTACATCTCTTTCCCTTATATCTTATGCTCCACCAAAAGTAAACTACTTGCAGTTACTCAAGCACGACTCTGTGCCTATGCACAAACCAGTACATCTTTCTAGATTACTTTCCCTGCCATAATCCAATTAGTACACGTCAATGCATCCTTCAGAATCCAGCTTGTATATCACTTCCTCTGTAAAGTCTCCATTTGTGACCTCAGAATGTATCAACTGCTTCTATATACTTTTATTCTATAGATATTTTTCTATTTATGATACATTTGTCACTATAATGTATATTTTCTTATTTCCTCCACCAAACTGTGAGCTGCCTGAGGAGAGATTGTCTGATTCTTTTTCAGTGTCTCCATCTCCAAGAAGAGATCCTAATACAAAGTAGGTGTTCATGATGTATTTGTTGAAAAGAACTATTTGAAAATACGTTATGTCCATAGTTAACATATAATAATGCAATGTGGATTAACCAGATATGGAGAATTATTCTTATAACTGCTTCCTCTCTCTTACGTAGGTTTGACAGCAATAATTCTCAAACTTCAGTGTGCACCAGACTTAGCAGTGAAACTTTCTAAAATTACGGAAAGAAGCTTCAGGCCCTATCCCACACCTGCAGAGCCAGAATCTCTAGGGCTGGAGCCCTGGTGCCTGCTTTTTTAATAAACCATCCAAATGAATCCAATAACTTCTGCTCTCAAGAATTGACAGAAATCGCTTTCCATTCCAGGACAAGAACCAAAGACAAATTCCTATTTGTCTCCTCTTCATGATCTTAGGCAGAAGGGTCTGTCACTACTGAAGACAACAAAGGATAATTCACTTTAGTCAGTGCTGACTTGCTTGGAGAAGAAATGTAAAAGCACTCAAAGGCAGAAAATAAAAGCAGTTCCAGTCCTGGAAGTCATTTGGACAGTTCCAGTTGAAGAGCCAAAGCAGAAAATTAACATTCTAGCTCCTAGAAATTTTATTTTCGCCTTTCTTCTAGGCATAATTTATAAGTCAAATAGAATTGCTTTGGCCTGGGTGATTTTGCATAATGGTTCCTAGCATGGTATTATGGTCTGCATTCAGCATTATTTTTCTTACATTTCTGTAGAGCAATGACAGCACTATTCCCCAAGCATCCCAACAAAGCTCTCAGCCCACACCCAGCTGCTGCCCAGGCCAGTGACCTGTGGAAAGACAAAGACAAGAATGCTATGCAATAAATCAGAAATGGCCTGGAAGATAAACCTGGCCAAAGAACTGAGTGCCTGCAGCCAGACTACAGCTGTTTTCTCTTTGGGCAGCAAGGAGGAAGCAAGTGTGACTCCTCAGACTCCCTCAAGCCCTGCTGATCAAGACAATGGTTCTTCTTCATTACTCATCTATATGAAATAGTTCAGACATTGCTGTTTACTTATTTATAATAAACCTAATTACTCATCTTATTGCCATACCTTGTCTTCCCAGTCTTATTTATGCATTGCTTACCTGGGTAAATACGGTGGCCACAGAGGTGCCTCACTTCCATTACCATTCAGCAGAACTTACTGTGGGAAACATAGCTGATGGAAAGCTCCAACTTCTGCCCCTTCGGATTCACCAGGCAATACTTTCCTCAGTCTGCTCCCAGCCAATGACTCAGCACAGTGGGAGTGCTGGATCCAGCCCATTTCTGCCTGCCACAGGAAGCCCCGTCATGGGAAACTTTGGCTCAGAGCTGAGACATAGCCAGAATTGCATTGAAGTTTGAGTATTTTCCTACTCAATTCTTTCTCTCTTTTCTTTTTTAGATGTCAGACCTAGATTGTGGTCTGAAGACTTATCCTGCTTCCACCTTCTTTATTTTTCACAGGTGTTTCCCCTCAATAAGTCTCTTGCATATCTAATCCCCATCTTGGCTTCTTGAAGGATCCATACTGACACTGTGTTTGCTGTGTTAAAGATAATTGTAAGTTCTTTGCAACTACTCTCATTAAAAGGTGAAAGCCCTGTAAGACAAGGCTTCCAACCATCCACACCAATATGCCAGATATGCAAGTGAAAACATCTGGGAACCTCCAGCCCGGTCCATCTGCCAGCTGAGTACCACTAAGTAATCTCAATCAGCATCATGCAGATCACCCAGCCAAACTCTGCCTGAATTCCTGGCCCATATGATTTTGAAAAGAAATAAAATGCTTGTTCTTTTGTGGTAGTTTGCAGCAATAGTTTACCAGAATAGGTATCATTTTCTTTTCTTTTTCTCTCCTGTTTTGTTAAGTTAAAAATTAACAGCTTATTTACATAATTTCCCACAAAAGAAAAGGTTTTAAGAGTCTATATGGAGGAACATTTTACATAGTGTTTAAGGCTACAATTTTTAAAGTAATATTAGATTATTCCAATATAACCTGTTGAGTTGAATGGAAAGTCCTTGAAATTTCAGGTGCTAAGAAAGCAACTTTCAAAAGCTTTTCTACCTATGGGTCTTTAATTCATTGGACCACTTTCTAGTAGAAACCAACTCAATAATCTTCCAGGTAGTATGCAATTCTATAAGATTTTTTCAGCACAAAAGAGGTGGAGGGATGCAGTGGAAGCTTTTCAAAAAATTGTGGCTGTTGAAAAGAGCATGCTGCTGCAGGCTGATTTGAAATGGAACACTGATTTTATTTTGATCAATAAATCTAGATAACACAAGGCATTACCATTCTCAAACATTGCGGTTTTTGCTTCATTTTAACTGAATGTGTCTTGTGGAATCTTGCTTTATTCCATAAAACAGAATGACAATTTTTTCTCCGCAGCCAGACAAGCTAGACCTATCTGAAATCAATCTTTCAGCATGGCAAATACATTGTAAATTATAAGGCAATGTGTATACTAAAGCAAGTGTCGTAGTTAATTTTAACAATTTTTTAAAAGCATGTCGGGGTTTTGATAATACCAGAGAGATGAAAATGTCTTACACAGCATGCCAGATCAGCACAGTTTTCAATTTGAGATTAGAGGCCATTGACTAACATGTCATCAAGTTCACATAGTATTTATGGTTGATCTGCTCAAGAAATTAAAAGCATTGAATCTTGGACATGACACAGATGTGAAAGACTAAAACACAACACTTGAAAATATTTCAGTTGTGATAAATATATACCTTTAATAGATGCTTTATTTTTCAAGAAACCACACCTGCTTTGAAATTACAGGTCCACGGAAATCTTATGCCCTGGTGTCAGTGTCCCTTAGATTCATCTATAATGTAGGCCACTGCAATAATTTTGCCCTTAAATTAATTGATCCCACAGATGAAAACTGTACAATCTTTGCTTTTCACCGTATCTTTAGAAGCCATTTTTCTTTTGCCTATCTCAAGAACCCTACTCTTTTGAAGTATATCATCCACTCATATATACATACATCCACATATTCCCTCTGTTAGAAAAAGTGTCTTAAAAAGAAAAAGAAAATCATTTAGGAAAACATAAACTGTTTCATTTTTGCAAGGGAAGGATGTGTGGAGTTTTTTCTCTTTAATAATTCTGTCTTTTTATTTTATTGTGGTAAGAAAATGTAACGTGATTTATCCTCTTAAATTCTTAATTGTACAATGCATTACTGTAGACTATAGGTACAATGTTGTACAGCAGAACTCTAGAGCTTGTTTATCTTGCTTAATAGAAACTTACGCCCATTGATTAGTAGCTTCCCATTCCACCCTATTTTCCTGCCATTATATTATAGTAGTTCAGCTGGTGATCAAGCTTTGGGATTGATTAAGAAAGCTGATTTGAAATACAAAGATTGGAAGATCTGCTTTTCTACTCCTTTCACCTCTTCACTTTCTTTTTTGGTGATTCTATCCACCCTCTTGGTTTTAACTACCACTTCTTGGCAAATGACTAAAATAACCTACAAGTCTAGCCCAGACTTCTCTCCTAAGCCCACTTCTGAATTTCCACCTGTCTATAGCACATTTCAACATAGTTTTTCTCTTCACAACTCAAACCCAACATTTTACACAAGTTCTGTAAATACTCATTTAATCTAAAACCTGCATTTTTTTCAGATGTAATAACTGAATCCTAGAGTACTTTACTGGGTTACATATAGCTGCCTATTGGAAATAAACCTATAATTAAAATATGTTTCTCTAGAAATAATTAATAAAACCAAAGTATGTTCTTGGAGATGCCTAACAAAATTTTTAAAACCATTAATTTATCAAGAAAAAAAGAGAGGGCATTTAAAAAATTATCACTATCAGGAAAGGATGATTTTTGATTCTTGAATGTTCATTTATTCTTTATTATAGATTTTGGTTCTCCAGGGAAATTCTCCATTTTCTTTTCTCTTTTTCTTGAACATAATTTTTAGAATTATTTTACATTTCAATATCTGAATCACCTTAGGTGTTTCTGTTTTCTATTTCTTCCAGTAGTCTTGTCTAGTAATGTGTCAGGACATTGTACACAAAAGTCATAAAAGATCCAAAAGGGTGAGTTCTGTCTCCAAAGAGGGCTTCTTAAGCTTCTGGGAGGGAGCTGGAGTAGGAGCAGGACCATTATCTCAATCAGAGTTTAAGTTGATTGACTTGAAGGTTTCAATCTTTATCAGGGTTATTCTAATTCTGATTTTCTCTTATTCTTTGCATGCAGTCCTTTAAGGCTGTCAACTAAGGATCTGGACCCGTCTACCTGGCAGACCCTACCTTCAGTTTTATCTCCGCAGCACTACCAGCTGCGGAGATGGCTGCTTTCTGCTTAGCCTCTCTACCTCCTGGCCTGCACTGCCTCAAGAGGAAAAGTGGCATACAAGACAACTTCTCTGCAATTCCCTTTACTCTAGGATTATGACTTCTCAAATCCTGACTGCCTTGGTAGCCATCCAATGACTCTAAGCAGATGCCTTTCTGTATTTTATTCAGATTTTCTGGTTGCTCTCACTGGGAGGATTAGTTAGCGCCAAGCCAGTTTATCATACCTGGAAGCCTGGGTATATTTTGAAGATTTAGAGGATGGAATTTGCTGGTTCACAAATTAGATGTGAAAGGTGAATGAAAGAAACTAGTCAAGAATGACTCCAGGGTTTTCTTTATTCGTGTGTTTTTGTTCCAAAGGACTGTATGAATGAACTTGTAAATAATCAAGATGGGGAAGTCAGGAGGAGTAGGAATGGGGAAGCAGGCTTTGGGGGAAAATTAACAGACTCAGTTATGCATGCATTAAAAGTGAGATGCTTGTTACAGGTACAAGTGGTGATGTTGAATATGTAAGTGTGGAGTTCAGAGAAGCCCAAGATGAAGACCTGAATTTGTGAATCTTCAGCCTGTACCTTCAGAGTTTACAAAGTAGAGGCTGAGATACACATAATCCTGAAATGCAAAAGAGTGAGTGGTAATCTTTAAAAGATTAAAGAGCCCTTCCATGACTCTTCTACATTTTACAGCAAGATTTTCAGATCAGAATGTCTAAAGTAGAGCAGATGAATTAGGTTAATATGATTTGGCCCTGTATCCCCACCCAAATCTCATCTCAAATTGTAATGCCCACATGTTAGGGGAGGGACTTATGATCCCCACATGTCGAGGGAGGGAGGTGATTGGATTATAGGGGCAGTTTCCCCCATGCTGTTCTCACAATAGTGAATGAATTCTCACAAGATCTGATGGTTTTATAAATGGTAGTTTTTGCCTATGCTCTCAGACACTCTGTCTCCTACCACCATGTAATATGCGCCTGCTTCCCCTTCCACCATGATTGTAAGTTTCCTGAGTCCTCCTCAGCCATGTGGAACTGTGAGTCAATTAAACCTCTTTTCTTTATAAATTACCCATTTTTGGGTAAGTTATTTATAGCAGTGTGAAAATTAATGATGTAGACAGAGACAAGAATCTGTGCTTGTAAACAAATCCTACCACTCTAGTGCCCTAAAATCAAGCAGTCATAATACTTTGTTTCTCTTCTCATTCAGGTACGTGGTTTGGCACCATTAGTTTCCCTTTCTGTCCTCCTCCCAGAGGAAGCTATCTGCAAAGAGGACCCTGAGCAAGGACAGAATGGTATATATCTATTAAAAGAAAAATTAGGGAGTACCAAAGGATTTGGGGAAGAGAATGAAAACAGAGAAAGGAAATAAAGATGAAATACAAATAAATGTACACTCAAAAGCAAATAATCCTTGAGTTTTTAATATTTACTCATTTCTAAATGGATAAGCCTAGTTGGTAGTTTGGGAGTGTTTAAGCCTAACCTTTGTTATCTGTAAGGATAACATTAACTGGTAGCGGCCATTATTTGTGCAACTTGTTAAACAACTTATCAAAGTAAAGGAATACAATTGCTTTTATATATCTAAGAATCTCTAAATCTGCTTTTTAAAAGATATCTTTTCTCTGTTGGTTCCCACAATTCTCACTTATCATTTCATACACACTATTACAATGGAAGGATGGATCCACCCAAGACAAAGTCAGAATCATAAAAGTTGAAGCTTGGGTGGCTACATTTTTCAAATCTTCATACATTTCAAAGCCTTGATTAGGAAACATGGCAAATAATCTTTCACTTTTCCCCATTCTTGCCTTTATCCGGTCATAATAAGAGTGGTCCAGAGCTGCCACCATCCCTGTAAGGTACACCATCCTGTCAAGCCTAGCGTACATCAGAAGCCTCTGGTACCATTTTTCCTCTCTTGGTTTCCTTCTGGCATTTTGACCATATATGAATATGGCCAAAGATAAATGGCCATATATGAATATTCTTATATATATCTTATGGTATATCTTATTACTATATATGGCAAGACATACCGTATATATGGTATGTCTTATTCATATATAGAAGATATGCCATAAGATATATATTCTTATGGTGTTCTAGAAAGATCATTCTATCTTTCTAGAACAGCAAAAGAATCACATCACTCCCTGATGAAGAATCTACTACTTTGGTTTACTACTAGTCCGAGTTTTTCGTTTTTGTTTTGTTTTGTTTTGTTTTGTTTTGTTTTGTTTTTAATTCGAGACCCCTAAAATACTCTCATATTTATATTTCTTTGCTTCTAATTTCAATCTCTCTAATGTGTTATAGATCAAAAGTTCAATTTTGGTTATATTTTATTTTGTTCCATAAAGTCTTCATGTGACTTATAACATAGCATACTGTTTGTGTATAATGTATGATGTAATCAATACCAGTTTCTTAAGATGTTGAATTCAAATTGGCACCAGAGAGGCCACCAAAGAGGACATTTAGTGTCAGGACAACAAAATTCTAGCATCAGACCTGATGATAACCAGTTGTGTGACCGTAAGACGATAATTTCATGTCGTTAAGCCTCTATTTGACTATTTGCATAAATGCAAAGATTGGATTCAGTTGTCTCTCGAGTCTTTATAATTCTATTGCTTTATAAGGCTCTTAGTTCTCATAGAGAAGGGCAAATTAATGACCAAAAATGAGTAGCATTAGCTTACAAGACAGTGATTTTATAAGAAATATACAACAACTTACTAAACTAGATGGTACTACATGTAATAGCTACATAAATTAACAATTAATCTTCATAGGGCTTTTAATTTGTTTCTTGTTTTTGTCATTTGTGCAAAGTGTTTTGGCATTTGTTGATAATCTAACACAGTCTACGTCTGACTTATGTGTCTGCTATACACACACTCTAATATATCCAGACAATTCCAATTGCTTGGAGTCTGCTCACATCTGGTCACAATGAAGATAAAGCTGTAATAAAATTTCTAAAAATAAGTTAAAATTATCTCAGAAGCCAAAAACCAATAACCATAATAATAGAGATTGCTACATCCGGTGAAAAATGAGGAGAACTACTGCAGATTCCCCACATCTTGGTCATTTTTCCCTCCAAATGTTGCTCATATTTTCACCCATACAGATTACCCTGTATCATACTATCTGTCCAAATCCATCATTTCTTTCAAGGTCAGGCTCAAAACTCACTTCACTGCTCCTTCCTTCCTATCACTCCTTTATTTCTTATGAGACAGATGCCAGACTTAGCTATGCTTTATTCCCTGCCCATTTGTGAACTCTCTCTCCCACTTTCAACATCTGCATCAAGGTACCATCATCATTTCTCTCCCTAGCTGTTCTCCCTAGCCAGATGTGGATGAGACACATCCAGATGGGCTCTCTCCAACTCCTCATCCCCCTCCCCTGTGTGCTATGCCAAACTTTGACTATATCCTATCCTGTTCTTTGGATTACATGCATATTAAGGCAAAAAAAATTGATTATTTAATTTGTAGCACATACAAACAGGAATGAAAATCTATTTATTGAATTTAAAAGTTACAGCAGGTTATAGAGACTTTGGCTGTTGTGGAAAAGTAAAAAAAAAAAAAAGATAAAAAGACTTCTGCATAGTAGGATTAGCTTTACCATGTATCAGTCTTGTTGGATGTTAAATCTTTTGTCAACACACAGGATGACCCATGGAATTCTTCTGATTACTAGGTAGAGGACAGAAACCGTTCCAGATAATACTAACAGCCAGGTTTCAAAGATGCTTTTGGGAAAAATGAAGCTTTTAAGAGGTAAATGGTGGTTAAAGGCACAGGTTCTGGATTCAGACTGCCCAGGTTCAACCCCTCTACCAATTACCAGCACAGAGACCTTGAGCAAGTTACTCTACATCTCTGTACCTAAATTTCCCAATAATAAAATGGGGATAGCAAAAGCTATTACCTCATGAAGTTTTTGTTAAATTAAGTTGTTCACACACATGGAGTGCGTAGAATAGATAAGCGTTTCCCATTATTGTTGCTGTTGTTAAGGGGTCCCTCATGTCAAACATCCAAAGCAGTAAATTAAGAACTGATGGTGCTGTTACAAAGGCTGTAATTTTTTAATTTTAATTTTAATTTTATTTTTATCAAACCATTGAGAATTTTCACAATTAATCAAGCCTGACTCAAGAAACACATGATTCTGCAAGAATCATGCGGAACACAAAAGAGGATCATCATACACACAAAAATTTTTAAAAAGACACACACTAGATCCAGAAGAGAACATTCCTTTAGTGTCCAATTCCTTAGTTGTCAATAATACCATAACAATTCTGTGAGTCATAATACAGTTTACCATATGTATAAAGTTTAATATTTCTGTTTATTAAGTAGTATATTAATTAAAAACAATGACTATATACATGAATTCAGCTTCTCACCTAGTCACATTTAATGTTGTCTTTATAAAACCTAAACTTATAAGAGTGTCTAAGTGGATATTTGTACCACGTGATTGAAAGTGTCTGCAGCAGCTGTAACTCGGGATCAGGGGATGGACAGATGGGGCAAGAAGCCCTTCCTACAAAATGGTGCCTTAAGGGGATCTATTCCTCCACATGCTGCCAATCAAATATGGAATCCTCTGAGGTGCCCTGTGAATTATTACAGAGGCATTTGCAGGTTAATTTAAAGGAAGGGGTTCAACCATTTCACGTAATCCACCACCTTCCTTTCTAGGATTCTTTCCATGGAGACAGTGAGCTTCTTCTTGCCTTCTTTCTCCCCTTCTGCATAGCTGCTCCTTACACTCCTCCCCACCTAGGATTCTGCACAAACAGCCTTACTAAGGAGACAGTGCCAGAGGTGTCTTCTTCCAAGAGCTGTCTTCCTTTCTTCTGGAAGGCATAGGAGACAGGCCGTGTGACCCCTTACTGCTTTTCCCACCAGTAAAACAGTAATTCTATGTAATTTCTATTCTCTCATCTCCTTGCACATCATTTTCCTCTCTTCTTATGTCTTTTCTCCCTTTCATTTAACAAGTTATGTTCCTGACCACTAGTGTCAGCTATTAACCTCAGGAAAATATATGTCCCCTCTCTTCATTCTATGTATGGGTTGAAAAGTTAGTCCAATCTCCATGATTTAACAATAGTGCCAACAACATATGTGTGTTTATTTAAGAGAGAAACTGAAATTTTGTCATATATGTTGTTATTCTTATCTCTGATTTTTCACAGCAAGGATCCTGAGCCCTGATTCTAGGAGAGTTCATCCTCACCATACCTCATCCCTCCAACTGACTTATAAAAGGAGGGTGATGATGTAGCTTGCCAACAATAGCCTCTGCTAATTTGACTGCTTTTGTCAGATGATGATGAGAATGATGAGACATTGATCCCTAAGATATATCTGAAACTACCCTTTAGGAAAGAGGATTTTCCCTTGCTGAGAGGCAAGGCAGACACCTGAGCAGGGCTGTGCTATCAACGTCCCAGTGCTGCATGGCCTTCGGTAGTCAATAAAACGTACCCCAAAGAAGATCAGAGGTGTTACTTCATGAAAGGCACAACTATGGGTGACTAGCTGGGAAACTAGACACATTTACCTTGTAAACAGAGAAGATATGACTCAAGAGGAAAGCTCCAATACCTATTATAGAAGGTATGCTTGTACTTAAAAACAAACAAAATGTAAGCCAACTTAGCCAAGGAGAACTCCGAAACTCTCTATAACCTCACTTGCCTCAACAGTCAGGAAACATAGGAAAAGCTATGATTGCTCTTGGTGCAGATATCTATCTGACCAGCAGACAGCACAACTGAAACCAGGCCAGCAGTGGGCAGCAAGCCTAACAAGCCACAGAGCCCGTATTAGTGAAAAGCAATGATCTAATCAGGCCAGCAGCAGACCCTAGGGGCTATTTATGCAGCACCTATTGTGGCCAAGTCCTAGACTGTGAGCTGTTAACTATGTTTGCATTTATTCCTCATAATGTCAAGAGTTGGACACTATTATCTCCATCTCAGGCAAGAAAAAACCAAGACCCAGCAAAACTGAGTTACTGTCCCAAGGTCATACAGCTCATGAGGGAAGCCAGTCTTGTGGGAGTCTGTGTGACTCTTTAGCCTTTCTACCATCCGAGAGTCTCCTGAAAAGACAGGCAGCATGTAGAGGAAAGTGTAGAAAACTATCTCACCAGAAGATTCACACCATAAGAGGATGGTGAAGAAAATAGCTGAGAAAAGAACTTCCTGAGAATGGCTGAAACTATAACCTAAAGATTACTAGTTGTAGTTGTTGAACAGTTATCATTACTGCATAGTTATTTATGGATAATTATTCAACAATTATAGATGATATATTCATGGAGTATGCATAAAAATGCCCAGTACCTTCTAATTAAGGAACTTGTGAAGAGAACACAAAGAATGTACTACCCTCTGTACAAGGGCAGAGACAATTCGCCTGATTGGTACTGGGAAATGTCAAGAAATGCTTCAGAGGAGGAATCTCTTTATCTGAGTTTTATAAACTAGTGGAACAGAAAGGTGCTGTTGAGGGTGGAGATAAGAATTCCCTGCAGAGGGCATGAGCAAATGAGTGGAGACCTGACACAGCATAACTTGATCTATAAAGAGAAAGTTGTGTTTTGTTGTTGTTGTTGTTGTTGTTGTTGTTGTTGTTGTTGTTGTTGTTCGGTAAAATTTACATATAGTAAAATGTACACTTGAATGAATTTTGGCAAACATATTCAACTGTGTCCTTCACACCCCAATCAGGATATAGAACATCGTCACCACCCCCTACAAGAAAGATCGCCTGTATCCCTTTCAGTCAGTTCCTTCCAATCATAGTCAATCTCTGTTCTAATTTGTATTACCATAAATTGGTTTTGCCTGGTTTCGAATTTCATGTTAATGAAATCATGTGTCTGGGTATCAATATAAAGTTTCTGATGTTTGTTCATGTTGTGTGCATCAGTAGTACATGCCTTTGTGTTGCTAAATATTATTCCATTGTATGGATGTACTATAATTTGTTCATCAATTCAACAAGCAAGTTGTTTGAGATGGCTAATGCACAGAACTTTTGTAGAGTTGGATTGAGGAATGGGGACTGTATCTAAAAATGAACGTGAAAAGATAAACATGTGTCAAATCATGGCATATGGTTTACTAAGGAGTGTGAACATTGTCCTAAGAACAATATTAATAAGTTTCAGGGCAAGGTTAGGGGGTCGTATACAATCAGACATCAATACCAAGTGTATTAGTCTATTTTCACACTGCTATAAAGACATACCTGAGAATGGGTAACTTATGAATAAAAGAGGTTTAACTGACTCAAAGTTTTGCAGGCTATACAAGAAGCATGGCTGGAGAGGCCTCAGGAAACTTACAATCATGGAGGAAGGTGAAGAGGAAGCAGGCACAATCTTCACATGGCAGAACAGGAGAGAAACAGCCAAAGAGGAAGTGCTACACACATTTAAACAACCAGATCTCATGAGAACTCACTCTTACAAGAACAGCAAGGGTGAAATCTGCCCCCATGATTCAGTCACCTCCCACCAGGTCCCTCCCCCAACCCTGGGAATTACCATTCAACATGAGGTTTGAGTGGAAACACAGAGACAAACCACATCATTCTGCCCCTGGCCCCTCCCAAATCTCATGTTCTCACATTCCAAAAATAATCATGCCCTCCCAACAGTCCCCCAAAGTCTTCATTCATTCCAGCATTAACTCAAAAGTCCAACTCTAAAGTCTCATCTGAGACAAGGCAAGTCCCTTACACCTATGAGCCTGTAAAATCAAAAACAAGTTGGTTATTTTGAAGATACAAGAGGCGTACAGGCATTGGGTAAATGCTACTGTTCCGAAAGAGAGAAATTGGCCAAAACAAAGGGGATACAGGCCCCTTGCAAGTCTGAAACCCAGCTGGGCAGTCATCAAATATTAAAGCTCCAAAATAATCTCCTTTGACTCCATGTCTCACATCCAGGTCATACTGATGCAAGGGGTGGGCTCCCAGGCCTTGGGCAGCTCTGCCCCTGTGGTTCTGCAGGGTATAGCACCCATGGCTGCTTTAACAGGCTGGCATTGAGTGCTTGTGGTTTTTCCAGGTGCACAGTGCAAGCTGTCACTGGACCTACCATTTTGGGGCCTGGAGGATTGTGGTCCTCTTCTCACAGCTCCACTAGGCAGTGCCCCAGTGGGGACTATGTGTGCGGGCTCCAACCCCACATTTCCCCTCTGCACTGCCCTAGTAGAGGTTCTCCATAAGGGCTCTGCCCCTGTGATGGATTTCTCCCTGGACTTCCAGGCATTTCCATACTTCCTCTGAAATTTAGAGGTTCCATGTCCTGAGGCTGCACATTGCAGCAGGGCCGTAGGCCTTGCCCATGAAACCATTTTTCCCTCCTAGGCCTCTAGGTCTGTGAATGGGAGGGGCTGCTGCAAAGGTCTCTGAAATGCCCTGGAGGCATTTTCCCCATTGTCTTGGCTATTAACATTCAGCTCTTTTTATGCAAATTTCTGCAGTCTTGAATTCCTCCCCAGAAATGCATTTTTCTTTCCTACCACATGGTCAGGCTGCAAATTTTTCAAACTTTTATGCTCAGCTTCCCTTTTAAATAAAAGTTCTAGTTTCAGGTCATTTCTCTGTTTATGCAAGTAAGCATAGTCTTTTAAGGCCACATCTCGAACACTCTGCTGCTTAGAAATTTCTTCCACTAGATACCCTAATTCATCTCTCTTGAGTTCAAAGTTCCACAGATCTCTAGAGCAGGGTCACAATGCTGCCAGTCTTTTTGCTAAAGCACCACAAGAGTCACCTTTATCCCAATTCCCAATAAGTTCCTAATCTCTGTCTGAGACCACCTCAGCCTTAACTTCACTGTCCATATCACTATCAGCATTTTGGTCACAACAATTCAACAAGTCTCTAGGAAATTCCAACTTTCCCACATCTTCCTGTCTTCTTCTGGGCCCTCCAAACTGTTCAAACCTCTGCCCATTACCCAGTTCCAAAGTCACTTCAGCATTTTCAGGTACCTTCTCTGTTACCAATTTTCTGTATTAGAAATTACAATTTTCCGTATAGCATTCTCACACTGCTATAAAGACATACCTGAGACTAGGTAATTTCTGAAGAAGAGAGGCTTAACTGACTCACAGTTCTACAGGTTGTGCAGGAGGCATGGCTAGGGAGCCACCAGGAAACTTACAATTACGGCAGAAGGTGAGGGGGAAGCAGGCACAATCTTCCCATGGTGGAGCAGGAGAGACAGAGAGTGAAGAGGGAAGTGCTACACACTTTTTCACAACCAGATCTCATGAGAACTCACTATCACAAGAATAACAAGTGGAAAATCCACCCCCATGATCAAATCACCTCCACCAGGTCCCTCCCCCAACAATGAGAATTACAATTCAACATGAGATTTGGGTGGAGACATAGAGCCAAACCATATCACCAAGCAATCATGGGTAGAACTCATAATCTCTAGTCAGTGATCACTTAGTTACCCTAAGTTCTGAGCCTTGTAACAGTCATCCAGAAGGCATGAACTCCCTCTAATATGCTTAATTTTCATATTCAGCTGAGTTTTTTTGAGCACTTACTATGTGCCAGGCACTCGATTAGAAAATATCACATAAATGATGGTCCTTTAAGGTTTCTGTTATCTTCATTAACCCATGAGGGTATTCTTTTTATTTAATTTTTATTTTTTTATAGACAGAGTCTCGCACTCTCACCCAGGCTGGAGTGCAGTGGCACAGTCAGAGCTCACTATAATCTCAAACTTCTGGGCTCACATGATGCTCCTGTCTTCACCTCCTGAGTAGCTAAGACTTGAGGTGCTCACCACCTTTCCTAGCTAATTTTTTAAAATTATTTTTTGTAGAAATGAAGGTCTTGTTACATTGCCCAGGCTGGTCTTGAACTCCTGGCCTCAATAATTCTTCTGCCTCGTCTTCCCAAAGCTCTAGGATTACAGGTGTGAGCCACCATGCCCAGCCCTATGTGGGTATTCTTACATGTGCATAATCCATTTCTGCAACACAGCCTGGCCATTTCATTCTGCATTCTGTGATTATCATCCGGTAAAGAGAAGGCTCAATCTTACTTATTCTTTTGGGAGGAAACATAACTTTGCAATTGGAATTACAGCTAAAAGCAGGTCTCCCCACAGTACAGACACGTGGTTTAAGCAGCTCAGAGGTATTCGTGTTTAAACATTTTTATGTTTAATCTTGTGCAAGCCACCGGTGCCACTTAGACAACCAGTTGGCAACCAGCAGTTGGACTGCCAATTGTGGAAATTTTGTGGACTGTCTGATGGAAAGATTTTTCTGAGTCTTTTGATGGAACTTGGGCCAAGAATGCATCCACACAATATACCCAGGACTCCATTTTGTCACAGGTAGCTCCAGCATAAGAAATACAAAAAGAACAAGAGCCATTAATTTTTAATGTTTTTTAAAAGATCCAAAATCATTTGCTTGTTTTATCCTCTTCCATTTAAAACTGATTTTCCTTGAATACAACTGTTTGAGAAAAATCAAAGTTTTAGTGAATATCATTAATTTAATACAGAAAAATACTGCTCACTTATAGAGCCCTGCATGCTTCATAAAATGCTTTGTGAGTTGAGTTTTATGTCAGGGAATTTTGGCATGCAAGTTGACAAATGATGCCAGACATTGTGAGGAGAAAAGAGAGAGAAAAATAGTAATGTCATAGGAAAACAGCTAAGAAGAAATCACCATCCCCTGGTCCAACATGGAAGGTGAGCTATTTGCCAGCAGTAAACTGCCTGAAATTCAGGGGAAAAAGAACCCAATGAAGATGAAATAAGGTCAGGGATCCCAGAGGACAATGGATACAGATTTCCTGGCAAGCAGAAGCAGCTGGGAGTATGAATACCTAAAAACTGGAAGCTACTCAAATGGCAAAGACCTCTGATGAATGATCCAAGGCAAAAAGGGTCACCAGCCAAGCCTTCCGTGATCATGAGACAGATGGACACTTAGAAGACCCATTGTTTGGCTGAGTTTTCATTTGCCTGTTCTCAGTCTACAGATGAAATACGTATGTGCCATCTATATGGAGAAGAATCATGTCAGGATATAACTTATGGTTTACTCTACATTTTCTTTACTTTCCTTTATTATTGAAGCAGTGAGTAGACTCCATGTTTGTTTGTTTCAAGAGACGTTCATGGCACAGTATCCTGGTTTTTCTTTTCACAAGCTTAGTACCTTGGAAGGAATGTGGTTTGAAAAGAGAAGGATGTCTCCAGGTTGAGTTATGAGCCATTGGACTGGGAGTGTTACTGCAACCCATAGTCACATAAAACTTCAAGGAAACTGAATCTGCCCTGGGTCTGCTAGATTGGTCAAAGAGTCCCACAATCCAAGAATGGCATGGAGAAAGCACAGGCATCTGATCTTAAGAGTAAGGAAAGTCAGAATGCTGGTTATTTCAGTGGTTCCACTCCTTTTCATCTCCTAGCAGTCTCAAAGCTTCAGGCCAATAATACAAGACAGAAAGAGCATTCACACAAGAGACCACTGCAGTTCTAGCCAAGTTGACAGGTCAGGAAATAAAACTGGTTTTTGAGTACAAAGTCCCTTTCAGACCTCAAATGGATGGGAAATACAGGGAAGACCACACGGATTTTCAATTGCTTAGTTGATTAGCCCTGAAACATCATTCATGCTCTTTGTCCAGGAGCTTTGAAACCTCTAAAATGAATTTAATTCTATAACTACAAAAGTTGAAAAGTATTTTCCTCATCATTTTGTCTTCTATCTCCAGCACAGAATCATTAAAGATTTTGCCTTAAACTTCTCCCCAAAATGAAATAGTAAAACTATGTAAACCTCTATTTTTGTTTACTATTCCACAATCTTCTACCTGTTGCTCTTTTAGTCTCTAACAGTATCCTTTAATTTGGAATAAACCCCTCTCTCTTAAAATCTCACTGGGCTTCAGCTTTGTAAAGAAAAACCATGAAGTCCTCTCACACACTTCCCCAAAGGGCAGTAGACACTACTATTTTTCTTGAATGAGGCAGAAAAGAATTTTTCTCATTATAAAATCATTATAAGATAAATGTTCATTGCCAGGACAACTGGAAGTAGAAGGTGTACAATTTCACCATTCCTAAAATGTTAATTCTATTGTCTATCAACTGTATTCCAGAATCTTTTCCTTCCTTCCACTGAAAAGATGTAGAGCCTTCTGCAGTTTTGACCGTACCTCACACAACTGTTCAGTGACACAGCCTGATTTCTCACCCATGACTTCTGACCACAAAAGCAAGTCTTGCACTGCCTGATTTCTTACCCATGACTTCTGAACACAAAAGCAAGTCTTGTACTAAGTCTAGTTTTGTAGCCTATCTAAACATCTAAGTACTGTTTATAGCACTTTTTAGAAGAGAAAACAGCTCTGAGCAAAGTGGTATAATGATAAAGTTGTGTTTAACGAGTTGGAGCATCTAAATTCTTTTCTCAACTCTATTGCTACACATCTTGTGACTTGGGCAAGTAAGTAACATCTGCACTTCAGTTACCAGATTGCAAAATGTGAGAGCTTTGTTAACTTTACTCTTAACTCTATATAATGTCTTACCAACTACAGTATAAGCTATTCTCAGGCAAGAATCTAGTCTTCAAGTAACAGACAGAAAACCACCTGTCACTGAGCATATAAAATAACTCTAATATGTGATCTGTTGGACTAGATGACCCCAAAGGTTCTGTAGGAAATTGTTAGATACCCACAAAGCATACAGAAGCACTCAGTAACTGCCTAGTGAATAAATAAAAGTGCCTCTGATTTACACTGTTTGGTGAATAAATCATTTGATACTTGTGACAATTGAACCAAAAGGAAATTGAAATATTCTAGGAAGCAAGGTGATTTAGACAAGAGTCTGGGAAAAAAATTATTTTTTAATGAATTTAACCACTGGTAATTAGGATTGGCAGACGAAATTAGCATAAACACACCATCCAAATGATAATGCAACTAGGACATTGTTATAAATTCTTAATGCCTCTTTTAAGAACAGAAAATGACAACTCATCAAAGAACAATTCATCAGGGTTCACTGAGCACTGACCTCAACACTTCATTGCTCTGATCTGTGGAACCCATTCCAATTACCAGGCAAAATGCTTAGAGTGGAGAAAAGAGAATTTTCATATACTAATAGTCTAGATTGGTAGGTTTCAAAATTTATTGGCCAAAGAAAATTGTTCCATTTTTCAAAGGAACTAGCAGGCAGAAATCCAAAATAATAACAGTGATAATAGCAAGAACCAATGCTTACTAAGCATTACTATGTGCCAGGTACTGTTCTAAATATATGTATTAGCTTATTTAAATCTTACAGCACAACCCAGAGACAGGTAGTTTTATTATCCCCAATTTACATCAGTTGAAGAAAGTTGGTAATAGTGAATTTAACTAAGTTGCAGAGATCACCCAAGTTGTGAGGAAGGAAGCCAAGTTTTGAACCAGTCTGCCCAGGAGCCCAGTTACACAATTTGCTTCTGCATGTAAAACAGATGTAGCAGAGCTGTTCTGATCGAGAGTGGATGGCTATGATGGAACTTCCGACCGTTGCCTACTGGTCTAAATGAAATCCACCTTCAGATCATCTCATCTATGGACATCTGGAAAAGTACCTCTGAGGTTGCTCCTGAATTTGCTAGACAGAAGTCTCTTCCTTTATAACTATATTTTTAAATACATGTGACCCCTTTGTATTTAATTTTCCAGAGTCAGACCTAGGGTATAATCATGTTTGAATAAGACAACAGTTGATTTTCTGGTCTCCATTCAGGAGCAGAGGCGCAAATGTAAACGGGAGTTTTCCCACATGACAATAAATTTTCAGAGCAATCACATGTAACTACAGTAGGTGTGATGTGACCGTGGGAGAATAATGACCAGGTGGAACTCTATCCTTTATACATGCAAGAGATGATCAATGATCATGATGGTTAGAAGACTGCATTAAAGAGGTGAAAACTATGTTTTTAATTTCCATATGGTAAGTATCTGAACTTTAGTCTATTTCTACACTAGTACTTACTAGTACTTGCATCTTTAATCACAACTCTCTTGCAAGTACAAGGCCCCTTTCTCCTTCCGAGGCTCTTTCTCTTTCTGTCAAATGAAGTAAAATGTGTCCACTAATCCCAGCACCCAGTTCATGACCAATGCAAGTGATCAAGATAGAACAGGCAAGAGAGTATGACCAAAAAATTATCACCAAAACTCAACTACCCAACACTCAAGCATACCACCCTGACTATATACCATTATGATACTTTCTTGTTCAAAAGACAGTATAATTTTGTATAGGCAGGAACATAGACCCCATAGAATAGCAGAAACTTCTACATGTGCTTGAAAATCCTTCTTAATTCAACCAAGTGAATGTTTATCCAGTTCCTTCTCTGTTTTCAGCACCCATGATACCAAGATATCAATGACATAGTATCACCCCTCAGTATAGTGCAGTGTTCTTGATCATCTTTGTTCATTTTTAAGCCTTTGTCTGTCACCCATAGATTTCTTGTTATGGGTGAAAATCTTTATCCTTACATATTTTTTCCCTCAAAATGAACAACTTCAGTGACTGTCCTGATGCGGACACAGTAGAGAGAAAGTAACACTTATTGCAGCATCACGGAATTAGCCACAGAGGACAAGAAGTTCTCAGGATAAACCTAGGTCAGAGTTTAACCCAATAGAAGTTTAATCAACTTTGCTAGCAGTTGTTAAGAATTATAGGGCACTAACCACACATAATAATCCCTGTATTGCTTTGTTATTATAGAGGTTTTAATAGCATGGAATTGACTATTCTAGAAAAAAATCCTCCATTCAGGACACAATGTGTAAATGGGATAGATCTGATAGGTCAGTGGTATTGAAAGGAGACTTTTTTATGTTTAAATCTGAAAACTTCTAGTTTCTACAGGGGAAATGGACAGAAAGATGCAATGTATGAACTCAATAGAAAATGAGATTTTCGGTTCTAAACGTCAGTCCTTTATAAGAAGTTTCACTTATTAATAATCTTTGCAAAAAAACATAAATGAGAAACATACATCAGTTCACAATAACACTACATTTGGCTTGATTTTGAAAGCCTATTATTTAGATATGCCACTAGATAACGATTATACCTGCTGTGATCAGAGATTATTAAATATGCAAGTGAGGGATTGCTATGCTTTACTGATTACCTTTTCTTACATTTAATCTTACCTTTTTTTGGTGGAAAAACAGCATGTACAGCCTTGGTAAAGTATGAACAACACATCAGGAGTTCATATTGGAAAGTTTGTAATTGATAACAAAAATTTAGTAGCACTTTTTTAAAAGTTGATAAAATTGCTGCACAACTCTAGAATGCACAGAAGTTGTGCAATTTTTGTAGTCATTTATGAAGGAACATAAAAAATAAAGTACCCATTTTTCCCAAGAGAAATGGAAATGTAATTTCCTAAGCAAAATCTATTCATGTTGGAATTTTTATTAGCTTTCTGTAATGGAAAGTCTATTAAGTATATATTGTTTTGTGCTTCTGAATAGTTTTCACATCTTTTAAGTGAAGACGAGATCAGTATTGCATTATGAAAAGTACCATTCACGCATTGTAAGCAACAGTTCACAATGCAACGGGCTGGATAAGGCAAAATAAATTTCAAAATTTAAATAGATCAAATGTGTTCAGATGAATGATAGCATTATTACTTACTCCAAAGACGCCATGAAAAGGATCAACAAAAATCTGGGGCTTGAAGCTAGCTTTTAGTGAAATGTTCTTTAAAGCCATTTGTTTGAAAATTCGATGACACCTAGTGGCAGATTCAGCTCATCACTACTGGGCACTCAATGAGAGATCTGTGGCCTCCATTTTGAGACTTTCCAAAAATAGGTAAATAAACCAAGCATTTTTGGCCAATATGAAAGATGGAGAGATAGTTTACTGCAACTGCGCCACTTTCATGCAACAAATCAAGGTTGACAAAGTGACAATAAGACAGCAATATGGGAGACGGAGGGCTTTGTCCCCTGCCCTTCCTATTCCTGTGTGTTGTTGTTTCACATGAACCTGATCAGAAAAACTTCAGTCAATTCAATCATTTCAATGCGAACAATTAAGTAAACCAAACCTTGTTAATATCTATTCTGATAATATACGAAAAAGTCGTCTATTTGTACAATTGATGGATAAACATTTGGTCTTAATTCAGTGCCATCCCAAGTGAACCAAAAAGCTTTAGCTATAGTAGATTATGAACTTTCTCTTTCTTCTCTAAGGAGCTATAATCCAGTCAGACTCTAAAAATATTTAATGAGTCTTAACTTATAATCATGTTAAATATCCTTTCTTTATACATGTCACCTAAAACATCATAGATTTATATGGGTAATTTCTTGCCTCAATTGTATATGATGCACTACATGAAATATTTAGGCCAACTTTAATGTCCAAAGAGTCTTTCACAGGGTGTGACACAAACTGGAAGGTATCGGGTTACCTGTGGAAAAATGGTTTGAAATTTCACTGAAAACAGCATACCCCGGGACCTATACTTGGTTCTTAAATTTAGTCAACAAAGGTATATTTAATACTACTAAGCCCCAGGCACTGTATTAGACTCAAGACAACAAAACCAAATAAGTCAAACTTGTGATCTTGGACTTCTTAGTCTGTTGGATAGTGAGATCAAGAAGTACACCAATGCTAGGACAAAAGTAAGTACCAGGTTCTTTTTATGAGGGCATGGGAAATTTACCTACACCACGTTTGGTGGGAAGTGGGAAGAAATAATGATAATAAGCAAATCCTTCCATGACCAGATGGCACTGGAGATGACTTTTAAATATTGGATAAGACAGGGTCAGATGAAGAAATGCATGGTACTGAGGAGCGGGGGGAACTTAGGCAGAAGGAATGGAAGGTAGAAAAGGACAAGCGTGGCAGGTCACAGTACACTGCTTGGAAAGCAAATCATTCAACATAAATTTTACACTAAAGGTAATCATATGCCTTTTAAGGCTTTTAAGAAAAAAAGTGAAAGTATCAAATTGGAATAATAAAAGTATCACTTCCCAGATGTGCTGAAGTCACAGAAGACTGGGAGAAAAAATTCACTGGATTCTGTGGGGAAAATCAAGTTCACCTAGTTTAATTCCAAGTCAGCTAATTAGAATCAGGATCTACGTAGCTTGGAAAGAGAATCTCACAAACAAATTAGTAGTGTAGCAACATCTAGTCATTTTGCTAACCTAACCTAACAAATTTTAGGCTTAGTTCCTCCTACCTAACAAAATGAAATGTAAAAAGAAAGAAAGGAGAAAATAACAAAACTACAATGATGAGAGCTCTTCTGAGAGTTTTCTGGATGCTCTAACTGTATCAGACAGGTTGTCTCCCTAGAAGTAGGCTCTCCAAGAAGGACAAGCAGAGAAATAAAATGCAGATCAAGGGAAGACACATACAGCTTGGGGAGAATTGCTAACCCCTATATGCAGTCCAACCCCTCTATGGGTAGGCTTGTGGTTTTTATTGCTTTAGGAAACTGGCAGAACAAGCTATTGGAATCTTACTCTCTTCCAGATTCCATTTAGAGTCAAGCTCCCCTAACCTTCCCATAAAGCACAGCCTGAAGATAAAACTGTTCCTCAAAACCACCTCACAGAGCAAAATCAAAGCAATGAGGGCTGATACAACCATTGCAGGGCTGATACAGGGCTGATACAACCATTGCAAAGATTTCAGAAAGAGAACTTTGATTTTATTTCTTGTGTGTTTTGTCTGCATAGAAGGGAGGACAAAGGGAGGAGAGAGGGAGGCAGGGAGGAGAGAGGGAGGCAGGGGGGAGAGAGGGAAGCAGGGAGGGAGGGAGGGCCCACTATTTTATGCAGGCAAGGAAATAGATATCATGATGACCCAGGCTGCTGCAGTTTTTAAGACAAGAAATGACGTGGGTCTAAACAAAGGCAGTGAGGATAGAGTGGGAAAATATGACCTGAATTTAGAGATACTAAAGAGGTTGTATTAGTCCATTCTCACACTGGTATAAAGATACTACCCGACACTGGGTAATTTATAAAGGAAAGAGGTTTAGTTGACTCACAGTTCTGCATGGCTGGGAGGCCTCAGGAAACTTACAATCATGGTGGAAGGGGAAGCAAACACGTCCTTCTTTACAAGGCAGCCGCAGAGAGAAGCACAAGCACAGGAAATGCCAGACATTTATAAAACCATCATATCTTATGAGAACTCACTCACTATCATAAGAACAGCATGGGGAACCGCCCCCCCATGATCAAATCACCTCCCGTTGGGTGCCTCCCTTGACATGCGGTGATTACAGGGATTGCAATTCAAGATGAGAGTTGGGTGGGGACACAGAGCCAAGCCATATCAGAGGTCAATTGAATAAGGTTTGCTGACCAGTCGGATGTGGAATACAGAGAAATAAAAAAATCTGGGATAATCCCTACATTTCTGGCTTCGGAGGAGGCTAAGCAATAATGCCATCCACCGAGCTTGGAAATATAGGAATTTAAGGGAAGAAAGAAGGGGAAGGGGGAAAGAATTAAGTTTTGTTTTAGGCTGAATTGTCTCTGAGACATAAAAGTATGAAGTCTACTAGGCTGTTGAATGTATGGATCTAGAGCTGAAGAAACAGGTTTGGGCTAGTGATCTGGGGCATCAGCTTTTAGATGATAAGTAAATCTCAGCAGAGAGTTAGAAAGCAGACCCCAATGAGTAACGATCCTAAACTTTTAAATTCTACTTCTTCTATTCAAAAAAAAAGAGACTTTTATAATAATAACAAGCTACCCAAGTTATAGTCCTATTTTATTTTCTTTCCAAATTCCTTTTCTTTACTTAGTACTTTCCTTTTAATGGGGACTTGACTTTTCAGGATGGAGTTTCCCTAGCACTTTGCGACATGCCTATACTTCCTCTTTGGAATGCCCCTTAAAGGACCTGTTCTGTTTGCTTTGCCGTGAAGTGGGGTGGTGCAAAACAATCTCTGACAAGCAGAATCAGGGACAATCAGATATATGCCTCTACCCCAACATCCCTTTCCTTTATGAACAAAAGAAAACACCCAAATCTTTCTCAGTCTACTTGTATTATCAGAAGAAGAGCTTTGAGTGTAAGTTGTCCAGGTCCTTGGTGTTTTGAACAAAGAATTGCACAAAATGCACAAAGTAACAAAAGAACAAAATACAAGAACAAAGCCGCGAAA
This sequence comes from Homo sapiens, assembly GCF_000001405.40. Lineage (NCBI taxonomy): Eukaryota > Metazoa > Chordata > Mammalia > Primates > Hominidae > Homo > Homo sapiens. The sequence goes on along the minus strand of NC_000007.14, from coordinate 108,802,575 downwards.
GCAGGAATTTATTAAAGAGAGAAAGCACTCCACAGGGTGGGAGTCAGCCGAGCAAGCAGCTCGAGGGCCCAGTTATAAAGTTCTCTGTGTTTTAAGTACTCCTTTTGAGGTTCCTACCAGTTATTCCTTATCTGGATGAAGGATTTGGCCTATGGCTAATTAAAGGCTGAGGTGAATTGGTGCCCTATGCAAATGAAGGGATGGTCCCTGCTTGGCCCACAGCTAATCCAGGACACTATCCCTTTCCATCTGAGAAGCGGTGAAACTGAAACGGTAGGGTTGTAGGGAGAGTAGCCTTTGACCCTTTGTTACTAGACATGGGGAGATGGGGTTTTTCCTTTTGGTTCAGCTTTTGGAAGTTTGCCTTAATTGGCCTTAAGGTCCCTGCTCCCAGACCCAGGTGTTTTCCTTTTGATCCAGTTTTGGGAAGTCAGCATAAATTGGCCGCAGATTCCCTGCCCCAGGGCCTTGATGTTTTTCCTTGATTCATCACAAATGGACCTTAAGTTCCCTGCCTCCAGACCCCATTCTCCTGACTCATTTGGATCATCATGAAACAGATATGGAATATAGAACAATCTCTCTATGGGGACCCTCAAGATTCCCAATCCTGACTGACTCTTCCATTTTCCGGGTTAACTAAAGACCCAATGGAACAGGCCTAGTCGAGCATTCTGAGTTCCCATCAGATATTTGCCATTTGAATAAGAAATTCAAATTATAATAGTAAATGTCAATATTGAACATTTCACCAATCTGATATCATTAAAACAAAATGAAGCAATTTTTTAAAACTCACAAAACTCCAAATACAATACATTTTTTCTTTTTCTCTCACTAGAAACCTGGCCAGTTTTAATCTTAATTATTTACTCTGCCCCATACAAAAATAGTCCTATCAAAAATAAGAGCATGTGTCAATATGGGGATAAAATTAGCATTTATTTAAAAATATTTAAGAAACTTTACCACAAAGTGATTTGTTGTATTTATTTTAATACAGAGAGATAGCATTTTAAAACTTGTCTTTGTATTTACTCTTCACTAGAATATTCCTAGGTATGAATATGGAAACCCATTTGCCAAACAAAAAGTCGCATCTAATACAATATCAGTTCAACAGCCAACTCTGCTTTGCTGATGGCTCTGTGATTATTTAGCACCTATTTTATGCTAGTGCTTTGCCAGACAGACAAGGTGATAGATGAAGAAGTTAGTTTCTACCTTCAAAAAGAACACATTCTGGAGGGGTACAAGATCCTCATAAATCAGGAACAGTGACCTTGTGTGATAAGTGTTTTGCTGCTGGCATAATGGTTATGATACAATAGACTCTTTAAAACTACTCTTCATTAAATGAGTTACTTCATGTCAAAAGCCTCAAAGAGTAACTAGCACACTGTAAACTCTCAATAAATATTAGCATCTTTGGTAGACACATATCAACAACCCCTTTTACAGATGGTTTAATTGAAAAAAAAAAAAAAAAAGAAAGTTTAAATAACTTACTAAATGTCCAGAGCTAGAAAGTAGAGAAGCTATGAATGGCACTGAAGTTGTTCTGACATCAGAACTCATGACCTTTCCACATTGCTCCATGATTTCTCGAAGTATAAGAAAGAGAAGAGAGAGGAGGAGAAAAGAGGAGAGGAAAGGAGGGGAGAAGAGGGGAGAGGAGGGGAGGGAAGGGGGAAGGAAGGGAGTGGAGGAGAGGAGGAGGAAAGGGGAGGGGGGACAACAGCGGGGGAAGTGGAGGAGAGGTGGAGGGAAGGAAAGGAGGGGAGGGGACAGGAGGAGGGGAGAGGGGAAGGGGGAGAAGAGGGGAGGAAAGGAGACCAGGGGAGGGGAGAAGGGGAGGGGAAAGGGGAAGGGCGAGAGAAGAGGAGAGAGTAGAGGAGAGGTGGAGGGAAGGGGAAGGAGTTGTGGAGAGGTAGAGGCAAGGGGAGGAGGGGAAGGGAAGGGTGGAGAAGGGAGGAGGGGGAGGAGGGGAGAATGGGATTTCATTCTGCCTCTGGAATTGGGAGTTAAGGAAGTTTACACAGAGGCAAGGACACATGAGCTGGGCTTGAAGAAGGAGAGACCAGGAGGCAAAGAACAGCAACACTAAATTCCAAATGAGGGGTGGGAGAAAGTATATGCAAAATAATCAAGGCTCAAATGCACCCAGCATATTTTGGGTGATAACATGTAGTCTAGTATGATTCAATACTTAGGAGTTCAAGACAAGATTTGAGAGTGTGGTGGAAAAGAAATGTATATGTTAAAAACAATGCAATGTTGAAAATGTTGCCTGGAAACAGATTATGAAGTGCCTTAAACACCATGGTAATTAACTTGATGCTCTTGATACAGATTCATTGTTTTAAGAAGGAAAGAGACATGATTAGAGAAAGTAATATGGTAGAAGTGCAGGGAAGAATTGAGATGCCTAGAGGAAAAACATTATTAGGAGCCTATTTAAACTAGTTGAGAAATGAGGCAACACATATGAAGGGAATGTCAGAAACAACAGAGGAAGAGAAAGGAAATTGCGATGTTAATTCTGATGTGCTATCAGCAAGACTCATTGATTGATTCCCGGGAGTGTGAAAAGGAGGAGTCAAAAATGGCAAGGTTTCCAGCAGGAGTGACTGCAAAGTAATTCTATTAAGAGGATGGAGAAAACTTACCTGAAGATAGAAATTAGCTGTGTGACCTTTGAGATGCCCTTAAGGCCAACCAGGTGAAGATGATAATCGGCAGCTCAGATATGAAGTCTAGGTTAGAGATAGAATTTGTGGAAATCATGATATTTGAGATCATGGCAGTGAATATGAGAATGAGAGTGTCACAGAGCCAACAACTCATCCTTTGGTAATATCAGCATTTACAGGCTTCCAAAAAGTAAAAGAAGCCTGGAAGGAGACTGATAAATAGTAGTCAAAAAGTTAACAGGAAAATTGAGAGATGGTAGTGACTCAAAAGCCATAGGATCCTGGAGGATGCGACTGATATTGTTGGTGGGAGGCTACCAGTCACCTGGGAGAAGCCCACTTCCGCACAGTAATGGATGTGAGAATCCCAGGAAGTTGAGGAGAGCCAAGGTGGTGAGAATAGACTTTTCTTTCCCATTTGGCTACAAAAAAATAGAAAGAATATTGAGCGGGAGGGGGACTCAAGATCAAGGGATGCTATAATAGCTGTTAAGTATGTGGACATTTGCGTGTATTGACAAGCTGTTAAAGGGCCAGGGAGGAGGAAAATCCTGATGCCATGAGAGACCTGGGAAATAAGAGTGACTCCTAGGAAGAGGCAGTATGGGGTTGTTAGGGGTAACAAAACTCATGAGCTCTCATTTTACATATTGGTTTTCCTTTAGTCTCTTGCCGGTCTCCCAATGCATTCTGAGGAACAAATTCAGCTCATGGATGCTAGGAACCCAGGATAAATACTTTTAAAAACAACAATTGACCCTTTTCAGCCAGTCGTTTTGTATAATCTCTTCAGACACACAACCTGCTATTTTTGCAACACTGAGCAACCCAGGTCCCCAAATCAAGGTGTTTGGTGGCAAATACCTGTAGTTTCAGAGAATGACACCTCACTCAGTATCCTCCCTCTTCTACCTCTTGCCAGACCTTTTACTTGCAGCTGCTTCACTGCATATATATCTTATAAAGTGCTTTAGGAATAAAGCACTCTCATTAATTCTCTGTTCACTCACTTCAGGATTTATTCCACCTACTACTAATAAACTGGTATGATTTATGATATGCAGTTTACTTTCACCCATTATAGGCATCTAAGACAAACTCTGAAGGCTTTTCAAACACTAATCAAAACCTTACTAAAGCTGAGCCCTGCTCTGTTCCTAATAATTTCACAAAATACCTTAGAGAGAAGCAAGTTTCAAAGACAGCAGAAAATTCCTTTCACACTGTACAAGGGCTTCTCCCTAAGAGACACTCACACTGCTCCACTCACGGAATAGGCTTCAGTTGTTTTGTCTTTTTTTTTCATACATATCTCAAATTCATATTCAACCTTCTACCCATCTTTTCACACACAAGTCATAATACCTACTTCAGAATATGTTTTCTAAATGCCTCCAGAGGACTGGTTTTTCACATACATCAGTGAGTGTTTAGGTGTAGTCACTACCTCAAGGCAGGTAGATGTACTAACTGACTTGTAAATTCATTTCCTATGTGTCATAGTTTAATTGCATTCTCAAAGAGACCAGTGGATGAGATTTTAGGTGTTTAGTGTAGGTCTCTATATTCTTCTTTGGCCACTTCTAGCCTTCCCCAACACCCAAATTGGGGCCATATTTTCCATGTAACTGAATTAGGGAAGACTGATGGAAGAGGAAGTTTTGAAAGGAAGAGACAAGTTTGAGAAGCTTTTGAGAAAAATCCAGAGGGAGTTAGAGATCTCCCTTTGAGATCCATGGAAAAGTTGAAGGGCTAGAGATAAGACTTTCTAAGCAGAAAGAGAATCTCTGTTTTATTTTAAGAGAGATCCCTGATGTTTGCCAGGTAGGGAAAAATGGCTCAGATAACATTGTATCCTATTTCCTCCAAATTGGCACTAAGCAGCTCCAATGTCAGGACCTGTCATAAATGACAAAGATTAGTACTAGTTTTACAAGGATTAACATCAAAAAATAGCTCCAAGCCTTGAAGAGTCTCACTTTGCCACCAGAAACATAGACTAGATTAAAACAAATGGTGATGAGATTTCAGATGATAAGTTCTCATCCGTGAGATGAAAATAAATGGGTTCAATTTAATCAAGTGAATAGTTGTTTCTCAGCTCATTTTTCCCCTTTATTCAGCTTTCAAGCCAATATGAATGACTAGGGAGGGTGCTGGGAACAGGTCAAGAAAATTAATAGTAAATCTGAGCTTTGAAAACATAAGGAAAGTAAAATTCATAGTACAAAAGGGAAGAAATGGAATTCCCATAAAACGTGATATGATTTGGCTGTGTCCCACCCAAATCTCATCTTGAATTGTAAATTCCCATAATCCCCAAGTGTCAAGAGAGGGACCCTGTGGGAGGTGATTAGATTGTGGGGGCAGTTTCCCCCATACTGTTCCCATGATAGTGAGTGAGGTCTCATGAGATCTGATGGTTTTATAAGCATCTGGCATTTCCCCTGCTTGTACTTCTCTCTCCTGCCGCCATGTGAAGAAGGTCCTTGCTTTGCCTTCACCTTTGGCCATGATTGTAAGTTTCCTGAGACCTCTCCAGCCATGTGGAACTGTGAGTCAATTAAACCTCTTCCCTTTATAAATTACCCAGTCTCCAGTAGTATTCTTTGTAACAGTGTGAAAGTGGACTAATACAAAAGGTACTTTTTAAAAAATGGTTATTTCTATTTATGAAAACTATTTTCCAAAAAGTAACACAGGACAAGTCCTGCTTTTCTTTGATAAGCTATTAATGATGCCATCTTACAACCATTCACCAACAAAATGTCCTTAGTAAAGACATTTTCTAGTTCTGTAGTTTATAAGTTTATAAATGGATCTGGGCTTCCATATTAAAACTCTTATTAAGCAAATCATTGTACTCTGTAACAGGGTTCTTGGCTCTCTCCAGAAAGCACAGCCCCCGCGTAGAATGCTATGGAAATTGACTGCCCAACTTTACATGATCTTATCCCACTAGTGCTTAGCATTAGGAGGCAGCATGATGTGATATCAGGAATTTAGGCTCAGGAGTCCAGAAACAGGGGTTCTATCTCTATGTCCAACTGGAAAGTGATTTCACGTGGTTACGATCTCTTTGATATCAGTTTCTTCATCTGTTTTTTTTTTTTTTCTAATTTGTATGTCTTTCTCAAACTCTTAAAAACTTGTTTTTCTTGTTACAAAAGAATTTGGGTTGATTATATTTATCATAACCAGTTAACAACACTTGATAAAAGTGCTTTACTTTAAAAAGCCAAGATACATAATTACTGTATATTATTAACTCTTCATATTCTAAGCTATCTTTAATTGTAACCATAGTCATGCTGATTAATATAAATGGTAGATCATGTAATTTCTTTTTTGTTATTATTTTTGAGATGGAGTCTCCCTCTGTCACCCAGGCTGGAGTGCAGTGGCATGATCTCGGCTCATTGTAACCTCTGCCTCTTGGGTTCAAGCAATTCTCGTGCCTCAGCCCCCCAAGCAGCTAGGACTACAGGCACACGCCACCACGCCCAGCTACTTTTTTGCATTTTTAGTCAAGATGGGGTTCCACCATGTTGGCCAGGCTAGTGTTGAACTCCCGACCTCAGGTGATCCACCCGCCTCGGCCTCCCAAAGTGCTGGGATTACAGGCATGAGCCACCATGTCCAGCCATAATTTCTATCTCATATTTAGGCTAGTTAACATGTTCAAAAGGACTTTGCTCTTTCTAAAGTCTTAATTTCCATATGAATTATATAGCCCTTTGTTAGCAGCTGCTCTACTGTAATATCTTTCTTGGAGCACGTAGGTGTGATGGTATTAAGACCCACAAAATGCACAGAGAGATAAATATCCTGTTAGCCTATTCCAGTCATATGGTATTTCTTCCTGTGGTGAACATTTTCTGAAGAGTCATTAAAACACTATTTTCCCTGCATAACTAATAGCAGCATGGGGTTAAATCAAGTGAATAAATGACTAAATGGAGATGATTTTCTTAGAGAAATTGTTTTCTCATATTTATCTAAAGCCTGTGAATTGTCTGGTATTTGTCTGACCCATCATCATTTTTTTAAATTATGAAATAAACAACACATGTGCATACTTCCACTCATTTACATATTATACCAAAGAGAAATAGACATGATGTCTTAACTGAAAAATCCTAAATTGTAGCACAAATCTAAAGTTCTAGAAAGCGAATTAGGTAATTAACTTCAAACAGTAATATTCCTTGTGTTTTATAGGGCACAGACCTTACCCTGACATTGCTATTTATTAATTAATTCATTCATTCAAGCACCTGTTAAAGTATAGGGATGCTGAGAAAATAAAAAGATAGTCCCTAGGATAAAGGATTCCTCAATTTATGACAAAGTGGACATGTATTCAATATTGCATGTTAAGTTTCATAATAAAGGTATGTCCTAGGGACTAGGTCCTGCGGAAGAAAGCATCTCTGTTGAATATTTTTCATTTGTCCTTCCAGATCCCCTTTCCATGCACCTCCACAGTGTTCAGTGCTCCCAGGACACAGACCTTATAGCTACTTTAACAGCCTTACCTTCTAGCCTCAGGTTGAGTTCAGACAATAAAAGAAAGTAAGCAAAGGGTGCAAGGACACTGAGCAAAGGATATTTATCCCCCAGTTCCTCCTTGAGGGATAGCTGCAGGCTGTACAACAGACCACATCTCCTGTTAGGTGGTCCTTTCCAGGATAAGCCATAAGACGTTACCTCCTCTTTCCCCATCAGGCCTAGGGGTAATAATAGCACCAAGCTATTGCTACTGCCGGGGTTCTGTTCTACTTTTGTGGGTTTCCCTTAATCCTGTCTAAACCTTTGTAAATAATCCCTTTATAAAATCCTCCTCAAATTACTCACCTGAGTGTGCCACCTGTTTCCTGCTGGTTTCTTGATACATCACCCAACCCAGAGCAGGCTGGGAAGGATCACAGTGAGGAAGACAAAGTGTATGACCTGGTCATAAAGAAAAAGTAAAAGTTAGATAGGAGAAGAAAGGGGTTGGAGAATGGACTTTGAAAGTGGAAGGAATTGCATTTGCAAAAATATAGAGGACAGGGAATATTTAATATATCTGAAACACCAGGAGTCATTGGGAAAGCAGTGAAATAGACATCCAAAGAGGTACCCGTAGGGCCTACAGTGCTGTTCAAGGGAATTTGGGTCTCACTATGAATGTCATTCATCCTTGAAGCATTTTGTTCAGTGCAGTTTCAAAAGGTCACAATGGTGGCATTTTGGAAGACAGAGGGGAGAGAAGTGAAACTGGAGAGAGTGTGTTATCACCTTATTACAATTATCATGATACAGTTGAAAAGTGATGCACATCTGGACTAAGGTCATGCTAGAGGGGATTGAAAGAAGGAAATGAAGAGGCATATATTTGATAGCACTTAGTGACCAGTTATATGCTGAGACAAAAGTAATAAGATATACTGATTCAGATGGCTGGAAAAAAATGATATTTTTTGGGGACTTCTTACATGCTAGGCACTATTCTTAGAGCTTGACATGTATTAACTTGTTTTTGTCCTCCCAGAAACTCCTAAAAAAACAATATTTTTATTCCTTTTTTTCAAATATAGAAACCAAGATACAAAGAGCTTAAGCAACTTGCCCAAAGCTACACAGGTAGTAAGTAGAGAAGATTATAGGAAAAGGAGTTAGGAGAGGATGCTGAGAGAGATTATGAGATCAGATTGTAATACTTTAGTCTCTGATGGTTTTGAGACATTCAAGTATAGAAGTCTGATAAGCAATTGGATATACTAGATTGGAAAGCAAACAATTTACAAACAAAATGATTAGATATATAAGCTTAAAGACCTTCAACACATTTTCTTCAAAACTGAAGTCTTAGGAGAAAATACGAGTTCCTGGGGAGAGTATGCAGAGTGAAATGCAGCTTGAGACTGGAGGCCAAGGCAACATCAACATTTAAGAAACAGAGTAAGAAAGGTATGAGAAGTAGACCCCACAATCCAATCCTGTCTTAAAACTCCTTGTTAATCTTCCAACTTTCCCAAAAGAGAATCATCTGCTCCAGAGAACTGTGTCTACTTCTCTTGAATTTTGCTTCTTCTGAGTAGCTCCCTTTGGAGGATGCCACCCCAAAATTCCACTCATCCAAACATTTATCTTAGGAATAGTCTTAGGGATTATCTCAAATCCTAATGCCTCACTGGAATTTGGTCTCAATTATCTGAATCTAGAAATTGCCTATCAGACTTTTCTGTTACACTCAATGGGATTCTCAGTTTCTTTCGTGGATATTTATCTTTGCTATTGCCTATCTTTGCTTTTTTATGTACTAATATAACTCAAAATATATAACAGACTGTGTAAATGAGGAAACATGCTGCTTTTTATATTCATTGCTTCCAGAATAGTGTCATGAATATGGTGAAGATTTGGTAAATAGTGTATACTTGCTCATTTGGTGTTGACAAGGACGAGATATAATCCTTGTTAGCAAGTACATTGTCTGCTAAGTCTCTGGGAAAAACTATCACACGGTTTGAAATCTTTTACTCCTTGCTACATTCTCTTCTCTTGTATGTCCAATCTCCTTGTGTTTACTGAGATCACCTTCTCTGAGGAAGTGTCCTAAGCTTTATACCCTTTCTGATCTGTTTCCTGTTCAAAGTCATCTGGCACAATCCCAGTCCCTCAGTACCATCAGTTTTGCAAATGGATGGCTGGCTAGCCCGACTTTTTTTTTCCTCTTCAGATAAAAAGTGAAATTTCCAGGCTCCATTTAGAAGCAATACACTAAACCTGCAAAGGTAATTCAGTGGCAGGAATTTAGGCACTATAGAATATATTTTGAGACAAGTAGTATTTGTTATTTTCTTCAACTCTTACTACATGCTTCTAGTTCATAAGTATTTCTAGAACCTTGATCTGAAACCTATTAAATTATTAAGGCATTTGGGGTATAATTGTCCCATACTATAAACTCAATGCTTTACCATTTCTCATCATGTGACTTCAAACCAATTTTAGAAATAGAGAGCAATTCATGTAAAACATGTACTAGGAAGAACATCCTGCTCAAATTTGTGCCCTCTCATATGTGTGGCATGAGTGAACCATCTACTTACCTCAACTTTGAATTCTATAAATTTTAATGTCTAAAATATGTGTAAGTTCAAAAATAATGTTTTCTTTGTCCTTAAGATACATTTTTATGTGATCTTTTATTTTTCAGTATAATTGTACATGGGTTATTAAAATAGGATGTGTAAATGATAATATTAATAAAATATTAATTTGTTCTCTAATAATAGTCTCCAACTGATAGGCAAATGCTAGGAAAGACGTATTGACATTATTTCTGAAGCAGTTACAGCTCATTACAAGAACAGCAAAATCTTCTTTTTTTTCCAAAATAACAGCACAGTTCCAAAGATAATCATCCATTTGACTTTCACCTACAGAAAGGGATGATATCAATGACTATAAGTAGCTCTACAATTAATAAATTTTCTATTAAGTGCCATTTCTCACTAATTAGTTTTCCATTTTGGGAACTAAATTTCTCACTAATTATGTTTTATCTTTTAGGGAATAAACTCAACATTTAAATAATCCATATGGGTATATCTGCTTTAAATATCCACATAGATAGGCATGGATTTTGAAAAGCTCTATGTGCTTGGAAGCAGATTTGAGTTTTATCTCCATTACTTGCCAGCTTCAGTTATTAATTCTCACCTGTAAACTGAGGACCTTAGTAATGTGTAAATCACAAGACTACAAAGATTCAATTAGTTGCTAAGTGTAAAAACTAAAGTGTTCTTAATTGGAAAACCCCTGTATAAATATAAAACTTACTAATATTATTCAAATATTTAAAGAGCTTAATAATGTAATATGATATAATGGAGGGAAAGTGAGTTTCGGAGTTCAACACCACTCTCTACTCACGGCATTTTAGAGCATTCACTTAATATCTAAATGCCAAAATCCCATCATTGAAGTTCCACTGCCACTAAGGATGCAGAAAGCTACAAGATAATATCACTTAAGCCATTGTTTCCAATAACAATTAAAAGCTGTATAATTTATAAAATCATAATATTTTGTGAGCCTATCAGAGAATTGAAGCCACTAGGCACCCAAATAAACAAATTCCAGAGAGACAAGCCCCTCTTGGGGGTAAACAGGAAACACAAATTGTTTCACCTTTAGCAGAGCATAGAGGAAGGAGTGACTACTATACAAGCAGGTAAGAAGAGAAAAGACAAAAGATAAAATTTTAAGGGGCTAGCACGAAAGTTTAAAATAACTGTGATAAATTCACAGTTTAGAATAACACAAAAATGATTGGAGAATGGTAGGAAACTGGGAGAGTCCACTAGCATGCTAAGTACACTACTGTAAGGTTCTTCTACTGTACAGAAAGCAGAGCAACAAGTAATTATTTTTAAAGGTGGTATAACTACTAAGTCTCCTTAATAGAGCCATTGTGACTGGTGTGTGGTGATATCTCACTGTGGTTTTGATTTGCATTTCTATAATGATTAGTGATGTTGAGCATTTTTTCATATGCTTGTTGGTTGTGTGTTTGTCTTCCTTTGAAAAGTGTCTGTTCATGTCCTTTGCCCAATTTTCAATAGGATTATTTGTTTTTTGCTTGTAGATTTGTTTAAATTCCTTATAGATTCCAGATATTAGATCTCTGTTGGATGCATAATTTGCAAATATTTTCTCCTATGCTGTAGGTTGTCTGTTTGCTCTGTTGGTAGTTTCTGTTGCTGTGCAGAAGATCTTTAGTTTAATTAGGTCCCGTTTGTCAATTTTTGGTTTTGTTGCAATTGCTTTTGAAATCTTTGCCAGTTCCTATGTCCAGAATGGTATTGCCTAGGTTATCTTCCAGGGTTTTTATTCTTTTAGGTTTTACATTTAATTATTTAATCCATCTTGATATGATTTTTGTATATGATGTAAGAAAAGGTCCCAATTTCAATCTTCTGCATATGGCTAGCCAGTTATCCTAGCGCCATTTATTGAATAGGGAATCCTTTTCCCATTGCTTGTTTTTGTCAACTTTGACAAAGATGAGATGGGGTAGGTTGCAGCATTACTTCTGGGCTCTCTATTCTGTTCCATTGCTTTCTGCATCTCTTTTCATATGAGTATCATGCTGTTTTGGTCACTGTAGCCTTATAGTACAGTTTGAAATGAGGTAACATGATGCTTCCTGCTTTGATCTTTTTGCATAGGATTGCCTTGGCTATTTGGGCTCTTTTTTGATTCCACATGAATTTTTAAATAGTTTTTTTCTAATTCTGTGAAGAATATCATTGGTAGTGTGACAGGAATAGGACAGAATCTGTAAATTGCTTTGAGCAATCAAAAAATAACAGATGCTGATGAGGTTGCAGAGAAAAGGGAATGCTTATACTCTGCTGGCGGGAATGTAATTTCATTCAGCCATTGTGGAAAGCAGTCTGGCAATTCCTCAATGAACTTAAAACAGAATTACCATTTGACCCAGAAATCCCATTATTGGGTATATGCCCAAAGGAATAAATATCATCCTACAATAAAGAAACAAATGCATGCATGTATTTACTGCAACACTATTCACAATAGCAAGGACATGGAATCAAACTAAGTACCCATCAATGATAGAATGGATAAAAAAAAATATGGCACATATACACCATGGAATACTATGCAGACATAAAAAGGAATGAGATTATGTCCTTTGCAGCAACATGGATGGAGCTGGAGGCAATTATCATAAACAAACTAATGCAGAAACAGAAAACCAAATACCACATGTTCTCACTAATAAGTGGGAACGAAACAATGAGAACATATAAACATAAAGAAGGGAATAACAGACACCAGAGCCTTCTTGAGAGTGAAGGGCAGGAGGAGGGAGAAGATCAAAAACTACCTATCAGACACTATGCTTATTACCTGGGTGATTAAAAAATCTGTACTCCAAACCCCCCATGACACACAGCTTACCTATATATAACAATAAGTCTCCACATGTACTTCTGAACCTAAAATTAAAGTTAAAGAAAAACTCATAAGCCAATACTAGAAATAAAATGCAATCATAAAAAAATACATTTATCAAAAAAAGTGAGAAATGAAAAATAAACAAAAAAAGAATATATAGGACAAACAGAAAACTATTTAAAAGGTAGACTTAAGTCAAACTATATCAAAAGTTACACTAATTGTAAATGGCCTAAATATCCCAATTAAAATATAGTGATTGTCATTTTGAATAAAAAACTGAACGCTGTCTATAAGAAACCCACTTTAAGTATAAAAATAAATAGGTTAACAGTAAAGGGATAATAAAAAATATACTATTTGTACATTAGTCAAAGAAAACAAATGTGCCTACACTGATACAAGACAAAACAGAATTCAGAACAAGGAATATTACCAGGAATGCACAGGAGCATTAAATAATGACAAATGGGACAATTTATCAAGAATATGTAACAATACTAAATGTGTATATATCTAATAATAGAGATTAATTTCATAAAGCAAAAACTGACAGAAGTGAAGAAAGAAATAGACAAATACACAGCTTTGTTGGAGACTTTAATACTTTTCTCAGTAATTGACAAACCAATTAGAGAGAAAATCAGTGAAGATATAATTATCAACCAACTTCACATCTATATATTAAATCCCACCCAACAATGTCAGAATATACATTCTTTTCATGTGTACATTTCACCAACATAGAACGTATCTGGAGCCATAAAAATGTCCACATGAATGAATAAACAAAATGTGGTATATACATACAATGAAATATTATTAGGCCTTTAAAAAGGAAGGAAGTTGGGCTGGGTACGGTGGCTCACGTCTGTAATCCCAGCACTTTGGGAGGCCAAGGCAGCTGGATCACGAGGTCAGGAGATCCAGACCATCCTGGCCAACATGGTGAAACCTCATCTCTACTAAAAATACAAAAATTAGCCAGGCATGGTGGTGGGTGCCTGTAGTCCCAGCTACTTGGGAGGCTGAGGCAGGAGAATCACTTGAACCCGGGAGGCGGAGGTTGCAGTGAGCCGAGATTGCGCCACTGCACTCCAGCCTGGTGACAGAGCAAGACTCCATCTCAAAAAAAAAAAAAAGGAAGTTCTGACACATGCTACAACATGTATGAACCTTGAGGACATACTGCTAAGTGAAATGAGCCAATCACAAAAGTATAAATATTGTGTGATTACACTTATATGAGGTATCTAAAGTAGTCAAATTCTATTAAGATGGTAGTTGCCAATAGCTGAGAGAAGGGGTCAGTAAGAAGTTATTGTTTATGGGCAGAGTTTCAGTTCTGAAAGATAAGAAGAGTTCTGTGGATGAATGATGGTGATGGTAGCACAACAATGTAAATATATTGGAATGCCATTGAACTGTACATTTAAAGATGGTTAAAATGGCAAATTTGGTGTTATATATATTTTGCTGTTTTTTAAAATGAGAAATGTGAAAACATCCAAATTGTATTCTCTGACCAAAACAGGATGACATTAGAAATCAGTAACAGAAAGCTATCTAGAAAACCAAAAATGTTCTGGAAATTACCCAGCATAATTTTAAGTACTTCTATGTATCAAAGAAAAATCACAAGGGAAATTAGAAAATACCTTAATTGACTGAAAATGAAAGCACAACGTATCAAAATCTGTGGAGCACAGCTAAGGCAGTGATTAGAGGGGGATTTATACTATCAATTGATTACATTAGAAAAGCAGAAAGTTCTCAAATCAATAATAGAAGCTTCTACCTTATGAAAATAGAAGAGGAAGAACAAATTAAAACCAAAAAAGTAAAAGTTGGGAAGTAATAAAAATAAGACTAGCAAGCAATACAATTAAAAATAGAAAAACAATAGAGAAAATTAATAAACACAAAAGCTAGTGTTCTTTTTACCAGTCTTCAAAGAATTTTTTTCTTTTCAACTTTTAAGTTCAGGGGTACATGTGCAGAATGTGCAGGTTTGTTACATAGGTAAACATGTGCCATGGTGGTTTGCTGCACAGATCATCCCATCACCCAGGTATTAAGCCCAGCATCCACTAGCTAGTCTTCCTGATCCTCTTCCTCCTCCTACCATCAACTCTCTGACAGTTCCCAGTGTGTGTTGTTCCCCTCTATGTGTCCATGTGTTCTCCTCATTTATCTCCCACTTGTAACTAAGAACAGGCAGTATTTGGTTTTCTGTTCCTGCATTAGTTTGCTAAAAATAATGGCCTCCAGCTCCATTCATGTCCCTGCAAAGGACATGATCTTGTTCTTTTTTATGGCTGTATGGTATTCCACGGTGTATATGTATCACATTTTCTTTATCTAGTGTATCACTGATGGGCATTTAGGTTGATTCCATGTCTTTGCTACTGTGAGTAGTGCTGCAATAAACATACATGTGCATCTGTCTTTATAATAGAATGATTTATAGTTTTTTGAGTATATACCCAGTAATGGAATTGCCAGGTTGAATAGTATTTCTTTTTTAGGTCTTTGAGGAATTGCTACACTGTCTTCCACAAAGGTTGAACTAATTACACTCCCACCATCAGTGTACAAGTGTTCCCTTTTCTCCAAAACCTCACTAGCATCTATTATTTTTTGACTTTTTAACAACAGCCATTCTGATTGGTGTGAGAAGGTATCTCGTTGTGGTTTTGACTTGCAATTCTCTAACGATCAGTGATATTGAGCCTTTTTTCATATGCTTGTTGGCTGCATGTATATCTTATTTTTAAAGTGTTTGGTTTGTGTCCTTTGCCCTTCTTAATGGATTTTTTTTTTGTTATAAATTTAAGTTCCTTACAGTTGCTGGATATTAGACCCTTTTCAGATGCATAGTTTGCAAAAATTTTCTCCCATTCCATAAGTTTTCTGTGCACTCAGTTGAAAGTTTTCTTTGCTGTGCAGAAGCTCTTTAGTTTAATTAGATCCCATTTGTCAATTTTAGCTTTTGTTGCAATTGCTTTTAGCATCTTTGTCACGAATCTTTGCCTGTGCCTATGTCCTGAATGGTATTGCCTAGGCTTTCTTCAAGGGTTTTTATAGTTTGGGGTTTAAGTATTTAATCCATCTTGAGTTGATTTTTGTATATGGTGTAAGGAAGAGGTCCAGTTTCAATTTTCTGCATACGGCCAGCTAGTTCTCCCAACACCATTTATTAAATAAGAAATCCTTTTCCCATTGCTTGTTTTTGTCATGTTTGTCAAAGATCAGATGGTCGTAGGTGTGCAGTCTTATTTCTGGGTTCTCAACTCTCTTCCATTGGTCTATGTGTCTGTTTTTGTACCAGTACCATTCTATTTTAGTTACTGCAGCTTTGTAGTATAGCTTGATGTCAGGTAGCATGAAGCCTCCAGCTTTGTTCTTTTTTGCTTAAGATTGACTTGGCAATTCAGGTTCTTTGGGGGTTTCATATGAATTTTAGAATAGCTTTTTCTAATTCTGTGAAGAATGTCAATGATATTTTAATGGGAATAGCTTTGAAGCTATAAATTGCTTTGGGCAGTATAGCCATTTTCACAATATTGATTCTTCCTATCCATGAGCAGGGAATGTTTTTTCATTTGTTTTGTGTCACCTCTGATTTCTTTGAGCAGTGATTTGTAGTTCTCCTTGAAGAGGTCCTTCACTTCCCTTGTTAGCTCTATTCCTAAGTATTTTATTCTTTTTGTGGCAGTTGTGAATGGGAATTCATTCATAATTTGGCTCTCTGCTTGTCTGTTCTTGGTGCATAGGAATGCTAGCGATTTTTGCACATTGACTTTGTATCCCAAGAGTTTGCTGAAGTTGCTTATTAGCTTAAAAAGCCGGTTGGTTATTTTTAAAGATTGACAAAACTGATCAACTTCTAGAATTGTTAATCAAAATGAAAACTACTAATATTTTATAGGAAGAGGGGACATCACTGCATATTACATAGTTAAAGGCATATAAAGAAATTATTATGAACAACATAATCCCAATAATTTTGATAAATAAAATAGCAAAATTCCTTGAAAGGTACAAACGACCAATCATCACTCAGGAAGGAATAGATAAACTGAATATCCCAATGTTTATACAATAAATTTAAATTGTAGTCTAAAAATCTTTCCATAAGGAAAACTCAGCCCATATAGCTTCACTGTTCAATTCTATTAAATAAAAAATAAATAAATAATACCAATTTCCTTAAATCTTCCAGGAGACATAGCAAAGGGAATACTTCTCAACTCATTTTATGAGGCTGATATTACCCTGATACAGAAACCAGACAGAGATATTAGAGGAAAATAAACTATTCATAGACACAGATGTAAAAATCCATACAAAAATATTAGCAAATAAAATTTAATATATTTTGAAGAGTGGGCCTGACCTCAGTAATGCAATGATTATTCAACATTTAAAAATCAGTCCATTTAATTCTTTATGTCAGCAGTCTACAAAAGGGAAAACCATATGATCATCTCAATAGATGTCCCAGACAAGGCATTTACCATAATTTAGTATCTATTCATGACATTCAGAAAACTAAAAGGGTGCTGACTTAGAAATAAATTTAATGAAATATGAGTACACTGTATATACTGGAAACTAGAAAATATTGATGAGAGAAATTAAAGAAAACCAAAACTAATAGTTATATTTATGGGTTGGAAAACTTATTATCATTAAAATGTCAGGTCCAAATTGATATATAGATTCAACAGAATGTTTTTTAGAAATTAACAAACTGATTATAAAATTTATATAGAAATGCAAACCAAAACAATTTTTAAAAGAACAGTGTCAGAAGACTAACACTTCCTAATTTAAAGATTAGTCTAAAGCTAAAGTAATTATTGGTCTAAGGACACATACATATAGATCAATGGAAAAGAATAGAGAATTCAAAAACAGACCCACAGGTATGCGCTCAATTTATTTTTGATAAAATTGCTAAAGAGATACATAAATAAGGAAAGAATTACCTTCTAAGCAATATCACTGGAACATCTATATGCAAAAAAAAAAAGAAAGAAAGAAAGAAAGAAAAGAAAAAGGAAAAGGAAAGGAAAAATGGTTCTTGACCATTACCTTGTACCATATGTAAAAATTAAAATGGATCATATACCTAAATGTGAAACCTAAAACTAAAAATATTTTAAAAGAAAATATTGAAGAAGATCTTTGGGGCTTTAGGTTAGGCAAAGATTTCTTAGGTAAAACATCAAAAGCACAACCCATAAAAAAATAGATAATGGAGACAATCAAAATTTTAAAACTTCTGCTCTTTGAAAAATTATATTAATAAAATTAAAAGGCAAGTCACACACTGAGATAAAATAATGCAAAATGTATAACAGGTATTCAGACTGAAGATTCTGACAACTTATTAATAAGAAGACAACCCAATAAAAATGCACAAAACATTTTAACTGTTCACCAAAGAAGAAATATTGATGACAAATAAGTACATGCAAATATATTATTATTCTTTGGTGAAATGCAAATTAAAACCATAATTTGATATCATTCTACACTTAACTATCATGGCTAAAATTAAACAAACTGACAATACCACTTGCTGGAAAGGATACAGAGCAACTGGAAATCATAAACAGTGCTAATGGAAATTTAATATGGTACAGTCACTTTGGAAAACTGTCAGATGCTTATAAAGTTAAACATACACTTACCATGTGGGTCAGCAATGCCAACCCTAAGTGTTTACGCAAGAGAAATTAAAACACATACATGTCCATGCAAAGACAAGCACACAAGTAATATGTATTGAGTCCTAAGAATATTGTATATACTTCTCCTTTTTGCAGATGTGGGCTCAATAATGTGATTTTTAAATATCTTCTAGACTACTAGATCTTTGGTAAAGGAAAACTCATGCAAGACTTGATGTTGGACTATTTTCTATCTAGAGGTACTGAAGAACAGTTCTGCAGGAAAGAGTAACCCAGACTCTAACTACACCACTGTGACATCACTTTCAGTGGAACGGAACAGAGAAAGAATATTAAGGGAGAGAAATTTGCAGGCTAGAAAGCTCAAGGTTACTTTGGTATGTGAAAGAGAAACTAATTTTGAGAGCTTAATTCTCTTTGATATCAAGGTTTTTATTCTTCCTTGACAACAAGCAGCCTGGAGTGAATAGATGGCATATAATATAGTATGGCCTTGAAATGAATACTCTGCTTTTCACCCATCTCTTTAGACCATAAGGCAGCATTAAAAAAGCAGACACACTTAGGTGGCGGTCGAACTTCCCTGACACTTCTCTATTTCTTCCTCCAAGGAAATATCCACATGTTTGATTAATTATACAGTTGGGTTTAAGTCTAATGGTTGAAAGAAAGAACCAAAGATAGTGGAATATAAGTATACGAGATGGAAACCTCTCTAGGCTTCATCCTTGCATTTTTCTTCTTTGGGCTGTCCTCAAAGAAGATGTTAATCTGACTCTAAGGCAGGGGTTAGGTGTGTTTACTAGTGAACAGAGTCACTGTATTTAAATTAATAAATAAAAGAAGAGTTCATACATTTGACCATTCTTTCACTCTGACACTTTCTTTTATCTTTCCCTGCAAGAGCACAGTAAGCCCTCAAGCTTGAACTAGGAGGCAAGGAAAAGTCCATGTTATAAGAACTCTGTGTTAGAATTTCAGAAACAAGCCCAGCCAGTAATAAAGTGTTTCTTCACTTTTATGGTGATATCCCTAGTGTGCGTATCTCTCCTAGGACCAAAGAAAGGATTAGCTGTAATTTGGGGCAGGTAATTTTGGCATAACTGTGAGTACATTTGGCATACTAATGCCACATAATTATGTTAGTATAATCAAAACCACACTAAGATTTCCAATATATATCATAATAAAATTAAGAGAGAATGTTTTGACTATTGATATAGCATATTTGTTACCAGATCTAGGCATATATCTATCTACATAATCATTAAAAGTTTTAGAAGAATTAGTATTTATTGGAAATCTACCAAACGCCAAGGGATTTCTACCAGTAGCAACAATTTATTATTGATGTTTCACTATGTATCAGGGACTACACTGGGTGCTTAATATGCTGCACTGCGTTTAAATCTCACAATACCCCTATGGAGTAGAACTAATGCATTTTACAAGATGAACTAAGGGTTAGAGAAGCAAGGGCTAAGTTACCAAGTGGTAATCAGCAAATTGTGTCTTCAATTAAAGGCCCAATTTTCCCACTATGTCACATTGATTAGTTAAGCCATTTGAAATTCTCAAATAATATTAATAATTTAATAACTTACAAATGTATAGTAGTTTGTTCTTTAAAAACATCATAGCATCCAAGAATAACAGTCCTTGGAATTACACAGCCTTGCAAATAGTAGTTTCTTACTCCTCTTCGTCTAGCTCCATACAGCCAGTCAGTTTTCTCTTTGTATTTTGAGGTCCCTGTATTAAATGGATCCTTCATTTCTCAATGCAGAAAACTCCATGTTATGGTTTGAATGTGCCCCCCAAAATTTATGTGTTAGAAACTCAATGCACAGTGCAACAGTGTTGGGAGGTAGAATCTAATGGGAGGTGTTTAGGTCACGAGGTCCCCACTCTCATGAATGAATTAACATCATTGTATAAAGGGCTTGCAGAAATGAGTTCATAGTCTTACACTCTTATGCCCTGTGGGGACACAGGAAGAAGACCCTCATGAGATGCCAGCACTTTCGTCTTGGACTTCTCAGCCTCCATTAACTATGAGAAATAAATTTTTGTTCTTTATAAATTACTTAGTCTTTGATTATTTTGTGACGGCCACACAAAACAGACAGATGTTTCATCTTGCTATGAGGCACATCACTTCCCAAACATAAGTCTCCATGTAGGTGTTCCCACTCTATCACAGAAAGCTACACTAGTAAACATGCCATACTAACCATATTAAAAATATGTAATGTCTGTGTTTTTCCACCACCTCCAGACCCAGTATAGGACTTTACCACTGCAGTATGCTGAAAGTCATATCCAACACACATTCCAAAATCCTGCAGTAGATGAAGCAAAAGGAATTTTCTTCCAAGGTTAATGTCAAGGTTGCCTAGATAAAACAGGGCCAAAGCTTTAAGTCCAGATATGGCCGGAACATCAGAGAGCAGAAAACAGATGGGTAACTTTACTCCCAGAAATCTGGACAAAGCTCTTTGACAAAGAAGAAGGAGAAAGAAAATATATGATGAAATCTGGCCAGGATTATTCTGATAGTGCACCCTGGATCAGCTTATCGCTTCAGCTGCATTGGGCAAGAAGAAGAAAACGCACAAAATGTATGTATGTAATTTTCAATGTGCAGTGTCCAATTTGCACACTAGCAAATACTGCCTAATCAATGCCCTGAATTTTAGCAACTAAATTATCATTCCCTAGTTTGGGGAAGGATTAAAGATGGAGGGTAAATGAGAGAAGCCTACAGAGATTTCACACTAAGACACCAACATTATATATTTAGTAAAAAATTTATAAGGAGTAGTAGCAAGCACCAAGTCTTTAGAAAGGGGTGTATTTTCTTCTCTGCTCTTCTTAATATCATTGTAATGACCTCCAGGTCTCCCAGTCTTATTTACTGAGATTTCACTTATTACAACCCTTCGTATCTTAATAGTCACTTTTGTTTAGATTTTTATCTCTCCCAGAACACGGTAAATTCTTTAACAGAGATGCAATGCTTTAACCCTTTTTGTTCCCTATTGTTCCTTCCATATATTAAGAACTTCATCAATATTACTTAATAAAATTAATCTCCCTACTACACTTTTCAAACAAGTAGCCAAACTAAAAGGAGAGAACTCATGAGTTTTGTTTTGCTCCACACTCTTGCCTCAGCTAACACATGATTAATTCTGAGATGGAAGGTAAATTTAAGCCAAGGTTTTCTCACATCTCATAGGGTACTTTATTATGACTTTATTTGTGCTTTCAAAGCTTTCACTAGAGAATAATGGTCAACCACAGATCTACTGGACTGCATGACAGAAATTCCATTTGGTATCATTTATTATATCCAAACATTATTATACGCCCTCATTAATTTTATCATTTCATCTGTGAGAGATGTAATCTTACAAAGTGACTTAGAGGAAAAAGCTGAAATATAATTGGCGGCCCTTCTGGTTACCCTGTGGAAAGATCCTTCAGTTGAAAATCTAAAATAACTCATCGTCTTCATCAATTAGGTCATTCCTCACATCAGAAAGCATCAAAGAGCTGGTACTTTCCCCGCAACTGTGTATTTGGAGGGGCAGAAAGATCAGCCTTACAGCTGATTTTAAATGTTATACATATTGCATAATGTGAAAATGATTTTTCATGTTGAGCAATTAATGCTTGCAGTGTTCTATAATACTAAAGGAGTTAGAGCCAAACCAGTTATCAGGACTGAAGCAGAGAACTGTACAAGGCAACAGTTCGAGGTTTCTTTATTGTCCTGTTCTGTGTTCTGTGAAGTAGTGTCACTTAACCTTTCTTATGTAGCAGCTCTTCTTACTCGTCTTTCCTTCCAAGACTTGGTTTTGACACCCACTTGAAAGAAACCCTACTGTCCTGATATATTAAGACTTGTTTGCATGTTTGTTGAGGAAATATCTGCTAAGTGAAGCAACAATTTGGCATGGAGTTAAAGGTCCTAATCAATTACTCTGAGCCATCCTGGACTTCAAAATGCTTCTCAATTGAGCCATTCTCTGACCTACCAACCCAGGGCTTTTTGAATCTCTAAATGCTGATTCTCTGTCAGTTTTCAGTATTACCTCTCAGCCACTTATGGCAGCTGCTAATCTAGAGTCTTTATAAATCTTAACGATATCTGCTCAGAAGGCTCTTTTCAGCTCTGCTACAAGAACATTTCAGTTACAGCTTATATCTGCTGCCAGAAGAACCTTAGCTGCCATGCAGCCCAGATCCCATCCTAAGCTAGAACTGGTCTAACAGAACTGACCATGTTCTTGAGTATATCTCAGAATAACCAAACCCCTCCCCAGCCAGGGTTCCAGGTCTCTGTAGAGTAAGCCCGTGCTAATCAAAGGGATTCAGAACAGTACATTCACTATTTAAAATGGGAAAATAACATGCAGGTGAGGATTAACATTTAATCCTTCTTTCTCCCTCCCAAGAATTATAGCTACATTATATTTTACTCCTTTTAATTAAAATTAATAATTGGAAATCTTTGGCAATCTGTTTTCCCCAAGGTACCCCACATCCCATTACATAATTCACATATTCTTTGCTTGAAGATGCTTCCTTTTGCAGCAACTCTGAAAATGCTTTAATTTTATTTTATAAAATTGGGTTATGGTTCTTATAGAGACATATAATTAAATCTCTTCTGCTGCTCAAGGAGATTGTTTTAAATAACAATTGTTACTAAATTTTTCTATGACAACATAAAAATAAAGTTTTGTTTCACACACAACTTTTGGTAGAAATTATGCAGAAATGAATCAATACAAAAAGAACTATGATCTGACTCTTTTTTGCATTCAAGTAATCATTATTTTGCCAGAATTTATTAACTAAAAGCACTAAGAACTCATTTACCAAAGTAAGCTGTGAACTTCTTTTGAAATATAATTTGAATTCTCTAGTAAACTCACTTGTATTATTCATAATTCATATTTTCTGCCCAAAGATATGACCTTTCATTTAATGAGCATTCTTGACAAATAGCCTAATTAGTCTTTAAATACAAAATATTGTATTAGAATCAAAAGGTCTAATGTCTCTGAAGGGATCATAAGAACTTGGAGCTAGAGAAATGAAAAATAGTACACTCCTGGTTTTTCAGGTGTCACTGCCACACCACCTACTTCATCTTAAATGTCATGTTCACATAGGTTAAATGTTAGAAGTCCATAAAGTTGTAAGGTAAAGGTCTTGGATACATAAATATTATACATTAAGCAACTACTAAGGAAAAAATATTAATTTTTTAAATTGACTTCAGATAAAAAGGAACATTTCAAAAGAAAATCATGCCTACCCTTCTATTTTATTAATATGGAAATAATAACTTATAAATCTTGTTTCTATTCAATATGTAAGACCAAAATGGATCTGGTAGAAAAAAAATAGCATTCTTCTGATTGCCTGTCTCTTATATTACAAAGAGAGTCTTTCAGTTTGAAGATAATAATATGGTATCACTGCTTATGGAATGTTCACACCATACAGGGAAGGCAGAGGTATGGGTTCTGCCCAAGGGGCTTACTATCTAAGAAATACAAACAAAGTCATTTACATATAACAAGAAAGCCAATGCTTCAGTTAAATGTCAGAGTTACAGAAAAACAGGCTTTCAACCATCTCTTGATTTTTCTTCTTTTTTATTCCTCTTATATTTTCATTTTTTTTCTTCCTTTTCCTTCAGTTTCTTTGCACAGGGAATTTGTGCAAAAATGGTAAATGAAAAAAACCGCATTTTGAGGACAAAAGAGTAAAGAAAGGGGACAGTTTTAAGCACAAAGGGCTGTCAAGGGAACCAGCAAATACAATAGAGAATAGAGAAAAATCTAACTTGGACGCAAGAGACTTGGAAAGGAACAAGGCTGAGAGATATAAGCAATTCCTAAAACTGTTCTCATGTTCTCTAATTCTAGAAACTGAAATAAATATTCAATCTTATCTAGCTGTCTTTGAAGCCACTGGGATCCCAAAGAGGCAGCTGTTGACACTTGGCTTCACATCCATCTGCCTCTATTGCATTAGAGATACATTACCTAATCTTACAGAATTTGACTAAAACAGATAGGAAAAATATCCTCAGGGTCAACTTTACATCCCATTTGGCTCTGAAATTAAAAAGATTGCAATACATGCCTTATGTTAGAACAACTATAAAAGCATATCTTATATTGATTCTACTTTACTGTTTTGTTCATCAATTTCATAATGGAAGAACTTTGAATGAATTCACTGAAGCAAATGTTGATCATCTTTTAATGATATAGACAGCAAAAGGAAAGCTAGAATAGTTAGAAAATATTGAGCTCTGCATACATTATCCTCTAACTTCTCACAACAAGTCTTTCAAGTAGGAATTATTAATTCATTTTGCAAAAGAGAAAACAGAGTTTATTGAGGTTAAGGAACAGTCCATGTTTACCCAATTAGGGAATGACAGAATAGGCTTTGGACCACTCATCTAATTCCAGAGCTAACACCATGATTCACTACACTATTTAATACCAGTGGATGAGCTCATCCTAAAGATGAGTTAAAGATGATCAGGTAGACTGGGAGGGTAAATTAGCATAGTCTTTTTACAAAGTGTGGCACATACAGCACTGGCAGAGATGAATTTCTGGTAATATATAGATAGACTTTTTATTTAATATGAATTCATTTAAGATGTGTGAAGAAGAATATGACCAGCTTATTAAATCCCTTTTTTCATGGATATTTTTGCTAAGAATGAGAATAAGTTTTAAAAAGTAAACTGTTTACAATTTACCAAAGGAAAAAGTTACAGAAAAGTAATCTATAGATGGGAAATGAAGAATGAGGGAAAAGGTACAAAAGTAATACACAAAATCTGGGAAACACAGAATTAAGGTAATCCATACTGAAAAAGTCACCAGTACAAAGTTGTAGGGACTTGAATGACAGAACAGGTAAGACAGTAAGTATAAAGAAGAGCAGATATTTACAACTAGAATACAAAGAGAATGGATAGAAATGAGTCCTATGAAGGAAGCATGTTAAGAAGTTTAGAATTTAAAGCAAGAAACAAAGAGAGTCATGGATAAATTTGCCATGGTCAGATATGCAGGTAAGAAAAAGTACTCTAGCTACAGTGAAGAGGATTGATTGAATGAGAGTGGTCCTGGAGACAAGCAGGCCAGTTAACAGACCATTACAACACACCTCTTAAAAAGGCTGCTATAAAGAAAAAAAAAAACCCCACACACATGCACACAGAAAATGACTTTTGTTGGCAAAGATGAGAAATTGGGACTCTTGGCTGGGCGCAGTGGCTCACGCCTGTAATCCTAGCACTTTGGGAGGCAGAGGCGGGCGGATCACCTGAGGTCAGGAGTTCAAGACAAGCCTGGCCAACATGGTTAAATCCCATCTCTACTAAAAACACAAAAATTAGTCAGGTGTGGTGGTGTGTGCCTGTAATCCCAGCTACCCAGGCGGCTGAGGCAGGAGAATCACTGGAACCTGGGAGGCAGAGGCTGCAGTGAGATGAGATGACACCACTGCACTCCAGCCTGTGCAACAGAGCAAAACTCTGTCTCAAAAAAAAAAAAAAAGAAAGAAAAAAAAAAGAAATCAGAACTCTTGCAAACTATTGGTGAGAATGTAAAATAGTGTGGCTGCTATGGAAAACAGTATGTCAGTTCCTCATAATATTACAAATAAAGTTACTGTATGATCCAGCAATTCCACTTTGGGTATATATACCCTAAAGAACTGAAAGCAGGAACTTGAAGAGATATTTGTAAGTCATGCTCATAGCAGCATTCTTCTCAATAGCCAAAAGTTAGAAGTAACGAAAGTGTCTATTAATGAATAAATAAATAAACAAAATATGATGTATACATGCAATGAAATAGCACTCAGTCTTTAAAAAGGAAGGAAATTCTGGCACATGCAACAACATGAATGAACTTTGAAGACCCTATGATAAATGAAACTAGCAAGTCACAAAGGACAAATACTGTATGATTCCACTTATATGAGGTACCTAGAGCAGTCAAATTCATAGAGATAGCAAGAAGAATAGAGGTTTCCAGGGGTTGGGAGGAGGAGGGAATGGGAGATTATTGTTTAGTAGGTACAGAGTTTCAGTTTTGCTGATGAAGAGTTCTGTGGATGGATGGCCATGGTGGTAATACAAGGATATGAATGTACTTAGTGCTACCAAACTATATGCTTAAAAATGGTTAAGATAATAAATGTTATATGTATTTTACCACAATTTTTTTGAGCTTTAAAAATTGAAAAACAGAAACCATTGCAACAACCCACACAAAGAAACATTGAATGCTTAGCCAAAATTTTAACCAAAATAAGAACTAGGAGTAGTAACTGATACCTGCTCACAGTGAAGCCTGGACATCCAACCAGGCACAGTGGCTGAACTGTTTGACAGGCTGGGCCACTTCAGATGTTCTTAGCAGATGATTTTACTCATAGAGTCTATGCATTCATTTATATAACAAATAATTATTAAATACATTGTGCTAGGCACTATGTAAGTCCTGGGAATAAAGCAGTGGACAAAACAGACACTATCCCTCTCAAATGGGAGTTTCCCAGAAGGGGATAGGAAAGAGGACTGATCTTTCTATAATTGACAGATTTGAGTCCTTCCATTATTCTTACCTTATGAGTCCAGGTAGCACTCTCTATCTCCAGCGCATTTTCTTAGCCAATGTTTGCCAGACTTTGGGTTTGACAAGTTCTTATTTTGACAAGGAAAGAGTGTTTTAAGTAATTACCATCAATTAAGAAAAGAAAGAAAATTCTAACATACAAACAATAGTCTATAATCTTAAAATAAAGAACAATCCAATAAATATAATAAATTTAGTTGTAACTCACTACCTGCACCTTATTTTTTTCTTTTTTGCCGTGAAACAATAAACAGATCTTCAAGGATTTTTACTTTCCTTTGGACATTTTCTGGATCAGCATTTAGAAACCAATGGGCTCTAGGTTACAGCCATATCCTCAAAGGCTGGGCAAGGTTATGTCTCTCTGCCTTTTTCAGAGTCACTAATAGCTTTGTGGGGTCCCAGTGTGGCTCTCTTAAAACATTAATACCTATAAATAATAATATCTATAAAATACCCAAAGGCCTCTGCCGAACTTTAATAGTCCTTCCAGCCACCATATAATAAATTCAATTACAACTCATTGACAAAATTTGATTAAACATTTATCAGGTAATAGGTTAAACACTAGAGATAAAAAGACATAATAGACGGACACATCATCTACTGTCCAAACTGTAACATTTTACAGAGTGAAAGGGTGGTCTGCTAATACTTATGCCAGGAAAAGTAACTCAAACAAATTAAGTTATATGGTCATCCTATTTAAGGAGCTCATAAGCTGATAAGTAGTATGGTAAAACTATTATTAAAACTCAGAGGACAAGGCAATTAATTTAGGGGAATTGGGAGGCTGCAGGGTAGTGATCCTTAAGAAGTAAGGGTTTCATTGAATCTCAAAGAATTAGTAGGATTCTACCCCTAGCAAGAGAATGAGAAACACACTTCAAGCAAAAGAAACAGCAGAGGCATCCATCAAACCGTCACACATGCCTCTGCTGTTTCTTTTGCTTGAAGTGTGTTTCTCATTCTCTTGCTAGGGTAGAATCCTACTAGTTCTTTGAGATTCAAAACACGGCACATGTATACCTGTAACAAACCTGCAGGTTCTGCACATGTTCCCCAGAACTTAAAGTATAATTTAAAAATAAATAAATGAATAAATAAATACAAGGACATACTTTGTTATCTTCCTCACTATCAAAAGGTTCAAGTCTCAGACTTAACTTTTTAGTTTACAAACAAAAATAAAGACAGGAAATAGTCTTAAAAAAAAAAAGAAAGAAAGAAAAGAAATAGCTCACGCCTGTAATCCCAGCACTTTGGGAGACCACAGCAGGTGGATCACTTGAGGTCAGGAGTTCAAGACCAGCCTGGGCATCATGGTGAAACCCCATCTCTACTACAAATACAAAAAATTAGCTGGGCGTGGTGTGGGCGCCTGTAATCTCAGCGACTTGGGAAGCTGAGGAAGGAGAATCACTTGAACCTGGGAGGCAGAGGTTGCAGTGAGCAGAGATCACACCATTGCACTCCAGCCTGGGTGACAAGAGCAAGACTCCATCTCAAAAAAAAAAAAAAAAGAGAGAGAGAAATAGAAAGAAACAGCAGAAAGCTCATTAAAATATTGGTTGCAATTCTAATATTGCCCATTACAGTAGGAAATAGTAAGGATTTATAAGATAACTACAGTATTTGTCATAGCTCTTACCTTTATGGAAGTTGTAATTTAAAAAAATATAAAAGCAACTTTTTGAAGACAAAAAAATGGATAAGGCTTTCCTCTTAACTGTAGAATACATACACAAGATCTAAATGTGAAAAAAACACTACCAGGACAAACAGAGAGAGAAGGAGAGATGGAAGAAGGAAGGGAGTTGGGAAGGGAAGGAGGGAGGGAGGCAACTTAGCAGCATCATTCAACAGGATTCTTAATTTCCAATAACTTTCAACTGATAGTTTTCTGGATTCAACATAGATTTCAGGATGGAGATACAGAACTTTATTATTTTACAAATTTAAGATCCATATTTTCAGTAGCTGTTGTCTTGTGTGGGTCTGGAGGCACTAACAGAAGACAAAGCTGAGCTGTTTTTTTTTTAACATCATGATATGATGTGTCACTTTCTGGAGGTCAATATTTCGGTGCCTCCCAACTCACGCCAAAGGCTATATATTATATTTGAATAAAATTTACATATGACAACTTCTATTGCAACATCTTTCAACCTTCTCCTAATGCAGTTTTCTTCCAGGTTTAGCAAGCTGGGAAGATTGCCATACTCTCCTTTATTTTCTATTTCTTTGTTAATTTTCAGCATCTTTTGATTTTTCAGCTAAACATCATAGGAATTGGGTCCTTATGTCCAGTATTACTAAATCAGTCATATATACATAGCTACCTAAATTGTATATATTAAGTAAGACAGGCAGATTTTTTGTTTGTTTTGTTTGTTTGTTTGAGACAGAGTTTCACTCTTGTCGTCCAGGCTGGAGTGCAATGGCACGATCTTGGCTCACTGCATCCTCCACCTCCCAGGTTCAAGTGATTCTCCTGCCCCAACCTTCCAAGTAGCTAGGATTACAGGCATGTGCCACCATGCCCAGCTAGTTTTGTATTTTTAGTAGAGATACGGTTTCTCCATGTTGGTCAGGCTGGTCTTGAACTCCCAACCTCAGGTGATCCGCCCACCTCGGCCTCCCAAAGTGCTGGGATTACAGGGACAGGGTTTTAATGTGTGTGATTTTTTTTTTTTTTGGCCACCCACCTCAGAACCACCTGAGTGCTTACTAAAATGCAGACTCCCAGGCCCAGTCTCAAACCATTAAATTGTAAGCTTAGGAGATGGGTTCTGGAAATTTGCATTTTAATAAATTCCATGAAAATTTTTCCACAAGACTCCTGCCATTTAAAAATGAGGTTTGAAATTACTCCCACATTCCATTTGAGCTACCTTAACAACTTGAAGTAAAAAGGCATAATTATCTCAAAAAGAACTAAGGAAATGCTTTCTTGGAGGAAAAAAGGAAAAGATATTTTGGAAAACTAGTATATGGCATCGTCCAGGTTAATAACTCAACTACAGATAGCTCACCCACTGAAACTACTTTTAGAGATCATAAAATGTTATAATTGGAAGGGTCTATAGAAGTCAATTAGTACAACCTTAACTTGACCTCCATATTAAAGCTGAGGAAATCAAAAGCCATGGAGTCTAATTATTATCTGTTACTTTATTTATTTTAAAAAGGGATATTTTGCTTGCTTTTTAAAGAATCATACATATAATGACATTTTTTTAAATACATGCATTTTGCCAGAATAGCTAATCTCATCCATTGAAGGAAGCATAAGTATACCAGGCCTCATTTATTTTGCTATGATTTAATCCAATTATCTAAGCCCCAAACATGAAAAAAATAAATTTATGTAAATAACTGGTTCAGTCTCACAGTTACAAGTAGGTTATGATGTGCCAATCATCCCATGCCCTCAGAAGGCAATAAAGACACAATTTCAAATGTCATGCTTTTGCCTACTGTCAGCCACATGAAGGTTTGTGAATTTTAAACATATTTGTATGCTTAATAAGTACAGATTCTTCTACCCACATTTCATATAACTACATGTACGTTTTGCTCATTTCTCTGTTATGTTGTCAGAATCATCTAACGTGGCTCAAATCACTGAATACCATAAAAAGTGACATTTATTTTCTACAAAAGATGGCCCATAGACATAAACATTTGACCAAAAGCTAACTGGATTTAACCTAAATTGCCTATCATAAATCCACAAAATTCAGTCCTCAGTAAGAGAACAAAAGCAGTTTTTTTTAAATAAGGCATATACCTAATGACATTTGTTCTCTCTGAATAAAATAGGGTTGTTAAATCACCCACTGTTATAATCACTCCAACAACTACTCTCTCCTTGCTCTCAATGCAAGTTCACATTTCACTGAGAAATTAGAAGCAGCCCTAAGGGAATGCCCACAATCTCTGTCTACAGCATAAGCACTTCTGTGCTTACAAACCCTGCCTGCTTCCCACTAAACACAGATGCACTATCCATCCTCCTCTCAGAGGCAAAGCTCTCCACTCTTAGGTAAATCTTAATCGTCTTGCCTTCTCAACAGAAATCTCTCCAATGACTATTTCCCCCACATTTTCAATGCTTTCTCGTTTCCACTAGATTATTCCCATTAGCATTCAAAAATCTATAATGTTCCACATCAAAGAAGAAAGAAGGAAGGAAGGAAGGAAGGAAGGAAGGAAGGAAGGAAGGAAGGAAGGAAGGAAGGAAGGAAGGAAAGGAGGGAGGGAGGGAAGGAGTTCAGAAAAACTTTCCCATACCCGCTTTACTGCTTCTTATGTCATAAAAGCCTTACCTTCTCAAGACTGATCTCCCTTAGACTGGGCTCCCAGAAAATAATTTGTTGTCCTACAGAGTTCCCATAGAAATTGGGGAGCTAGTGCTTATTGTAATAATGAATTCTGGTCAGTCAGAGGCTTGAACCACAGCCCTGCAAGCAGCCAAGGCAGGAATGAAAGGAATCAGACAGGAGTCCAAGTATCCCAGCCATCCCATCACATCGGGAGAGGAGCTGGTGCAGCTTGAAGGCCCCCCAGGCTGATGACAGAGTCCTTCTCCTAGAGTCTGACACTCAGGCCTGCTAGATCTCTGTGCACTGCTCTAAAATGCAATGAGGCCATGGGAGTTCACACTTCTGATACTGGTTCTGTGCCTCTGAGTTTTCTTCCAATAAACATTGTCCCATCAGGCTGGGTGTGTGTGCTATCTGGCCATTCATTCAACATGGCTGAAACAACAATACCATTCCCTGTTTATGGCAAAACTCTTCAAGAGTTATCTATACTTGCTGTGTCTATTTTTTGTCTTCTTCTTCTCCTTTGAACCCGCCCAGAAAGGC
Organism: Homo sapiens; assembly: GCF_000001405.40. Classification (NCBI taxonomy): domain Eukaryota; kingdom Metazoa; phylum Chordata; class Mammalia; order Primates; family Hominidae; genus Homo; species Homo sapiens. The sequence continues at coordinate 108,770,635 of NC_000007.14, read as the reverse complement.
TTTGTCTCTGCCATTCTATCGAACAACTCACAGAATTGTCAATAATAACCCCCCATTGCCAACTCCATCTTCCTTTCATTAGACCTATAAAGAGTTTTTGCCTCTGTGCCCCTCCCTCCTTGAACAATTACTTCACTTGGCCTCTGAACACCACTATCTTTTGCTTCTCCTTGTATCTCAGCATCTCATTCCTCTTCAGTCTTCACTGATGATTCCTCCAATCTCTAACCCTTGAAACATACCAGGCCTCAGCTCTCAGAACTTCCCATCTAAACTTACTCCCTAAGTGATCTCTTCTAGTTCCTGACTTTGATGGCTCTAAATACCAATTTTATGCTGATGATTCCCAAATGTTCAGGTCCAGCCATGACCTTTCCCTTGGAAGTAAACACTCATCTCTCCAGTGTCCAAACTTGACATATCCCAAAGTGACCTGCCGAGTTCCCCTACCAAATCTTTACTCCAGCATTGCCCATCTTAGTTGCTCAGGCCCAAAACCTTAAAATCATCTTTGGCCACTAGCTTTTATCTCATGCCCATCATCTATTCCATCAAAAAATTATGTCACCTCTATCTCCAAAATATGATAAAAATCTAATCACTCGTCACACCCTCTATTGCTATCATCCTGATCCAAATCACTCTTGCCCATTGCCTAGATTTGAACTAGCCACCACAGTGTTTACTTCCACTTTGGCCCCATTCCAGTTATTCTGATAGCACCCAAACTAATCCTTTTTAAGGAAAATAACATCAGGTCACTTTTTCTGCTTGTGGCCTTCACTGCCTTCCCATTTCAATCAGAGCAAAAGCCAATGTCTTATTATGGCCTCCAAGGCCCTATAAGGTCTGAATCCTCCCACTTCCTTGCTGACGTCAGCTACTCTCCCAATCACACAGGACTCCTTGCTGTCTCTTAGGCACACTTTTGCCTCAGGACAGCGGCTCTTTCTCCTGCTATGAGCACTCTTTTGGCAAATAACAACATTTGCTTGTTTTCCACTTCCTTAGGTCTCCAAGAAAGGCTTCTACATAAAATGGCTACTAACAATTCATGTACACTGGCAGTTTCCATCCCCCATCACCCTGATCCATTTTTTTCTCCATAATACTTATTGCCATTGAACATATTATACTTTTATTGTCTATTTTATCCACAATAATGCAAGTTATATTACAGCAAGGACTTCATCTGCTTTGCTCACTGCTGCACCCCCAGGACTTAGGACAACACCAGCTATATCATAGGTGCTCATTATATATTTGTTGAATGAATGAATATATATATATGTTAAAATGATGAACAAATTAAACCAGGGATTTTTTAAATATTCAATCACAGTTTGACTAAAATCACATTAATTTTCCAATGAAAAGCCTTTAATAGTCATGCAAAAGGTTGCTCTAAGATGGCTGATTAAACATTTCATTTCCAAAACTAAATTTCTATCCTTGGGTCACTATTTTCAAACAACCTTTCAGCCCTTTTGAAAGAACCCTACATAGATTATTATTTATTCTTTTCATTATTTCATGACATTCTCAAAGATCAAGTAAAAAACACATGTCGAAGCAATTTCTCCCTGTTTCTTCTGATTAAAATCAATACTTTTCCTGCTCTTAACAGCAGTAAAAATCAACACAATAGTTACTGTTAACTCAATAGAATGTCAAGTGATATCTTTGTGTATTGTTACCAGCAGGGATATCAACAGAAGATTACCAACAGCCTATAATCATTGCTGGCTTTATTATCTACAAAATGTCATGTGTGCGTATGGGATTTCACAAAACATCACAGTGAAAACAAGGCTCCTGCCTCAAATAACTTGGAGTTTATTTAGACAAAGAAATAAAGAATAGGGAGGCAAAACTTAAGAGGAAGTCCTGCTGTTGTTGAGAAAAGAATGATTGATCTAAGTGGTTAAGGCAGGATAATAAGTCCCATTCCTATTTCCATGGCTGTGTAGCTTGATTCTGCTATTTGAATTACAAACAGCAGCCATAATCCTGACCGATTATTTTCAAAACACTGCTCCCTGTTGGACATGGAGAAAAAGCTCAGACCATAACCATCAGCAGATACACTGTTAGAAATGCCAAGCAATATAAAGGTGACGTCCCACCAATAGTTGCTAGAAACGTCTTATAATATTTTATTATTTAAAGAAAATTGACCCTTTCCCAAAAAAAAAAAAAACCATGGAAACTATATTGTACTTAGCCTAACAGTGAATTTCTAAGTCTATGTAACTTAAAACATCTAACATAGAATGTTTATAATGAGGGTTGCAAACTAAAATGTTTATAAGGAAAACAATTAAAAAGTGAAGCAGGTAGGAAATGTGTGTATTGGAGAAGGTGGTGATGGGGCATGTGACAAACGTGCTGCATATTCTTCACCTAAAAAGGGCAGCTATTTCTCAAAAAGAGTAGGTTGATGTCACAAGGAAGTACAGGCCCAATGCTGCCAAGCCTTCCAGTTATCTGAAAGAAGACAGAAATCCAAAATGTTTATGTGCAATTTCTAAGGTTTAACTTGTTGCTCAATTAAAATAAAATAATCATTCATTCTCAGCAAATCATCACTCTCAGCAAACTAACACAGGAACAGAAAACCAAACACTACATGTTCTCACTCATAAGTGGGAGTTGAACAATGAGAACATCTGGGCACAGGGAGGGGAACATCATACACCAGGACCTATTGGTGGGTGGGGGGCAAGGGGAGGGATAGCATTAGGAGAAATACCTAATGTAGATGACGGATTGATGGGTGCAGCAAACCACCATGGCATGTATGTACCTATTAACAAACCTGCACATTCTGCACATGTACCCCAGAACTTAAAGTATAATAAAAAAAAAGAAAAATACTAGAATTGTGTATCAGGCACAATAATTGCAACTAAAATTAAATTAACAAAGATATGAGGAAAGCCTAAGGCAGCCAATACCCAGTGCAAAGTGTTCAAAGCAAATGCTCATCAAATAACTTTTTCACATCAGGAAACAATATGGTGGTAATTTGGGAGTTTTAACATGTCCAATAATGTCCTTATTTTGCAATCACACTAGATACTTTGGCTAGACTCAAAATAAATTTGCTTCAAAAAGGGACATGGCTTCTTTCTCAAATATCTATTGTCACTAAGGAGAAACACTATAAGACGAATTATTTCTTTCTTGTAAAATACTTATTTTTTTCTCTAGGAAAGAATTACAAATTTTCACATTGTTAGAATTCAGAAACATCAGCAGTACATGTCTAGTTGAATAATTTTCTTTTTCCTATTGGGTCTTCCTTGGGCCTTTTAAACTAACCTTTATTCACTTCAAGGAAATACTCATCTAGTATTTTACTGATTAATTCTTCCCTTTCATTGTCTCTGTTTTCTTTTCTTGAAATGCATATCATTAATGCGCTAGATCTCGATGTTGTTCTCATACTCACTGTCTCTTTGCCTTTTTGCTTTTTTTCTAGCAGATTTTTCTGACCTTAGCACTTCCAAAACCAAGTCAATTTCACTATACTCATTTTATTATTCAGTAAATCCATTTTTAAAATATGAAAATAATACTTTCAAATTTAAAAAACTCTTTTACTGTTCATGAATTATTTCTTTTCCATTGCCCCTATTCTTCTTTTACAAAATGCAACACTTAGATAAGTCTGACGATATTAATAAAAATACCCATTCACTGCACATCAGCCTGGGCAACATGGTGAGACCATGTCCCTAATATATATATCTATGTGTGTGTGTGTGTGTGTGTGTGTGTGTGTGTGTGTGTGTGTGTATAATCTCCACTTACTCTATTTTCAGCACCCTGAATTATCTCTGCTTCCTTGTGGGTCTCTTGTTCTTTATAGTCATCTTGATATTTCTCTTTTAGGCTGTTGGCGATTATTCGTTTACCATTTACATTTATAAGCAAAGGGCAATGCATAAGTGTTCACATTTGTGCAGGTTTCCCTGCATTGTTTCATTAAGTAACTTCACTAAGCATTGCCCCCAAATGGGAGTCTTGACCATAAGCTCTGTGTAAGTATAGGCGTGTGTCAAAACAAAGGCTTCCCTGTAGCGTGAATAGACAGAGAGTTGAGTTGACAGGCAGGGATGGGATCCACCAAAACAAACAAACAAAAAGCCTAAGTAGTAAATTGAACTTCAGGAAAGGACTATTTAGTGTTTTCTGTACCTGGGAGTTGCTGCTCTCCCTTTCTTTCCTCCATGTCTGTGGTGGAGACATAGAATTTCTCCTGCTTTTCTCTGGTTTTAATGGCCACACAAGGAGCCATCCCAAGGCAAATTAATGATTGTCTTTCGATAACAATCCTTGAAATTATTCTTGGAGGACAGATACAACAGAAAAAGTGGGAGAGGTAAAAGTGCAAGCAGAAAAGGGACCCAATGAGCCCAGTATCAAGTGTACCTTGTTAATTAAACATCCTACTGCTAATGTAGATCCCAATTTGGCCTTGAAATTTTTTTTTCTTTACACTGAATCTGGTGTATTATGTGGATTTTCTCCAGTCGTCTTTTTATTTCTGATGCTCTAGGCTAAAGTTCTCTTTCCTGATTTTTCATCACCCTGATTCTGCAATTTCCAAAAAGTACTCAAAAAATTTCATCACAATTGGCACTCCACCTTGTATTTCAGAATCTTTATATTTCATTTATTCTCTGAAACATCAATAGACATTTTAGGTGGAAGGGGAAGAAAATCTTTAGGCATAGGCCACCACCTTAAACCAGAAGTGATTGAGCATCTTTGTCACTTCCCACTCTGTTTACATATGTGTACTCACTATGACAAAATCAAATTGAATATACCTCAAAAATGGATCCATATTCTACCCACTCATTTCATCTCCACTGCTATCAACCTTAACCAGGAAATAAAACAAATACAAAAATAACAATAATAATAAGCAGGCAAAATTCAGCCTTTTCCTTTGCAGATCAGGTAACAGAAGCAAAAGAGTTTTGTGGGGGAAAAACATTGTTACCTAACTATTCTATACAAGATCAAGTTATCTTTCACGTAGAGAAAGCAAAAAGAGTATAACCTAAAATATGCAGAACCCAAACAATCAGAATTCAAAAGCAAAGGAATATGTCATCTACCCATCCTTGTAAAAATATTTAAAACTACTTCCACATTTATTTCAATTACTAAGAAATACATAAAAGTTGTACAAATTGTACTACAATACATAAAAATACATTAAAAGGATGAAAGACAGTAAAATAAATTGAAGCAACCTAAATATACAAAAGAAATTGCCTATAAGTATGGGATAAACAAAGTCTATACTACAGTACACTATCCAGTACTATAGACTACCATTCAGTCATTTGAAGTTTTAGATCTATATTTATTGTTATGAAAGGGTTTTTTTAAAAAAATACAAGGCAGCATGTGTCTAATGATCCTTTTTCACATAAACATAAACACACACACATACACACACTCACTCACACACTTATACACACATATGAATACCTCTATAGAGAATGTGAAAGATAGACAGTGTGACAGAAAGATGAGGGGCAGAGAAGCAAAAATAAAAGTCAGATAAGGAAGCCCTCATAAGATAAAATGGAGAAAATCCTGTGAAAAGAGAGAAAGCCAAGACAAGAGAGAGACTGGCCCACCCAGAGACAAATACAGAATGAGGGGCACAGGTTGAGTTATACCCACAAAGATTCCTAAGGGCAGAGAAAAGTCTGAAAGGACGTATATTAAAAGATTAATCGTGATTGCAGAGAAAAGTCTGAAAGGATGTTTATTAAAAGTTTAATCGTGATTGAGTCTGACTGGAGAGATTATAAGTAATTTCCACTATACTTCTGTGTTACCTGACTTTTCACAATGAAATGTACAACTTTAGTAATCTGAAATAATAAAATATAAAGCTACTTACCAAAAAAATAAAGATCACTGCAACTCAGAGAATGACATGGACACACTCCAAACATGGATATAAACAAATAAAATCCTAAAATTCTAAGATGCTAAAATTTAACGAAAACTTCAATTATTCTTTAAAGTCCTAGAAGTTTTAGACTCTAGCTAATAATGTACCTTAGTGTAGTTATGAGGAAAAACATGAAGCCTGTGTTGCAAGTGCTTTTCAATTTATTCTATAAGACCCAGTGTATGCCAACAAAGAAGTATACTTCTCATTCAGAATGTCATTTCCATGTGAAAACAGCACATACATATTTGCATTTCATCTTTTCATTAAATCTCAGAACTTCAAAGCCTTGAAGCAATTTCAGCATGTCTAAGTAGGAACAAAGGTAATCACCATCATGTCACCCAGAATCAGATACAGAAGAAAGTTTTTCAGGGAGAAACACAATTCTCGATCAGAATTATATATTTCTTAAAAGTAGCTTCAGAGACAGATCTAAATGTAAGGAAAAGTTTGAAATGGCACCCAATTTTTGCATTAGAAAAGATCATAAAACATACAACTTCAGCAAAGCATAAAATGCCATTCTATGTGCCCCAGAAGTATTCACCAAATTATGATTTTTAATTCCTTTACTACACTGCAAGGAATTCATAAGTCCACAAAACAAAGCTAATCTTTTTTTTAGTATGAAAAGGATTGATATAGAAACGTTTGGTTTCTGAATTTAAAAATGAGTAACTTTTAATTCACTAGAGAAACTGGAAATCAATTTATAGAAAAAAATAATAGTTCTCTGCTTAAACTTTATTGCAGATAAACATAGCTGTGTGAGTTAAAATAATAATAATAAATGTCAAATTTCTCAATATTAGACAAAAATAATGCTTAGAATGATACAGGTTAGTTTTCATTTTTACCAAAACTTTTAGTAAGCCTCATTTAGAATCATATTACACTAAATATGTTCATTCCAAACACATGAGTAGAATAATTCTGAGTCACTAGAATTTTGTTACTAATTATTATTTACAGGAACCAGAATAATATTCTTAAAATACATCATTCACAGCATTGCTACTTGCTCAAAATGATTCCGTGGTATTTCATTGCATTCAAAATAAAATTCTGAAATTAAGTTCCTCCCATTATTTTTCCAAATAATTGTCCACAATTCCTTATCTGTATTCATAAGATTCTTTCACAGTAATCTTTTTTCTTGCTATTCATGTATTTTTATTGCCATGTAAGTTTAACTATAATATAAATAATCAAGTAGATATCTGATGTTAAAATATAAATTGTGTACTCAGAAAGAAAGCTGTACAAAATACACAGCAATCTCCAGGCCTCACTATCAGAGAGTCTGATTTAGTAAATCAAGAGTAGGGCCCAGGCCCATGCATCCAAAATTTCCAAAGTACCTCAGAAGATCCTGATGCAGCAGGTTTATTAAAGGAATTTGGAAACTGTTCTAGATCATTGCCCTGATTACATCACCTCATGTTGTCATATTATACTTCACAGTTTTCAGAGTGCTTCATATAAATTAACCTACTTGACTTATGTCTCATTCAATCCAAGGGTCTTTGCACTGCCACTTTTTAGCATATTCTCTTTCTCCTTTGAACTCCACTTATTTAATAAACAAAACACTTTGGCATGATTTTATGTAGAGCCCTGAACAACTCTGTGAATGCCTTGATGTACATGTGTATTCTTTCCCTAACTCCACGAGGTAGAGATGTTGTCTTGCATCCCTCTGGTTCTTTTTCCTCTCCTGTCCACTCCCCACAATGTGGTCCTACCTGCTTCCACATCCAGACCACTCCTTCCCTTCACCAGCCCTCTTTCATTCTCTCACAGATAACCTCCCACTCAACCCTTTCCAATTCTGGAGCTCCCAATTCTAGCACCAATATTCCCCTACCTCCTTAATGACTGTAGGATGCTCCTCCCATCCCCATGCTTAAATAAAAACAGAGATCTCTTAGGATATGGCTTTTCTTACAACTCTTCTGAATGGAAGCTTCCCTGACCCTGTACGCTAGGGAAAGGAGATGGGATATGCATTTTCTTGGCTTCCCATGGGCACTTCCAAATCAATTCACTCCATCCAAGTATGAAAAGAACACACTCCTCCTTTGATTGCCATATCGTCAAACTATACTAACTTCTTCCCTTTCCAGTGGGGTCATTTCAAATGTTTGTTTCTTTGTTTGTTTGTTTTAACTTTTAAGTTCAGCGGTACATGTGCAGGTTTGTTATACAGGTAAACTTGTGTCACTGGGGTTTTTGTACAGATTATTTCATCACACATGTATTAAGCCTAGTACCCATTAGTTGTTTTTCCTGATCCTCTCCCTCCTCCTGCCCTCAACCCTCCAATAAGCCCCAGTGTGTGTTTTTCCCCTCTATGTGTCCATGTGTTCTCATCCTTTAGCTCCCACTTATAACTGAGAACAAGCACTATTTGGTTTTCTGTTCCTGCATTAGTTTGCTGAAAATAATGGCCTCCAACTCCATCCATGTCCCTGAAAAGAACAGAATCTTGTACTTTTTTATGGCTGCATATTATTCCGTGGTGGATATGTACCATGTTTTCTTTTTTTTTTTTTTTTTTTTTTTTTGAGGCAGAGTCTTGCTCTGTTGCCCAGGCTGGAGTGCAGTGGTGGGATCTCGGCTCACTGCAACCTCCGCCTCCTGGGTTCACACCATTCTCCTGCCTCAGACTCCCGAGTAGCTGGGACTACAGATGCCCACCACCACGCCTGGCTCATTTTTGTATTTTTTTTTCTGTATATTTAGTAGAGACGGGGTTTCAGCGTGTGAGCCACAATGGTCTCAATCTCCTGACCTCATGACCCGCCCACCTCAGCCTCCCAAAGTGCTGGGATTACAGGCATGAGCCACCGTGCCCAGCCAATATGTACCATGTTTTCTTTATCCAGTGTATCACTGATGGACATTTAGGTTGATTCCATGTCTTTGCTATTGTGAATCATGCTGCAATGAACATACATGTGCATGTGTTTTTATAATAGAACGATTTATATTCCTTTGAGTATATATCCAGTAATGGGATTGCCAGGTCGAATGGTATTTCTGTTTTTAGGTCTTTGAGGAATCGCCACACTGTCTTCCACAATGGTTGAACTAATTTACACTCCCACCAAGAGTGTACAAGTGTTTCCTTTTCTCCATAACCTCACTAGCATCATTATTTTTGACTTATTAACAACAGCCATTCTGACTAGTGCGAAATGATATTTCATTGTGGTTTTGATTTGTATTTTTCAAATGATCAGTGATACTGAGCTTTTTTTCATATGCTTGTTGGCTGCATATATGTTTTTTTTTTTGTAAGTGTCTGTCCATGTCCTTTGCCCACTTTTTAGAGGAGTCGTTTGTTTTTTTCATGTAAATTTGTTTAAGTTCCCTACAGATGCTGGACATTTGACCTTTGTCAAATGCATAATTTGCAAAAATTTTTTCCCATTCTGTATGTTGCCTGCTCAGTTGATAGTTTCCTTTGCTGTGCAGTAGCTCCTAAGTTTAATTAGATCCCATTTGTCAATTTTTGCTTTTGTTGCAACTGCCTTTGGTGTCTTTGTCATGAAATATTTGCCTGTGCATTGCCTAGGTTGTCTTCAGGATTGTCACAGTTTGGGATTTTGCATTTAAAACTTTAATCCATCTTGAGTTAATTTTTGTATATGGTATAAGAAAGGGGTCCAGTTTCAATCTCCTGCATATAACTAGCCTGTTATCCCACCACCATTTATCCAATAGGGAATCCTTTCCTCATTGCTTGTTTTTGTCAGTTTTGTCAAAGATCAGATAGTTGTAGCTGTGCAGCCTCATTTCTGGACTCTCAATTCCATTCCATTGGGCCATGTGTCTGTTTTTGTACCAGTACCATGCTGTTTTGGTTACTGTAGCCCTGTAATATAGTTGGGGGTCAGGTAGGATAATGGCTCCAGCTTTGTTCTTTTTGCTTAGGATTGCCTTGGCTATTTGGGCTTTTTTTTTTTTTTTTTTTTTTTTGGTTCCATGTGAATTTTAAAATAGCTTTTTCTAGTTCTATGAAAAATCCCAATGGTAGTTTAATAGGAGTGACATTGAATCTATTAACTGCTTTGGGCAGTATGGCCACTTTTACAATATTGATTCTTCCTATACTTCAGCATGGAATGTTTTTCCATTTGTTTGTGTCATCTCTGATTTTCTTGAGCAGTGGTTTGTAGTTCTTGTAGAGGTCTTTCACCTCCCTATTTAGCTATATTTCTATGTATTTTATTCTTTTTGTGGCAATTGTGAATGGGATTGTGTTCCTAATTTGGCTCTTGGCTTGGTTGTTATTGGTGTATAGGAATGCTAGTAATTTTTGTACATTGGTTTTGTATCCTGAAAGTTTGTTGAAGTTGTTATCGGCTGAAGAAAATTTGGGGCTGAGATGATGGAATTTTCTAATATAGGATTATGTCATCTGCAAACAGGGATAGTTTGACTTCTTGTCTTCCTATTTGGGTGCCCTTTATTTCTTTCTCTTGCCCAGTTGCCTTGGCCAGGGCTTTCAATATTACGTTGAATAGGAGTGGAGAGGGCATGCTTGTCTTATACTGGTTTTCAAGGGAAATGCGTCCAGCTTTTGCCCATTCAGTATGATGTTGGCTGTGGGTTTGTCATAGATGGCTCTTATTATTTTGAGGTATGTTCCTTCAATACCTAGTTTACTGAGAGCTTTTAACATGAAGTGGTGTTGAATTTTATCAAAAGCCTTTTGTACATCTATTGAGTTAATCATGTGGTTTTTGTCTTTAGTTCTGTTTAGTGATGAATCACATTCATTGACTTGCATATGTTGAACCAAACTTGCATGCCAGGGATAAAGCCTACTTTATCATGGTGGATAGGCTTTTTGATGTGCTGCTGCATTCAATTTGTCAGTATTTTGTTGAGAATTTTTGCAATGATGTTCATCAAGTATATTGGCCTGAAGTTTTCTTTTTATGTTGTGTCTCTGCCAGGTTTTGGTATCCAGATAATGCTTGCCTCATAGAATGACTTAGGGAGAATTCCTTCCTCCTAAATTTTTTGGAATAGTTTCCACAGGAATGGTACCAGGTCTTCTTTGTACATCTGTTAGAATTTAGCTGTGAATCCATCTGATCCTGGGCCTTTTTTTTTTTCGTTGGTAAGCTATTTGTTACTGCCTCAATTTCAGAGTTCATTATTGATCTATTCAGGGATTCAATTTCTTCCTGGTTTAGTCTTGGCAGGACATATGTGTTCAGAAATTTATTCATTTCTTCTAGGTTTTTTTGTTTATGTTCATAATATTCTCTTATTTTTGTGTGTAATTTTCTGGGGTCAGTGGTAATATCTCTCTTGTCATTTCTGATTCTGTTTATTTTAATCTTCTCTCTTTTTCCTTTATTAATCTAGCTAGCATTCTATCTAATTTATTATTTTTTCAAAAACCAGCTCCTGGATTTGCTTATCTTTTCAATGGATTTTTGAGTCTCTATCTCCTGTTCAGCTGTGATTTTGGCTATTTCTTGTCTTCTGCTAGCTTTGAGATTTGTTTGCTCTTGGTGCTGTAATTCTTTTAATTGTGATGTTAGATTATTAAATTGAGATCTTTCTAACATTTTGATGTGGGCATTTAGTGCTATAAATTTCCCTCTTAACACTGCCTTAGATGCTTTCCAGGGATTCTGGGATGCTGTGTCTTTACTCTCATTCGTTTCAAAGAACTTCTCGATATATGCCTTAATTTTGTTTTTTACCCAGAAGTCATTCAGGAGCAGGTTGTTCAATTTCCATGTAATTATATAGTTTTGAGTGAACTTTTTAGTCTTGATTTCTAATTTGGTTGCACTGTGGTCCAATAGACTTTTGTTATGATCTCAGTTCTTTTGCATTTGCTGAGGAGTGTTCTACTTCTGATTACGTGATCCATTTTTTTTTTTTTTTTTTTTGAGGAGTCTCGCTCAGCCACCCAGGCTGGAGTGCAGTGGTGCAATCTTGGCTCACTGCAACCTCCGCCCCCCAGGTTCAAGCAATTCTCCTGCCTCAGCCTCCCAAGTAGCTGGGACTACAGGCATGCGCCACTACACCCAGCTAATTTTTTTGTATTTTTAGTAGAGACGGGGTTTCACCATGTTGGCTAGGATGGTCTCAATCTCTTGACCTCGTGATCTACCTGCCCCAGCCTCCCAAAGTGCTGGGATTACAGGCATGAGCCACCAGGCCCAGCCATATGTGATCAATTTTAGAGTATGTGCCATGTGGCAATAAGAAGAATGTATATTCTGTTGTTTTTGGGTGGAGAATTCTGTACATATCTATCAGGTCCATTTGATCCAGGGCCAAGTTCAGGTCCTGAATATCTTTGTTAATTTTCTGTCTAATATCATCAGTGGGGTGTTAAAGTCTCCCACTGTTATTGTGTGGGAGTCTAAGTCTCTCTGAAGGTCTCTAAGGACTTGCTTTAGTCTTACTGGGTGCTACTGTGTTGGGTAGCTACTGTGTTGGGTGCATATATATTTGGGATAGTTAGAGCTTCTTGTTGAATTGAACATTTTACCATTATGTAATGTCCTTTGTATTTCTTTATCTTTGTTGGTTTAAAGTCTGTTTTTTCAGAAACTATGGTTGCAACTCCTGCTTTATTTCTGTTTTTCATATGCTTTGTAGATTTCTCTCCAAACCTTTATTTTGAGCCTATATGTGTCACTGCATGTGAGGTGAGTCTCTTGAAGACAGCATACCAATGGGTCTTGGTTCTTTATCCACACATTTAGCCCATTTACATTTAAGGTTAGTATTGATATGTGTGGATTTGATCCTGTCATCATGCTGTTAGCTGGTTATTTTGCAGACTTGTTTATGTGATTGTTTTACAGTGTTACTGGTCTGTATACTTCAGTATGTTTTTCTAATGGTTGGTAATGGTCTTTCCTTTCCATATTTAGTGGTTCCTTCAGAAGCTCTTGTAAGGCAGGTCTGGTAATAACAAATTCCCTCAGCATTTTTTTTTCTAAAAAAGATCTTATTTCTTCTTCACTCATGAAGCTTAGCTTGGCTAAATATGAAATTTTAGGTTGGAATTTCTTTGCTTTAAGAATGTTGAATATTGGTCCCCAGTTTCTTCTGGATTGTAGGGTTTCAGCTGAGAGGTTCACTGTTAGTCTGATGGGCTTCCCTTTGTAGATGACCGGGCCTTTCTCTCTAGCTGCCTTTAACATTCTTTCTTTCATTTCAGCCTTGGAAAATCTGATGATTATGTGTCTTGGGGATGACCTTCTTGTGAAGTATTTTACAGGGGTTCTCTGCATTTCCTGAATTTGAATGTTGGCCTCTGTAGCTAGATTGAAGAAATTCTCATGGATGATAAACTGAAATATGTTTTCCAAGTTGGTTCCTTTCTCCCCATCTCTTTCAGAGACATCAATTAGTCATAGATTTGGTCTCTTTACATAACCCCTTATTTCTTGGAGGTTTTGTTCATTCCTTTAGATTTTTTTTTCTCTATTCTTGTCTGACTGTTTTATTTCAGAAAGCCAGTTTTGAAACTCTGAGATTCTTTCCTCTGTTTGGTCTACTGTCCTATTAATGTTGTGATTGCATTATGAAATTCTTGTAGTGTGTTTTTCAGCTCTATTTGGTTGGTTACATTATTTTCTATACTGGCTATTTTGTGTCTTAGCTCCTGCATTGTTTTATCATGATTTTTAGCTTCCTTGCCTTGGGTTTCAACATATTCCTGTAGCTTAATGATCTTAATTCCTAGCCATATTCTGAAATCTACTTCTGTCATTTTAGCCATCTCATCAAATTCAGAACCCTTGCTGAAGAGGTGATGTGGTCATGTGGAGGACAAAAGGCATGCTGGCTTCTTGAGCTTTCAGCATTTTTGAACCGA